>NC_000009.12:123845552-124470552 GCF_000001405.40 Homo sapiens
CCAGCTACTTGCAAAGCGGAGGTGGGAAGATTGTTTGAGCCTGGGAAGTTGAGGTTGCAGTGAGCTAAGTTCATGCCACTGTATTCCAGCCTGGGTGACCAAGTGAGAACCTGTCTCCAAAAAAAAAAAAAAAAAAAAAAAAAGAGGAATAAAAAAGGAATGGATTATAGACCCAAATGTAAGAGCTAAAACCTAATAAACAAACAAACAAACAAACTTAGAAGAAAACACAGAAATAAATCATTGTAACTTTAGGATGGGCAATGGTTTCTTAGGTACCATACTAAAGAACAAACAACAAAAGAAATATTAGATAAATAGGACTTCACTGAAATGAAAACTTCTGTTTCAGGTGACACAATCAAGAAAGAGAAAAGTTAACCTACAAAGTGGGAGAAAGTACTTGCAAGTCACATATCTGATAACAGGTTTGTATCTAGAATATATAAAGGACCCTTATAACCTGGTAATTTTTTAAACGACCCAGTCACTGGATAGGTATTTCTCCACAGAAAATATACAAGAAGCACACTAAAAGATGCTCAATATAATTAGGCATTAGAGAAAGGCAAATCAAAATAACAATGATATGTCACTTCATCCCCACTAGAATGGCTATAATAAAAGAGACAGACAACAGTATCCACTGACAAGAATGTAGAGAAACTGGAACCTTACACATTGCTGGTGGCTATATAAAATGGTGCAGCTGTTATGGAAAACAGCTTGGCAGTTACTCAAAAAGCTAAAAAATAGAATTACCATATGATCCAGCAATGCCATTCCTAGGTATATACCCAAAGGAATTGAAAGCAGAAATGCAAACATATACCAACAATGAATGACATTGTTGATTGCAGCATTATTCACAATTGCTGAAAAGTGGAGATAACCAAATTGTCCATCAACAGATGAATGGATAAACAACATGCAGTATATACATCTAATGGATAAATATTCAGCCATAAAGAGGAATGAAGTTCTGTACATACTACAACATGAATAAAGCTTGAAAACATTAGGGTAAGTGAAATAAACCAGACAGAAAAGGACAAATAATATATGATTCCACTTATATGAGGAAACTAGAATAGGCAAATTCATAGAGACAGAAAATAGGATAGAGGATACCAGAGGTTAGGAAGGAAGGGAAAATGGGAAATTATTGTTAATGATTACAAAGTTTTTATTTGAGGTGTTGAAAAGATTTTAATAACAGATAGTGGTGATGGCTGCACAACAGTGTTAAACATAATTAATACCACTAAATTTACACTTAAAAATATTTAAAATGGCAAATTTTGTTTTATATATACACATATTACTCCACAATTTAAATAATATACCAAAACCATTAATTATATCTTTTATTAATGGGCAAATTGTATGGTTTGTGAATATCTCAAGAAACTTATTAAAAATAATTAAAATTAAACACTAAATCAATGGGTTTTTTGTTTGTTTTCATTTTTGTAGAGACAGGGTCTCACTATTTGCCCAGACTGATCTTGAATTCCTGGCCTCAAGCAATCCTTTCACATTGGCCTCCCAAAGTGCTAGGTTACTGGTGTGTGCCACTGTGCCTGGCCATAAATGGATGGTTTTAAAAGCAATTAGACACAGCTGAAGAGAGAACTAGTAAACTGGAAGAAAGACTTGAAGAAGTTATTGAATATATCAGAGAGAAACAGATTGAAAACACACAAAAAAAATGGTTTAAAACTGTAAAGGACAAAAAGAGAATGTCAGACATATGTGTAATCAAAGCTCCAAAAAAAAAAGAAGTTCTAAGTCCTCAGATTCAAAAAGCTGGTCCTAACCAAGATATATAAGAAGAAAACTCCACTGCTAGACATATATCATTGCTAAACTAGAAAACAAGACACAAAAATATTAATTATAATGGAAAGGGACTTCAACAGCAATATAGGAAGCCAGAAGACAACAAAATGACATCTCCAATATGAGGTTAGAATAAGGACATCTTCAGATAAACAAAACTAAGATATTTGCCACTAACAAAGAATATTATTCAAGCAAGAAGATTAGCCCAGATGAAAAAACTCTGAGATGCAAGAAGACATAAAGAACAAAGAAAATGGCCAGGCACAGTGGCTCACACTTGTAATCCCAGCACTTTGGGAGGCCAAGGCGGCCAGATCACTTGAGGGCAGGAGTTTGAGACCTGCCTGGCCAATATGGCAAAACCTTGTCTCTACCGAAAATACAGAAATTAGCTGGGCGTGGTGGCATGCACCTGTAATCCCAGCTACTCAGGAAGCTGAGGCAGGAGAATTGTTTGAACCAGGAGGCGGAGGTTGCAGTGAGCCGAGATAGCCCCACTGTACTCCAGCTTGGGCGACAGAGCGAGACTTCATCTCAAAAAAATAAAAAACAAAGAACAAAGAAAATAGAAAATACACAGATAAATCTAAACAAGCATTGGTTATATAAAAAAATCAATAATATCTTACATGTTTAAAGTAAAATACACAACAATAAAAACCATATAAACAAGGAGGGGAATGATTAAAGTCAAAACAATATACAATCTTGTATTGTCCAGGAGGAGGGTAAAGATGCCAATTAAAGTTAAATAAACATGCAAAAATTTCTCAGAAACTGTTGATTTGTATGGGCATAGTTTGTTTTATTGCACTTCAAAGATACTGCTTTAAAAAAAAAAAAAAAAAAAAAAAAAAAAACAAATTGAAAGTATATGACAACCCTGGATAGAGCAAGTCATTTCCTGTCTCTGTGTCACATTTTGGGAATTTTTTGCAATATTTCAAACTCTTTAAATTATTATTATATCTGTTATGATGATCAGTGATCAATGATCTTTGATGTTGCTGTTGTAATTGTTTTGGGGTGCCATAAACCATGCCCATATAAGATGGCAAACTTCGTCAATAAATGTGTGTGTGTTCTGACTGTTCCACCAACCAGCCATTCTCCCATCTTTCTCTTCCTTGGGCCTCCTTATTCCTTGAGACACAATAATATTGACATTAAGCCCATAATTCACCCTACAATGGCCTCTGAGTATTCAACTGAAAGGAGGAGTTGCATGTCTTTAAATCAAAAGCTAAACATAATTAAGCTTAGCAGTGACGAAGGCATATTGAAAGTCAAGATAGGCTCAAAGTTAGTCTTCTTGTACCAAACAGCCCAACTGCGAATCCAAAGGAAATGTTCTTGAAGAAAAAGAAAAGTACTACTTCAGTAACACATGAATGATAATAAAGTGAAACAGCCTGATTGCTGATACATGAAAGTTTTAGTGGTCTGGACAGATCAAACCAGCCACAACATTCCCTTACACAAAAGCCTGATCCACATCAAGGCCCTGACTCTCTTCAATTCTATGAAGGCTGAGAGAGGTGAGGAAGCTGCAGGAGAGTTTGAAACTAGCAGAGGTTGGTTCATGAGGTTTAAGGGAAAATGCCATCTCCATAACATAAAAAAGTGCAAGGTGAAGCTGCAAATCCTGGTGCAGAAGCTGCAACAAGTTATCCAGAAGTTCAAGCTAAGATCATTGATAAAGGTGGCTACACTAACAAAAGATTTTCAATGTAGATGAAACCACCTTATATTAGAAGAAAATGCCATCTAGGACTTTCATAGCTAGAGAGGAGATGTCAAAACCAGCTTCAAAGGACAGGATGAATCTTTTGTTAGGAGCTAATGCAGCTGGTGACTTTAAATTCAAACCAATGCTCATCGACCATTCTGAAAATCCTAAGGTTCTTAAGTATAATATTACGCTAAATCTACTTTGCCTGTGCTCTATAAATGGAACAAAGCCTGGATGCCAGCACATCATTTTATAGCATGTATTACTATTTAGGTTGGTGCAAAAATTATTCTGGTTTTTGCCATTGAGTAATGACACAAACCACAATTACTTTTGCACCAACATAATAAATAGTCTAAACCCACTGTTGAAACCTACTACTCAGAAAAAAAGACAATGCACCTGGTCATCCAACAGCTCTGATGGAGATATACAAGGAGATGAAGGCTGTTGCCAGGCCTGCTAACACAACATCCATTCTGCAGCCCCTGGATCAAGGAGTAATTTTGACTTTGAAGTCTAAGAAATACATAAGGCTATAGCTGCAATATATAGTTATTCCTCTGATGGGTTTGGGCAAAATAAATTGAAAACCTTCTGGAAAGAATTCACCATTCTAGATGCCATTAAGAACAATTGTGATTTGTGGGAGGTCAAAATACCAACATTAACAAGAGTTTGGAAGAAGCTGATTCCAGCCCTCCTGGATGACATTGAGGTATTTAAGACTTCAGTGGAGGAAGTAATGCAGATGTGATAGAAGCTACAAGAGAACCAGAACTAAAAGCAGAACCTGAAAATGGGACTGAATTGCTGCGATCTCATGATAAAATTTGAATGGATGAGAAGTTGCTTCTTACAAATGAGCAAAGAATGTCCTTTCTTGAGATGGAAACTACTTTTGGTGAAAACATTGTAAACATTGTTGAAATGACAAGAAAGCATTTATAATATTACACAAACCTGGTTGATAAACCAGTAGCAGCGTTTGAGAGGTTTCCGATTCTAAAAGGAGTTCGACTGGGGGTAAAATGCTATTAAAGAGCATCACATCCTACAGAGTAATCTTTCGTGAAAGGAAGAGTCAATCAATGCAGCAAACTTCATTGCTGTCTTACTTTAAAAAATTGCCACAGCCATCCCAGCCTTCAGCAGCCACCATCCTGACCAGCCGGTAGCCATCAACATTTAGACAAGATCGTTTGCGATCAAAAAGATTACAAGTTGATTGTTAGCAATTTTTAGCAATAAAATATTTTTAAATCATGATATGTACCTTTTTAAACATAATGCTATTATACAATTAATAGACAATAGTAGAGTATAAACATAACTTTACATGCATTGGGACACCAAATAAATTTGTGACTCACTTTATTGCGCTATTCACTTTATTGTGGTCTGCAACTAAACTGAACCTGCAATATCTCTGAGGTATGCCTGTATTAGTTAACATTATGGACACTGAAAGCACACGACCTGGGTTCAAATCCCAGCCCTACTACTTGATAGCTCTGTGGCCTTGGACAGATTACATAAGCTCGCCATGCCATGGTTTCCCCATCTGTAAAATTGAGACAGTAACAGTATCTATCCCATAGGGTTTTTGTGATGATTAAAAGAGTTAATATAGGTAAAGCATATAAAACAATGACTGGTATAAAATAAGCACTACTAAGTCATAGCCACCATTATTTTCAGTGTATCAGTTAAAGGCACAGAAATAGTATTTAAGTCCCAAATGATAAAAGGGAAAAAATTGAATGATTAAAATGCTTAAATAATCCAAAAGAAAGGAATAAAAAAATGAAGCATAAAAAGCATTTCCAGTAAAAAATACAGGTAAGATGACTGGATTTTAAAAGATCCAACTATATATTGCTTTCAAGAGACACGTCTTCAACACAAGAATGAAAAAAAAATAAGAAAACACAAGCATGGAAGTGTATAATTTGATGAGTTTTGACATATGTGTACATCCATTAAACCATCACCACAATCAATCAACCCCAAAAGTTTCTTTGTGCTCCTCCGTAATCTATCCCTCCTGCTGCACTCCCCACCACCCATCCCTAGGGAACCACTGGTGTGCTTTCTGTCACTATACATTAGTTTGTACTTTCTAGGCTTTTATATAAATGGAATCAGAAAGTATGTACTCTTTTTGTCTGGCTTCTTTCACTCAAGATAATTATGTTGAGATCCATCCATGTTGTTGAATATAGCAATACCTTGTTCCTTTTTATTACTACTATTCTATGTATAGAACTCAATTTGTTTACTCCTTTCTAGCCTCTCCAGACAATAAATGATGTTAAAATTACGAAATGGCCTCTGGGTAAAGATCAAATCCAGGGTACTCTTAGGATAAGAAAAAGCTAAGGGGGTGATTTTAAAATTCTTTGCAAGACCTCCAAAAGACCTAAGGTGGCACCATCATAGAGAACCATTCAGTTAAACAACAGGGCTTCTAAGAAGCTTACAACTGTTGTTCCTCAGTGGTCTCACTAGAAAACCAAAGTAGAAAAGGCGGGCTTATCTCAAAGACATTTGTGGGTATGAATATTATGTCAAGGAGTAAACTCCAGCAGATTCACAGGACAACAAAGGAGTTTTTAAGAGGCTCCTACGGGGAGAAACACAGCTAGCCTGGACTGAAAGGAACAAAGAAAATACAAATGAAAAAACAATAGGCTGTTGACTCACTAAACTTTACAGACCAGAAGCAGGCTGAGAAACCACTCAGTTGCAAACACAGGTTCTCTTTTATTTAAAGAAGGACGATTCAGAATCCAAAAGCCCAGAAGGTAGAACTAAGAGCCATGGTGAGCCACTCTCAGGCTAGAGCAGGACTGAGTCTCCATCAGGAAACTTCCAACATTTGCCCAGCGTATTTGGGGACCGCTATTGAGTGCTATGTGCTCCAACGTGCCTCCTGCTGGCCCCCTTTTAAACAATCAGTGTCTTCGGCAGTTATCTTCTGCCTGTCCCGCCATTACACTCTGGGGAAGAGTGGTGGTGGTAGGGACGGGGAACAGTTAACTTCTCTCTTTAGTTTACAAATTGAGAGGGCCTGTACTTGAGAAGCTATACTTAAGAAGTCATATCTAAGTTTCTCATCCTCACCTAAGCCTGATTTAGTTCCGGAGATTGAGGGGTCTGAGCTGCTGATGTAAGGATGGCACTTTTGGGGACCTTGGGGAGGCTGAGGATACACAGATTTCCATAGCAACTGGGTATAAAACTGTTTGCTCCCTGCTGCCTCTGCTGAGCTGCCACAGCACTTTGTGCCTGTCTCTATTTATCCCAAATAATGTATGGCTACTGGTTGACTATTTATTTCCCTCATCAGATGTAAACTCCTCAAAAAGAAAGTGTTTTATTTATATCCATAGCATTAAGTCCTTCAAAGACTTGTTTGAATTTATGAATAAGTATATGAAGAAAGCCAGTCTGTCATGGACTCAGGCCATCCAAAGCCACACTAATGAATATAACAGCACACTCCCAGTGCACTTATGCGACGGGCCTCAGTTAAACATTTAGGAAAGCTAAGCAATTAAAAATAAGAATGTTCACCTTATCCACCACAGCAGCAGAGGGAATACTGAAACTCAGGACTGATTCTCAGGAACATCCTGAAAACACCACCCTATAAACCTGCATTTTAATAGCCTGACACAGCTCAAAAACATTGGCTGATAAGAGTGCAACTAGTTTTTAAAAAGAAAGAAAAAACCTTCCAAAGATGTTTCATTTTAAATTGTTTTTCTTTCTTTTTTTTTTCTTTTTTTCTTTTTTGGTTTTGAGATGGAATCCTGCTCTGTCACCCAGGCTAGAATGCAGTGGCATAATCTTGGCTCACTGCAACCTCCACCGCCTGGGTTAAAGCCATTCTCCTGCCTCAGCCTCCCCAAGTAACTGGGATTACAGGTGAACACCACCACATCCAGCTAATTTTATTATTTTTAGTAGACACGAGGTTTCACCATGTTGGCCAGGCTGGTCTCGAACTTCTGACCTCATGATCCGCCGGTCTCAGCCTCCCAAAGTGCTGGGATTACAGGCATGAGCCACCACGCCCAGCCTTTAAATTTTATTATAAATAACCAGTGATCAGTTATCAATAAGGCAAGTATAGGTTGACTCCTCAACTGTTGTACAAAAGAATAGAAGCGGGGGAGAAAATATTTCATTTGGAACACTTTTGTAAAAACCCCTTAAATTGAGGAGACTGAAATTATGAGCTCTAGGCCGGGCGTGGTGGCTCACACCTGTAATCCCAGCACTTTGGGAGGGTGAGGTAGGCGGATGACTTGAGTTCAGGAGTTCGAGACCAGCCTGGCCAACCTGGTAAAACCCCATCTCTACTAAAAATACAGAAATTAGCCAGGCATGGTGGCAGGCGCCTGTAATCCCAGCTACATGGGAGGCTGAGGCATGAGAATCACTTGAACCTGGGAGACAGAGGTTGCAGTGAGCCGAGATCACACCACTGTACTCCAGCCTGGGTGACAGAGTGAGACTCTGTCTCAAAAAAACACAAAAATTATGAGCTCTAGCTAGCACTCAGGTTTTAGGAAACAAATCTTTCTGTGAGGGTCTCCAAGAGATTTGTTTTTTGACACAATAAGGGCTCAATGACAGAGTAAAGAAATCATTCAGTAGCACTCCAGGGCAATACTTAGAGACATCTTTCTATCTTGAGATGCCAGCCTCTCAAAAAAGCTACTGTTCCTCTCAATGGGCCGGAAAATGTCTCAGATTAAGAAGCATTTCCTTTAGGTAACTATTACAATACACCTACTTCTAAGATATTTTCATGGGAAAAAAAATATATGTATCATCACCTTTAGAATATTAGGATATATTAGTATATATCAACACCTTTAGAAAGTCAATCACACTGTACACATAATTTGCAGGAAAAGAGAAACCGTGGGTGAAACAAATATTAGGCAGCAATAACTGAGGCAGATGAAAGTATTTACAAATTCATTTTTAACCCACTGCATTAACTCATTTTGAGCAAGATCATTCTTTCTACATTTCTGCTGGCAAAAATCAACCTTGCTGGTCTCTCAACACAAATGGCAACATTCATCCTAGCCCTCAGCTGATTCTCCTGCCCGGGAACTTCAGACTGTTCCTTGATCCCAATCACAACATTTGTAAAGAACGTCTACATGTAATAGGACCCAGATGTTTAATATTTTGTCTCAGATTTAAAAATAAAATTCAAAATGACCCAGAAAGCAAAGTAAAACAAAAAAATAAAAAATGAAGCTGGGCACGGTGGTTCACACCTGTAATCCCAGCACTTTGGGAGGCCGAGGTGGGTGGATCACCTGAGGTCAGGAGTTTGAGACCAGCCTGGCCAACATAGTAAAACCTAGCTCTACTAAAAATACAAAAATTAGCCGGGTATGGTGGCATGCACCTGTAGTCCCAGCTACTCAGGAGGCTGAGGCAGGAGAATCACTTGAACCCAGGACGCAGAGGGTGCAGTGAGCTGAGATCATGCCATTGCACTCCAGCCTGGGTGACAGAGTGATACTCTGTCTCAAAAAAAAAATAAAAATAAAAATAAGTAAAATGAAATAAAAAATGAAGCAACTGATTTAATCAATTTAAGCAAATGGTTACCAGTTCACATGAAGTTTCTCTCTCCTCTTCTGTCTCTTGGTCGAATATATCTTCATCTTATCAGCTACCGAGATAGTACCAGACATTGCCACAACCTACTGCATGCAAAGTGGTAATAAATGCAGTGGAAGGGAAATAGAAGATAATGAACCGATCCTTCATATACTCTAAATCTCTTTTCTACCTTGCTAAGAAAAACAAGATAAGTCCCTGGAGATACTCTAGAAGTAAATGTAACCATAGGTAAAACTCCACTCTAAAAAACACAATTATAATGTCCAGTTCTATGTAAATGGAGCTATTTCAAAAGCCTCACAAACAACTGATACTAACATTGCCTTGCTTATTTGGACATAACAAATTCCACTGAATGAGATATTTTTAAATATCTCTTCATTTAGCTAGCTACCTACTGAATACGATTATTCTTCAAGGGAGAATTCAAGCAAGAAGGTTCCTGCCCTCAAGAAAAACAGAAAAGACAATTATAATACGATATGCAGGGTGCCAAGAGGGAGGGTATCTAACCAAGTCTGTGAAGGATGGCAGAGAGGGGGAAGCAAGGGTAGACAGAAAAAAATGGAGGATTAGAGAAGGCCTCCTAAAAGAGGTGGCACCTTGTCTAAGTTATAAAGGACAATGGAAATAAACCAGGAAAATAGGGAGAAAGAGTATTGTACAGAAAAGAGAAAGACCAGATCCTAAGGTATGAAAGAAAATAGACTAAAGTGGCTCAGCTAGTGCAGAAGGTCAATGACAGGCAGTAGTGAGCGACAAAGGAGGAGAGGTCAGCCAAGTGATGAGGAGCCTTCTGTGCCACGCTAAGATTTGAGTATTACCCTGTAGGTAATGAAGAGGCATTATAAGGTTTAAGCAGAAGACTGGCATGATTATATTTGTTTAAAACACACATTATGACAGCAGGACAGAAGAAAAGGGGTTGGAAGGGATAAGACTCCAGCTAAGGAAACCAATTAAGTGTCCAGGTGCGGCGGCTCACACCTGTAATCCCAGCACTTTGTGAGGCTGAGGCAGGCGGATCACCTGAGGTCGGGAGTTCAAGACCAGCCTGACCAACATGGAGAAACCCCACCTCTGCTAAAAATAGAAAATTAGTCAGGCATGGTGGCACATGCCTGTAATCCCAGCTACTCGGGAGGCTGAGGCAGGAAAATCGCTTGAACCCGGGAGGCGGAGGTTGCATTGAGCCGAGATCGCGCCATTGCACTCCAGCCTGGGCAACAAGAGCAAAACTCCGTCTCAAAAATAAAGAAAACCAATTAAGTGGCAGTAATCCAAGAAAGAATAAGGAAGGCCAGAACTAAGTCAATGGCAATGAATTGGATAACAAGGGAGAAAAAAACATAGGAAAAGATCAAGAAATTAGACTTTACTTTCTCTTCCTAATTGACAATTTAATCCTTAAGTCGAGGTACACGTCCATACTTGGTGAGAAGTAGCCACAGTAGTCCAGAGTAGGTAAGGATGGCATCCACATAGGAGGGCTTGCACAATATGGGGACTCAAAGTGCAACCAGTGCGAGAAGAGCGCCCACACTGTCTAGAGTAATCTAACATAGGGTGTCAGAACCCAATTGTGACAAGGGTGCCCACAGAGGAGAGTGAACTAGTGTGGGGAGAAAAAGCCCAAGCAGGGATACACAGTCATCCACAGGGAACAGCTGCATGGCAGGGGGTGTCAGTGTCAACGCAGTTTGAGAAGCGTGTCCATGTTAAAAGATGATCTGGTGTGAGGTGTCAGAGCACCTGAGCAGGGTAAGGAACTTTCCATGCAGGGGCCACCTGATAGGGTGTCAGATCCTGAGGAGGATTATGCAGGGAACAACATGGAAGGACATGGCAGCCATGCACGGGGTGTCAAAATTCAAAGTGAAGAGAGCACCCACACAGAAGGACCAGCCTGGCAGGGCTTGTCAAAGACCAAGGTGGATGAGGTGGGCATTCAGGCAGAAGAGGCAGAGCGACACAGGGTATCAGAGCCCCAATTGAGTTAAGGAAGACATCCACACTGGGTAGGCATTGGTGGCAGCCATGATGACAGAGTAGTCATGTACAAGGGATTAATAAGTAAATATATTAAGGATAATGGGAACCAGGCTTCTCACAGTTGAAGAGAGAAGTTACAAATATGGAAAGGGAGAAAACTTGAATGAATCGGTGGTATTGGTTGAAATCGGAAGTACTGGTGTGGACTCACACTTTTCAATATACACAGATAGATGCAGAAATACATATAGATGTACTCTCTGACCCTGACCACCAAGAAGGCCTAGAAGCAGCAACACCACCATAGCAATGAACACACATAGAATCAAAATTTTGGCTTTTAAATAGCATTCTCCACCAAAAGGAACCTTGGGAAAATGGCAGATTTCATGGCTAAGGAAAAGAAACTAAAAGATGAGCACAGAACATCTTGCACCAGAAAGCAAAGGAGAACCCAGAGAATGATGAGGACCAGTCAAAAGAACACAAGAGCCCTTCAAGTTGGCTCCTAATGATCAAAGCTGGAACAAATTGAATAATTCAATTCACTCAAATAATTTGAACAATTCAGTAACAACCTTGAATAAGAAAGGAGTAAGTCCAAAGTCAAATAAACAAATAAACTGAAAGTTTAATGAGAAATGGAATATTTACATAATTTCAAAGTACTTTCCCCCAAAACAATTGTTAATTAAAAAGGAGTAAGTAAGGAGGAACTTTTCAGTAGACAAGCCTGGCAAAGACTACTTTAATCAAGTGATCAAAAGATCATCACCAGTAAAGGGCCAAATCAAAATTGTGTATTATGTGATATAACAAGAAAAGCACAGCATCACTTCTATAATATTTCCACTCAAGATGCTCAACCTAAACCTAATCATAAGGAAACACCAGACAAACCCAAATTGAGGCTTGTAACCTTCAAATGTCAAGGTCATCAAAGTCAAGGAAAGACTGAGAACCTTTCCTAAGGGAGACTAAAGAAACATTAAACTGGCCAGGGGCAGTGGCTCACACCTGTAATCCCAGCACTTCGGGAGGCCGAGGCGGGTGGATCACGAGGTCAGGAGATCGAGACCATCCTGGCTAACACAGTGAAACCCCATCTCTACTAAAAATACAAAAAATTAGCTGGGCGTGGTGGCGGACGCCTGTAGTCCCAGCTACTCAGGAAGCTGAGGCAGGAGAATGGCGTGAACCCGGGAGGCGGAGCTTGCAGTGAGCAGAGATCTTGCCACTGCACTCCAGCCTGGGCGACAGAGCGAGACTCCGTCTCAAAAAAAAAAAAAAAAAAGAAAAGAAAGAAAGAAACATTAAATAAACTAAACGCAATTTGTGATTCTGAACAGAATCCTTTTGCTTTAAAGAACATTACTGGGACAAGTGCCAAAACTGAGAATTAGATGGTAGTACGGTATCAATGTTAATTTCCTCACTTTGATACCACATTGTGGTTGTGCAGGAGAATCACCTTGTTTGCAGTAGTCGACATAGTCGACTGACGTAGTCGAGGTTGAGATCAGTAACTTATTCCCAAATTGTGCAGAAGAAAAAATTATTTGCAGTGCAATTACAACTTTTCTGTAACTTTGATATTGTTTAAAATCTTTCTAAAGCTTTTTTTAAATCTTTAAAAAATACTCAGATTTAATTGGATGTAGGGTGAGAGTCTAGGGTGACTTTCAGGCTTCTAGCATTAGTAAGTGAGTGGGTACAAATGCCCTTCAACAAGACCGTGGATAGAAGGAACAGTTTAGGATTAGGATCGGCGTTTCCATTTTGTTTTGCTAGGTGACTGGCAGTGGGGGTAAAAGGTTGGTCGAGGGGAGGAGGTTAAATTCAATTTGAGATGCCCATGTAGGATGGAGAAACAGCTACGGACAGAGAGCTGAGGACCCAGGTCTGGCACTCGGAAGTCAGGGCCAAAGACACAAGCTGAGAAATGATCAGTCTGTAGGCAATAGGAGAAACCAAGTGTGACTGAGATCTTACTTGGAGAATTTATCATCCACCACATTCCATAAACAATTTGAAATGACTTACAAAAATACTTATAGTTAAAAGATTAAAAATACACATGTAAACCGAGGGTGTAAGGACAAAGGGAAAATAAAAGGAGGAAAGATTATGCCAGGGATTATAATAGCATACAAAAATGCATACCAAAAAAATCCATACAAAAATAATAACATACTAAAATAGTCATGTGTAGTTCACAGAGCTAGAAGGCAAACATAGCCCTAAGGTTCTTGAGAACCAATCCAGGAAGAATGCATAGCAAAAAGGAACCTCTAGATACTGTATCTGAACATCCACCTACCATACAGTATGTGCACCTTTGTTAGCACTTACTAACAGTATAAACCTGACATTTTCTTTATAAAAGGAAACAATAGTATACAGTTTTCTGTATGCTAACAAAATAGGCTTACACTTTTCTACATAAATAAAAACAGTTCTGATGTCCTTTTAGTCATTAAAACACAAATCTATCTATATCCATGAACACTTTCTCTTCATTTACAGGACCTGGAATAAATTAAGAATATTAATAACAGGAACTAACATTTGCATGGGGTTTACATTTTGAATGGTATTTCTATTTACTACACATTATTTCATTATTTTGCCATCTAGTGTGACAGACAATGCAGGTATAGACCTAATTTTACAGATTAGCAAATAGGTTCAGAGAGGTTAAATTACCTATTTAAAATTACATGGTTAATAAGAATTTGGACTGTAACTCCAGTTTTCTGACTCCATGCACCACTCATTCATTTATTCATCCATCCATCCAAATATTCATCAAGCATCTCCCAGAAAACATTGCCCATTCTGCATCGTTGCTGTGAAGATTAAATAAAAGAACATGGGAATGCTTACAAAGTGTGAAGCCTATACAAATGCTAGCCATTTGCAAAGCCATCATCATTAGATTCCCCATTTTAAAGATATTAGACCTTCTTACATTTGGGGGAAGCCAAATATAATATGGAAATTTTAAAAAATGTATGAAATTTGGTTGAGACATATTGGGAAATGCATATTTAAAAGGAGAGGAGAGGAGTGGACTAAGATGAAGCTGGATAGGGAAAGGATGGAGCATGGAAGACCTCATTTGCCCTGCTAATGAGCTTGACTTTAGCTTGGGGTGACAGAGGACCACAGAAAGGTGTTACAAAGGGAATATTGTGGTCTCAGCTGTGTTTTTAAAAGATTGCTGAGATGACAGCATTAAATATGGATGTGAAGGAAAGCATAAAGGCCAGTTAGGAGGCCATGGTAATCAGCTAGGAAAGAGAAGGTGCACGCCTGAGCTAAGTGAGGGTGGCCACTTAACTTTATGCTCATTTTAATCTGCAACGTTACGTTGTCTCTGGTCTCTAAATACTTTAGGGAAACTGAGGTAGGTCAATAAGCCCTTAGAACAAATTTTAGACAACCTAGACAAATATACCATGGACAACTGAAAAACTAAAACAGAATCACCCCTGACATTTTGTTTTGTTACATAGTATAATGACTATTCTTATATTATTCTATTATTCTACAGGGAGCCTACTCTAGTCATTCGTTCATTGTTTGTTTTTAATCTGAATGATTCCCAGTAATTAAAGTTTCTATCAGTTACAGAATTCTCCATAGTGAGATAGAACAGCTGACATCAGATCTCTTATGCTTTAAGCAAAAACTAACACTCATTAACAAGATTACCTATTGTGATTAAATAAATACAAACTGTTTGCAAAGTTTGTAAATGAGTACAACAGCACAAAAGTAAGACTTACCACTCTACACAAACCTTATTTTCTTAACTCTTCAAGCCCATGGAACAGACAAGGCAGTCCCTCATTTTTCACAGCTTCCCATTTCCCCAGTGCATTGCCTAATAAACACCTATACTTCATCTCTGCTGCTTTAGCTTACTCAGTTGTATCTGCTAATAATGCCTAAGCATGCGGAACAAAACAGCAGTACATGAAAGAAAGCCTATGTCCTCCGCTTTACAGTGCTCGGCACCACACAATAGAGTTTCTCATAATGCACTGGGCCATAAAAGTTGTGCATATTGTGAAATCTCAAGATGGCTATCTTTTCGTAATTAATGTTTTGTGGAAAACATCAATAACATTTACAAAAAGCTCTTAAATCTTTAGTAAAGGCTGCAATTAATTTATGAAGCCATGAAAAGTCTACAAAGGGTAATCAGTGATAATACTACGGAAGGGGAGTTTCATCTGGCCTTAAACTGCAAAGTTCATGTCTAATTTGACTAGTAAGAGTCAGACCACATTCTCTTTATCAAACTTGGAAGGGATCTTAAGGTAGTCCAGTCCAATGCCTATTCCTCCCCCAACCCCCTTCCAGGATAAAAATCCCATGTAAGACCCTGACCAGTGCTTATAAGGCCTATTCTGCCATCTCAATTTATTTAAGAAAAATTCTCCTTCAAATATTCAAGTTTCAATTTGGCAGTTAATTTCAGTCTGCAGTTAAAAGGCACTAGCTGTCAGTCAGATCTCTCACCCAGTTCCCTCCTGAAAAGAAAAACTGACAGATCACAGGAGCTTTCTTTTGTAAACCAATTCTGGAACTTTCATGCTTCTTATTTGTTAGGTTAAAGGTTAAATTGCTGACCTGTGCCCTCCTGCTTAGCGGCCTTCCCCTTTTTCTGTAAAGCTTTATTTTGGGGCTGTATTTACATGGATTAGTCCCTTTTCACGCTAAGAAGGAATCTGTTCACAGCCAAAGCCTTAGTTCTGGTTGTACAAAAAGCAGCCACAATTATTCACCACCAGACAATGACCATATTGTGGATTTACAAAAAACCCACCCCAGCCATGGAAAGATCTGTTCTTGCTGCACAAAACAATAGAAGAAAAATCTTATCAAGCATTCAAGAGAAAGCAAACAAAGCAAGCCCACTGTGAACTTGATGAAGATGTCAAGCTCCTTTAAAAAATATATATATAAATCAACAAAGAGGGGTTTTCTTGTAAAGTCTTGGGAGTGAGACTTTTTCTACTCTGAGTTTCCCTTTCTGGTTAAACA
Organism: Homo sapiens; assembly: GCF_000001405.40. Taxonomy (NCBI): domain Eukaryota; kingdom Metazoa; phylum Chordata; class Mammalia; order Primates; family Hominidae; genus Homo; species Homo sapiens. Next base: position 123,861,838 of record NC_000009.12, read on the forward strand.
CAGTTAGGAGCAGCAAGACATTGACAGCCAAGACCAGCAAATGCTGCCATTTTCTAAGCACACTTACAGACACTTTTTTTAAATGCACAACACAAAGAGGCTTTCCTTTCCAAATATGCCCAGTGCAAATGCCAGGCAAATCATTTTAAGCTAGTACCATACTACACAGGCTCTTTCAGCAAAAGCAAAATTCTTGTCCCAACCGCTAAGGAATGAACATAAGCTACTTCCAAGCTCTAACGTACTAATTCCTAATAAAAAAAAATTTTTTTTTAATTCTTAAAGGCCATTGGGTTTAATTAAACACTAGCTCCAACAAGAGTTCTTCATCTGACACCCATAAAGTATATTATATACATTCCATTTCTTTGGGATGGGTTTCAATGATGGTCCCTAGTCACATAAATAAACTTTTAGCAGGAACATTTTATGTTTGTAAGGTGAGGATCTCACAGCTGCTACAAAAGCAAAATCCAGTCCTGAGTCCGGAACACAGCTGTCTAACAAGATATGAGAGCAAATACAAAGAATTTCTCCCACCAAGTCTTTAGGTAGATGGTTTCTATTTTCTTTGAGCTAACATGACCTAAATCCTCCATCAGAAGAATGTTCTTCAAGTAAAATTAAAAAGTAAAACATAGAAGCAAGTATTAAAAGAACCTAAAGATCCATAAATGTGGCTTTTTAAAAAGTAGTGGTGCTTTCATTCACCACAGAGCAAAACACTAACACAAGTTTACACATTTTTGATCTCAGAAAATGGCTCACTTTAAGGTTTCTTATAGATTTTGGACTTAGAAAAAAACATTTCCATCTGTAACATAGTTTATCTTTGGCACAGTCAGCCTCTCTCTGTTCCTCTACCTTCCTTCCCATCCACCACCCCTCACCCCCGAAAAAAGGCAGTACCAAAGATTTGGCCACAGAAGTCCACAAATAAGAGAGTAGTATTAACTGGTCTTATTTTAAAGGAGCTGATTTATATGTATAACAATCAGGAGCTAGTTGATCAAACTATAAAACTCTGATGCAGCCATGAAAAACTGATGAAAATGTTTGTGGTCAACATTAAGATCTTGCTTTCTCTCATTTAAACTGTACCTCAACTGCAAATACATCAAATGGGAATCTTCAAAACTTGAAAATAGGATTGTGATGGAGGTGCTTATATTTTATCTCTTTTTCAAACTTTCTGTAGTATTTGGTCTTTTTTATAGCATTTTTAGCATGGTAATAAGTGCGATGACAATGAGACAATTCTGGCCAATGGCCCTACTTAGAGAACTTTGACAACTACAGAAAATATTTCCATGCATAACCAAGGCACCGTGTCCAGTTTGCTTACTTTGAATTACGAAATGTATGATCCCCAGGAAAATTAGGATGGCACTATGAGGACCAGAACACAAAGTAGGAAGTACTTAAACTCCTCACCAACTTCTAGAAGGAATGAGATTAGGGCACAAGCTACACTCAGAGTTGATTCAAATGTAAATGCTCTGCTTCCTCTCAAACAATGATAAACTCCCTCAGAGTTAATAGTTTCTCCCTAAGAGATTCATCTCTCTTTTCAACTTAAAGGTATGTTTTGGAGAAAAGGAAGAAACACATGGTGGGGCTTAGAGCAAAACCTTTTAAATTCTTTGTCATAAAAGCTGCAGAGTAAACTACATTTCCTTTACTAATCCTTCGAACACTTGTTAAACTCGAGTGTGCTGACAAATTTGCCACTGCAATCACATTTTGGTTTCTAACAAGTTAAAAAAAAAAAAAACAACTTTGGTTGTACTAAATTGTATTACCATCTTCCTTGAACACCAAGTGAGAATTTATGCTGCCTTCGCAAACTGTTGAAAGAGGCACTCCCTAGGGAGAAATAACTTTTGGCACATTGCATAGCAAAGCTAAAGTTACAAAAGCAGGCTAAAATATCTCTTTCACCACACATATATTTTTCTCTCTCTCCCCAAAGCTTAAACATGCTATGTCCTCTATAGGAAGCTGAGTATGGGCACAAGAACTATATCCGAAGATCCTGACTTTAGGTTCATAGTCTGGAAAAGTTTTAAATTAAATATATGAGATTTTTTTTTTAAAGGACTGTTTCCATGTCATTGAAAATATATTAACAAAACTCCATATTGCTTCACTCAAAAAAAAAAAACACACAGAAAATCATTATCGAGAGTTTCAAAGACTCTATAGTCCTCTACACTATGAAAAATAATATAGCTGTCCTTTTGTGCCAAGAAGCTAAAAGAGTGGAAAACAATGATTTGATGTGACAGAAGAAAGAAAACTAACCAGGCACTGTTAATTATTTTATGATTAGTATTTTATTTAATCCTCATGGCAATTCTAAAAGATAAGCATTATCCAAGTTTTATTTGCAAATGAGAAAATTCAACCAAAAAAAGATGAATAATTTCCCCAAGGTCAGATCACTATTAGTTGCAGAGCCATAATTAAAACCCAAGTCCAAAGCTCTTCCTGCTGTATACACACACTGCTTCTGCTAGAGGAGAGGGTGGGGAAACAGCTTTTAGTGACACAAATTCCCATGATTCCAGACCACAGGGCAGTTTCCCAGGGGTGGCAGAAAAAGCCTAAAATGTAAAAAGTACAGGCTGACGCCGAGGCCCGGGGTAAATGCCTCATTGTACTGTGGGAAGTCTGATGGACACTTGGTAAATGGGGAGGAAAAGGCATTCCTCGCCCAGGGAGACGAATGTGAGAGCGCCTTCCTTTAAACTTTTCGTCCTAAGCACGTCTGCTCATAGAAAAGGCAGAATAACATCTTCCAGAAAAATCGCGGGAGAGAAAACTGCAGCAGAACTCCTGCCGCTAATATAAATGCCCTCCCCCTAGACCTACCCATGAATTTCCATTAAAAAAACAATACAGCAAATGGAGTAGCCATTCAACCTACTGGAAATGAGATATTTATCAACAATAAAACTGTGGAGATGAATCAAAATATCTAGGTTCTCTGCAATCAGTTGGAATTGTGTCAACTCATTTATTGGTCCAACAAATACACACTGAGTGCCTACTACATTCCAGTCACTGTTCTAGGTGCTGGGGACACATCAGTGAACCAAGTAAATGATCCTTGCCCTCTTGGAGCTGATATTCTTAGACTGAGCATGACTGTACAGGGTCCCTACATACTAATCAGAACCTGAGTCATATTTTTGATTAATAAAAAGAAAATTAAATATCCCTCCATAGCTTTGCAGATGCTCTTCCTTCTGCTGGAATGTCCTCACCCATCCCCAGCACCTTTCGCATTTATAATAAATATTGCTGAATAAACTGTGTAATTAAAAAAAAGCTTTCAAAACAAGAAGTGAAAAATGTAGCAGTGGTCAGCTCTAAATCTAAATCTCAACTTCAATTGGGTCTAGACCTGAGCTTTGATCCTGCAGCAGGCCCCACGAAGCCTAAATAAAACCCAAGTCAACTCAATTTCCATTCAGCAAAAACAAGAGAAATTAGGTCAGCTTGTTCCAGGGTCCACCCCAGGGATTAAGAACTTTTTTAAAGCCTAAACTGGACTTGCTGGGGCTGTTAGAGGTAAGAAAGAAACCTAAAGCAGCATTCCCAAGGCCCTGGGCCTGGAACTGCCTTAGGACTGGTCCCAGGGCCCCTCCACCATGTGTGCAGAATGAGAAGGCTCAGAATGAGGAGGACAGGATCAGGGGATGTCCCCCCAGGGCAGACTCCTGATGATCCTCAATTTCCAGTTTGAAGGATCAAAACAAATTTCATGTTTTTCTTCATGATAGTTCAAACTGAGAGAAACTCTGTGCCATGCCCTGTGCTTAATTCTTTAAATACTGTGTTTCTGAATCCTCAAATGTGATGATAATATGAGATATTATCATCATCCCCATTTATCCCCATTTTACAGCATAGGGAACTAAAACAAGGAAGGAAATTAAGTAATTTGCCCAAAATTACACAGGGATATGTCCTAAGTAGGGGAGCCAGAATTTTGACCCACATGACCTGACTCTAGAAACCATCCTCTAAACCAAATTTCTCTAACTATATTTTGGGGGCATTTTGGGGGGATGTATTTCCGTTAACCAAAATACTAGAAAGAGGAAATGAATGTTCCACTTAGCACTTAGCTGATTTTCTACTTCCTGGACGGCCATGATGAAAATATTTTTCATTTTGGTCTGTGTATAAAATCTTTCCCAAATACTTTTGTCACTTTTCCTTTCATGGTAAGCACAACCTAACAAACCAATGGAAAATGTGCTTTATGTTCAAGAAGTCAATTCTATCATTCTGAGTATCAGGATCATTACTGCGAGGACAGAAAACTGGGCTAAATACACACAAACTTTAGACCATATTCCAGAAATGGGTTGTTTTAATACATTTCTAATCCTAGCTTATTTTCTCAGCATCTGGCTCTTTCTCACAAGTAGACAGTTTAAATAAAAACTCTGGTAGCTGAGGATTGATCACTGGGTTCTTGTTAAACTGTGACACATAAGTGGAAGAAAAAAATATATAGGTTGAATTATTCATGTGCCCAAAGTGTGTTTTTCTGGGAACAACTCAGAATTAATTCTACATTTTCTGAAAAAGAAAATTAGTCAGTTCAGGCAGTGTTCTTTTTATCAAGTTGTCATATCTTTCATATAGTAATAATGACTATCATTCTAATATTTGAATCCCTTCAAAAAGGAATTTACATAAATTCTATCACAAAAATTTCATTTCTTAATGATAGCACAATTTCCGGAAGTTGTGTTGTTTGATTTTGGTTTGGAGTTTAGGGTTTTTATGTTTTTAATTTAAGGGTGACGTTAAATTACATCACCACAAGAATGCTGGTTTGTACCACTTCCTGTGCTGAGCATTTTAGTACATATTATCTCTAATTTACAAAACAACCTGCCAAGTAGATAGAAGTCCCACTTAAACAATGGGCAAACCAGAATTTAGTTTAAATAGCTTTCCCAAAGTCAAACAATTAATGAGTGGCAAAAGAAATCTGAACCTAAGTCTGTTTGATTTCAAAGTCTACAGACTGGCCATTATACTGTTTTTATTACAAATTATTCAAAGATAATTAAGGACATTGTTATAATCTAGACAGCAATTTATCTGCATCTATCTTCTCCTCAAATAAGGCTTCGTGATAGCAGAAAATTCTAATGTCTAAGAACATATTAAAGGTAAGAAAACTGTCTTTAAATTGAGCAACTTATTAAAGTCTTCTGCTGGGCAAAGCAAGCTCACAGTGATATCTTCAGTAAAGCTTTCTTTTTCTAAAGAAAGCCTTTGAGCGGACTGCATGTTTTCAATGTAACATAAAGAAGGAAATGCAAAATGTGTTGTGAAATAATACCAACAGAAGTTCAAAAGCTAGAATGTAACTTCCTAAAGGTTTTTTTAAAAAAAGTCTTCTAAGCATTTAAAACATGAGGTCTAGTTCCTGTTTTATAGGGTGAACGTTCCACTCTCTACAGAGTCTAGCACAGTCTAAAGTGAACACTCAAAGAATAGGTGATTAATGATTTAGAAGTGTGATAATAAGACCTCGGGCATGTAGACTCCTGGGGAAATCAGTCTTACATGGCAGTTTTCAAGAAACCTGAAGATCGGTATTTTTAAGCATTAAAACTTGATTTAAATCATTTTAGTTATAAATGTTTCCAAGCTTCATTATTATCTCACTGCTTTTTTGGAAAGAATATTTTGAATCAAACATTTTCTTGATGGCTGCAGTAGACATCTGTTTTGGCGGCCCAGCATCCGTTCTCCCTTCCTCCAGTAATAGCACCAGATTTTCCTCTGAGGAACCACCCTGCCCCATTCTCAGGCTATAGGATCCAGGTGGTCCTGAACAGCTCCCCCAGTTCTCCCCCTGCTCCCCCAACACACTCCCTTATCCTCCAATCAACAACTCAAAAGTCATGGTTATTGGTTCATGAATGGGTACGTGATCCAAACAGGGCCTACTAGAGTCAGCCTTGGGACTATGGCTCAAGATACTGTAAGACACTCTTTTTCTATTTGGGTGTTAAACTGATGGAACATAAGCTTGGATTTATTCATAACCATCTTTGCCACTTTATAGGGAGCACCTGCCCAGAAATGAACCCAACACAGAAGACAGAGAATCAAGAGATAGGGAAAATTTCTGAAAATATGAGTAGAAAACCTAGATTCAGCAAAACCTAAAGCCAGTTTTACCACTGGACTTCTCAGTGTTAAGAGCCAGTAAATTCCCTTTGTTGTTCAAGTCGGATTTCACTGGGTTTCTGTCACTTCCAGTGAAAAGGATCCTGACTGATGCAATGATTGATGTCATTGACACGATCAGTAACTGCTGAGCAATATTGCACAGAGAAATCTTCCCGGCATACTGAAGCACTCAGGGCATAAGCTGAGGGCTTTTCTGTGATTAAAGAACTTAAGTTTTAATGGATAGACTCTGAGAAATCTACTTTGTCTAGTTACTTTTACTTTCTGTTTTTCAGTTATGTCAATTTGATAACAGTTGCTGAGTAGCAGAGTTCCACACAGATATAAACTCTTGCTTTAAACAAAAGTAAGTTAAAATAACAGCTCCCATTTATAAAGAACTTTCCATGTCCCATGCATGGTGCACTCCCATTTAATCTTTCAACTAAAACAGGTACTATTAGTGCCCCATTTTAGAGTTGAGAAAATGAGGCTCTGAGATTGGCATGTGGAGGGAATTTTAAAAATTCAACAAACTCACTGCTCAAAAGGATTTCAAAGTTTAGTAAATCAATGAATTCCCGGTCCACCATAGAAGGCCTGAGGCCTAATACTGTGAACCACTAACACAGCAAGAAGAACCACAGTGTCATGAATAAAGCAAAAATTCTAAGGCTCCCCTATATCATAATTTATACCCAGATGGCCCCTAAATTGCGCACTTTAGGAAAAAGAAGAAATCTGGGATCTGCTTCAAATAACTAAGCATTAAGAAAAGAAAATATATGGCTCACTTTGTTACTTCCTAAGAACAGCAATTCAAACTCATTCTATATAACCAATTTAGAGCATCACCATAGTATATAAAAAGCACAAGCTTCAAGCAGGGATATACAATTAACGTAAAATTCAAAATGTGATCTCAGTAGAGAAAGGCAAATTGAGAGAGGCATAAATGGAGTACTCAAAGATACAAAATGTTCTGTTTTCTAAGTTGAGTGGTGGATATGTGCATTTTCATTTATTCTTTAAACTGTATACATACATATGCATTATATAATTTGTGTGATAGCTTTCATAAATTTCTTTAAAGAATACAGTCACACTAGAATTCAAATCCCAACTCTGTCACTCTGTTCTTTGGACAAGTTGCTTCCTAGCTCTAAGATTTAATCATTAAATACTTGAGGGCCTAATGTATGCCAGGCACTCTTCTAGCTACCAAAGCATACAAGTGCAAGCAAGACATAATCTCTGCGCTCATGGAGCCCTCTTTTTCTTACCTATATAATTAGAATAATATTTCTTACTTCATTAGGTGGTGGGCAAGAATTTTATTATAATGAGCTCTCATTAGGCTCACCTCCAGTTTAAAGAAATAATCATTATTACAGCAATCTTGAGAAAAAGAGACAAAGCATATTACAAGCTCATAGTGATATCTTGAGTAAAGCTTTCTTTTTCTAAACAAGTCAGCTATCCCTGACTTTAAAATCAGTTGAAAAAAGCACAGTTAGATGAATTTCCACATCTCTATCCCAAACAAGACTTTTTCTAACTAGCATGTCAAGTACTCAGAGCCAGGAAAATTTACAAAAATGTTTTTAACAATCCATGTCTTTTGAGTGAGTGGCAATTTGTCCCAACTATAGTATCAAGAATCAGGGTCCAGGCCAGGTGCGGTGGCTCATGCCTATAATCCCAACACTTTGGGAGGCTGAGGTGGGAGGATCTCTTGAGCCCAGGAGTTCGTGACCAGCCTGGGCAACATGGCAAGACCCTATCTCTACAAAAATTAGCTGAGTGTGGTGGTGTGCACCTGTAGTCCCAGCTACTGGGGAGGCTGAGGTGGGAGGATCACCTAAGTCTGGAAGGTCAAAGCTGCAGTGAACCATGATCACGCCATTGAAACTGTTATGTAAGAGTGCCTGGGTGATGAGAGCAAGACCCTGTCTCAAAAAAAAAAAAAAAAAAAAAGAATCAGGGCCCAGCCCTAACACTCCATAAGATGGATTCACTTTCACTGGAAAATGCAAGATAAAAAAAATATAGAATAGCTGAAGTAATCGTGCTGACTTAACAGACAAATATAAGAATCCCTTGTATAGTTCATGAATAAAACCACATATCCCCTGATTTTCTGTACAATCCTGATTTATCTGCCCCCACATTAACCTTATCTGACTGTTCTAACCACTGCACATACAGGTAATATTAATCAGCTTTTTTTTTTTTTTTCTGAGATGGAGTCTCACTCTGCCGCCCCGGCTGGAATACAGTGATGTGATCGCGGCTCACTGCAACCTCCACCTCCCAGGTTCAAGCCATTTTCCTGCCTCAGCCTCCTAAGTAGCTGAGATTACAAGTGCCCGCCACCATGCCCGGCTAATTTTTTTTTTTTTTTTTTTGAGACGGAGTCTTGCTTTGTTGCCAGGCTGGAGTGCAGTGGCGTGATCTGGGTTCACTGCAATCTCTGCCTCCCAGGTTCAAGCGATTCTCCTGCCTCAGCCTCCTGAGTAGCTTGAATTACAGGTGCATGCCACCACACCCAGCTGATTTTTGTATTTTTAGTAGAGACGGGGTTTCACCATGTTGACCAGGATGGTCTCGATCTCCTGACCTCGTGATCCGCCCACCTCAGCCTCCCAAAGTGCTGGGATTATAGGTGTGAACCACCGTGGCTGGCCTCACCAGCTATTTTTTCATGGTTCTACGACTTTGTGGTTGTCCAACCTGGGCAAGTAAACCTCTTTGAGTCTCAGTTTCCTCAAACATAAGAGCCATCTTTAGAGAATTGTTCGAGCTTTAAGAAAGTAATATTAAGAAAAGTGCCTGGGGCATAATAAGGACTCAAGGAAAGTTAGCTATTCTATTGCCATTCTTCAAGCTTGCTGTCATTCACTGTCATTATTACTGAAAAAAAATAAGATGAATTTAATTAATATCTCTCTAGAACATTTTAATCTGGAATAAAATTTGACTCTCAAAAGAGCTCCCCCCGCCATACCACTTCTCAGGAGACAACAAGTTGTTTTTAATCTTATTATTATTATTGAGACAGGGTCTAGGTCTGTTGCCTGGGCTATAGTGCAGTGGCACAATCTTGGTTCACTGCAACATCTACCTCCTGGACTCAAGTGATCTCACACCTCAGCCTTCTGAGTAGCTAGGACCACAGGCATGCACCACCATACCCAGCTATGTTTTTGTATGTTTAGTAAAGACAGGGTTTCATCATGTTGCCCAGGCTGGTCTTAAACTCCTGAGCTCCAGCAATCCACCTGCCTCAGCCTCCCAAAGTGCTAGGATTACAGGCGTGAGACACTACACCCAGCCAGCATCATGTTTTTTAAATCAGCTTTTTAAAAATGTCTAATAATTTTGAGTATCCATTGTGATCACAGATATTCAGGTGAAGCTCCTAGACCACAATTTACAGTCCTGTAAAATGAAAGTTAAACTTCAGAATAACAAATCTGGCTCTCAATATTTTAAGTCAGCAAAAACTCAGTTTTCTTCATGATACTGCTAATATAGAAATGTGTATAGTTAGTTAAGAGATTCTAAGCAAAGATTTTTTTTTATGTTGCTGCTTAACACCCACGTATCTGAGAAACTCAGCAACCAAAGCACCATGTCTTAGGCATGCCTTTCAGAGTTCCCCGACAGTTTCTCAACCTAACCACCCCATTCTTTTTAAAAAGTGGCCATTGGGCTAATGCACTGAAAATGCTGGGGGTTGGGGTAGGGGGATGTGGGGTAGACACAGGAGGAAGCTGGTCTGCCAAGCATTTCTGAAGAACCTGATGCTGCCAGTCTCCCAGTGCTAAGCATCTGCCCAAGAAGAGTGCCCGCTGCAGGCTAAGATGCCAGCTGTAATGAGACACTTGTGTTTGAAATGCATTCCAGAGTTTTTGTGTGGCCAGTGTCATCTGATCATGGGACCTTGCAGGCTGATCTCTCTTACAAGAGCACCCTCTTCCGAGACCTTTGGTCGCACAGACTGAATTCAGACTTCAGAGTTTTTGCAATTTGAGCTAACTGTCTTGATTTTCTGGGATCCCTATGTAAAGGTAGGTTCTTAAACCAATACACCAATTGGAGTCACAAAATGAAGTGTGGCAAAAAAAAATAAGCATACAAAAATTAAGAACAAAGTAGATCAAAGATCTCCTCAAAATGATATGACTTTTTTTAAGCATTTAAATTACATACATAAACTGACAAGCATTATACACAAAGATGTTCACTACATCATTTATAACAAGAGAACTTTGGAAACAACCTGAAGATTCCGTTATAAGTAAATGTAGAACATAAACATGATGTAATAATTCATAGCAACTAAAATGATTTCTGCAAATCAACATTAATAATTTTAGGGAAAGCTTAATGAATAATTGGAGAGAGTGAGGAAAACACATATAGCTGAGAGTTCAGAAAAAAAGTTTTTATATTTTATTTACACACACATTCACACACACAAAAGAAGACAATAAGGAAGTAAATATACTGAAACATTAACAGTAGTTATTGAGTGATAATTTTTCTCTTGTTCATCATTTTCCAAGAAGTTTAAAATTTTACATACTCAAGAACTAATCAGAAAACAAGCTATTAAAAATTTAAAGACAAATGGAAAAAAACACACACACCAGGATAATCTGTCAGTATGCACTAAATAACAAGAAAAATTTGAGTATATGTACTTTAATTTACAATGAAAATATAACATACCACAGTATAAGAAAAATTGTAAGAATGAAACTCCCACAGAAGTTTATAGAACAAAATGTATACTAAATCCTCCAATTAAAGACCCATAAAGTAGTTTCAGTGCTTTCTAACCCACCTTCTCACAGCAGGGAATTAATCCCTCTAGGGGGATGCAAACAAACTTCAAAGGGAAGATTATGCCCAGACACTAGTACTGTACAGCGTAAGGTTTATATCTAAGTTTTTCAGATACTTTGGCACAGATCAGAGATGCAGATCCTAGGAACAAAGACTAATCTTAAAGCAGATTCTTTGTAATCATCTAAAATGGCAAAAATAATGCATTAAATATTAGAAAAAGGCAAACATAAGTTGTATTAAAAACAAATAAAGCTGTAGAAACCGACAAAGGTACCTGAAATCAAATATTAAGTGACAGTTTATTCACTGGTAACTAGTAACTAGAAAATCTTATGAATTCCTAAAATATGGAGTTCAGCTTGTGTACTCAAATTTTATTTGTACAATCTTTGGAAAGTGTTCCAATTCAGTGTTAGGGGTCTTAATGCAATTTCTAAGTAGAACTGACAGATCACATGCCCTTCCACAGATGTCATGAGATGCTCTTCAGAGCACAGAACACATGAGGGACAGTTTACAATACATGACTTCACTAGTGTAGACATTAAAAGCAATCAATGGAAAAAAGAACTGTCCTCAAAGTTTACCCTTTATCACCTCACATCTTTTTATCATTAGGTAATGTTTTAGGTATGGTTTGAAGTACCTGATCACTTTATAAAATGTTTTAAGTACAGACATAGCATATTGTAGTAAATAAGTTTTATTTAGTTTCCCAATTTTTAAAAATCACCGATGAGGAATCAAATTTAGAGGTTAACTTTTCTGAATATTAATCATCCAATAGAAAACTAATATCCTTAGTAAAGACTTAGATGTAAAAGGCAAAATTATCTATCTCTCTTTTTTTTTTTTTGAGACGGAGTCTCACTCTGTCACCCAGGCTGGAGTGCAGTGGCACAATCTCAGCTCACTGCAAGCTCCGCCTCCCAGGTTCAAGCGATCCTCCTGCCTCAGCCACCCGAGCAGCTGGGACTACAGGCATGCACCACCATGCCTGGCTAGTTTTTGTATTTTTAATAGAGACGGGGTTTTACCATGTTGACTAGGCTGGTCTCGAACTCTTGACCTTGTGATCCGCCCACCTTGACCTCTCAAAGTGCTGGGATTACAGGCGTAAGCCACTGCACCCGGCCCTATCTATCCCTTAAAAGAAAATATTGGGCCTGGAGAGGTGGCTCACATCCATAATCCCAACACTTTGGAGTCTGAAGTGGGAGGATCGCTTGATCCAGGAGTTTGATATCAGCCTGGGCAACAAAGTAAGAGCCCATCTCTACATAAAATTTAAAAAGTAAAAAAAAAAAAAAAACGAAAAAAAGGAAATATTGGAAAATATCTTTGTAGAGTAGGAAAATATTGATAAATTATACCATATTAAAACCAAGAAGTTTTGGTCAAAGATACAAAGACAAACCATAGAAGATATCTATAACACATATAACCAGATAATTAATATCTATAGTATATAAACAATTTCTTATAAACCAATGAGGAAAAGGTAGAAAACTCAATTTTAAAAATGAGCAAGTAGCCTGAATGAGTACTTTATAAAAGATATTCACGAGGCCAATAAGCCTATACCAGCTACTAAGGAGGCTAGTACCATCTACTAAGGAGGCTAAGGTGGGAGGAACACTTGAGCCCAGGAGTTCGAGGCTGCAATGAACTATGATCACGCCACTGCACTTCAGCTGGGCAAAGGAGCAAGACTTTGTCTCTAACTAATAAACAAACAAATAAGTAAGAAGCCAGTAAGCATATAAGAAGGGGTTCAATCTCATTAGTCTTCAACAAAAAGCAAATAAAAAACAACAAGGAGATACTACTATATAACCATCAGGTTGGCAAAAGTCAAATCTAACTGTACCAAGGGCTGATGAAGTTGTAGAGCAGTAAGTGTAGACTACCAAACACTGCAGGTGGGAGTACAGACTGGCACAATCCATTTTGTAAAAGTATGGCATGATTCAGTAATCAAGTATGTTCTATATGGAAATGTATGTTTACATGTGCCAGGATTCATACGTAGGAAAGGTCACAGTAGCATGGCTTATAGTAGCCAAAAACTGCGAACAACTTCAAAGGTCAACAGTAGAATGGATAACTAAATTCTGAAATAATTCTATAGTACACTACACAGCAATGAAAATCTATGACTGCAGTTACACACAACACGGAAGACCCTTTCAAACATAATTGAGCAAAAAAGCAGCAGAGCTACATACAGAATAATTCCATTTCTATAAAATTCAGAAGGCGGCACAATTCAATTATATTTTTTCAATGAGGTATACTTATGTAGCAAAACTATGAAGAAAAACAAAGAGATGATTATCATAAAAGTCAGGATAGTAGTTACCTCTGAAGGCAGGGAGGGAGGGGCCTCTGGGGTGCTGGGCAAACCCACCTGTAACATTTACAGGGCTTAGGCAAGGGTTCAAATAGAGACCTACAGACCATACATCTGAATATTTAAATATTTAAAAGTTTTAAAACAAGCATACAAACTATTAAATATTTTCTATCCTCCTGCCATAATAAATATACCTTTACAACTGACTAGAAGGCCAGGTTCATATTGTGTTTTTGTATTTTGCATTCCATGGAGAAAAGCAGTGGTGCAGGGCAAATTGGCCATTGGCTCACTGCCCACAGCCCCCTCTCCATCCTGTACTGCAAGCTCTATCCCATACCCTATTCCCCACTGACAGCTATCCTTAGGCCACCCTTAGACCTAGGGATGTATACACCAGTAGCATAGTCCACTCCCAGGAGGACAGACCCCAGGGGAGAGACTCACACAGGCTCCAGAAACAAGCTCAAGGCCATTTGGGCAAGAAGTTCTGAGATGCTGGGTGCTCAAAGCATGGTCTAGGATGGAAGGGTTTAGTCTCCAAGTGACCATGTTCCGTAGGCCCCAGAGACTCCTTGCCCTGTGGAAAGGGCACTGGTAGAGGAGGGACAAAGCAGATCCTTCTAAAGCATCAGGCCAAGGCAGGGGTCCCTCTTGCCAGGACCAGTATTTCTGAAGAACTGGATAACATTATATTTCTTAACCTGGATCATAATAACATGGTTACTCAATTTATACTTATTTGTTAAACTATACATATGTTTTATGTACTTTTTCACAAATAACAGGACAGATATCATGGTCTGCTTACTGGATGCACTGAAAAATACATAACACTTTTGAGATACTTTTACCAAAAACCAATAACCTGCATCTAATCATGAAGATCCAATCAGACAGATACAAATCCAGGAACTTTCTACAAAACAACAGACCCAAATTCTTCAAAAACATGTCAAAAAAGACAAAGAAAGGCTGTAAAAATTATTCTAGGCTGAAAGGAAGTAAACTGACATGAAAACTAAATGGACTGCATGATTCCGGATTGGATTCTGGGTCATAGGGAAAATGCTGTAAAGGACATGATATAACAATTGATTAAATTTAAATATGGACAACTGACATTATATCAATATTAAATTTTCTGATTTCAACCATTATACTAGGGGTATATAAGAATATGTCTTTATTCTTAGGAGATATATCCAGAATATCTCCTGGATATGCAGGGGTGAAGGGTCATAATGTCTGCAACTCACTCTTAAATGATCCAGCAATAATTCTGTGTGTGTATACTCACATGCACACATATGTGCTGTGTATGTATTGGGGGGGTGATAAAGCAAATGCAGCAAAATAATAACAATTGACAAATCTAAGGAAAGAGCATACGCACTGGACTGTCCTTGTAACTCTTAAAATAGTCTCAAAACAATTCATTCGATCCAGCAATCCCATTACCGAGTATATACCCAAAGGAAAATAAATCATATTAAAAAGATAACTGCATTCATATTTTTATAGAAGCACTATTTACAATAGCAAAGATACAGAATCAATATAAGTGTCCACCAATGGGCAATTGGATAAAGAAAATGTGGAATACTACTCAGCCATAAAAAAGAATGAAATAATGTCTTTTGCAGTTCCATGGATGGAACTGGAGGCCATTCTTTTAAGTGAAATAGAAAGTCAAATACAGCATGTTCTCACCTATAAGTGGGAACTAAATGATGTGTACACGTGGTCATAGAGTGTGGAATAATAGGCACTGGAGACTCAGAAGGGTGGGAGGGGCTGAGGGATAAGAAATTACTTAATGGGTACAATGTACACTATTCAGGTGATGGGTACACTAAAAGCCCAGACTTCACCACTATGCAATATATGCATGTAACACAACTGCTCTTGTAACCCCTAAACTTATACTAATTAAAAAATAAGGGCCAGGCGCGGTGGCTCACGCCTGTAAGTAATCCCAACACTTTGGGAGGCTGAGGCAGGCGGATAACGAGGTCAAGAGTTCGAGACAGCCTGGCCAACATAGTGAAACCCCGTCTCTACTAAAAATACAAAAAATTAGCCGGACGTGGTGGTGGGCACCTGTAATCCCAGCTACTTGGAAGGCTGAGGCAGAAGAATTGCTTGAATCCAGGAGGCGGAGGTTGCAGTGAGCCGAGATCATGCCATTGCACTCCAGCCTGGGCGACAGTGCAAGATGCCGTCTCAAAAATAATAATAATAAAATAAAATACTTGCAAAACAAAAAGTTAAAAAAACAGGCCGGGCATGGTGGCTCATACCTGTAATCCCAGCACTTTGGGAGGCCGAGGTGGGTAGATCACCTGAGGTCAGGAGCTCAAGACCAGCCTGGCCAACATGGTGAAACCTGTCTTTACTAAAAATATAAAAGTTAGCTGGGAGTGGTGGCGGGCGCCTGTAATCCCAGCTACTTGGGAGGCTGAGGCAGGAGAACTACTTGACCCAGGAGGCGGAAGCTGCAGTGAGCCGAGATTGTGCCATTGCACTCCAGCCTGGGTGACAAGAGAGCAATTCCATCTCATGAAAATAAATACATAAAATAAAAGTTTAAAAAATAAACTGTAGAGTTAAACAAAGGTGTTGTCTATGGGGAGAGGAATTAGATGGCTGAAATAGGAAGTAGTATAAATGCTATTCACTTTGTTCATTCTTCCATTTCATCTGTACCTTTCAGATTTTGTTCATATTAACAAATGCCTTCTCCGTGCCTGACCAACACGGAGAAGCCCTGTCTCTATTAAAAATACAAAATTAGCTGGGCGTGGTGGCACATGCCTATAATCCCAGCTACTCGGGAGGCTGAGACAGGAGAATCACTTGAACCCGGGAGGCAGAGGTTGCGGTGAGCCAAGATCACGCCATTGCACTCCAGCCTGGGCAACAAGAGCAAAACTCCATCTCAAAAAAAAAAAAAATAATATTATTATATGCAGGTGTTTTTGTGGGTGGACCAAGAGTCCTAAACATACCTTTGGCAAAATGTATCACCTCTTAGGCACCAAGAAAAAGAACACTAGATCATAAGGTTATTTTTCTCATTAACCAAGAAAGATTTTAAGAAGAAATATATGCTGCCTGCACAAGATACCCTGGTCCTTCCTAGGACCCTCTTGTCCAGGAACACATATTCAAATTAGCCCAAAAGCTAAAGCCAGAGGAGGTGTTTCCTTCAACTAATTTTCAACCTTCTTTTGCCAGCAGACATAAAATTTACTAAATTAAGTCCAAGCATCTCCTTCTAGATTAGTGGCAGAGAATTTCCTTTATATTATTTTGTATCCTATAATCTAATTCTACCATTAGATTGGTAGACTAGAGGTGAAGCCCTGCTCATTAGCAAGGTGACAATATTTCACACTAAATAGTTGACTTCCAGGCATCTGTGAAAGATGCAAACCAAGACCCAATGATTACAATGAATAAAGCCATACTTCAAGCCTATTATGCTTGAACTCTTAATTCAGACTATTCACTGTGTTTTCATTCTCCATTCTTCCTAGGATAATGTGAGCATGAATAAAAGGAAAAAGGCACTTAAACATACTTAAAGACAAATAACAATTTACTCATATTCACATATTATCTCACGTGCATAGCTATCTCAAACAATAAGTAACACACCATATCATAATCAAACATGCAAAGTACCTGAAAGAGTGCCACCTGTCCTGGGATAGGCCACTTCAACATATACTTCAAATGTGGTCTCTGGATTCTGCCTACAAAAGAAACAGATCATGATTACTGACAAAGATTGAGGCAGCATGGTATAGAACATGTGGGCTATGGTATTAAACAGATCTTCCTTGAAATCATTAGCTCACAACTTAATGGCCGTGGAACTTTGGACAAGCTACACTATTTCTCTGAGACCATGCCTTCCTAAACTACAAAATGAAAACACTTAGCCAAAGAATTACTGTAAAACTTGAAATATATATATATACAGGTCAGGTGTGGTGGCTCACACCTGTAATCCCAGCACTTTGGGAGGCCAAGGTGGGAGGATCACTTGAGGCCAGGAGTTCAAAACCAGCCTGGGCAATATAGCAAAACCCTGTCTCTACTAAAAATGCAAAAATCAGCCAGACATGGTGGTGCACACCTATAATGCAAGCTACTTGGGAGGCTAAGGTGGGAGGATCACTTGAGCCCAGGAGGCAGAGGTTGCAGTGAGCTAAGATCACGCTACTGCACTCCAGCCTGGGTAACAGAGTGAGATGCTGTCTCAAAAATGAATAATAAAATTATACACACACACACACACACACAAATTGTCTAGGCATGATGTCTGGCACATAATAGGCTAGCCATTACTATGGTTTTACAGATGTCACATTTCCAATTTCCACAGCTGGATCACCAAACCCAGAGGTAGAAATTTGAGGAAACTCAGACCAAGGCAACACCAGCACAAATTAGCCCTCTCCTCAGTATATTCCAGAATAAAACACGAATGTGACAAGATTAACTTGCTTATGTACAGGTTTTCAAGACTTAAACAAGAGGAACAGTGTATCTCACTAGACTACTGTGAAGACAAGATGCCAATCTAAACGTAAGACACTGTTCCCACATAGCTATATAACCTTGATAAGTTCACGATCTTCAGGATTCAATGGGCCTTCACCTGTATTGGCAATGGTAACTGTATGAATTTTTATTATTATACTCTTACTTGTTTATTTCATAACAGTTCATAAATTTGTTTATTTACGTATTTATTTTGAGACAGAGTCTCACTCTGTCATCCAGGCTGAAGTGCAGTGGCACAATCTCAGCTCACTGCAACCTCTGCTTCCCAGGTTCAAGCGATTCTCCTGCCTCAGCCTCCCAAGTAGCTTGGATTACAGGAACACACCACCACGCCCAGCTAATCTTTTGTATTTTAGTAGAGATGGGGTTTCACCATGTTGGCCAGGCTGGTCTCGAATTCCTGACCTCAAGTAATCCACCCGCCTTGGCCTCCCAAAGTGCTGGGAGCCACTGCACCCAGCCAATAGTTCATAAATTTTTAAAAGATCACAGAACAGAATGTTTATGGTTAATTCTAGATAATAAGAATACTGTGGTTATATTATTTTTACATTTTCTCTTTAATTTCAAAACTACCATAAAAAGATGTTTCCAGATGAAATAAAAATCATGTAGCAGAAGAAAATGTTGTACTTTCAAATATCTGTAACTTAATTCTATTTTAAATCTGACAACAAACATGAGGTAAGAAACCTTCTGAGTTGCCTAATCATCTCTAAGGATTTATTTACATCAAATAAATACTTTTAATATGCCCAGCGGCATCTACTTTTCAAAATAGCAATCTCAGTTATCTCATTTCATCGTCATCATAATCCTGAGAGATAGGTGTGTCAGGATTACTACAACCATACAAATGAGCAACCTCATGCAAAGGGATTCTAAAGTGACTTGTCTAGAAACATGGCCAGGACCAGAACTCATGCCTCCTGTTTATCAAATCCTATTTCACTCGATTCTAGAATGAACTGTTTCCCCCCACGTTTTCATATCTCTTACAACCGACAGCATTTTACAATTCTAAGAGCCGGCATTTTTTCCTAGTAATACCTTAAATAAAGGCTTATATTATAAATAATGGCATTTTACACTCACTAAAAAATGGTAATACTCCCTCTACTTCCTTAGGAGGGGAAAGAAAAATAAGTGTTTTGTGAATCAGGAATCTACTTATTTCGGGGGTGTAAAATCGTCATTTCTCCCCCAGAGAGAAACATGGGCTTTTGCTTTCAAGCGTCTGTAGCAAAGACCTGGCTGCTCTAAAATTCAAGGTATTTAAATATACCTTGTCAAACTGAGTTATTTTTAAAATCAGACATTAAGTCACAGTATCTTACTTAAAAAAATTAAGTAAACTGAAGTTTCAAGAGGACCTTAAAAAATTGTTGTGCTCTTTTTTCCCTGCAAGAGGGTACAAAATGATCTTGGCATCTTTGGCATATGGGACCAAATATTTGTGGAAAATACCATATGCAAACACCCCTTTCATTCAAAAGATCTTAAGGTAGAACATTTGATGAAAGAAAGGGAAGTTCAAAGGTTCTTTCATGAGTAATAGGTAGTATAATCTGAAGAGCATCAGGAAGATTCTCTCTGAAACCTCAAAATGTCTTTCTTAAGCCTAGTTTGCAAATGGCTGAATTTCATCTCAGAATTTCATTCCTTTGGATTAATATAACAGCCTTCAAAGTGTGTTCTTCAGGACCCTAGGACTTCATGGAGGTTCTTTAGAGCTTCCCACATTTTTACTCAAGTTTCCATTTTTAATTTATTTTTATGCATTTTAAAAATTGAAATAAAATGAGCATGCAAAGGTGTTATATCCAAACTTTAAAACACGGGGACACCAACACATTATCCTGTACCACAGGGTGTTTTGTACAGCCCTGCTATCTAAGTGAAAAATGGCCTAATGTATATACTCATTGTTTCTGCTGCTTCTTCCTTTCTCTAACATACTCCAACCAGGCTTCTGAACCCACGACACCACTGAAACAACTTGGTCAAGGTAACCACAGACCTCTGCATTGCTAAAATGTATTTAAATGCTCAATTCTCAGTGCTCATCTTACTCGGCCTGTCAATAGCATTTGATAGTTCATCCATCTGCCCTCCTCCTTGAATGTCTTTCTTTTCTTGGCTTCCAGGACGTTGCTCTCTGTTGATCCTCTTCCTACCTCACTGGCTACTCCTTTGCGAATTCCTTCTCAGGTTAGCTCTCCTACTGTCCCTGTCTCCACTCATTGCTTAGATGATCTCATTCAGTCTCTGGGCTTTCATTACCATGCATACAAGCCCCAGTCACATCTCCAACCTGACTACTTCTTCCCTGACTCCAGACTCCCTTACCCAGCTGCCTACTCAACATCCCCACTGGGCCAGGCATGGTGGGGGATGCCCAGCTACTGGAGAGGCCAACGCAGGAGGATTGTTTGAGGCCAGGAGTTTGAGACCAGCCTGAGCAACATAGCAAAACCTTGTTTCAAAAAAAAAAAAAAAAAATCCCATTTGGGCATCTAAGAAGCATTTCTAATTTAACATATCATATTTTTCTCCCTCAAACCTGCATCTCCTGAACTCTACTAGTTGCTGAGACTAACAAAACTTAATGTCATCCTCGACTCCCGTTTCATATGCCACAGTCAACCAATCAGAAAATTCTACTGATTCTACCATCAAAATACATCCAGAATCTCAACGTTTCTCAGCACCCCCAAATACAACCATCCTTGATAGATCACTATCATATCACCTCGATTACTGCAGCACCCTCCTGATGGGTCTCCCTGCTTTCTTCCTTGCCCCTCTATAGAGTCAGATCACAACATTAACAGACAGTAATCCTTTTATTCTGAAGTTCAGGTTATGTCACTTCTTTGCTCAAATCTCCTAAAAGCTCCCCACACCACTCAAAGTCAAGTCAAAGTTGTAGTCCTGGAGCTGCACATTGACAATTGTTGCCCCACAATATGAATACACATAATACCTTTGAACTGTACACTTGAACGTGGTTAAGATGGGAAGTCTTATGTGAAATTTACCACAATTTAAACAAACAAAACAGAAAAAGAAGGTGGCAGTCCTTAGCAATGCCTACAAAGTCCTACATGATCTGGCCTCTGCCTACCTGTCCAACTTCATTTTATACCTCTCTCCCCTTGCCCACTGAACTCCAGCCACAATGACCTTCTTTCTGCTCCTCAAACACACCAAAGAGAAGTCCCATCTTACAGTCCTTTATATTGATCTTCACACAGGTGGTCCTTCTTGGCATTGAAAACTCAGCTTATATTTGGCCTCCTCAGAAAGACCTTCCCCAACACACACTCTATCACCTAACTGTAATTCTCCACATTATACCTGCCATAATCTTGGTTTACAGTCAGTCTCCTTTCTCTAAATGTAAGCTGCTGGAGAGCAGGGATCTTGTCTATCATGTCAAGGAGTGTTTCCCTGGTGCCTGGGAAGTGACTGGCACACAGCCAGTGCCACCTAAATACTGGGTAG
The DNA here is from genome assembly GCF_000001405.40 of Homo sapiens. Lineage (NCBI taxonomy): Eukaryota > Metazoa > Chordata > Mammalia > Primates > Hominidae > Homo > Homo sapiens. The sequence goes on from NC_000009.12 coordinate 123,883,346, forward strand.
AAGGCATAAAGAATAGAGTTGCCTTCCTGAGGTCTAAAAGATTTCAATAAATGATGGGTGTGATCATCCAGTTCCACGATTCTCAAACTTTAGCAAGTACTATAGTCACCTGGAGGGCTTAACTAAAAGATTTCAGTTCCCATCCCCAGAGTGTCTCAGGTAGGACCCAAGAATTGTATTTCTAACAAGTCTCCAAGTCATCCTGATGCTGCTGGACCCGTGACCATACTTTAAGAACTACCAGTTAAGTAGAATTCTTCCAGATAATTTAGAATATACATCATAAACATAGGGGATACCACAGTAATCCATTATTTCAATAGTGCGTTTGCAATAAAAGATAAATTTCAAAGAAAAAAGGCATTTGTGGAAACAAGGAAGGTTATTCCTCTTCTTCTACCACTATCTGTAGTTACTGCCTCACTCTAATGAGTCATAATAAAGCCACCTAAGATTCTTACTCAGTTCAAACAGCTGGTAGAGTTCTATTCCATTACATGGAGCCAAGGATTATGACAGTCTCAAAAAAAAAAAAAAAAAAGAGCTAAAATGCTAAGAACAAATTGGTCTATAATTATAAGTTATGGTCATGCTTATCCATGATCATTTCCATGTTGCCTTATGGAAGAAGTGGTGAGTAATGTTGTGACAAGTTATGTAACATACCAACAAATATACATCAGTTATTTTAAGGGCCAGGGAAGCCAACGCAGATAGAAGCATTCTCTATTTCTCTGCAAATCAAAAATAAAAAAGTGCCTCCTCTAAATGCAAATAGCCAAGCAACCCCCTTAGTTGGTATTTTCATTAAGCCTGTAAACAATTAAGACTATAACAATTTCCAGAGGCTCTCTGCGACCACCTTGAGATTGCTTATCCCTCCATTACTCTTCAAGATGTTTAATATTTTTAACTTTTTGGCTAAAGGAACTGAAAATCCTATTTCTGTCCTATTAACACTCACTGCTAATTTGGTACATGTAATGATGCTGAGAATGCCACATTCAGAGCCAATTTTCCAATATGGACCCAAGTTTTCCCAGAACACTTCATGATACATCTTAAGATATTACCATGGAAATGTCCTGGCTCTGCCATGATATCCCATTATTAATTGTTTCATTCTCCTATAGACTCCTAACCCTGCCCACCTGCCAAGCATTTTTTTTGCCTCCCACCCCCCATCTTCTTCAGTCTTGTACCCTACAATCCAGCCATATAGATCTACTTGTAGCTCTCTAAGCAAACCATGCATGCATGCCCTAATTCTAGGACAATTATACCATTTCCATACAGCTAACACCACTTACTGCTTCCTATGTGCCAGCCATGATCCTAAGCACTTCACATGCATTACCTCAATTAGTCCTCAACAACCCCACAGGTAATACTACTCCCGGTTTAGAGATGAGGACACTGAAGCTCACAGAGAATAAATTGGCCAAAGACAAAATGACCAAGCAGCAGAATCAGCATGGAACTAACTCCAAAGACAATAACCACTTCACTATTCTACATTATTCAATTGCTTTTTTGCCAAGAACAGTCTTTCCAGGCTTTTTCACTTGACAAACTCAGGCACTTCCTCTTCTCTAGGAAGTATTATTGTTCAACAACCCTCCCATCTCCCACCTGACCTGCGAGCGCGCGCGCACACACACACACACACACACACACACACACACTCACTCTCTCTCTCACACACACACACACAGACGCACGCACACAGCCTAGACTGGGTTAAGTGCCCCACCTTTATGCTCCCAAGCACCCTGTACTTCCCACTCTCCAGGCTCTCACCATATCCAACCCTGGTACAATTACAATTACCTGGGGGGCTTTTAAAAATCCTGATGCCCAGTCTATATCGCAGACCAATTAAATCAGAATCTCCAGGCACTGATACTTTTTAATTCCTAAACTTATTCCAAAGTACAGTCAAGGTTGAGAACCACTGGTGTGTCTCAGATAAAATATAATACATTCTTCCCCACTAGACTGGCAGCTCCTTGAGGGTACCAACTGTGTCTTCTCATAACCCTAGTCTGACACCTGGCTCAATAAATGTTTCATGAATGAGTTTTCCTCCAACATCTGACACGTTTCCAGCTCCCACTAATCACTTCTCTTTCTCTGACAAGAGGTAATTTACAGAATACACACTGCTTACACCTATTACTCTGTAAAGATGTTTTCCTTTGGAGTAAAAGTTCTCAATAAGTCACACCTGCTGACAACAGCCTCAGCTCTTAAACACTGAAAAATGGCAAATACAAACAGCTAAAACGTTTTTGAAAGAAGGGAGGTCTGCTCAGTTTTTGCTTCTGGGAGAATGAAGGCTGAGGGTAAGCCAATAGAGCATTTCTATTCAAGATCTCTCTGCTGAACACAGTTCTCAGTGCACCGGAAGGGTCATGCTCAGTGCTCAGGACCATGTTCTTTTTTTTTCTTTTCGAGATAGTCTCACTCTGTTGCCCAGGCTGGAGTGCAGTGGCATGATCTCAGCTCACTGCAACCTCCGCCTCCCGGGTTCAAGTGATTATCCTGCCTCATCCTCCCAAGTAGCTGGGATTACAGGCACCTGCCACCATGTCCGGGATTTTTGTAATTTTAGGAGAGATGGGGTTTCACCATGTTGCCCAGGCTGGTCCTGAACTCTTGACCTCAACTTATCTGCCCGTCTCAGCCTCCCAAAGTTCTGGGATTACAGGCGTGAGCCACCACACCCAGCCAGGACCATGTTCTCAAAAAGATTAAGTACACTCAGCTTGAAGCCATGAAATAGACAAAGGCTTTGACAGTATTTAGGCAGCAGCAAAGCTTAATGGCGTTTTTTGTTTTGTTTTTTTTTTCAAGGCATCATGCTATTGATCACTCTGCTGGATCATCAGCTTTTAATTAGGATCTACTTTTCCTCAATTAGAATATATGAGATTAGGAGAAAAATGTAACATTAACTCCTCATAAAATGAATCTGTGTTGCATATGGTAACCATGCCACAATGGTAGGCCCTAGTCCTTTTAAGGGTAATTTAGAGCTACAGACCTGAAACGAAATAGTTATTAGGACCCCTTACTCATTTCACGGTCTTCAAAACTTCAAACCAGCTTCAGCGCAGTGTTTCCTTAGTTACAAACTTACATGCTGAAGGGGCTGAGGTGTACCGTTTAAAAATTCATACCAATTGAACTCTCTTAAACTTGACAACATGGTCAAAAGAAACTGTATACACTTCAGAACGCACTAGCAAACACCACCTAATAAACATTGAGTCCTTTAAGCTAGAAAAACAAGCAAAAAGGTAGTGTTAAAATTTCCAACAAGTCTCCATTTGTTTCACTGGACTCTGAAATTAAAGCCTTTTTTTCCAGGCTGAAAACATTGTATCAAAGAGTGCTTTCTAGCCCATAACAAGTTAACACCTCCATAGGAGAATGCAGTCATTGTTGAGACTTGTTAGAAAATTAACTTAGTTGTGTAATTACACAAACAAGTCGTTTCAAGACTACACTTAACTTCATTTCTAATAATGTTCTCAGGATCAGATTAATGAAGATACGCAGATATTGCTACGAAAAGAGTCACAAAGGTTTACCTTCCATATATCCCTACGGGAAGATTCTTAAGCCTCTAAGTGCAAGCAAGGTAACTGGAGGAGGGTTAGCTGCATTCCAAGCAGAGAGACAAAGCCTGAACACCCCTCAGCAATGTGCAGTACAACACACAGTGTTAATAAGTTGTCTCATATGCTGAGCTGCAGTGTAAAATCTAGGCTTTACCCATTAAGGGCATTTGCAAAGGTGATATTTATCTCATTATCAATAAACATTTTTGACCTTACAAAAATGTAAAAACCTCCCCTTCCCTTTCTGAACAGTTTAGTCCTAAACCTGTTAGGTAGGCAGAGTGAGGTAGACGTTCATGCTGGTGACAGCCCAGTGTGAGATGTCAGAGCCTGGGCGGGGCAAGGAAGGTGTCCCTATGAAGGGGCAACATCCATGCTGAGGGATGTCCTGGCATAAGATGCACAATCCAACTGATGAGGAAGACATCTACTCAGGGAACAACCTGGTGTGGGAAGTCAGAACCTGAGTGGGGTGGAAGGGTATTCACGCACAGCACAGCTGGGCCTGGGGTGTTGAAGCACAGGCAGAATGAGGGGGTACCCATGTGAGGGCATCCCAACACAGGGTGTCAGAGCTGCAGAGGGTGAGGAGCATGTCTAAGCATTAGGGCCCCCGAGAATGGAGGCCAGTGCCCAAGCAGGCATGAGGAGATCGTCCATGTTGGGTAGGAGGAGGCTTCCCAGAGTGAGTGGGAGTCAGAGTCCAAGCAGGGCAGTGGGGCAGGAGGTGTGGAGAACCACCATCAAGTCCTTGTGATGCCAAGAAAGCAAGGTGAAGAAGGAGGCGAGCATGCACACAGGGTGGAGGTGAAGGGGCCGTGTGCCTAATCTGAACCCAAGGCTACTTGGAAGACATGGGGAAGGCTGGTTTCTTACAGTTGAAGTTAACAGAAAACCAACATGACTTATACAAAGTTGGATTTGAAATGCAGATATTAGAATGTGCTCAAGGTTTATATGTATATATATAACTTGATAGAAAAATAAAGCATAAATGTAACCTGACTTTTCACATGCACACATATTTCCCAGCTCTGGCTACTGGGAGGGCCTGGGAGCAGCAACACCCCAACAGCAATGAGCACACCTAATTCCCAGGCCTTGGCTTCTAAATACAATTCTCCTCTAAAAGGAACCAGGGCTCCTAGGAGAAATAGCTGATTCTAGCACTAAGACAGGGAACGTGCTAGATGAACTTGGAACATTTTTTGTGCCAGGAAGCAAAGAAGTGCTCAAAGAATGATGGGGATACATTGAAGGGACACGGGAGCAAGCCTGAAAGGGCTTCCACTGGCCAAATCTGGGGCAGTCTGAGCATCCAAATCAGTAAGGATATTAACAGATTTGGATCCATCAAATAAAACAAGAAGCCATGAGTTCATACGCATCTAAATAAGGGAATAAATTGAAAAGTTTAATGAGAAATGGTATATTTACACAGTTTCAAAGTACCTCCCCCACAAAATACTGAATACAAGGGAGAAGAGAGTAACTTTCAATGCAGAAGTTTGGCAAAAACCTAGTCAAGTCAAAGTGATCACCATCAGTAATGGAAGAAACTGCTGGACCGCAAAGAGCAGGGCACACCATCACTGCTGCGATATTCCTGTCGGAGATGCTACACCTGAAGAAACATCAGACAAAACCAAGTGGAAGGACCTTCTAGAAAATATCTGGCCTTAATCTTCAAAAGTGTCAACGTCATGAAAATCAAGGAAAGGCTGAAAATCTCTTCCAGACTAAAGGAAACTAAAGAGAAATGACAACTAAATGCAATGTGTGATTCTTTTGCTGTAAAGGATGTTATTGGGACCACTAGTGAAACCTGAATGCAGTCTTAGGATTAGACGTAGTAACAAATTGCCATTAACTTGCTGATTTTGATGTTTGCATTGCGTTAGAGGGGAGAATAACCTTGTTTGTAGGAGAAGCACACTGAAACATTCAAGGGTGATGATGCATCAGGTCAATACCGTGCTTTAAACTGTGTGTGTGTGTGTGTGTGTGTGTGTGTGTGTGTGTGTGTGTGTGTGTGTATTTTAAGTTCTTTACACTGTACTGCCAACTTTTCTATAAGATTCTAGTTCCTGGAAAAATATTTTTTTAAAATCATTCATTAAATACCAATTTCTCTGACCTTCCTTTTACCAAGACTTTCTCACAGGAATGACATGTGGTTCTATGGAAAGAACCCCAAACTAAACATCAGGAGGCTTGGGTTCAAATCCCAGGTAGATCCCTTACTTGTTATGGGATTAGGACAAGCCATTTAACCTTTCGGCTTCCTCCTCTGTCAAGATATATACCTGCCCTGCTCATCTCAAAAGTTGTTTCAGGGATCAAATGAGAGAAAAATGAGAAAGTGCTTTGTAAACTAAAAGATGTTAAACTAATGTAAAGGGTATTATCACGTATCATATAAAAATAAAATGGCTTCACCTTACCAATAATAGGCTTTATAAGTAATCCACATATTACTGTGTATTTCAAAGACTCAAAACCATTAGGCTTTCAAATACCGTCACTAAAAGCAATCCAGAAAATAGGGAACTATCCGAATAGAAACATTAGTCTAGGCAATAAATAAAGGGATTTTAAGAACAAGGGATGGATTGTGCAGTCAGAAAGAAATTCTCATTTTACCAAAACTGAAGAAAAAGTCTCTCCTCTACAGAGGAAAAAAAATACTGAATAAATGCAATGTATAAAAATCAAAAGAGGCCGGGCGTGGTGGCTCATACCTGTAATTCCAGCACTTTGGGAGGCCGAGGCAGGTAGATCACCTGAGGTCAGGAGTTCAAGACCAGCCTGGCCAACATGGTGAAACCCCGTCTCTACTAAAAATACAAAAATTAGCCAGGCCTGGTGGCACACAGCTGTAACCCCAGCTACTTGGGAGGCTGAATCAGGAGAATCGCTTGAACCTGGAAGGCAGAGGCTGCAGTCAGCCAAGACGGCACCATTGCACTCCAGCCTGGGCAACAAGAGTGAAACTCCATCTTCGGGAAAAAAAAAAAATTCAAAAGAGTCCATGGATGTGCAACTTATGCCCCTCAGTCAGTAATAAAGTGAACATCTGTAAAATACTTTATGGTTACCTTAGAACTCACATATGTTTCTGAAGCTGATTGTCAAAACCGTGTCAGGTAATAAGATGGTGGTATTTTCCTTGTTTTACAGTAAGGGAAACTGAGGCCAGGAAGTGGTAGAACTCCAACTGAACCCTGGTTTTAAGATTCCAAAACCCATGCCTTTTCCACCACACCACGTTGCCTGTCCAAAAATTACTCACACCTGTTTAGAGTGGCTGGGGGAATGGTGGGCCACAGACTTCTCTGAGGAGGCCATGAAAAGCTTCACCATCTCCCCAGAAAAATGTGCTTAAATGGAATATTTTTTACATAAAAATGTCAAGGCGTTCATGAAGCTATTTATGGAGGAATATGCAACAAGAACCCCTTGTTTCATTGATGACTTGCTTTTATGTTCTTTCTTATTTAACCCTCCCGCCAAGCCTGTGAGGGGAAGGTTATTTCCATTACCCCATCTAAGAAGAGCAGATATTCTGCAGAAGACCAAGTCACTTCTAAATCTTGTTAATATGTACTAAACACTTAAATATGTGTCAGATATTTTTCTAAGCACTTTTCATCTATTATTTCACTTAACCTTCCCAACAACTCTATGAAAGAACTACTATTACCATCATTCTCATTTTACAGATGAGGAAACTGAAATACAAGTTCAGAAGCTTGTCCAAGTTCACACAGTTTGTAAGAGATAGAGCTGGAATTTGAACCCAGAGAGTGTGGCTCTAGAGTCTATATTCTTGAATTTTTAAAATCAACTTTATACCTCCAACATATAATTGTATCCTCACAATTACATGTATGCTAATATACATACACTAAAATGCACTCATTGTAAGTGTCTAGTTCAAGGAACTTGGGCAACTGCATATACCCATGTAACCCCTATTCCACTAATTTTTTTTTAATGAACCTTATTATAGGCCCAATTGTTTTTCTCCTCCACACACCCTTCAAAAACCATAGTGTCTGGCTGTTGTGTTAGCACCTAAGGGCAACTGAAAAGGCCTTCAGAACAGTGAGCTCAGGTTCTCAGCACTCCTTGAGTAGTCCTTTGAGCCATCCAGAGAGCTCACAACCTGACTTCAGGGAGATCCAGAATTACAGAGTGGTGCCTTCCCCATGTCTCCCAGAAGCACTGAGCTCCTCTCTCCTTCATGGTCCCAAGTTCCCTTTTCTGAGAAGAACTTGCCTCTCCCTCTGCCACTGCTCCATTTGGACCTTAGTGAGTTGTCATCATAGATCACAGTCACCATGGAACTCGTGCTCTTAACAACGTAACGTACACTATACTGACTCAGTCTCAAATCACCTAGAAGTTTTTTAAATCAGATTCCCAGGTTCTACCACTGAAGACTGATTCATTAGGTGGGAAATAAAGCCCAGGTATCTATTTTCTGAAAAGTGATTTTGATAATCTATTGATCTATGAACCTATTTTCCTAAGTGATTCTGATCAGTTGGATTTTGGAACTACTATAAAAGAACAGTAGTTCTTCTCAATGTGCCAAGATGGCACACAACCTAGAAATCGTGAGACTCTTTAGAAGACCTTGAAATATACACTTTAATAATAATAAATAAAATCGTACTAAATCAGATACCATCTTATACCGGCAGTAGCAGGCTATCAAAAATTTAAATAAGTATATAACAAATTTACTGGAATCTCAAATCCAGCAGAGATGGAGTAACATGGACCACATTTACCCTTCCATCTGAAACAACCAAAATTCCATCGATCCATCCATCCTTCTCTCGAACAATGTTTTTCAAGAGACTGGAGAACAGACAACAAAGCACAGTGATCCCTGAGAGAAGTAAACAAGTGAGCTGAGCCCTCTGATGCCCCAGCTCACCACTTTGAGAGTTTCCAGATTATGGTGCAAGGAGGGGGGACCTAAGCAAAGCCCAGCAAACACCTGGAGCTGAGAGACAGAGCTAAGCGTCCAGGGAAACCAAGGCAGTTGAGTTTGCAGCACAGAGTGCTGGAGTGAAGAGAGCTGCACAGAGAAAGAACTCCAGAGATCTGCAAGAGCCCCCTCAAGTATATAGCTAAGTACTGATTAGCATGTGTATGTGAGGAAATAACTTAAGCCTGCACAAAGAACCAGCAAAAAAGATTACAGGTGCAGTAGCTGGTACTCACACAGGGTTAGAAATAATGCCTATTCCCCCCAGCCGAAGTGGAAAACTCATGTTCATGGTGCATTGGATAGAGTACACAATAGAGTATTACCTTAGAAATGGAGAATAAAATTCTAGGTTGCCTAGTCTAGCCCTAGACTGAGCACAACTCCAATCCCACTTAACAAACCTTAAAAAGCAAGACTCGGAAGGAGCACATTATTTCAAAGTAACATAGACAAAACATATGAAACAATGGTTTTCAAGACATTAGGCAACAAAGTGCAGCAATGCCTTGAAAGATGGAAAAGAAAGAAGTGAGCCTATGACTGCCTCAGATTACTCCCCTGAGGAAACCCAAGAATATTTATAAGAATACAAAAACAGAGGGAGAGCATCAGGGTAAATAGCTAATACATGTGGGGCTTAATACCTAGGTGATGGATTGACAGGTGCAGCAAACCACCATGGCACACATTTACCTATGTAACAAACCTGCACATCCTACACATGTATCCCAGAAGGTAAAATAAAATAATATCCCAGCACTTTGAGATGCCAAGGCAGATGGATCACTTGAGGTCAGGAGTTGAAGACCAGCCTGGCCAACATGGTGAAACCCTGTCTCTACTAAAAATACAAAAATTAGCCGGGTGTGGTCGTGGGCACCTGTAATCCCAGCTACTCAAGTGGCTGAGGCAGGAGAATTGCTTGAACCTGAGAGGCAGGGGTTGCGGGGAGCCGAGATCGCGCCACTGCACTCCAGCCTGGGTGACAGAGTGAGATGCCGTCTCAAAAATAATAAGAATAATAATAATAAAGAATAAGAATAAAAAAGAATAAAGAATAAGAATAAAGAATGGTCTGGGCATGGTGGCTCATGGCCCACTGGCCCACTATACGTACAGGATTATATGTTTTTAAAAAAAAAAAAGTGATTCAAAGAGCATTGTACAAACAAAACAAGATAAACATTTAAGATAGATATGATTATCATCCAGTTTACCAATGAAGAAACTAACGAACAGATCAGTTAAAGTCAAACATTTAGTAAGTGAGACAGCTGGGACTAGAACCCAGGCAGATTTGGCTCCAGAGTCCATGTCCCTAATCACTATGCTACAGCTCAGCATGCCACTGCATAGTTTAAAAAAGAAAAGACAAAAACACAATGTAAACCTCAAAGGCTCCCAAATGCATTCAGGAGTTAAAAGACCGTCATTAGCAGGACATGCGATGCAAGACTATTTGCAATTTAGCCTCAGTGAGACCAGACTTATCAGCTTCATCTGCCCACCACCCCCTACCAACCCACATGCCCCCACATTTTAGTCATGTTAATCTTACCATCAGGCCTCAATCACTTACATGCCTTGTATATACATTTGTCACTTATTGCACTATTTCAGAGGGGCTGGGCACTGTGCTAAGCTTAATTTTATATACAGCACCTCACTTTACCCACATGACATACTGTGAGGGAGGGAGGATCTACAGCACTTTACAAAAGTAAGAATCTTCTAGAAATTGAATTGCTTGCCCAAAGACAAATATCTAGTAAGTGGCAGTGTATGAACTCAAGCCCAGGTCTGTTCTTACTTCAAAGGGCATGCTCTTTATCATAATTTCCCCACCTAAAATGTGTTCCATCTCCTAACAATGTCCTATTTATTCAAGATGCATCTAGAACAGTGCTTGGCAAGTAGTAGGCACTTAAGAGATATTTGCTGAATGAATGGAAAGTGAATGAACAAATGCCTCCTCCTCTCTGGAGGCTTCTCTCACCCCCTTACAAAGCTCAGTTGCTCTCTCCACACCGTCACAAAACTGGTTTCAAAGCCCTGTTATAAGGCTTCCCAGGTGGTATTCTATGCTTTGTACTTATATATACATATTACCTACTACACTGGGAACTTTGTTTCACTTCACCTCTGTATTCCCAGATCCCTAACAAAAGACCTGGTTTTTAAACAAGCGCTTGGTGAATTTGTTAAGTGAATGAAATTCCCTGAGGAGGAGAGAGATGAGTAAGTGACTCATGATTCACATTAAAACTTCTTTTTCCTCCAGAAGTAAACAACGTTCAGAACTGTGATATACTCAAATGTGTGCTCTATAAATATTGCTAGGTTTCAACCATCATCCGAGGTATCTAAATTTAACTCATTCAACACATATTTATGAGTAATCTAAATACACACAGATAATGGCTCCTAAGGAGCTTACAACCAAGTCAAGGAGACAAAACATAAAATGTAAACAGCCAAACATGGGCTGTTTGAAATCAATAGAAATAAATGACTGGCTGCCACGAATTGATAAAACAAAATGCTGTGGGTTTGCAAATTGAAGACATCATTCTGAGCTAAGGTTGTGGTCCTGATTATCAGCGGATAGGATGCAATGAGGCTTTTTCTAATCAGTAGCAAAATGAGAAAAACGGGGACAATACAGTGTACTTTCCATATAAAGATATTTAATTCAATTATAAAAACTATCCTTAATTGGACATCATATTCCTCCTGCCTTTCAGATATGAAAATGTAATTTCTTTTCAAAAATAATGGTGACAGGAGATGATCATTTTGATGTAACTCCACAAAATTTGTTTTTAAGTCTGTACTTTAAAATATTCCAAACATTTGGGAACCAGTGAGCTACAGCATTCAAGAGAAGCACCATGAAGAGGTGAAACTTGATTGTTCACATTGCAGAATGAACTGGGTTTGGCTAGGTGGAGAGGAGTGGGGGGATTTTAAACAAGAGACACATGCTGAGCAAAGTACAGAGGTATGAATGCTCATGCAGAGGCTGGAGAATGCTAGCAGAATCACCCTGATTGAAACTCAGAAACACTGCAGCTGCAAGTTCCTTTTTTTTTTTTTTAAGAGACAGGGTGCTGCCATATTGCCTGGGCTGGGGTGCAGTGACTATTCACAGGCATGATCATAGCACACTGCACCCTTGAACTGCCAGCCTCAAGCAATCCTCCCACTTCAGCCTCCCTAGGTGCTGGGACCATAGCTGCATGCCACTTGCAAATTCCTACTAAGTACCCTTCAGATCCTCCACTGAAAACTATAAATAATGGTTTTTTTCCATCTTCTCAGATAAATACATTGATGAGCTTGCAAGAAAATAACAAAGATTCGGTCGGGTATGGTGGTTCACACCTGTAATCCCAGCACTATGAGAGGCCAAGGCGGGTGGATCACTTGAGATCAGGAGTTCAAGACCAGCCTGGCCAACATAGTGAAGCCCCATCTCTACTAAAAATATAAAAAATTAGCCAGGCATAGTAGCATGTGCCTGTAATCCCAGCTACTTGGGAGGCTGAGGTAGGAGAATCACTTGAACCCAGGAGGTGGAGGTGGCACTGAGCCGAGATTATGCCACTGCACACCAGCCTGGGCGATAGAGTGAGACTCTGACTCAAAAAAAAAAAAAGAAAAAAAGAAAAGAACAAAGATTCAGACAAAGAACTAAGTGAAGATAGAAACCTAACAGGGTTACCAAAACACAAAAACTCACTTTCTCCTTGAAGATATTTATGTAGTCCAATGCATGCTCCATTCTCCCAATCTAAGGGGCTCAAGGAATTCAAGACAAAACGAACATTCAGCCTAAGGAGAAAAGTGTAACAGACATCCCTCTCCCACCATTTAAAGTGGGATGACCAAGGTGATGAAGAAAGAAACCCATCCACACACATACACATCTCAGGAACTGTCATAAAAACCACTAGCCTCAAAACTCAGCACTGAGAAAGGGAAATTTTTCCACCAGTTCAAACACAAGCAGGCCCTCACAAGGGACTGCTACTGAGTGGTCAAAAAAATCTCAACAGGCCAGGCATGGTGGCTCACATCTGTAATTCTAGCACTTGGGTAAGCTGAGCCCAGGAATATGAGACCAGCCTGGTTAGCAGAGCAAGACCCCAGCTCCATCAGGAAAAAATAAAAAAAAATTAAAAAATCAGCAGGGCATGGTGGTACACGCCTGTAGTCTTGGCTACTCGGGAGGCTGAGGCAGGATGTTAGCTTGAGCCCAGGAGTTCAAGGCTGCAGTCAGCCAGGATACTGCCACTGCACTCCACCCTAGGCAACAGAGTGAGACTCTCTGAAAACAAACAAACAAACAAACAAAAAAAAAAAACCCTCAACCCCAGAATTTAAACCGAAGTGGTCCCAAACTAAGAGTGGCTTCAGGACACTAACAAAATATGTAAACCTTCTCTGGAAAAATCCACTTCAAACTCGGCTTCAAAATTTTTCTCACAGAAAGCTCCAAGAAATATGAGCTCACTGGCAAAAATCAGAAAACCCTGGGGAAACAAGGCCCATAAATAAGAACCTCAGAAATAAAAGATGGCAGAGTCAGACCTTCAGACTTCAGGTATTAGAATTATGGGAGACAGAATATGGAATATTTAATAAGCTTAAATAAATTTTTAAAAGATTAAAAATGAGTAAACAGTAAGAAACTATGACATGACCAAGGAAAACTGAAAAAGAACAAAATAGTTCTCAAAATAAGAATGAATAACTGAACGGATGACTTAAGAGCAGGAAAGATACAACCAGGGAGAGAATTCATGAACTTAAAGAAATGATACAAAATAGAGTTCAAAAAGAAAAACAGAAAATAGAAAACAAAAGCTACACAAGATAAACGCAGAAGTAAAACATTAAGACAAATCAATACTCTGGAAGAGAAGAGGATGAGACATAGCCAACAGCTGTTTTTAATACTCTAGCTATCTCTTAAGATTTCTACCTTAACTTCATTCTTGGTCTGAAAATACAGAGAACTTCCCAGAACTAACAACAGATACACATTCACACATTTAAAAGGACCAATGAACGCAAAGCAAAATAAATAAAAAGAAATCTAGAAGTTCTGGCTCCCAGTAACAGGCACACTCCACCCTGTCTCTCCACAACGAGAAAATACCTCTATAAAACCAGGGGAGAATTCATGGAGCGCTATTTGAGGAACCTAGAAAGTAGAGTAGCAGATGAAATGGGATAGAAGATTCTAATTAAAAGTACCACCAAACCAGTGGTGTGTTTGAGTTTGTTCCTCCATTATCACTCAGCATAGACTCAAGGCAGCCCAAATACTGGACGTGGACATCAGCATGAATAACTTCCAAGAGAAGCTGGCTAGTTCAGGCTCAAGAAGTAGAAAAGAGGCAGCAGCCTACAGGTACCTAAAGCATTGAGTGAGGGAAGGAACCTTTCCCTACAACCAGAGGAAGTGTGGCCTTAAGAGGATAGGGCAAACCCCTATTACTTTCTTTTCTACTCTGTCCTCTCACTGCGAAGCCCAGACTACATACACAATCATGGGAAGTACACAGCAGAGCAGGGTTAAATAAAGGGAGCCGCAGGGCACTGAGGAGATGGCAAGAGAGGGCAGTTCAAGAAAATGACTTCAGAAAGCTGATTTTGAACTCCAGGGCTCACCTCGGAGCCTACCAGCAATGCATAAAGGTCTGGCCCAGTGCAGTGGCTCACACCTGTAAACTCAACACTTTGAGAGGCCAAGAGAGAGGATCGCTTGAGGCCAGGAGTTCAAGACCAGCCTGGGGAGCATAGCAAGACCCAGTCTCCACCAAAAATTTAAAAATTAGGCAGATGTGGCAGTGTGCACAGCTACTTAAGAGGACTGCTTGAGCCCAGGAGTTCAAGGCTGCAGTGAGCCATGGTTCTGCCACTCCACTCCGGGCAACAGAGTAGGACCCTGTCTCAAGCGGAAAAAAAAAAAAAAAAAGGTCCACAGGTCCTCTTCTTCTACATACATACATCCTAGTCAACAACTAAAAAAAATTTTTTTTTAATTTAAAGGTAGGGTCTCAAAGTCCTGTATCCTTGAGCAATCCTCCCACCTAAGTGTAAGCCCTGTGCCCAGCCCAGACTTTGTAATTTTAGCCATTCTATTGGGGGTGTAGGAGCTTTCTCACTGTAGTTTTAATTTGCATTTTCCTAATGACTAAAATGATGCTGAGCATTTTTTCTTGCACTTATTTTCCATTTGTATATCTTCTTTAATACTCTTTTCAAATCTTTTGTCCATTTTTATTGGATTGTCTTATTGAGTTATGAGGGTCTCATATGTACATATAATATGATACATTTTATTTTTTATTTTATTTTTTGAGACAGGGTCTCACTCTGTAGCCCAGACTGGAGTGCAATGACATGAACACAGCTTACTGCAGCCTCAACCTCCTGGCTCAAGCAATTCTTCCCCTTCAGCCTCCCAAGTAGCCAGGACTACAGCCATGCACCACCACATCCAGCTATTTTTTTTTTCTTTTGTAAAGACAGGGTCTCCCTATTAGCCCAGGCTAGTCTCAAACTCCTAGGCTCATGCAATCTTCCTGCCTCAGCCTCCCAAAATTACAGGCGTGAGCCAACATGCCCAGCTGATATATGTTTTACATGAAGGTGGAAATGGAAATAGAAAGAACTGGCCAAATGCATGTGTTTTTTAGAAGTCTGTGGTTTGTCTTTTCATTTTCTTAATGACAGGTTTTGAAGAGCAAAAGACTTTAATTTTGATAAAGTTCAGTTTACTCTTTTACAGTGTGCTCTTTGTGTCCTACTTAAGAAGGTAAACTTGACAGCACCTTATCATTAGATTAGGGGGATAAAATAACATGGAAGGTATCAAAGGTAATTCCTAGATTTCTGCTTTAGATGAATGAATAAAGGCAACACATTACTGAGACTATATCTCCTCACAGAACATCCACAACCCACCATTAAACCAAATCACCCTTTCTGAATTTCCACTTCCACTGACTTCCCAACAGCATTCTACAAGGCTTAACTTTGTCTCTTCTATTCCCCGAGGCTCAAATCTTGAAACTCACTTCACTATATTCAGCCTGAAAACAGTTCTTATTCATTCATGCCCATAATTTCCAAATCTCTACACTATCTTCCTGGTGACAAATGGCAGCCAATAATTATTGAGAACCATGCTAGGTGACAGGCACTGTGCTTCTCTTCTGTCTACTGCATCTCTCTCCTCAGCCTATCATTAGTTTACAATCAACCAAATTCATCCTTCTCGACCTCAATGCCAGTTCTCCCTCCTGACTCGCCAGTGTCTATGAAGGGTATTATGAGGCCCAAATTGGAAACCTTGATATCATCACCTTTCATTTCAGCTTCTCCTCTCTCCCCCATATTCAATTAATTTAATGGTTCTCTAACTACACTACCTTAAATGCTGGAGGTTTGGAAGCTAGACAAAGGTGCCAAAAATGGCCTTTTCCCAATTTGCATGAAAAAATAAGGTAATATAATTTTAAGTTTTCTTACCACAAATTTTTCTTAAACCTTTATCACCTGCTACTCCCTGTCTATTCTGGAATGTAATATAAAATAATATCTGATTTAGGGAAAAAATGTAAAGTTTAATATATAAATATTTCATAGTATTCCACAGAATACCATGACTTTTAGGTACTTCATCACCTGAACATGCTTGAGTACCACTGAACTAATAATTTGCAACTTATATTCCTGCTAAATTGTTCTTTCCTGTGCAATGTGAAACTTTTCCTATGAGGAAGTCAGACCAAGGTAGGAAAGGTCAGACCAATTTGCCTGAGAAAATATTAAAAAGTAGGCCATTGGGACACTATAAATTTCTTTCTCCTCAATTCCAGGCTATAACTACTTATCCTGTGGTAGCAAAGAGAATAACCAGCTTATAGGTGGAATAGGAATAACTTTCAATGATCACTGTAAGAATAACTGACTTTGTATTCTAGTCACAAGTGAGACAGCCTAGGCTACATTCACCAGTTAAACCAGCACGTTCTGGATTGCCATTCTCTTCTGATTATCAGTATTTACACCATAGATAAAGCACAACATTAGCCTAAGAAAAATAACAGAAATATAAATATTTATACTCCTAAAGCGGATTGCTAAAGCCACATGATTTGGGGATTATCAGTTATCTGGAACCATCACAAATATAAATCCTGGGAGTTAAACATATAAATAGACTACTGATTATATTCTTTTAAGAACGAAACCCAGTCAACACCAAACTGCATCACTGAGTTAAACATTTATGTAATTATGCAATATACAGCAACTGAGTACCGTTATGTGCCACATACAGTGCAAGTCACTCAAGGTTTAACAGTGAGCAAGAGGCTCACAGTACCTGACTTCATGAAGCCCACACACTATGAGAAAGACAATCAAAGAACACTAACAGCCAGTGATGATAACAAAGTGCCTTCAAGTGCGGCAGGAGGGTAAAGGGGATGCTCGCTTAAGGGTTCTCAGCCAGAGCTCTAATTGAGCTGAAACCTAAAGAATGAGCAGAAGTTAAACAAGGGAATCTACACGTGTGATTAAGGTGAGAGGTGAGGGGTGCTATCAATGAGGCTGCGGTCAGACTAGCATGGAAGACAAAATACACTTAGAATCACATCGATCTGGGCTCCAGTTGCAGCTCCACCACACAAACGGCCTAACATCTCTGACTTCAGTCACTTCATTTGTAAAGGGCAGTGATAAAAATACTTACTTCATAGGATTATGGAGAGGATTAAATAACATAATGATGTAAATTTATTCATTCCACACTTGATAGCTCTGTGACCTTGTGCAACTGGAAACCTCTCTGTGACTTTCTCATCTGTAAAATGGGGATCTAACAGTACCTTCTCCATAGGATTGTTAATAAGGATAAACTCAAAGAATAAACATGAAAATTTAACAAGACAACAAATATAAACTATTTGGAATAAGTTCTAAAGTTCAAAAGAGTTCAATAAATTTTGGTTATTCAATTTGTGTTATTTTTATACTAACAGACAGAGTTGAGGTCTCAAAGGGCCTTAAAGCCATATTAGGTGTATGGATTTTAATCTGGAAGCATGGAGAGCAGCTGAAGGATTTTAAGCAGTCAACTGACATGTTCAGATTGGTCTTCTGGAAGGCTCACCCTGGATACTGTACAGAGACTGGACTGGAAGAGTCAAAGTGGTAGAAAGAGCCCAGTCAGGAGGAATTACAGCCATTAAGGTAGGAGAAGATGGTGCCCTGGACCAAGGGAACATCAGCGGAGAGATGAGTGCATGAAGCAACAAGGCTAGATATTTGCATTTAGGATGTGAGATGTCCCCAACATCTTACAGACTATTCCCTCTCTCCTGCCCTCTACCCTCCTATTAAAAATTCATGAAGTTTCTTTCATTCCCACTATCACCACACTCTGCGATTCCCAAACTATAACTTTAGTTTCCACTGTCATGAACTTCATTCAGGTCTAAATGTCACCTGCCCCTGGAAAGCTCCTCACACTTAATATAACCCATATCAAAGCAATCATTTATTTCCCTAGAAAAATCTCAATTTCCCTATTTTTAATCCTAGTTCTGCCACGTCTTTCTCTCAATCACCCAGGCTACAAACTCTAGAGTCCTCATCATGTGGTTGTGAAGACCTTCTAATCTTCTGATGCTACATCTTGATAATTCTCACTGACACCTGGACTCTTAAAATAAAGGTGATGTCTGCCTGTAATCCCAGCACTGTGGGAGGCTGAGGCGGGTGGATCACGAGGTCAGAAGATCGAGACCATCCTGGCTAACACAGTGAAACTTCATCTCTGCTAAAAATACAAAAAAAATTAGCTGGGCACGGTGGTGGGCGCCTGTAGTCCCAGCTACTCGAGAGGCTGAGGCAGGAGAATGGTGTGAACCCGGGAGACAGAGCTTGCAGTGAGCCCAGATCGCGCCACTGCACTCTAGCCTGGGAGACAGAGCAAGACTCCGTCTCAAAAATAAATAAATAAATAAAAATAAAGGCGATGTCATGTAAAGCAAAAGAAAATATCCAAATATCGGCCCTCATGACCTCTCTTCTATAATAACAGGTTCATTTGTCTTCCACCTTCAGTCATTTTACCCTTCAGTCCTGGTTATACTCATGGGTCACACACACACATACACACACACACACACACACACACACACACACATACACACACACGTAGAGACAGAGAGAGACTAATAAACAGGCAGAGCTACCTAATCTCTTGAATTAAAATTAGTTACATTGGTTATAATAATTACACACAAAAAGTTCAGTGAAAGCAGAGACAGGAATAATTCTAACAGAATGCACTCTAGAAATTTCAGCTTATTCTGTAAGGCAATAAAGTTCTACCTTCGTGGTGCAAATGCCTGCTAGTTACTAGGAATTCAACTAGGAACAATGAACATAAACCAGTTCTTCAGCCACAGATCTGAGAAGGGGATCTGACCATCACTCGCAAGCACAAAGAACAGTGCCCATGGTAACCCATTCAACCACCTGTGGCAAAACAGCAAATCTAGATAGAGCTCTCCTTACTCAAGAAAGCAAGTGAAAAATAAAAGATCTGTCAAAAAACATTGCAAATGAGAGAAAAGCATCATCATCTCTTGGAAGACGAATATATTTCTGAAAAAGATTAAGAAATATGCTTCAGGAAACTGACATCCTTAAATAGAACAGAGAAAAAAAAAACACCACCTCTATAAAACAGGAACAAAAAGCTGCAAGGAAGAGGAGAACAAGACAAGTAACAACAGCTGTTTTTTTTTTTTTTAAAAAGGCCAATGTAACCTTGATATCAAAATCCGACAAGATTACAAAAAAAAAATTGTAGCCAAAATCTCTTATGAATACAGATGTAAACATAAAACAAAATATTAGTAAATGGAATATAATAATATCCAAAAAAGAATAGTATAACATGACCAAGTGGGTTTATCCCAGGAATGCAAGGCTGGTTTAACATTTGAAAATAAATGTAATTCACTACATAAAACTGGAAAAAGGCCGGGCGCGGTGGCTCACACCTGTAATCCCAGCACTTTGGGAGGCCGAGGCAGGCGGATCACGAGGTCAGGAGATCGAGACCATCCCGGCTAAAACGGTGAAACCCCATCTCTACTAAAAATACAAAAAATTAGCCGGGCATAGTGGCGGGCGCCTGTAGTCCCAGCTACTTGGGAGGCTGAGGCAGGAGAATGGCGTGAACCCGGGAGGCGGAGCTTGCAGTGAGCCGAGATCCCGCCACTGCACTCCAGCCTGGGCGACAGAGCGAGACTCCGTCTCAAAAAAAAAAAAAAAAAAAAAAAAAAACTGGAAAAAAAGAAGATGGCCGAACAGGAACAGCCCCGGTATACAGCTCCCAGCGTGAGCAACACAGAAGATGGGTGATTTCTGCATTTCCATCTGAGGTACCGGGTTGATCTCACTAGGGAGTGCCAGACAGTGGGCGCAGGTCAGTGGGTGCGGGCACCGTGCACGAGCTGAAGCAGGGTGAGGCATTGCCTCACTTGGGAAGCGCAAGGGGTCAGGGAGTTCCCTTTCCGAGTCAAAGAAAGAGGTGACGGATGCACCTGGAAAATTGGGTCACTCCCACCCGAATATTGCGCTTTTCGGACCGGCTTAAAAAACGGCGCACCACGATATTATATCCCGCACCTGGCTCAGAGGGTCCTACACCCACGGTGTCTCGCTGATTGCTAGCACAGCAGTCTGAGATCAAACAGCAAGGCGGCAGCGAGGCTGGGGGAGGGGCGCCCGCCATTGCCCAGGCTTGCTTAGGTAAACAAAGCAGCCAGGAAGCTCGAACTGGGTGGAGCCCACCATAGCTCAAGGAGGCCTGCCTGCCTCTGTAGGCTCCACCTCTGGGGGAAGGGCACAGACAAACAAAAAGACAGCAGTAACCTCTGCAGACTTAAATGTCCCTGTCTGACAGCTTTGAAGAGAGCAGTGGTTTTCCCAGCACACAGCTGGAGATCTGAGAACGGGCAGACTGCCTCCTCAAGTGGTTCCCTGACCCCTGACCCCCGAGCAGCCTAACTGGGAGGCACCCCCCAGCAGGGGCACACTGACACCTCACACAGCAGGGTATTCCAACAGACCTGCAGCTGAGGGTCCTGTCTGTTAGAAGGAAAACTAACAAACAGGACATCCACACCAAAAACCCATCTGTACATCACCATCATCAAAGACCAAAAGTAGATAAAACCACAAAGATGGGGAAAAAACAGAACAGAAAAACTGGAAACTCTAAAACGCAGAGCGTCTCTCCTCCTCCAAAGGAACGCAGTTCCTCACCAGCAACGGAACAAAGCTGGATGGAGAATGACTTTGACAAGCTGAGAGAAGAAGGCTTCAGACGATCAAATTACTCTGAGCTACGGGAGGACATTCAAACCAAAGGCAAAGAAGTTGAAAACTTTGAAAAAAATTTAGAAGAATGTATAACTAGAATAACCAATACAGAGAAGTGCTTAAAGGAGCTGATGGAGCTGAAAACCAAGGCTCGAGAACTACGTGAAGAATGCAGAAGCCTCAGGAGCCGATGCAATCAACTGGAAGAAAGGGTATCAGCAATGGAAGATGAAATGAAGCGAGAAGGGAAGTTTAGAGAAAAAAGAATAAAAAGAAATGAGCAAAGCCTCCAAGAAATATGGGACTATGTGAAAAGACCAAATCTACGCCTGATTGGTGTACCTGAAAGTGATGGGGAGAATGGAACCAAGTTGGAAAACACTGCAGGATATGATCCAGGAGAACTTCCCCAATCTAGCAAGGCAGGCCAACGTTCAGATTCAGGAAATACAGAGAACGCCACACAGATACTCCTTGAGAAGAGCAACTCCAAGACACATAATTGTCAGATTCACCAAAGTTGAAATGATGGAAAAAATGTTAAGGGCAGCCAGAGAGAAAGGTCGGGTTACCCTCAAAGGGAAGTCCATCAGACTAACAGCAGATCTCTCAGCAGAAACCCTACAAGCCAGAAGAGAGTGGGGACCAATATTCAACATTCTTAAAGAAAAGAATTTTCAACCCAGAATTTCATATCCAGCCAAACTAAGCTTCGTAAGTGAAGGAGAAATAAAATACTTTACAGACAAGCAAATGCTGAGAGATTTTGTCACCACCAGGCCTGCCCTAAAAGAGCTCCTGAAGGAAGTGCTAAACATGGAAAGGAACAATGGTACCAGCCGCTGCAAAATCATGCCAAAATGTAAAGACCATCGAGACTAGGAAGAAACTGCATCAACTAATGAGCAAAATAACCAGCTAACATCATAATGACAGGATCAAATTCACATATAACAATATTAACTTTAAATGTAAATGGACTAAATGCTCCAATTAAAAGACACAGACTGGCAAATTGGATAAAGAGTCAAGACCCATCAGTGTGCTGTATTCAGGAAACCCATCTCACATGCAGAGACACACATAGGCTCAAAATAAAAGGATGGAGGAAGATCTACCAAGCAAATGGAAAACAAAAAAAGGCAGGGGTTGCAATCCTAGTCTCTGATAAAACAGACTTTAAACCAACAAAGATCAAAAGAGACAAAGAAGGCCATTACATAATGGTAAAGGGATCAATTCAACAAGAAGAGCTAACTATCCTAAATATATATGCACCCAATACAGGAGCACAAAGATTCATAAAGCAAGTCCTGAGTGACCTACAAAGAGACTTAGACTCCCACACATTAATAATGGGAGACTTTAACACCCCACTGTCAACATTAGACAGATCAATGAGACAGAAAGTCAACAAGGATACCCAGGAATTGAACTCAGCTCTGCACCAAGCAAACCTAATAGACATCTACAGAACTCTCCACCCCAAATCAACAGAATATACATTTTTTTCAGCACCACACCACACCTATTCCAAAATTGACCACATACTTGGAAGTAAAGCTCTCCTCAGCAAATGTAAAAGAACAGAGATTATAACAAACTATCTCTCAGACCACACTGCAATCAAACTAGAACTCAGGATTAAGAATCTCACTCAAAACCGCTCAACTACATGGAAACTGAACAACCTGCTCCTGAATGACTACTGGATACATAACGCAATGAAGGCAGAAATAAAGATGTTCTTTGAAACCAACGAGAACAAAGACACAACATACCAGAATCTCTGGGACACATTCAAAGCAGTGTGTAGAGGGAAATTTATAGCACTAAATGCCCACAAGAGAAAGCAGGAAAGATCCAAAATTGACACCCTAACATCACAATTAAAAGAACTAGAAAAGCAAGAGCAAACACATTCAAAAGATAGAAGAAGGCAAGAAATAACTAAAATCAGAGCAGAACTGAAGGAAATAGAGACACAAAAAACCCTTCAAAAAATTAATGAATCCAGGAGCTGGTTTTTTGAAAGGATCAACAAAATTGATAGACCGCTAGCAAGACTAATAAAGAAAAAAAGAGAGAAGAATCAAATAGACACAATAAAAAATGATAAAGGGGATATCACCACCGATCCCACAGAAATACAAACTACCATCAGAGAATACTACAAACACCTCTACGCAAATAAACTAGAAAATCTAGAAGAAATGGATAAATTCCTCGACACATACACTCTCCCAAGACTAAACCAGGAAGAAGTTGAATCTCTGAATAGACCAATAACAGGCTCTGAAATTGTGGCAATAATCAATAGTTTACCAACCAAAAAGAGTCCAGGACCAGATGGATTCACAGCCGAATTCTACCAGAGGTACAAGGAGGAACTGGTACCATTCCTTCTGAAACTATTCCAATCAATAGAAAAAGAGGGAATCCTCCCTAACTCATTTTATGAGGCCAGCATCATTCTGATACCAAAGCCGGGCAGAGACACAACCAAAAAAGAGAATTTTAGACCAATATCCTTGATGAACATTGACGCAAAAATCCTCAATAAAATACTGGCAAAACGAATCCAGCAGCACATCAAAAAGCTTATCCACCATGATCAAGTGGGCTTCATCCCTGGCATGCAAGGCTGGTTCAATATACGCAAATCAATAAATATAATCCAGCATATAAACAGAGCCAAAGACAAAAACCACATGATTATCTCAATAGATGCAGAAAAAGCCTTTGACAAAATTCAACAACCCTTCATGCTAAAAACTCTCAATAAATTAGGTATTGATGGGACGTATTTCAAAATAATAAGAGCTATCTATGACAAACCCACAGCCAATATCATACTGAATGGGCAAAAACTGGAAGCATTCCCTTTGAAAACTGGCACAAGACAGGGATGCCCTCTCTCACCACTCCTATTCAACATAGTGTTGGAAGTTCTGGCCAGGGCAATTAGGCAGGAGAAGGAAATAAAGGAAAAGAGAAAGTCAAATTGTCCCTGTTTGCAGATGACATGATTGTATATCTAGAAAACCCCATTGTCTCAGCCCAAAATCTCCTTAAGCTGATAAGCAACTTCAGCAAAGTCTCAGGATACAAAATCAATGTACAAAAATCACAAGCATTCTTATACACCAATAACAGACAAACAGAGAGCCAAATCATGAGTGAACTCCCATTCACAATTGCTTCAAAGAGAATAAAATACCTAGGAATCCAACTTACAAGGGATGTGAAGGACCTCTTCAAGGAGAATTACAAACCACTGCTCAAGGAAATAAAAGAGGATACAAACAAATGGAAGAACATTCCATGCTCATAGGTAGGAAGAATCAATATCGTGAAAATGGCCATACTGCCCAAGGTAATTTACAGATTCAATGCCATCCCCATCAAGCTACCAATGACTTTCTTCACAGAATTGGAAAAAACTACTTTAAAGTTCATATGGAACCAAAAAAGAGCCCGCATCGCCAAGGCAATCCTAAGCCAAAAGAACAAAGCTGGAGGCATCACACTACCTGACTTCAAACTATACTACAAGGCTACAGTAACCAAAACAGCATGGTACTGGTACCAAAACAGAGATATAGATCAATGGAACAGAACAGAGCCCTCAGAAATAACGCCGCATATCTACAACTATCTGATCTTTGACAAACCTGAGAAAAACAAGCAATGGGGAAAGGATTCCCTATTTAATAAATGGTGCTGGGAAAACTGGCTAGCCATATGTAGAAAGCTGAAACTGGATCCCTTCCTTACACCTTATACAAAAATCAATTCAAGATGGATTAAAGACTTAAATGTTAGACCTAAAACCATAAAAACCCTAGAAGAAAACCTAGGCATTACCATTCAGGACATAGGCATGGGCAAGGACTTCATGTCCAAAACACCAAAAGCAATGGCAACAAAAGACAAAATTGACAAATGGGATCTAATTAAACTAAAGAGCTTCTGCACAGCAAAAGAAACTACCATCAGAGTGAACAGGCAACCTAGAAAATGGGAGAAAATTTTCGCAACCTACTCATCTGACAAAGGGCTAATATCCAGAATCTACAATGAACTCAAACAAATTTACAAGAAAAAAACAAACAACCCCATCAAAAAGTGGGCGAAGGACATGAACAGACACTTCTCAAAAGAAGACATTTATGCAGCCAAAAGACACATGAAAAAATGCTCATCATCACTGGCCATCAGAGAAATGCAAATCAAAACCACAATGACATACCATCTCACACCAGTTAGAATGGCAATCATTAAAAAGTCAGGAAACAACAGGTGCTGGAGAGGATGTGGAGAAATAGGAACACTTTTACACTGTTGGTGGGACTGTAAACTAGTTCAACCATTGTGGAAGTCAGTGTGGAGATTCCTCAGGGATCTAGAACTAGAAACACCATTCGACCCAGCCATCCCATTACTGGGTATATACCCAAAGGACTATAAATCATGCTGCTATAAAGACACCTGCACACGTATGTTTATTGCGGCATTATTCACAATAGCAAAGACTTGGAACCAACCCAAATGTCCAACAATGATAGACTGGATTAAGAAAATGTGACACATATACACCATGGAATACTATGCAGCCATAAAAAATGATGAGTTCATGTCCTTTGTAGGGACATGGATGAAACTGGAAATCATCATTCTCAGTAAACTATCGCAAGAACAAAAAACCAAACACCGCATATTCTCACTCATAGGTGGGAAATGAACAATGAGATCACATGGACACAGGAAGGGGAATATCACACTATGGGGCCTGTGGTGGGGTGGGGGGAGTGGGAAGGGATAGCATTGGCAGATATACCTAATGCTAGATGATGAGTTAGTGGGTGCAGCGCACCAGCATGGCACATGTATACATATGTAACTAACCCGCACAATGTGCACATGTACCCTAAAACTTAAAGTATAAAAAATAAAAATAAAAAAAACAATAAAAAAATAAAATAAAATATAAAATAAAATAAAAAATAAAAATAAATAAAAAAACTGGAAAAAAGAAAAATTATAATCGTCTCAAGAGATGCAGAAAAGGCATTTGGTAAAATTCAACATCCATTCATGACAAAAACTCTCAGCAACGTAAAAATGGACAGAAACTTCTCAAACTGATCAAGGGCATCTAAGAAAAACAGCTATCAACATACTGGTTGACACTGATGAGATGGTAAGATATTAAGCACTTTCCTCTGAATTCAGGTATAAGACCACTATATCTGTACTCAGATGAACCTATTCATCATATCAGAGGTCTTACCCAGTGAAATAAGGCAAGAAATAAAAAGTATAAAGATCAAAAACTAGGAAGTAAAATTGTCATTCACAGAAAACCTGACTGTATACATATAAAATAAAAAAAACCTAAAAACATCATTAGAATTAAGTACATTTAGCAAGGTTGCTGGATACAATGTCAACATACAAGAGAAATCTACTGTATTTCTATATGCTAGTAAAAACTAGAAAATGACATTTAAAAAGCAATGCCATTTACAATAGTATGGGAAAAAAAATCAAAGAACTACAAATAAATCTAACAAAAGATGTTCAGGACCCTGCACTAAAAACTACAAAATGCTGCTGAAAAAAAATTGAAGATATGTAAGGAGAGATATGTCATCTTCATTAACTAGAAGACTCAATATTGTTAATATCAACTCTCTACAAATTAGGGATGCAATGCAATTCCATCAAAATTGTGGAATTTCACAAGCTGATTATAAAATGTATATGGTCATGCAAAGGACCTAGAATAGTCCCAAACAATCTGAATAACAAAATTGAAAGAATTCCACTATTAAATAACGAGACTTACTTTAAAGGTACAGTAATTAAGATTGCATGGTATTAATGCAATGGAAAGAACAGAGTCCAGAAATACAAACGTATACCTGATTTACAAGAAAGATGCCATTGAAATTGAGTGGGAAAAGAATCGTCTTGATAAATGTTAAGTCAAATGGACAACCACATGAGGGAAGAAAAGGAATTAACCTTGATGTATAACTTATATCATACATAAAAATTCATATGAAATGGATCACATCACGGAACTAAAATTAAAATGTAAAACAAAGCTTCTAGGATAAAACAAACAAAAGTATATTCATGGTCTTTGGTTAGGCAAATATTTCTTAAACAGAACACATCAAAAAGTAAAGAAAGGAAAGGATCAATAAAATAGACTTAAGATCTCTTGTTAATCAAAAAGCACTATTAAGTGGCTGGGCCCAGTGGCTCACGCCTGTAATCCCAGCACTTTGGGAGGCTGAGGCAGGCAGATCATTTGAGGTCAGGAGTTCAAGACCAGGCTGGACAACATGGTGAAACCCTGTCTCTATTAAAAGTACAAGAATTATCCAGGCGTGGTGGCACACACCTGTAATCCCAGCTACTCAGTAGGAGGTTGAGGCATAAGAATCACTTGAACCTGGGAGGCAGAGGTTGCAGTGAGCCTAGATGAAGCCATTGCATTCCAGTCTGGGCAATGAAGCAAGACTCCATCTCAAAAACAAAAACAAAAACAAGCACTATTAAGTGTAAAAAGGCAAGCTGCAGACTGAAGAAAGATTTTTGTAATACTTATGTCTGACAAAGTACTCACATTCAATAATATAAAGAATGCCTACCAATCAGTAAGAAAAGAACAGAGAACATAGTGAAAAACAGGAAAAGACCTGAATAGGTACCTCACAAAAGAAGATATCTAAATGGCCAAGAAGCATATGAAAAGGTGCTTAACATGAGTAATCAGTCATCAGGGAAATGCAGATTAAAACCACAATGAGCTACGAAAACATGACATTAATGGCTAATAATATGGCTAAAAAAGACTAACAATATAAAGTGTTGGATATGAAACAAGTGGAACTGTCATATATAGCTGATGAGGTATGAATTGGCACACAATTTGGAAAACTGTCAGAATCTACTAAAGCTAAACATATTTATAAATTTTGAACAAGCAATTCCAATCCTGGGTATAAACCTAACAGAAAGGAACACTTTTGTTAACTGTAAGACATCTATAAGAATATTCATAACAACTTTATTCATAATAGCCAAAAATGGGAATCGTACTACGCAGCAATGAAAAACAATGAACTACAATTACATACAACAACACAGATGAATTCTACCAACACAATGTAGAGCAGAAGAAGCCACACCCATGAGCATATACTGCAAGATTCCATTTATATGAAGTTCAAGAATGGGCAAAATTGCTACAGTGACAGAAATCAGAATAGTGATTTTTTTTTTCTTTTTTTTTTTGAGGCGGAGTCTTGCTCTCGCCTAGGCTGGAGTGCAGTGGTGCGATCTTGGCTCACTGCAAGCTCCGCCTCCTGGGTTCACGCCATTCCCCTGCCTCAGCCTCCCAAGTTGCTGGGACTACAGGTGCCCGCCACCATGCCCGGCTAATTTTTTTTTGTATTTTTAGTAGAGAACAGGGTTTCACCATGTTAGCCAGTATGGTCTCAATCTCCTGACCTCATGATCCGCCCACCTCGGCCTCCCAAAGTGCTGGGATTACAGGCTTGAGCCACCGTGCCCTGCCGTGATTATTTTTAAATAGGTATTGACTGGAAGGGGCATGAAAAGCCTTATACTATGCTGGAGATAGCCTGTATCTTGATCTGGATGGTGATTACACGAGTATATAACCATTAAAAATTAATCAAGTGGTATCCTTAAAATCTGTGTACTTTACTGTATGTAAATGATATAACAGCAAAAAATTTAAGTTTAAAAATATGTGTAATGGCAGAAGAAAATCTACATTAGAAATAACAAAAAACCCTGCACATTACATATAAGACAAACATAAGATGGTTCTGAAAGGCAGAGAGAGAAGCAGAACAGCTAGTGACCTCAGGACCCAAGGAGTGAGCAGAGATGAGTCCCCTGGGTTTTTCCTTGCCTCATGTATCACATTGTTGGAGCCAGAGAAGTCAGCAACCTGGAAATGCCAATTGATGCAGACCCAAAAATGCTCAAACAAAAGCCAGCTTTCTTCTAGCCAAAGGACCAAAAAGGGCAGCTAATAAGTCAAAAAATTTTTTAAGAAAATACTCACCAAACACCACAGGAAACCCTGTCGTCCCACCCTCACCCAAATCCATAAAAGACAAGGAGAAAGCCTAGGTTTCTGGGCTGTGATGAGGAACCCCATCCAGCCCACCCCCGCCAGAGTAGTGCTACAGAAAGCTAAGGAGGGAGCTGGGGATTGCATCATCCCCCACCAGGCAGTAACAATGACCCCATCAGTGTGGTTTCAGTGGAGACCCTGGACTTCCACCGCCTCTGGCAGTAACGAGGTTCCCCTTTCCCACGTCCACTTGGATCATGTGGAGGAGACCTACCAGAGACTAAGGATTTTTATCACCTCCCAGTGATGAAATGGGACAAGACCACTCCCCTCCACCCCGTGGTGTCTGTTGAGTCCCCAGTGGGAGCAAGAATAAGGCATTACCCCACCCAGCCATGGAGGTTTCCATGGAGGCCTACTAGGGAGCCAGAACTCCCACCCTACAGTGTAGTAACGGAATCCTTCACCTTGGATGTCAACGGAAGCAGAGTAGGGAACCTGAATGTACACCCCAACTTTGAAAAGCAAAGAAGAGCAGCCTCCTTCCCTTCCAGAGCAGTGTCAGAGAAAGCCAGACCAAAGACAGTTTAAAAAAAAAAAAAAAAAAAAAAAAACCTTCAAAGTTCAGCAGGAAATTTTGTCAACCTAGAACTCCATGCCCATACAAACTACTAATCCCCTGTGAGAAAGCAGACATTTTTCAGACATGCGAGAACCCACAGTTTACTTTTTATGTACTCTTTCTGCAGGGGTGCTACTGGGGCTATCTCCTATAAGAACCTGAATATGTACTCCAGCGAACAAATTAAAGCAAAATGATCACACAGGGCCAGGAAATAGTCAAATCAACCTTGAAAAGTGATGAGAGGACATTCCAGGGTTATAACAATAGAGCCAATTTTATAAGGATTTAACAGGAAGGTGGGAGGGAACCATCAGGGGTACAGGGAAGCCTGGAAAAACTGCAAGTATAATTTCAAGTGTGGAAAAAAATTAAGGATACAATAAAAGCAAATAATGCAAGAGGGAAAAAAAGATTTAAGAAACTCTGGAAGAGGGAGAAGAAGAGAAAGAATACTGCTTTAAAATATCAAAATCCGACCGGGCATGGTGGCTCACGCCTGTAATCCCAGCACTTTGGGAGGACGAGGTGGGTGGATCACCTGAGGTCAGGAGTTCGAGACTAGCCTGACCAACATAGAGAAACCCCGTCTCTACTAAAAATACAAAATTAGCCAGCCATGGTGGTGCATGCCTGTAATCCCAGCTACTCGGGAGGCTGAGGCAGGAGAATCGCTTGAACTCGGGAGGCGGAGGTTGTGGTGAGCTGAGATCACGCCATTGCACTCCAGCCTGGGCTCGAAACTCCTATCTCAAAAAAAAAAAAAAAAAATCAAAAGCCAGATATGGACCTTTATTTTCCAGTCTCAGGCACTTTCTGCACTGCAGGCAGCAGTGCAGACATGGTCAGGTCCGAGAACTATACCACACATAACCAGTTCCAAACAGAAATGGCATCGATAGGCCCTGATCATAAAGATATATTTTAAGCGGGTAGAACCTTAGTTCTTAAGGATCATGCACTTTGCCAAGAAACACAAGAAGGGTCAAAAGACACAGGCCAATAAAATGAAGACCATCAAGGCCTTTGTCAAGCTCAAGGTCTTGAAGGGCACCTGTGTTGGTCTGTTCCTGCCATTGCTATAAAGTACCTGCGACTTCTTTATAGCAATGCCAGGCGCAGTGTCTCACCCCTGTAATCCCAGCACTTTGGGAGGCCGAGGTGGGTGGATCACGAGGTCAGGAGATCGAGACTATCCTGGCTAACACAGTGAAACCCTGTCTCTACTAAAAATACAAAAAAAAATTAGCCGAGCATGGTGGCGAGCGCCTGTATGTAGTTCCAGCTACTCTGGAGGCTGAGGCAGGAGAATGGCATGAACCCGGAAGGCCAAGCTTGCAATAAGCCGAGATCGCGCCACTGCACTCCAGCCTGGGCAACAGAGCAAGACTCCATCTCAAAAAAAAAAAAAAAAAAAGAAATACCCAAGACTGGGTAATTGATAAAGAAAAGAGGTTTAATTGGCTCATAGTTCTGTAGGCTCACAGTGCTGGCATCTGCTTCTGGAGAGGCCTCAGGAAGTTTACAATCATGGCTGAAGGTGACAGGGAGCCAGCGTGTCACATAGTGAGAGTGAAACAAGGGAGGGAGGGGGAGGAGCCACACTCTTTTAAACAACCAGATCATGAACTACTAGAGCAAGAACTCAGTCATCACCAAGGGGATGATGCCAAGCCATTCATGAGGGCCCACCCCCACGATCCCAATCACCTCCCACCAGGTCCCACCTCCAACACTGGGAATCACATTTCCACATGGGATTTGGAGGCGACAAACATCCAAACCATCTCAACCTGAGTCCCAAGCTCAGGAGCCATGCTGATTATAACATCATCAGTTGCCAGGTTCTGCTGGCCAAAAGCTAGCACCCAGGCCAAGGCCCCCACAAAGGCTGCAAAGTAGAGGTTTCCATCCTGCCAACATGAGGATGAAAGCACTTGCATGATCTCCTGGGCTGCTCTCTCTACAGGGCTAGTGTACAAATAATTTGCTGTTTTGTACAAATATATGCAAACTTATCCATATATGATGCCAAAGACATTTAGCATAATTTTCAATTCTGGATGGATTGCAAGAAAAAAATTACTGTGACCCTGATGTTATTAACATTCTCCTTCAAATGGGCTGAAAATGTTATTTTAGCACCCTACCCGATCTAGTGGAGTTAAATACTTATATTTAAATATTCATAATAACATTCCACTTTTAGAATTAACCAAAAGACAAATCACAGAAGATTTGATTCTGGTCATGGATCAAAATTTCAATGACCACATAATGTTAAAGCATAACTTTGAAAAGGTAGAAGGAAGAGCTAGGATAATACCCTTCCCCTTACAAAGTGTGAAATCAAAAGACAGTGTTGAGGGTTAATGGAACAATAAAGAGGTTTAAGTTAATAACCATTATAAAAATTAAAGTAACACAAAATAGATAAAATATCAGATGAGTAGAAGAGAGAAGTACTATAAAGTTACTTGTCTTTCATTTCAAGGAGTTAACAGATACTGTCTAAAGTTAATTAACAGAGAGAGATTTATCTATGGTTATGAGTTAACAACCAGAAAAACTAAAAATAGGGTCAGTTAATAAGAGTTTGTCTCCAAAGAGTGGGACTAGGGAAGAATAGGGTAGAGGATTGTTGCTTATCACAGGCTCTTATTAAGTATTTGATTCGTGACCATATATGTTTGTAACTTTGCATGCACTTGTAACTGATAAAAATAATTTTTAAAGTTTGACAAACACTCTGTTGATGAAGCTGTATGACAACAAGCATTCTCGTGTGGGAATATGAATTGGCACAATCTCTATGGAGGAGAATTTGACAATATCTAGCAAAATTACATACAAAATTACCCTTTGACCCAAATTCCACTTGGAAAAATCTATCGCAATGGTATAATGGTAAAAATACAAAAAGGTGCATACACAAGACTATTCATTACTGCACCATTTGTAATAATAAAAGACTAGAAGCAACCTAAGTGCCCGTCAGTATGAGATGGGTTGAATAAACCATAGTCCATCCATCCAATAGAGTACTATTGCTGTCCTACAGAGAAATGAGGAAGAGCCCCACATTCCCTGTATTTTTCCAGGAGAGACCTCTTTACAGGATATATTATAAAATGAGAAAAGTTAAGGGGCGAAAAGTATACATGGAATGCTATCACTTATCTGAGGGCCTGGCAAGAGGAGATGTGAATATATCTACGTATTTGCTTTTTTTTTTTTTTTTTTGAGACAGAGTTTTGCTCTTGTTGCCCAGGCTAGAGTACAATGGCACAATCTCGGCTCACCGCAACCTCTGCCTCTCAGGTTCAAGCAGTTCTCCTGCCTCAGCCTCCCGAGTAGCTGGGATTACAGGCATGTGCCACCACGCCCAGCTTATTTTTGTATTTTTAGTAGAGACGGGGTTTCTCCATGTGGGTCAGGCTGGTCTCGAACTCCCGACCTCAGGTGATCTGCCCGCCTTGGCCACCCAGAGTGCTGGGATTAAAGGCGTGAGCCACTGTGCCCGGCTGCCTTTTTTGTTTTAATGGAAGGACAAATGAAAATCTAAAATCAAACTCGGTACCTATGTCAGGGAAGGAACACGGTGGTAGGCAGGGATAGAAGTTAGACTTATGAATATGCCTGTTTTGTAGCTTTGGCTTTGAAACAATATAAATATTTTAAGTAATTGTTTTAAAAATCAAATTATTTTTAAACAGTAATTCCAACAGATTAAAAGAAAAAATTATAAAAACCTAACTATGGGCCAGGCACGGTGGCTCCTGCCTGTAATCCCAGCACTTTGGGAGGCCAAAGTGGGCAGATCACTTGAGGTCAGGAGACCAGCCTGGCCAAAAAAGTGAAACCCTGTCTCTACTAAAAATACAAACATCAGCTGGGCATGGTGGCAGTTACCCGTAGTCCCAGGTACTCAAGAGGCTGAAGCAGGAGAATCACTCGAACACAGGAGGCAGAAATTGCAGTGAGCCGAAATCGTGCCACTGCACTCCAGCCCAGGCGACCGAGCAAGACCCTGTCTCAAAAAACAAAACAACAACAACAACAAAAAACTAACTTTGTATTGAGTTGGAGACACAACCACAGAAAAAAACCAATTCTACTGACTTTAAAACAGTAATTTGACTACAGTCCCAGTGAAATATACCCTAACGACCAAAAGAACTGCCAAGTTTTAAAAAGCCAAAAACATAACTATTTTCAGTAATCGCATTGTTGACGGTAATGTTAGTGCTGCTGTTGAGCTGTCTAGGTATTGCGGGATAAAGCAAAAGAGTAATGGTGTTGGTGTTGTTGGAAATCAAGACTTTGATATAGGTATGGAA
Organism: Homo sapiens; assembly: GCF_000001405.40. NCBI lineage: Eukaryota > Metazoa > Chordata > Mammalia > Primates > Hominidae > Homo > Homo sapiens. The sequence continues at coordinate 123,917,487 of NC_000009.12, forward strand.
AATTCCAATGTAAAAGTGATGAGGTTAAATAAAACTGCTATAGTCTAGAACTGGAAAAAGCAATATGAACACATAATGCAATTTACCTTTAAAAACACACACACATATTCCCAAATTCTGACCCCTGGAGAATCCTAGAAATTATGACTGACCTGGTAGCAAACCCACCCCATCCCCAAAAGTCCTAAATCCCAGGCTGTGATTTCTAATACTATTTCCCACCAAAAGGAACCAGGACTCCTTAGAGAAACACTGGGTCTGGAGGAGGAAACACAGATGATGAGTCTGGGACACTCTGTCATACCAAAAGGCAAGGGAGCTATTAGAAACTACTGGGATCCTGGCCGGGAACAGTGGCTCACGCCTGTAATCTCAGCGCTTTGGGAGGCCGAGGCAGGCAGATCACAAGGTCAGGAGATCGAGACCATCCTGGCTAACACGGTGAAACCCCATCTCTACTAAAAATACAAAAAAAAAATTAGCCGGGCGTGGTGGCGGGCACCTGTAGTCCCAGCTACTTGGAAGCCTGAGGCAGGAGAATAGCGTGAGCCCGGAAGGCAGAGCTTGCAGTGAGCCAAGATCGCGTCACTGCACTCCAGCCTGGTCAACAGGATGAGACTCTGTCTCAAAAAAAATAAATAAATAAATAAATAAAAGAAAAGAAACTACTGGGATCCTGTTAAAAGGACTTCAGAGTTCACTTGAAATTCCCACTGGACAGGCCGGGCGTGGTGGCTCATGCCTGTAATTCCAGCACTTTGGGAGGCCAAGGCGGGCAGATCATGAGGTCAGGAGATCGAGACCATCCTGGCTAACACGGTGAAACCCCATCTCTACTTAAAATACAAAAAATTAGCCGGGCGTGGCGGCGGGCGCCTGTACTCCCAGCTACTCGGGAGGCTGAAGCAGGAGAATGGCGTGAACCCGGGAGGCGGAGCTTGCAGTGAGCTGAGATCACGCCACTGCTCTCCAGCCTGGGCAATAGAGGGAGACTCCGTCTCAGAAAAAAAAAAAAAAAGAAGAAATTCCCACTGGACAAAGATAGGACAAATTAAACATCAGTGAGGACAGTAACTACAGCAGATTGAAATATAGCCAATAAGTTTAAATACATCCATTTAAAGTGACACTCCCCTCTCTCAAAAATTACCTTTTGAAAATGTTTAAAAAATTAATAAAATCAAGCATTTACCCTGCCTTTCCTATATGAACTGTATCTCAGAGCAACCAAATGGTTGATATGGAAAAGGTTTCTTTTTACAAGTATCCCAGCTAGTATGAAGAAGAAGTGATAGAAACAAAATATCACCATTTTATAACCTCTAATTAATGAACAGATCAAAGAGAGATAACCAGACATAATGTACCTCTTGATGGAAGTACCTATCACCACTTTTAAAATATTCTTGCCAAGAAAGTGAACTTGAATCTCATCAAGTCACTTAATCCAACTACCAATTTGTAGGAAATAAAGGGGACAGAGGAATACATTAAACAAACCTTAAGGATGCAACGGAAATCATATAGGACAAATAACCCAGTTCTTCAAAAAATAAACTGCATGGGGGAAAAAGACAGCAAATATCAACCAATTGCAATGTATGAACTTCGCTGATTCAAACGAATCCACCGTTTTTTTTAAATTTGACATAACTGAAAAACTTTGAACACTGACTGGATATTTAATAACATTAAAATTTTTTGACCGGGTGCAGTGGCTCATGCCTGTAATCCCAGCACTTTGGGAGGCCTAGGTGGGTGGACTGCTTGGGGTCAGGAGTTTGAAACCAGCCTGACCAACATGGTGAAACCCTGTCTCTACTAAAAACACAAAAATTAGCTGGGCATGGTGGCGCACACCTGTAATCCCAGCTACTGGGGAGGTTGAGGCAGGAGAATCGCTTGAACCCAGGAGGCAGAGGTTGCAGTGAGCCGAGATCACACCACTGCACTCCAGCTTGGGTGACAAAGTACAACTTCAACTAAAAAAAAAAAATTAAAAATTAAATTTTTTGGTTAACTTTTTAGGTGTGAAAATGTTATGTTTTTTAAAAAGAAAAATCTACCTTTTAGAGGCACATATGGAAGTATTTAAGAATGATATGACATCTGCGGCCTGGAATGGTGGCTCACACCTGTAATCCCAGCACTTTGGGAGGTGGAGGCAGGCAGATCACTTGAGGTCAGGTGTTTGAGATCAGCCTGGCCAAAATGGTGAAATCTCATCTCTACCAACAATACAAAAATTAGCCAGGCATGGTGGTGCACACCTGTAATCCCAGCTACTGGGGTGGCTGAGGCACGAGAATCACTTGAACCTGGGAGGTGGAGGTTGCAGCGTGCCGAGATTGCATCACTGCACTCCAGCCTGGGTGACAGAGTGAGACTCTGTCTCAGAAAAAAAAAAAAAAAAAAAAGGATGATATGACAACATCTGGGATTTGCTTCAAAATAATCCAGGACTAGAGAGCAGGGGAGGGAGTTACAGTCAGTTATCTATAAATAAAACTAGGTAAAACATAAATTAAGTGTTGAAACTGGTTGATGGGAATTTGGGGGCTCATTATACTATTCTACTTTTATAGATGTTTAAAATTTTCCAAAATAAAGTTTAAAAATAGGTTCAAGCACCAAGAAGAAAAAGAATAAAAAATCACTTTAAGGCCGGGCATGGTGGCTCAAGCCTGTAATCCCAGCACTTCGGGAGGCCGAGGCGGGCGGATCACCTGAGGTCAGGAGTTTGAGACCAGCCTGGCCAAACTGGAGAAATCCGTCTCTACTAAAAGTACGAAAAATTAGCCGGACATGGTGGCAGGTGCCTGTAATCCCAGCTACTCAGGAGGCTGAAGCAGAGGAAGCTTGAATCCAGGAGGTAGTAATTGCAGTGAACCAAGATCGTGCCACTGCACTCCAGCCTGGGCGACAAGAGCAAGGCTCTGTCACACACACACAAAAAAAACACTTTAAAAAGACTGAAAAGTAGTACCAGTTAAACAGAGATAAATATAAATTATTTGTATAAATCTTTTATAAAACTGAATAGATTTCCAATATTTATGATAAAGGGAACATTAAGTGGTTTTTTTACTTCAAGACAGGGTCTTGCTCTGTTGCCCAAGCTAGAGTACAGTGGTGCAATCTCAGCTCACTGCAACCTCCCCTTCCCGGGTTCAAGCAGTTCTCACACCTCAGCCTCCCAAGTAGCTGGGATTACAGGCATGCGCCACCATGCCCAGCTAATTTTTGTAATTTTTTTTTTTTTTTTTAGTAGAGATGGGGTTTTGCCATGTTGGCCCAACTGATCTCGAACTCCTGACTTCAAATGATCTGCCTGCTTCAGCCTCCCAAAGTGATGAGATTACAGGTGTGAGCTACCGGGCCTGGCTGGGGACATAAGTGTTCTTAAATGTTATAATTCTAATTGTTTGCACGCTCATCTTACCTGTCTTAGTAGACTATAGGCTTCCTTTCTTCCCAACCAGCAAGAGCAATAGTGCTTTGTATATATCAGCATCTCAATCTTTCAAACAAATTCAGTGAAATACACTACACGTCATCCTAACATTCTTACTGAAAGGAAGCAAATACTTTGGTTTTTAAAAACAAAACCAAAAAAAACTGTAATACTATAAAAAGGAACATACTTGCTGTTTTTTAACTTGTTTTTTAACTCCAGGTTGTTCAGACAACTGTGTTTTCTCCTCTCCAAGCAATATTAATGATAGCTGCCATTTAATAAGCAGTCATATCTCCACTGAGAACTAGGCACAATATCTCTTTTAATTATCACAACAACCCTGTAGGTTAATTTATTAGCTTCCTTCCATAAATATTATTTTTTTAACCTGAAGCTCAGAAATTTAGAACTCAGAGGGAGAATGTATAGTTCTGGGAACTCAGTACTCCAATGCTCACATACCCCTGGCTCCTCTCACACCCCGGAGTTCAAGAACTGCCAGCGTGGAGTCAAACAGTATCTTCTCTAGATTGGTTTCCTTCCTTCCATTTATTCATACAGCCTATGCGAGATCAATGCAACACCCTCAAACCTTTCCTGTGGCTAAAGTGAATTCAAAAGGTGGTTTTTCTTTTCCCCCTCTCTAAATCTACCATGAACAGATTTGCCTTCAGCAATTTAGTCCAGCCCACTTCAAGTCTTACTCATTCAATAAAGCACACACATTCACTATGGATCCCTCAAAGATTCCTTCCATTCTCAATGCAGACTAAAATGCCTTATCCCAATTATAACTTTTCACTTTTCCTCAGAAAAGCAAACATATAACCAGTCCTCACCTCACAAATACTCCATTTGTAACATAACTCTGCTAACCTTGGCAAGTCATCTTTGATTCTTCTTTTGCCTCTTACGTGTAATTTGTCACCAAGTCTTGTCATTTCTACTTAAAATCTCTCAAAGCCATCCTTTTTTTTTTTTTTCTTTTTTCTTTTTGAGACAGGGTCTCACTCTGTCACCCAGGCTGGAATGCAGTGGCGTGATCTTGACTCACTGCAACCTCCGTCTCCTGAGCTCTGTGGGAGCTCAAGTGATCCTCCCACCTCAGCCTCCCAAGTAGCTGGGACCACAGATACATGCCACCACACCTGGCTAATTGTTGTATTTTTTTGTAAAGACAGAGTTTCATCATGTTGCCCATGCTGGTCTCAACTTCCTGGACTCAAGCCATCCACCCTCCTTGGCCTCCCAAAGTGCTGGCATTACAGGCATGAGCCACCACGCCCGGCCTGTCATTCCTTTTCTTTACACTGCCAAAACCTTGCTCTGGACCTTGATCTTCAGCAGTAAAAACTATTTACACAGTTCCACAATCCAGTGGCCTCCCATTTTTTTCCATGCATTCTTCCTATCAGTAAAAAAGTGAGCATACATCTGATAAATATCCATAAATTATAATAATGCCTTACTATACTAACACATACATTAAAAAATACAAACTTTGAAGGTTGATATAAAAATAAATACAATTTCTAACATATTCTCACGTTCCAATGCGTCATCTTGTAAAAGCCAGAGATATCACTGTTCTAAACTGCTGCTGCCAGGGTAATCTACCTAAAAACCCAAATCTGATCATAGTACATCCCCAGTTCAACCCTTCAATGGCATCATATCCCACTGGCACATGCCTACTTCATCAACTTCCTCTCCTGTAATCTTTATCCTTATATCCTGTATTTCAGCTTTACCTTTTATCTCCCCATGACTTTTGCATACACAGTTCCCTATATCTGGAATGCCCTTGCCCTCAACAGTTACTGATTTGTACATAACAGTATCTTGAAGAGGGAAACACATTCTAAATGTCATAACCAACGTCCAAATGAACTTTTGGAATGTCACCTCTCTTTTCTATAGGAACATATATGTATTTTAACATATCTTTTCTTACTTTATTTGGCTCCTTTTCAAGTCCTGAATACTCGGAAAGAATGGGTACGGATTCCAATAAAAGTAGAGAACAAAACAACTTCATTTTGTTTATTTTTCTTCCTTGTTTATCTTTCCATGTCCCTACAAAGCCCCTTTAAGCAAAAAGGATGTTACGAACCCAGAGATTAGCTCTCCCTAGGGCCAGGAAAAAGGCTGGACCTTTGCAACTGCAACCGGAACTCCAGCCAGGAACTTACACAGATTTAATAACTCAATGCAAACATACTTTCCTAGAGCAATACTCCAGGTCTTACCTTCTGTTTCAACCTTCCTATCTGCTGTACAATGCCCTCTAAGTTGACTACAATGGCTAAGAAAAGAGTGATGGAGTAGCACCAACATGTTTTCCAGAAAAGTCATGAAAATTCAAGTGGCTGACTCTGAGCACTAACGATGGAGAGCTTGGTCTTCAAAGAGACTTTTATTCCACCACTCCAAGTCTCTCTACATTCTCCTTTGGGGACAGGGAGGACAGCACTGTGGCGGAGAAAGGGAAGAGGGGAATAGGCATTAGAGGAAGAAGGCCTGGAAGGAAGTCACATTCCAATTCTTGGTCTCATCACAAAGCAGAGAGATACGTTAGTTGTGCTATACAACAGGCCTCAAGAAAAAGCAAACTTTTTGTGTATTTTGGCAATGGGATCCTTTAAACAAACTGGAGCAGAGCTATCATAAGCCAACACTGCTCCTCTATTCTTGAAATGAGATCGGTTTATCCTCACTTTCAAGTCATATAACTTCCACTTGTCTTCCTTTGGTAATCCCCCTCCATTCTCCAAATCTCCCCTTTCTTTCAGTTCAAGTTCCAACCTCTTCCTAGAAACCTATCTCCGTCTACACTGATCTTTTCTATGTAACTCATTTGGGCCAAATCAAAACCACAATAAAATACCACTTTACACAAAGTGGTACAGCTGCTTTAGGAAACAATTTTAACAGTTTCTCAAAATGTTACATAGAGTTACCAAAAGATCCAGCAATTCCACTCCTAAGTATATACCCAAGCGAAATAAAAACATATGTCCACACAAAATGTTCATAGCAACATCATTCATAATGATGAAAAGGGGAAACAACCCAAATACCTAACAACTGACAAATGGATGAGTAAAATGTGGTATGTCCATACAATGGAATATTATTCAGCAGTAAAAAGTAATGAAACACTCATGCATGCTCCAACATGGATAAATCTTGAAATCATTAAGTGAAAGAAGCCACGCAGGACGGGTTATATATGATTCTATTTATTAATATATGAAATGCCCATAAAAGGCAAATCTATAGCAAGTAGATTAGTGATTGCCTAGGACTGAAGGGTTTGGGGGAATGAGGAGTGTCTAACAGGCATGGGGTTTCTTTCTGGGGTGATGAAAAAGTTCTGGAATTAGTGGTAATCAATCACCCTTGTGAATATACTTAAAACCACTTAAAAAAGTAAATTTTAGGGCTGGGCACAGTGGCTCATGCCTGTAATCCCAGCACTTTGGGAGGCCAAGGCAGTCGGATCATCAGGAGTTTGAGACTAGCCTGGCCAACATGGTGAAACTAAAAATACAAAAACTAGTCAGGCATGGTGGCGGGCACCTGCAGTCCCAGCTACTTGGGAGGCTGAGGCATAAGAATCACCTGAACCCAGGAGGCGGAGGTAGCAGTGAGCCAAGATCACACCACTGCACTCCAGCCTGGGGGACAGAGTGAAACTGTCTCAAAAAAAAAAAAAAAGTAAATATTATAGTATGTGAATCTTATGTTGTAATCTTATAAGATTCACATACTATAAAATTTCGTATCTTAAACAGTTTTCAGATTACCACAACCTACAAGGCCCTGTCCAGGGTCTCTCCCTCTGACCTCACCACAAGCCTCTCTGCCATCAGTCACTACTCAAACCCACTGGCCTTCTGTCCGTTCCTGAAATATGCCTAGGGTTTTCTTGCCTCAAGGCCTGGAATAAAAAGTCTTGCCTAGTCTCTTTAGATGACTAATACCTCCTCATCCTTTAAGTCTCAGCTCAAATGTCATCTCCACAGTGAGGCCTTCCCTCGCCACTCTATCTAAAATAGGACAGTCGCTCCCATCATTTTCTCTGAGGCAACTCATGTGCTTCCTTTATAGAACATCCACATAGCTTTATGTGAATTCACCTGGTTTTTTTAATGTCAGGTCCACAAGACTGTATGCACCGTGAGGAGTGAATCTGTATTATTCACCATCGTAATTCCCAATGTCTAACACAATTCCTGGCATTTAAGTGCCAGGAATAAATGGTAATATTTTTATTTCCCTAATATGCCACGTCCTCATATGTACTGCTCCCTCTGCTGATACCACCACCATCACTACTGCCTCTACTCCCTCTGCTAACCACCCCTACCTATCTCTCAGCTGAAACATGATCCCCTTGGTGAAGGCTTCCTTTCCTGACCCTCCCTCCTCCCCAGAAGACAGTCTCTCCTTCACTTACTCACCTATTCGTCACCAGCGGCATCTCCACCATTGCAATTAACTTATACTGTATTATACTTGTGTTTTGTTTTTTTTGTTGTTTTGTTTTGTTTTGGTGGGGAGGGAGTCTGGAAGGGATTGTTTTTGTTTTACATTTGTGTCCACTACTTTAGAAAGCCTTAAAGAAAAATATTTGTTCATCTTTGTGTCCCCAGTACTTAGCACACTGCCAGGCACAGTATTGCCACTAATTATGATAATAATGGCTAACATTTATTGTTTAATATGTGCTTAATCTTCTTAGTTCTACAGTAGGTAAATGGATGAATAAATGGATAAATTTCTTGGTCACTAACCTCACAGAGGTCACAGTTTGACAGGGACAGAAGACAGGTATACAGGCTAATGTAGAATAATCACCACCACAAGGCCAAATTAGTTGCCCTGCCCTGTTCCTATGCCTCAAGTCTTAGAGTATGCTTTTCTCTGAGTCCATAAATGTCACGTTTCTTCAAACTCACTTAGAAAACTTCCTTCGATTACTTACAGCCCACTTCCTGCACTTGGTGCCTGGAAGCAATTTCTAGGATGTCACCACAAGCAATATTAAACTGCCACATAGTTTCCTGCTGTGTGTCTGCATTATCAGTTAAATTGCTTCATATTAACCACATTCCAGTCCACTGGGATCATTCAAACACTAAATAAGATTTAAAAATACCTGTTGAAGATTGTCAGTTACCACTGCTCCTTTTATTCTTCTAGATAAATGTCCATACAGATGTAACATTTAGGTTTCCAGGGTGCTACCTGCATACTGGTGACCTTCTCTTTTTTTGTCCATTAAATGTTGATTTGAGGCAAGACAATGTTCCTTTATTAAAATAAACATGAGGCTGGGCACGGTGGCTCACATCACACCTGTAATCCCAGCACTTTGGGAGGCCAAGGCAGGCAGATCACCTGAGGCTGGGAGTTCAAGACCAGCCTGACCAACACGGGAGAAACCCGTCTCTACCAAATAAAGAAAATTAGCCAGGCATGGTGTCTCATGCATGTAATCCCAACTACTGGGGAAGCTGAGGCAGGAGAATCGCTTGAACCCGGGGGTTGGAGGTTGCCATGAGCCAAGATCATGCCATTGCACTCCAGCCTGGGCAACAAGAGCAAAACTCCATCTCAAAAAAAAAAAAAAAAAAAAGAACTAAATAATCTAGTAAAAGGCCTGCGTAAACCATATAATTTGCCTTAGAAATTTATAAAATATAAAACTTTTCTTCCTCAAGGGTTTTTTTTTTAACTCGATAAACACTCAACTCGGTCTTAATTAGAATCTTAATATAGATCCTAATGTATTTCTTAAATGCGTTCCATGAACTCTTCTCAAACAACCATGTGCCAGGCATTGAGTCTGACACAGGGAACTCAAAGATAAATAAGACAGTCCTTCCTCTCAAGAAGTTTATGTCCAGCATGGTACGGGACACAGACAAGAAACGAGATTCAGTATTGTGACTGCAATAAACACAAGGGGCCACAGAAACACGGATGAAGGGCACCTGGCCTAGACTGGAACAGGAGGGGGTGGGGGTGGCAACAGGAAACTGGCATCAAGGCAGGCGTCTGGGGGATGGCATCTGATCTTAGGCCTATAAACTCCCATTCTCTCATTTGAAAAATGTGGTTAATAAATAGCATCGCCACCACTGGACAGTAGTGAGGGTTTCATGAAATGGTTCACATTAAGGATTTCCACGGTACCTGACAGAGATTGTGTTCAACCAGGCTTAAACTTAAAAGAGAAGTCTGATCAAACACGAAATCTCAACACCTGTGCCTAGCAACTCACGTGCTTTACCACTGATCACACAACAGACACCAGCTTCACAATTACACACAATATTGTTTTAAATCAACTTTTATTTTTTAATAATGAGACAATGTTAAGCCCTACTCTGCATGTTAACAGCCTAATTCCTTGGTCATTAAAATTTTCTTCTCCATTACCTTAAACATACCTTTCTCTGACATTTCTAATATACAGTAATGTTCTTAGTCTTTTGATACAGAAGGTGAAAAAAAAGAAAAAAACCTAACAATTACTGAGTTTTTAACATGGACCTGACATTTACATTGATACTGTGTTCAATGCTCATAATAACCCTACAACCTGGACACAGTCCTCCCCATTTTACCTTCAGGGAAACTGAGGTTGAAAAGGCAGTCTGTGTAAAGTTTCATAATTAGCATTAAAAAGAGCTGGAATTTGAACCTAGACCTGATTCCACCTAGTCAACTGACTTGCTGCATCAGAGATAAGCAAGAGAAAACAAAAGGAACCCCTCCCCCTTGTCCCTACCTCCAAGACTGTCCTATTCAATGGAACCTGCACACTTAGATTTCACCACAGCCAGGAGAACATCTTGAATGCCCTGCCAGGAGGGAAAGCCAGCCAGTAGTAACCAAAGCTCTGTCTTCTCCAACAACTAGAGGAGCACTTAAGTGGGTAATTTCCTGTCCATCCCCATTCCTAGCTACAGGCAGAAGTTGCATAATCAACAGTCACTATAAATCACAACTACTTTTCATAACTTCTCTCTTCATATTCTCTTTCGGTTTCACCACAAGCTAACATATTTCCCAAGCCTAAGTTTTTATCACAGAGTAGTCTAGTTTCAAGATCAATAAGGCTATTCTTCATACTCATTTCACGCTTAATACAATTCCATGCCTTAGTAAATTCCCTAACCCAAGTGCTCAGAATTAGCGATGGGTTCCACAAAACACATTTGAGAAATGTATTTGTCAACCTGCTACCTTGGAGAGCAACAGAGAGATTTGATGGCTAGCCATCTGAACTTTTACTTGCTGGATTTTAATACTGGTTCTGACACTCACTGCTTCATGTCAGGCAAGTTTCTGAACTTTTCTGTAACAAGAAGGGTAAGTGTCCTCACGCATACTCTGCAACTCTAAGTTGGCTTCTGGAAAGTGTTTCTAAGTGCTATTGAAATCCAAGTTTACAACTCTTACTTGGAAGCAGGAGCTAAACTTGAGTGCCTCTTTAATCCCAATGTTTCACAAACGACATCTTTTTACCTCCCAAGCCTCTCAAGCTCTTGTTTGGAGCATGCTTCTAACTTTTTTCTCATTTCCACAAAAATAAAGATTTAACAGAGTGTTCATGCGACTCTTCCATTTTCATTACCATAAGCAAACTTTTCTAGTTTCATTCAGCAGATGTCTCAAGGCTGCTGCAGCGCATCTCATACATATTTTGTAAATGAGAAGCCTAACCACACGGGGGACTGCAAGGCTGGGCAAGGGTCACACTGCACGGGCATCACCTGGACATGAGATGCAATGTTTGAATAATTATTAGTTTCACCCTTAAGGCCCTTCTCCTTTCAAACTTCCCTAGTACAATTCTCAAAATGCTGAAATAAACACATTCCACAAACTTTCTTGTAAGAGGGTTTAAAGTGTCCTAGGAAAGTTGTTTTACAGAAAAGCCTATGCTGTCAACTTTGCTTTTTAATGCCCTTAAACAATTCTATTAGTCACAGAGGAAAAAGTGAACATTTGTTAGTAATTAGAGATAAAACATCTCCAGTTCTGGGGCAGAGGAAGGGAGAGGCCACAAGAGGACCTGGCTGGGAGGGGAGATAGAGTCGAAAGCCACACACCCAAATTGGACCGCTTAAGAGTTGCACTTTCCAAAGTCAACTTCTAAGTCTACAAGGACAGCAACAATGTTTCAGTGGATTCTGAAGTTACATGTATCAACAATTTCCCCGGAAAGCTAACCCTCCACCGGGAACTCCAGGTGAATGAATGAGTGAGGGAATTCGCCAGATTGAGTTACAAAGCCTTTCCAACGATTATCAAGAGCAGGTGCTCGGTTACAACACAGAGGTATCCTCCTTCACAGCCTTTGGACCTTGCTGCGTGGAGATTTTCACAGATAAGAGGGGGGAAATAGAGAGACAGGCCTTCCTCCCCGGCCATCCACACCTTAGGTGGCCACACCATGAGCGGCCCCTCCCTCTAAGAACCTCACGCGACTTCTGTGGGGGCCGCAGGCCTCAAGCGGCCAGGCTGCAACCTCTCCGGACCTGCCAACTTTCAGGGGCGCCCCAAACATGCCCAAACATGGGGAGGTGCTTCCGGGGCTTTCCCACTCCCCTTCCCCACAGTTGAAGGACCATTTTCAGGGGCTCTCCGTAAACCCGGGGAGGGGGCCGCCCTGTAATCTCAGCTGTTCCGACCCCCAGGTGAGGAGGGGACACCTGACCCCCGGCGCCCTGCCACCCCGCGCGCACCCCGCCCCCGCGCCTCCCTGGATCGCCATAGCAACCGTCCCCCTCCCCGCGTGCCGGCGTCACGCGGGGCGCCCCTCTGGTCTCGGCAACAAGTCCCCCGCGCGGCCCGCGGCCTGCAGCCCTGGCCCGGCCTCGCCGCCCCGCGCCCGGCCCGGCTCCGCCCGGCCCGGCCGCACTCACTTGATCCTGGAGCCCATGGTCCCCAGGCCTCCTCATGGGCCCGCGGGCCCCGCTCGGCGCTGCGCTGCCCGCCCGCCCGCGGCCGACCGGCCTCCCTCTGGCGCTCTCCCCGCCCCTTCCTCCCTTCCCTCAGGCTGGGGCCCGCCCGCTCGAGGCTCGCTCCCTCGCCGCCGCCGCCGCCTCCAGGGGTTAATGTACTCGCTCCAGCCCGGCGAACGCCATGGTCGCCGGCGCGCGTGCCCGGCGCGCGCCGCCCCCTCCGCCTCTCACCACCGCCCCTCCCGCCCGCGCTGCCGCCGCCGCTGCCCGCTGGGGCTGCTGGGAAGTGTAGTCCGCTCGCGGGGGCGGGGCCGTGGCCGGTGGGGGCGGGGCGGGAGCGCGGTCACCCGCACGTCTCCCAGGGCGCGGGCCCCGGAGGACTCTGGCGTTCCGTTGCAGGCCCTTACACATCTGCACCCCACTGCGCCCCGCTGGAAACCTCCACTCACAGCCGCCCTGAAGAGACCCTAATCCTCTCATGGAGACCCCAAGCCCTCCCGATGAAACCGCCACCAATCCTCCCATTGGAGGCCTCCCACCCAGCCTCTCTAACGGAGAGCTAATCCCCCGCCCAGGCCTCCATGAAAACACGTTTTCCCTTTAACATCCCGCACCTTCCAGTAAGTTCCGTGCAGAACCTCTTCTCCATCACACCGTCCACTTCCCCATCTGAAGGCCTTTCCTCTTCCTTTCCCCTTAGAGCTTGAAGGAGACCCCACATACCTACAGGAAAGCCACCTGGGGGCTTCGTGGACCCACGTGGTGGCTCAGCTCTGCCCTCCCGCTGAGGACCTCTGCCTCCCTTTATCAGCCGTTTTGGGAACTCCAACATCGAAGCCTCCTGTTAACACAACAGTCCCTGATAGAGATTAACTCAATGCAAATGAAAGGATTTGAGAGCCGAGATCACCAGCCTGCTACCTACCCCTGCTCCCCCTTGGGATTCACTTCCATGAACACCTCAATTTCATCCCCTCTAGGGCCAGAGGGATCATAAAGGAAGCAATAATCACAGCTACCATTAGCCACCCTTTAATGAGCGGGTGAGTGCCCTTTCTGCATCAGACACAGTATTTCCGTACATCATTAGTGCCAATCCTCACAATAATCCTGTGTTCATCTCCCTAATTTACAAAGAGGAAACTGAGCCACATTCCCAAGGTCACATAACTAGCAACGAGTGAAGAAGCCAAGATTAGTGTCCAGACTGAATCATTCCAGACACCTGTGACATAGTCATGCTTTAAGGTGGCACCTTTGGCCACAAGTCCAAAGACATTTTTAATATTAGGCTTTTTTTCCTTTTTTTTTTTTTTTTTCCAATTTTCTGTCCCGAAATGCCATTCATCACTTCTGCCATTTTAGTTCTTATAAATGCATGGAGTGCCTCCCCACCCTACCCCCACCCCATAGCCTCTACGTAACTGGTCCTGCGTCCTAGCTCCCGGCCAGGATGGGAGGAAAGAAAGCCAGAAGATAAGTCGTAGAAGACTTCTTCTGTTGGAGTCACCTTCTGAATAAAGATAGTTTCTCCCTTTTGCCTCTGCCTTTAGGTTGTTGAAGTCAAAGGGTAAACTTTTTAAAATGAAAACCAAAAAAAAAGTGAAAATGTCCAAACTGTCATTTTGAATTTAAAGTCTTATGCACCCAGACACCAATACCGACTTGTAAACACCCCCAGGAGCAAAGCTCTGCTAGACAGGCAGGAGCTCTGTGGTGTTTATTCACCTATGAAACTTCTCCAAGGAACAGTTGCTATCAAGATCTTCCCTGGAATGGGAGCCAGTTCAAAAGCTCTGAGCAGGAGACTATAAATAAAACAAAGTTATTGGTGGAGGGCAAAGCTGGCTGCTTTTCAAAGGAGGTTGTAGCCATCCTGGCCACAAATATGTCTGGGTGCCTGCTGGGTGGGGTGTGTGTGTGTGTGTGTGTGTGTGTGTGTGTGTGTGTGTGTGTTGGAGAGGGAGGTAGAAGGTGGGGATTATGTGTCTGCTCAGGTGGCCTCAGAGACAGCAGGGTGGTCTGAGGAGAGAGCACTGGACTGGGAGTTAGGAACGTGGCTTCTAATTCTGGCTTCAGCATTGACTGGCAGATTTTATGCAAATGATTAGACAAGTGTATGTTTTAGTTTCCTCCCCCGTAAAATGGGCAGAGAGAGTGATGAGAAGCTTCCATCATAAGAGCGAGTGTAACATAGGAGCAAAGAGCACAGGCTCTAGAACCAGACTGCCAGGGTTTAAATCTCAGCTCTACCTCTTACTAAATATATGGCCTTGGGTGAATTATTCCTTCTCTGTGTGTCTCAGGTTCTCTGTCTGTAAAATGGAAATGGTGATAATAATAGACCTATTTTAGTGAGTTGACACGAGGATTAAGTGAGTTAGTGACATTTATAAAGTATTTAAACAGTGATTATCACATATTAAGTACTCAAAAATTAAAAGCAACTATTATATACAAAACACTTAGCACCGTTTGGCTTTTATTATTAAAATTAATAAGGCAACCAGTGGCTGGGCATGGTGGCTCACACCTGTAATCCCAGCACTTTGGGAGGCCAAGGCGAGTGGATCACTTGAGGCCAGGAGTTCAAGACCAGCCTGACCACCAACATGGTGAAAACCCATCTCTACTAAAAAATAGAAAAAATTTAGCCGGGTGTGGTGGCAGGCGCCTGTGGTCCCAGCTACTCAAGAGGCTGAGGCAGGAGAATCGCTTGAACCCAGAAGGCAGAAGTTGTAGTGAGCCGAGATCACGCCACTGCACTCCAGCCTGGGCAACAGAGCAAGACTGTCTCAAAGGAAAAACAAAGGCCGGGCATGGTGGCTCATGCCTGTAATCCCAGGACTTTGGGAGGCTGAGGCGGGCAGATCATGAGGTCAGGAGATGGAGACCATCCTGGCTAACATGGTGAAACCCCATCTGTACTAAAAAAAAATACCAAAAATTAGCTGGGCGTGGTGGTGGGCACCTGTAGTCCCAGCTACATGGGAGCCTGAGGCAGGAGAATGGCGTGAACCCAGGAGGCGGATTTTGCAGTGAGCCGAGATCATGCCACTGCACTCCAGCCTGGGCGACAGAGCAAAACTCCGTCTCAAAAAAAAAAAAAAAAAAGTACCCAGCTCCGTGGCTTGTTCCTGTAGTGCCAGCTACTCAGGAGGCTGAGCCCAGGAGTTTAAGGCTGAGCCTAGGATTTTGAGGCTGCAGCACGCTATGATCATGCCCATGAATAGCCACTGCACTCCACCCTGAGCAACATAGCGAGGCCCCATCTCTGAAATAAATAAATACATTTTGTAAAACTGATCAACATAATAATAAAGAGTACCATGCTTGGATTCGGGAGACCTGAGTTCTCAGCCCAACTTGTTTGTTCACGTTCTGTATCAGTTAGAATTCAATTCAACTGTAAATGATAGAGAAGTGAAATAACAATTGTTGAAAAAAATAGAATTTTATTTCTCTTTCACATAAAGTCTGGCGATTAACATTCCAGAGCTGGTATGACAATTCTATAATTAATGGAGACCCAGAATTCTATCTTATTGCTCTCCGATTCTCCAGGAAGAATTTCCACCTCATAGTCCAGGATGGCTGCTTAAACTCTAGCTATCTAATCTGCAGCCCAGCCTGCAGGAAGGAAGG
Source organism: Homo sapiens (assembly GCF_000001405.40). Taxonomy (NCBI): domain Eukaryota; kingdom Metazoa; phylum Chordata; class Mammalia; order Primates; family Hominidae; genus Homo; species Homo sapiens. The sequence continues at coordinate 123,933,573 of NC_000009.12, forward strand.
AGGATCTGTCCACGTCAAACTCTGACCTTTAAGTGTACTTCCCAGGAATTACTCACACCACTTCTATTTACATCCCAGTGGCCAGAATTTAGTCATGCAACCACACCTCACTAGAAAATACAGCCTTTATTCCAGACAACCAGACAATAAGGTCCGCAGCTGAAAGGTAGGGAGAAGGGAATGGCATTTCCAGGAAAGAAGGGGAGGATAGATATTGCAAGACACCCAGCAGGCTCAGCCATGCTTGGCTATGTGATTTTGAGCAAGCCACAGATTTAACCAAAATAAGAGAATCAGGCCAGGTGACCTCCTTCCAAAGTCCTTTTGGGTTCTAAAGTTCTATAATTCAGTGGCTGATTGATTTTATAATTCCTTTAAACCTAGGTGAATCTGACGTCATTCAAATGAAATGAGACCTCTGTGCCAAATACATGCCATAATCAATTGTTGGAATGTAAATCTTCTGGTGAAGAGAAAGGATTTAGGAACTTTGCCTTCTTGACTGTTGTCAAAATAGGCTAAGCAGATCTAGCAGATAAAAGTCCAACGGTAGGGATGATACCACCTGCATTGACACTTTGATGCTCCTCAGTTTCCAAGCTTGCTCTTGCTCTTTTGTACCTGTTTGGTTTCTCTGCTTGGAATTTAGGGAGCTGTGTTTATTGAGGGGAAGACAGCAACCCCAGGGAGCTCTATTGGCCCCCAATTATACAATACGAAATAGCAGAACAAATGGTCTGTGTGCCAGGATTCAGTGGTCTGTTGTTCCTAATACGTTAAATTGTGATTATATTATTTTTTATTGAAATGTAGTTCACCAACCATACAATTTACCACTTTAAATGTGTACATTTCAATGGTTTTAGCTGATGGACTTTTGGATTGTTTTCTTTTTTTTGAGTCTCACTCTGTCACCAGGCTGGAGTGCAGTGACGCAATCTCAGCTCACTTCTCAGCTCACTGCAACCTCCACCTACCGGGTTCAAGGTATTCTCTTGCCTCAGCCACATGAGTAGCTGGAACTACAGGCGTGTGCCACCATGCCCAGCTAATTTTTGTATTTTTAGTAGAGACAGGGTTTCACCATGTTGGCCAGGCTGGTCTCAATCTCTTGACCTTGTGATCCGCCCACCTCAGCCTCCCAAAGTGCTGGGATTACAGGCGTGAGCCACGGCGCCCATCCTGGATTGCTTTCTTCTTTTGGTTATTGTGACTCTGGAGCCAGATGGACCCAGGTTGCTAGTTGGGTGAACTTGGAGAATGTTACTTAAATTTTCTGAGCCTTGGTTTCTTCTTCTTTAATAAGAGGATGATAATACCCACTTTACAAAGATAAAACAAAATGAAGAATTTAAGCTTCTTGCTCTATATTTGGTTTTCAATGAATGGGAATATTATTCTGCTAAATGGTCAAATTGATAAAGAGAGGAACCACATCAGGTTTGTCCATACCTACTTCTCAACATCTAGTACAGAGCCTAGCACGCAGGCAGTGACCGGTAAATATTTTTTGAAAAAATAACTAAACAACCACAAAACCCTTATTTTGAGGCACATTCCTCAAGAATAATAAGCCACAGAACAAGATTTGGGAAGTGCTTTCTTAAATTTGAACTTAGTATATTCAGTTGGTGCATTTGCTCACCTTCTATTTTTTATACATTTTTAAAAATTGTGGTAAAATGTGCATAACAGAAAGTTGACCACTGTAACCATTTTTAAAGTGTACATTTCAATGGCATTAAGTACATTCACATTGTTATACATCCATCACCACCATCCTCCTCCAGCACTTTTTTCATCTTCCCAAACTGAAACTTTATACCCATGAAATGGCACAACAACTCCCCCTCCCATCCTCCCTTCCCTCCACTTTATTCCTGGCAACCACTATTCTAGTTTCTGCCTATGAATTTGACCACTCTCATATAACCTCATATAAGTGGAATTGTACATTATTTGTTTGTGACTGGCTTATTTCACTTAGCATAATGTCTTCAATGTCCATTCAAGCTGAAGTATATGTCACAATTTCCTTCCTTTTTAAGGAATAGTAGTTCATGGTATGTATAGATCACATTGTGTTTCTCCATTCATCTGCCAATGGACACTTGGGTTGTTTCTACCTTTTGGCTCTTGTGAATAATGCTGCTATGAACGTGAGTGTACAAATATCTCTTCAAGACCCTGCTTTCAGTTCTTTGGGATAATACCCATAAGTGGAATTGCTGGATCATGTGGTAATTCTTTTAAGATTTTCTGAGGAACTATTCTACTGTTTTCCATAGCAGTTGCCCCATTTTACATTTCCATCAGCAGTGCACCAGGGTTTCAATTTCCCCACTTCCTCACCAACACTTGTTATTTTGGGGTTTGGGGTTTCTTTTTTCTTTTTTCCTAATAGCTATCCTAATGGATGTGAGGTGGTATCTCACTGTGGTGTGGTTTTAATTTGCATTTCTCTAATGATTAGTGATTTGAGCATCCTTTCAAGTGCTTGTTGTCCACTTGTATATCTTCTTTGGGGAAATGTCTATTCAAGTCTTTTGCCCATTTTGCAATCAGATTGGGTTTTTTGTCGTTGTTAAGTTGTAGGAGTTATTGATATACTTTGGATGTTAATTCCTTATCAGATATATGATTTGTAATATTTTCTCCCATTCAGTGTATTGGTTTTTCACTCTGTTGATAGTGTCCTTTGATGCAGAAAGGCTTTTAATTTTGATGTAGTTCAGCTTATTTTTTCTTTTGTTGCTGGTGCCTTTGGTGTCATATCCAAGAAATCACTGCCAAATCCAATGTCATGAAGTCTCTTCCTTTTCTCCTAAGAGTTTTATCATTTTAACTCTTAGACATTTAGGTATTTGATCCATTTTGAGTAATTTTTTTGTGTGTATGAGATAAGTAAGACTCATTATCTCCTTTTGAGAACTAAGTATGAGTGCCTGAGCCTTTCCTCATTTGTGATTAGTAATCCCAGACTGGACATTCACCTGTTCTCTGGATAGATGTTCATTATTTTACTATTGTTAATAATACCATTGTCTTAGGCTGTTCTTATACTGCTGATAAAGACATGTCCGAGACTGGTCAATTTACAACAGAAAGAGGTTTAATGGACTTACAGTTCCGCATGGCTGGGGAAGCCTCACAACCATGGTGGAAGGCAAGGAGGAGCAAGTCACATCTTACATGGATGGCAGCAGGCAAAAAGAGAGAGCTCATGCAGGGAAATTCCCCTTTATAAAACCATCAGATCTCGTGAGACTTATTCACTATCATGAGAACAGCAGGGGAAAGACCTGCCCCCATGGTTCAATTACCTCCCACCAGGTCCCTGCCACAACACATGGGAATTCAAGATGAGATTTGGGTGGGGACACAGTCAAACCATATCAACTACCTTGCAGATACTTAATAGTTTATATTTTCCCAACTGCTCAATAATCAGGGAGAGCTATTGTCCGTGGTTTAAAAGTGAAAATTCTGGCCAGAAATGCTGGCTCATGCCTATAATCCCAGTGCTTTGGGAGGCCAAGGTGGAAGGATCGCTCTAGGCCAGGAGTTTGAGACCAGCCTGGTCAACACAACAAGACCTCATTTTTACAAAACATAATTAAAAAGAAAATTAGCCGGGCATGGTGGTCCACACCTGTCGTCCCAGCTACTCTGAAGGCTGAGGTGGAAGGATCGCTTGAGCCCAGGAGTTCAAGGTTGTAGTAAGCTATGATTCTGCCACTGCTCTCCAGCTTGGGCAACAGGCTAAATAAATAAAATAAAATAAAATAAAATAAAATAAAATAAAATAAAAAGATTCTGATACAGAGCAGGCTTGAATGACTTACCTGAGATCTAATGGCCAGCAAGCCATGAAAACTTAGCTCAGATGGCCTAACTCCTGATTCTGGGATCATTGGTTAGTTCCCTAAGATACAATGTTTTATCTTGCTGTGGTTTTCCTTCACTGATTTATTCATTAATTCATCAAACATTATTTTTCTTAGTAATAACTATATTGTTAGTATAACTATATTGTTAGTATAACTAATATAGTATAACTATATTGTATATTGTATATAGTGTACTATATTGTTAAAAAATACAAAACAAGAATAAATAGCACATGTAATTTCTTTGCAGTCCCCTCTTCTCCTGACTATACATGGACTTATTTTTATTTTATTTTATTTTATTTTATTTTTGAGAAAAAGTCTCACTCTGTCGCCCAGGCTGGAGTGCAGTGGCATGATCTCAGCTCACTGCAACCTCCGCCTCCCAGGCTCAAGCGATTCTTGTGTCTCAGCCTCCCAGATAGCTGGGATTACAGGTGCATACCACCACGCCCAGCTAATTTTTGTATTTTTAGTAGAGATAGGGTTTCCCCATGTTGGCCAGGCTAGTCTTGAACTCCTGACCTCTGGTGATCTGCCCTCCTCAGCCTCCCAAAGTGCTGGGATTACAGGCGTGAGCCACCACACTTGACCTATACATGGATTTAAAGTGATATACTTAAGTCTCTTCTCATGGAAGCTAAGAGAATGGGCTCTGGAGCCAGACTGCCTGGCTGTGTGTGTGAGACCTTAGGAAAATTATTAACCTCTCTCAGACTGAGTTTTCTTATTTGTAAAATGGAAAGAATAGTCCCTTCCTCATAGAATCATTGTGAAAGTTAAATGTGTTAATGCATGGGAAGTACATGATTAATCTTATTGCAATGGCTCAATGTTAACTATTATATATTTGTCTTCTTAACAACCAACCAACCGACCAATAAAAGCTGAATTCTAAGAACGGCCAGAGAGAATTCATGGTTTAAAGCCTTGGTTCCCCTATTTAGCTGTGTGTACCAGTATCACCTGTGATGCTTGTCTGTAACATGGCGTCTAGAGTCCAGTCTTGGAAATTCTACTTCAGAAGGGAGATAAGAAGCGCTGTGTTTTAACAAATTCCACAAGTGATGCAGATCCACGAACAGGTGTGGAACCACTGACTTAAGCCTGACCCAGATGCCAGTATGAATGGCATTCCCATGAGTACCCACAGGGCCTCAGCAGCCTGCTTGCTTCTCCCTCACGTGTCACCAGCCTTCAGCTCTGAATCCTGCATCCCACTGGCTTAGGCTGACTTCCTAAGGGGCAGTCAGTGGAACTTAGGTTGCATTTGGTTGGCTGAACTAGAAGACCCAAGCAAGGTGTCATGAACGATCCATTCACCCTTCTTCCAAGTCCCTCCTGTGTGCCAGGTCCTGTGATTAGGACTTTCTTGCTCCACATTTCTCTCCCCAGTCTGGCAGCAGAGCATTCAGCAGACATTTCCAGTGGGCTCACTCTGTACTTGGTGCCTCATGCTTGGTGTTGGGGACACAGTTCAGACACAGTTCAGAACCTGGCCTGGTGTAGCCTCTTCAGCCACCTTGCTTATCTACTATGGCTCAGGCTGGACACCCTGTAAAAGGACCTCTGTGTGCTTGAACTTGCTTCCGCACCTCCTACCTGGCCATTCCTTCTCCCTCATCTCTAGGATTTGATACATGCCTTGTTTTCCCAGGCCTGACCTTGACTCTTCCCAACTCACTTTGGATATTAATTCTACTTGTCAGGACTTCTAGGACCCCCTCCCCTGGGGCTGTTCCCATTTCCACCTGATTGGCTCAGTCTTTTAGGCAAGACCCAAGCCTAAACTCCAGAGGCCCAGTTCTCTTCCATTTTGAAAATAGTCACCATACGGCTCTAACATTTTGAAAGTGTGTTGGACTCTTGGACTCTCTGCTAAAGTTTTTCTTTATACTTTTTTTCATGCGTGCACGCTTGCACACATGTGCGTGTATCTTATTTATTTTAATTGCCCCTTCTAGAGAGACACCTCACATAACCATTTTTGTGTTTTAATTGTTAGTAGAAATTTTAGTTGTTTGAATTCTAAAGCTTTTTTTTTTGAGATGGAGTCTTGCTTTGTCGCCCAGTCTGGGGTGCAGTGGTGTGGTCTTGGCTCACTGCAACCTTCGTATCCCAGGTTCAAGCAATACTCCTGCCTCAGCCTACTGAGTAGCTGGGATTATAGGCACCTGCCACCAAGCCTGACTAATTTTTGTATTTTCAGTAGAGACACGGTTTTGCCATGTTGGCCAGGCTGGTCTCGAATTCCTGACCTCAGGTGATCCGCCCGCCTCAGCCTCCCCAAGTGCTGGGATTACAGGCATGAGCCACCGCACCCAGTGAATTCTAAAGCTTTTGTCCCAGTATTTCTCCTATGTCGCAAATCAAGGCACACAAAATGAGTGACAGTGATTGACTTACCTTAGCGTCTGAGTAGAGATTAAGAGCCCATTACTTTTAATGGCAAAAACTGCAATTACCTTTGCACCAACCTAGTACTTCATGGGATGGTGGTGAGGATAAAATGGTTATATCCGTAAACACTGAAGGCTCAGCAATAATAAATATTTGATAAATGAATAATTATCATAGGTACAGCTGGTGACTACTGACTATGTGTTTTACTCACATTATCTTCAATCTTGACAATGCTCTTGGAAGATTGGTACTATGATACACACTTCCAGAGAAGAGAGATGATCCCTGCTTCCAACCCCACTTCATGTCACCCAACCAAAAGTGGTAAGAGCTGAGGCTTGTGGTAAGAGCTGAGGCTTGTGCTAAGGCCTGATTCCCAAGCTGTCTCTCCTCTTCTTCCAAAACAAGTTCTACCAAGCTCCCGTCTCTCTCTCTCTCCACTCAGCTAAAAATATCCTGAACAGCATCCTCATTAGCTAATATGCATAAATTATTTTTTGCTTTTTGAAAATAATTGGCTCATTCTAGGCCAGGCGCGGTGGCTCATGCCTGTAATCCCAGCACTTTGGGAAGTTGAGGTGGGTGGATCACCTGAGGTCAGGAGTTTGAGACCAGCCTGGCCAACATGGTGAAACCCTGTCTCTACTGAAAAAAAAAAAAAAAATTAGCCAGGCATGGTGGCAGATGCCTGTAATCCCAGCTACTCAGGAGGCTAAGGCAGGAGAATCACTTGACTCCAGGAGGCAGAGGTTGCAGTGAGCCAAGATCACGCCATTGTACTCCAGCCTGGGTAACAAGAGCAAGACTCTGTCTAAAAACAAAACAAAACAAAACAAAATAAAAACAACCTTGCTGAAAATAATTGGCTCATTCAAAGGAAAGGCTTCCACCTCCATGAAGGAAGGAGCTGGGTTGCTCCGTGAAGGCTGTTCTGAATTCAGCAAAGGCAGCTGCCTGTGGAAGCTCCCCCTGCTTCTGGGCCTGTGCTGCTAGCCGGATGGCAGCTTAGCAGAGTGGAAAACCAACTCCCTTTGTTCACATACCTGCTGCATTTGAGCTAGGGGACTTTGGGCAAGTCCCTTCCAGTTTCCCAAGCGTCAGTCTCCTCAGCTATTACATCGAGATCATAGAAGTGCTTGCCTTATAGGGTTGTGGTGAGGATGAAATGAGATCATCCATGGGGCCTGACATGTAATATGTGGCCCTTCAAAAGCTGGGAGCTCCCATGATGTTGGGTATGAAGTAAACCACTGACATTTGCAGCTGAGGCAGGATAGCCTAGTGGTTAAGAGCATAAGGTTTGGAGCTGGAAAGTTCATACCTCAAACCCCAGCAGGTACCATGTTCTGGTTCTGTGACAGCCTCCTTCTCTCTCTAAGACTCTGGTAGTAAAAAAGATACAATACATATAAGGAACTCCAGAATGAACAGTGGCTGCGATCACAGCAAGCCTGCCCAACCAGATCATCCCTCTAATAGCCGTTGGAGTAATTGATTTCTGCTTCTAGGGCAAATGCACACAGACACCATCGAGTGTTCTTCTTGAGGCAGAGCACGTGTGCTCCAGGGCAGCTAAAGCCAAACTGTCTGCCCTGACTTCTCCTGCTGGTTATGTGGCCAATGACAGCTTAATGGACTCTTTACCCTTGAATGCTAAGGGGAAAATAACTCACAGCATTATAACATATGAATGTGATGTAGGTTTTTTTTCTTGAGCAATGCAGAGAGCGAGCCAGAAACATATGTAGAATTGAACCTCCCTTTTCCTGGCCCTGTCTGTATAGGAGACAGATTTAGCCATTGCAATTACCCATATCATTCATGGTTGTAAAATATAGCCACATCCATCCGTGTGTGTGTGTGTGTATGTGTGTGTGTGTGTGTGTTTTCCTGAATGATCTGAGGCTAACAAAACAGAGTATGTAGTCATCTTATTATGTGAGGACTGTGAATGCCTCTAAATTATTGATTTTCCAGGGACAAGCCGTTCCTCTTGGAATAAACGGATGGCTGTGCACACACACACATACACACACGTGCACCCACCCACACACACACACACACACAGACTTTGTTGTTATGAGGAAGCTAGTCAAAGATCTACCTGTGCAACTTTTAGAAAGCCATACAGGCGCAGTGGCTCACACCTGTAATCCCAGCATTCTGGGAGGCCGAGGCATGTGGATCACTTGAGGTCAGAAGTTTGAGACCAGCCTGGCCAACATGGGGAAACCTTGTCTCTACCAAAAATACAAAAAAAGTTGGCCAGACGTGGTGACGTGTGCTTGTGGCCCCAGATACTCAGGAGGCTAAGGCATGAGAATCTCTTCAGCCCAGGAGGCGGAGGTTGCAGTGAGCCAAGATTGTACCACTGCACTCCAGCCTGGGCAATAAAGGGAGACTCTGTGTCAAAAAAAAAAAAAAAAAAAAAAAGACAGACAGAAAGAAAGAAAGAAAGAAAGCTGTGCTGTCCTGACCAGATAGTCAGGGAATCTCCTCTGTGGGAAGCTAAAAATGTCCTCAGCTGCACAGTCTGAGGGAGGAGACAGTCAGTGGCAGCCACGGAGGCCTCCTTGAGGCTGAGAGGGGAGGGTGAGGCAGGGGACAAGGGCAAGGGGGGTGTGGGACACTGGTGAGACCATAGACTTGAGAAATCAGGCTGGACTGACCTGGGCTCAAATCCACCATCCTGACTTGGGGCAAGCATCTTCCTTATCTTGGAGCCTCAGTTTCCCCAGCTGTGACATGTACTTTGTATGGTGCTATGAGGATTGATGATAAACCAGGCTCAGGCCAGGCAAGACGTGAGGCACAGTGCCAGGCCCAGGGCGGTGCCGGGTACAAAGTGGCTCTTCCCCTTTGGGAGGAGATTCAGGCCAGGCAGAAGGCTTGCAGCGTCCCAGGTCCCAGGCAGTGCCAGGAATGTCCGCTGCAGCCACCCAGAGCCTCCCGGAATAGGAAGTGTGTGGAAGCGCGCGGCTCTCCATCTGGTTAATGTTCGCTTGTGTTTCCTGCTGGAGAGCATCACTTTTTTCACCTCACCTGGTTTGTTTACCCAAACAAGCTGCTCATTAACAACACGAATTGCATTTTCTGCAATTCTGTTGACAGCACAAATGTCTGCAGTCAGCTTGGGAGTTTGGTGGGAACTGTTGCTGGATCTTGCGTGGCCTAGCCAGCATAGCTTTTGAAGAAAGAAATCAAGGCCACACTGGGGTCTGGGGGAGGAGCATGGTGGCCTGGCTGGGGTCTGCTGGCAAGTCCAGCCCCAGGTCTCCAGCCTCTGAATGGGGACAGGGCCCTGGGCCCTCCCAGGAGAGGTAAGACACTTGGCAAAAAACAAAAACAGACAGGAGATTTTCAGGTGTGGGGCATAGGGGTGGGGATGGAAACAGATGTGACAGAGATGAAACCCTAGACAGAGGTGCAGACCTGGGGGGCCCAGCCTCCAGCAGAGAGACCCTGAGGGGCTTCCCTCATGGGCCTGGCAAACCCTATGTTCAGCTGCCTTCAGCACCCCCAAGCAACAAGAAGTGGATGAGAAAAATAATTATCCCAGCTGGGTGCAGTGGCTCATGCCTGTAATTCCAACATTTTGGGAGGCCAAGGCAGGCAGATGGCTTGAGCTCAGGAGTTTGAGACCAGGCTGGGCAAAATGGCGAAACCCCATCTCTACAAAAAAAAAAACACAAAAAAATTAGCCAAGCATAGGGGTGCACACCTGTGGTCCCAGCTACTCAGGATGCTGAAATGGGAGGATTGCTTGAGCCCAGGAGGTCAAGGCTCCAATGCACTGAGATCACACTACTGCACTCCAGCCTGAGTGACTGGATAATAAAATATTATTATTAATAATATTATTATTCCTTTCCTTGGTTTTGCCCCAAAAGATTGAGCTCAATCTGGTTTGCCAAAGCCCTGCCCTCTCATCTCAGCTGCTCAAAAAGAAGGACAAGGCCTGGTGCAATGGCTCATACTTGTAGTTCCAGTGCTCTTGGAGACCAAGGCGGGAGGATTGCTTGAGGCCAGGAATTCGAGACCAATCTGGGCAACATAGCAAGACCCTGTCTCTACCAAAAAAAAAAAAAAAAGAAAAAAAAACACATTGTTTTAATTAGCTGGGTGTGGTGTTGCATACCTGTAGTCCTAGCTACTGGGGAGGCTAAGGTAGGGGGATGGCTTGAGCCCAGGAGTTTGAGGCTGCAGCGAGCTATGATTGTGCTACTGCACTCCAGCCTGGGCAACAGAGCAAGACTGTGTCAGGAAAGAAAGAAAGAAAGAAAGAAAGAAAGAAAGAAAGAAAGAAAGAAAGAAAGAAAGAAAGAAAGAAAGAAAGAAAGAAAGAAAGGAAGGAAGGAAGGAAGGAAGGAAGGAAAGAAAGAAGGAAAGAAAGAAGGAAGGAAGGAAGGAAAGAGAGAAAGAAGGGAAGGAGGGAAGGAAGGGAGAGAGAGAGAGAAAGAAAGAAAGAGAAAGACAAGGTTTTTAATGCATGTGTTTGTTTATTTTACATTATTGCCCTCAGAATGCTTTCTCTTCTGCCTGTTTCCTCATTCAATACATTTCTATTGAAGGCTAATTGCACAGCAATGGGAGCTGAGGGATATTAAAGTGAAAAAACACACACCTTCCCCTCATGGCATTTACAGTCTAGCGGAAGGGATGATATTAAATAGCGTAACATTCACAATAGCAAAGACTTGGAACCAACCCAAATGTCCATCAATGATAGACTGGATTAAGAAAATGTGGCACATATGCACCATGGAATACTATGCAGCCATAAAAAAGGATGAGTTCATGTCCTTTGTAGGGACATGGAAGAAGCTGGAAACAATCGTTCTGAGCAAACTATCGCAAGGACAAAAAACCAAACACCGCATGTTCTCACTCATAGGTGGGAACCGAACAATGAGAACGCTTGGACACAGGGTGGGGAACAGCACACCCCAGGGCCTGTCGTGGGGTGAGGGGAGGGGGGAGGGATAGCATTAGGAGGAATACCTAATGTAAATGACGAGTTAATGGGTGCAGCACACAAACATGGCACATGTATACATATGTAACAAACCTGCACGTTGTGCAAATGTACCCTAGAACTTTAAGTATAATAAAAAAATTTAAAAAGTAAATAAATAAAATAAATAGCGTAACAAATAATCACAGTTGCAAGCCTGATGAATCAGAGGAGAGAGAAGTCCAGGATATGAAGGAAACTGGTAACCGGGGACCTGACTTCTGGCAGTGACTGTCAATGGTGTTGGAGAGAAAAGAAATATCTTTCCTTCCCATTGCCGAGTTCATGGCTGAGGTATCTATAACAAAAGACAGATTAACTACAGAAAAGCACACAAATGTATTTAATATGTTTTATGTGGGCCGGGCGAGGTGGCTCATGCCTGTAATGTCAGCACTTTAGGAGGCCCAGGCGGGTGGATCACGAGGTCAGGAGATCCAGACCATCCTGGCTAACGTGGTGAAACCTCGTCTCTACTAAAAATACAAACAATCAGCCGGGCATGGTGGCAGACACCTGTAGTCCTAGCTACTTGGGAGGCTGAGGCAGGAGAATGGTGTGAACCCGGGAGGCAGAGCTTGCGGTGAGCCGAGATCACGCCACTGCACTCCAGCCTGGGTGAAAGAGCAAGACTCCGTCTCAAAAATAAATAAATAAATAAATAAATAATAAAAAATTAGCTGGGCGTGGTGGCGGGTGCCTGTAATATCAGCTACTCGGGAGGCTGAGGAAGGAGAATTGCTTGAACCCGAGAGGCGGAGGTTGCAGTGAGCGGAGATTGCGCCACTGCATTCCAGCCTGGCGACAGAGTATCCATACACTTAGTTTTGAGAAGAAGCACAGTTGGGGAACAAGCATATGATCTCATGGTAGTCACTGGAGGAATCTGAGCAAGGCCTGTTTGTTCAGATTCTTCTTGGCATCTCTGTGTCTTTAGAGATAAACACGTTCCTTTCTTCCCGCTGCAGGGAGGGCACTCTTGGATGAGGTTTTTATGGCCTGCTTCAGGGAAAAGGGCGAGGGGAAGGGCAGAGCGATCTTCCTGCTTTTGCTGTTTTCTCAAATGCCAAGGTTTGGGGTAGTGTGTCCTGAAACCCCATCAGTGTCTTCTAGAAAAGGTGAGGTTTATGCTGACACCCTAATGAAGAGAAGTTTTCTAGCTGAAGAGCGGCAAAGGAAAATGGATCCACGTGTTTGGTTTCAAATTTCATAAAGACATCAGAGAAAGTCTGTCCCTCTGTCTGGGAGGCAGCTTGTATGGAACCTGGAAAATAGCACCTACCTTGTTGTTTTCTCCAGGAGGCAGGGACCCAGCCACCACCACGTGCCCGGTGTGTAGTAAATGCTCAACATATAAACATACTTGTTCATTGAAAACGAAAAGAGCAGGAGTCGGGGTGGGGATTCCATGGAGAGAACAGCATATGCAAAAATGAAATACACACCCACCCCTCCCCTCCTCTGTGCCTGAACATTAACAATCAACCAACAAATGATACTATTTAACGTGTACCTACAATGGTTCTCTCTCTCTCTCTGCACACACACACACACACACACACACACACACACATATAAAATACACACACACACACACACACAAACACACACACATATATACTTTTCTTCAGAGTTCAGACTCACAGCTAGGAAGAACTAAATTCTGAATTCTTCAGCTGTTCCATGATGTTAATTCACAATGTGCTCATGTCCCACTCCCTACCCTGGCAGGCCAGGTTCTTAACACAGCTCTTATCTCAAGAATGAGCCGGGCAAGGTCCCTCATGCCTGTAATCCCAGCACTTTGGGAGGCCAGGGCAGGCGGACTGCTTGAGGCCAGGAGTTCCAGACCAGTCTGAGCAACATGGAAAAACCCTGTCTCTACAAAAAATACAAAAAAAATTAGCCTAGTGTAATGGCACACACATGTAGTCCCCGTAGCTCAGGAGGCTGAGGTGGGAGGATCACCTGAGCCCAGGGAGGTTGAGGCTGCAGTGAGCTGTGATTGTGCCACTGCACTCCAGCCTGAGGGACAGAGAGACTGTATCAGGGAAAAAAAAAAAAAAAAGAATAAGTGATGCCAGTCGTGAGATTTTTTTTTTTTTTTTTTTTTTGAGATGGAGTCTCACTCTGTCACCCAGGCTGGAGTGCAGTGGCATGATCTTGGCTCACTGCAACCTCTGTCTCTCAGGTTCAAGCGATTCTCGTGCCTCAGCCTCCAGACTAGCTGGGATTACAGGCACACACCACCATGCCCGTGTAATTTTTTTGTTTTTTTAGTAGAGACAGGGTTTCACCATGTTGGCCAAGCTGGTCTTGAACTCCTGACCTCAGGTGATCCGCCTGCCTTGGCCTCTAAAAGTGCTGGGATTACAGGTGTGAGCCATCTCACCCAGCCCAGTTGTCAGATTTTATTAACTCATTTAATCTTCACACCCAGCCCATGAGGAAGACACTTGATCATCTCCCCTTTACAGATGAGGAAACTGAGGCACCAACATATTAGGTGACTAGTGGACAATAGTACCCATCAAACCTCTTTCACTCTTGACCCTCCTCAATTCTTTCTGGTTATTACCTTCTATGCACCGGCACTGTATACACATTGTTTCACTTAATCCTCACATGGAGCACCAGGTGGGAAGTGGTTCTTATACCCATTTTACAGAGGAGAAAATTGAGGCTCAGAGAAAGAAGTGGCTCATCCCAGGCTTCTGGGTTAGAGAAGATTTTGAACCCAGGTCTACTTGATTCCAAAGCTCATGTGCTCACCCCGGCTGCCAAGTCAGACAAAATTCTAGTGCAAAGAACACAGAATTCAGGAAAACAAAATTGCCAGCTCCTTCTTTCTTGCCTCCCATTTGCCCATTCCGCTATCTCTTGCAATCCTTACCCAGGTATATATGCATATATATTATATCTATAGTTGTATTATCACCCTCCATACAGCTTGGAAAAGCTAAGAAAATTGGACAAAAGAGCATTCAGCCTAGCCTCAATCCCCTCACTAGAAAAAGGAGATAAAAATCTCCAAATCCCAGGGTTAGGCCGGGCACAGTGGCTCATGCCTATATCCCGGCACTTCGGGAGGCTGAGGCAGGCAGATCGCTTGAGGTCAGGAGTTTGAGACCAGCCTGGCCAACATGGTGAAACCCTGTCTGTACTAAAAATACAAAACAATTAGCTGGGGGTGGTGCATGCCTATAATCCTAGCTGCTCGGGAGGCTGAGTTGGGAGGATTGCTTGAACCTGGGAGGTGGAGGTTACAGTGAGCTGAGATTGCACCACTGCACTCCAGCCTGGGTGATAGAGCAAGACTCTGCTACAAAAAAAAAATCATAGGATTATTTTGCAGATTAAATGAGATCATGTCTGTATAATAGTGGGCACATGGAGGCACTTTGAAAATCCTCCTTCTCTCCCATTTCCCAACTCATTCTTTCCAGCTAGTCAGACCTTCTTGGTTTGTGTGAGTGAGTCTTTGTGGTTTTGATGGGCACTAATTTCCACCAGCAGTCAATGCAGGATGTCCCTGGAAGGCAGAAACGTTGCCCTCTGTTCCAGCCATCTCCTGACATTGTAAAGGGCTGTGTACACCTATGGCCTTGTACAAATAATCACTAATAGCAGTAATAAACTATACAGCCTTCATTTGCCGCCAAGCATGACATATTCTGACATGTCTCCCTAGAAAGGCAAGCCTGTGGCTGCACAGACATGGGAAGTCGTTTTCCAAATGGGTATTTTCTTCAGAAGAAACTAATTTAGCCTCATTTCCAGTAGGCTGCATTCCTGAGGCCTATAAGCACAGAGGGGCAGACTGGCTGGGGTTTATCCTGGACTCAAGTGGGGGTCAATGTCCAAGAGAAAGGAGACCCTCAACTCCAAGAAGCATGCATTGGCTGGAACATATCATAACAGGTGGGGAAACTGAGACCCAGAGATGAGGAAAACTAAGCAACAATATCATCATCCCAACTACCTAGCTAGAGACACCTTACCTAGCTAGAGATGATGGCAGAGGTATTTTGAGAAGAAAGTTTCCTCAAACAGGAAGCAGTCAGCCACCAGTTAGAACAAGCTAAGTAAGCCCAAACATTCTCAAGTCTGATGATAAACGTTTTGCAGCCTTTTCAGAAAGCAATATATTATTACATGTGTCAAAAGCCTTTAAAAAGTGCACGCTCTTTGACATAGCCGTTTTCCCTCCAGAATCTGTCTGACGTTAACAATCAACAATGTGAACAAAATAAATGCACAGAGATGGCCACTGCAGCATTACTTATATATGACAATTTTTTCTTGAACACCTACTGTGTGCCAGCCAGTGGTCCATGGTACTGTCCTGAGATAGTTTAGGCCTTAGCATGCCCAGGGCTGTTCAATTCCTTTTCTTACTTGGGGAAGTGATATGGCAGGATAAAAGAAGCCTAACAGTGGAAAACACCTGGATGTTTAAATTCATTTATTCTTTCTTTTACTCACTCACTGTTCATTTATTTTGCAAATTTTTTTTAAATTAATTATTATTATTTTTTTTGAGATGGAGTTTTGCTCTTGTCACCCAGGCTGGAGTGCAGTGGCACGATCTCGACTCACTGTAACCTTTGCCTCCCGGGTTCAAGCAATTCTCCTGCCTCAGCCTCCCGAATAGCTGGAATTACCGGCATGCACCACCACGCCAGGTTAATTTTTTGTATTTTTAGTAGAGACAGGGTTTTGCCATTTTGGGCAGGCTGGTCTTGAACTCTTGACCTCAGGTGATCCACCAGCCTCAGCCTCCCAAAATGCTGGAATTACAGGCGTGAGCCACCGTGCCTGACCTCCACAAATATTTATTAAAAGCCCCTATATTGGTCAGGCAACATGGCTCATGCCTGTAATCCCAACACTTTGGGAAGCTGAGGCAGAAGGATCCTTGAGGTCAGGAATCCTTGAGACCAGCCTGGGTGACATAGTGAGACCTTGCAAAAATAAAAAATTAGCTGGACATGGTGTTGTACAACTGTAGTTCCAGCTACTCATGAGGCTGAGGCAGGAGAATAGATTGAGCCCAGGATTCAAGGTTGCAGTGAGCCATGATTGTGCCACTGCATTCCAGCCTGGATGACACAGCAAGAACCTGCCTGTCAAAAAATAATAATAATAAAACAAGTGTTCTCAAAAAAAAAGTTTTACTATTACATTATTTGTTCTATTCTATGTTCTATATGTAGACATAGAATCACCGTATGACCTCACAAGTCTACTCCTAGATATATACCCAAAGTAATTCAAAACAGGTATTCAAACAAATATTTATACACTTTTTTTTTTAATTTAGGAGCAGAGGTTTAATAGGCAGAAGAAGAGAGAAGGAAAAAGAAAGGAAAACAGTTATCTCTCTAGTGAGAGAGAGGGGACTTTCTAGAGGAAAAGGCCCAAATACTTATACACGTATGTTCATATCAGCATTATTTATAATAGCCAAAAAGTGGAAATATCATATCCATCAACAGATGAATGGGCTAGGCTCGATGGCTCACACCTATAATTCCAGTACTTTGGAGGGCTGAGGCAGGTGGATTGCTTGAGCTCAGGAGTTGGAGATCAGCCTGGGCAATATGGCACAAACCCCATCTCTACACAAAACACAAAAATTCACTGGGTGTGGTAGTGTGCAACTGTAGTCCCAGCTACTTGGGAGGCTGAGGTGGGAGGATCACTTGAGCTTGGGAGGTCGAGGCTGCAGTGAGCCGAGATGGCACCACTGCCCTCCAGCCTGGGCGACGGAGTGAGACCCTGCCTCAAAACAAAAACAACAACAAAACAGATGAATGGATAAACAAAATGTGGTACAGATGCGTAAAAAAATTATCCAGCCATAAAAAGGAATGAAGTACCGATCTATGGTCCAAAGTGGATGAGCCCGAAAGCATGCTAAGTGAAAGAAGCCAGACACAAAAATTCACATAGTGTATGCTTCCATTCATAGGGAACGTCCGGAAAAGGTAAATCCATAGAGGGAGAAAGCACATTGGTGATGACCAGGGGTTGAGGGAGGAGGGAATGGGGAGTGACTACTTAATGGGGACAGGGTTTCCTTTTGGGTGATGAAAATGTTTTGGAACCAGATAGAGATGATAATTGAAAAACACTGAGAATGTACTAAATGTCACTGCATCGTACACTTTAAGATGGTTAATTTTACGTTAGGTGAATCTCTTCTCAGTTTGTAAAAAATTTCCATGTGCTAGGAATATGTTCTGAGAGCGAGACAAAATCTCTGCCTCCATGGAGCCTGGGCAGGCAGTCAGTAAGTAAGTAAACAAACAATAAAAAAAAAAAAAGATAATTTCAGCTTGTGATGAGGATAACACAGGGTAAGGAACTAGAAAAGGCTGGGTGCTCCGGGGAGGGCTCTCTGAAGAGGTGGCATTTAACAAAGATCTGAATGAGGAGAGAAATGGAATGATGCAGATATCTAGTGGGGAGAATGTTCCAGGCAGGGGGAAGAGCAGGCACAAAGGTGCTGGCACAAGGATGAGTTTGGCAAGTTCTAGCTAAGCAAAGAAGCTGGAGCCACGGTGGTGGGAGCAGAGGGAATGAGGGGGGCCCTGGAAGGGGGAAGTGCTTCTAGCCCACCTGGGACGCCTTCTCTAAACAGAATCCCCATTTGTAAAAATGGTACCAGACTCTCCACCTTGAAGGTCAGCTGCAAGGATAAGAAAAGTTCCCAGACTTCACCTCCTGTGAGAACAAGTGCATTGCTACCCAAAATCTGGTGGGTTTGAGTCTTCTCTTTCTTGATTCCAAAAGCCCAGACTTTCACAGTCCTGAGCAATTCTGGGGTTCTCAGGGGGTGCTTGCATGTGTCCCCATCACAGACCTGGACATTGCTGACTCCTCTGGACAGGCTAGGTAGGGCCCCACATCTGCATAGAGAGGCACTTCAGGTGGGCCCCTGGGCCTGCAGCTTGGGCCACCATCTAGGGGCCAGGGGTCCAGGCGTCAGGGGACCTGGAAAGCTGGAAGCCCCCCTTGTCACCCTTGTGAGGTGGAAATACTTCTCCTGTGCTATGCTGGGTTGGTGGGGATGGGTCCCCACAACAAGGCAGTTTGTGCCCTGAATTTCACATAATTCAGTGATGTACTTATGTTGTTCCTTTTGGTCATTGTTGTTTTATTTTTTTGAGACAGTCTCTTTCTGTTGCCCAGGCTGGAGTGCAGTGGCACAATCTCAGCTCACTGCAACCTCCGCCTCCTGGGTTCCAGCAATTCTCCTGCCTCAGCCTCCCGAGTAGCTGGGACTACAGGTGCGCACCACCATACCCGGCTAATTTTTTTGGATTTTTAGTAAAGATGAGGTTTCACCATATTGTCCAGGCTGGTCTGGAACTCCTGACCTCAAGTGATCCACCTGCCTTGGCCTCCCAAAGTGCTGGGATTACAGGCACGAGCCACCGTGCCTGGCCTACTTAGGTTCTTTCAGAGCACTTTGCTCCCCGGGACACACAACCCACCCCCCCGCAACGGTGTTGGGGTCCCAGGATGAATTTCACTAGCACTTCATTGTGGGATCTAAAACCATGGATCCCCCCACAGCTCACCCTCCTTGTCAAGTCTCCCTCATGATGCCAGTAACTTGATGGTAAATTCTTTCAGGGCCTTTCTCCTTAAACCTGCAGTGCAGCTCTTGCAGGGTCTCCACCCCCCATGCCTATCTTGCTGGGGTGTGTCCAGACCTCAGTGGTGGCCAGGCTTCAGTGTCAGATGGATGTTCCCCATTTACTCCCAGGGGGTCAGGATCCCTGACTGCTGGCTGAGTGCAGTCAACGCACAGGACCACCAGAAGACCAGAGGGCTGTTAGTGGGGGAGAGGGGACATAAATCCCTGCCCACTGTGGCTTGGCAGAGGCTGTCTTCTCCCTGTGGCCACAGCCCCCATTGGTGGCACCTGTTCTCAGCTACGACTCTCATCAAATTCCAGTATCCTCCCCCTCTCCTTGCCTTTTCACATCTAAGAATAGTAACGGTTGCCTGCTGTTACTCATTCTGGGGTGCTTCGCCATCCCTTAACCCTGCCCACTCTTGGAAATTGTGCTTCATGAAACTCTTTAAGTGTCTTCTTTGGAACGTGTTCCGTCTCTCTTCCCCGGACCCTGATTGATACAAAGGTTTGTTCCCAGGTGCCCCTCAGCTCCTGTGCAATCAGTGACTGTAAGCAAACAACTCATCAACTCAAGCCCTATTTTCAGTCCAGACAAGCCGCCTTGCTACTAGCAGAAGTGAAGAGTGAGTGCTTTTGGAAGCAGGTTAGAGATGAAGAAAGGCTAAGAATAAGCACTTGGAAAGACATCTGAGGATGAGCTCCTTTCAAAGCAAGCAAGGCTTTGGAATGATGGTGAATTTTGTTATGACTGGGGAAAGCAGGGCTGGAGCACAGCTCACAGACATCTCAGCCTGGTTTCTCGGTCCTCCAGTTCCAACTTGCACAGACATTCTGTGCAAGAGGAAAGGCTAGAATGACTGCAGCTAAAATCCCACATCTGACTGGGGACAAGATGACAGAATACTATCAAGTTGGAAAGGCCCAAGTTAAATAGTTTGATTTCTCTCAGCTTTTCAAAGAGAAAAAAGAAGCAAAGGTGAGATTTTTATTTTCAAAGCAAGCAACATATTTCTTATGACAATATCTCCATTTAATGGTCCTGTCATGTCTAATAACTTAAGAGAGAAAATACGTTTCTTTGATCTTAGCTAGTCAAGAAGAGTGACAGCTGGCACTCTGCACAAAAATTTAGTGCCTTGTCTAATTGTGTTGACTTCTCATTATTGGAAAGTCTCACAACCAGTAAAGGATTTGTTTAACTTTATCAAACTGTTAACCATTTCCTAGCTCCTCCCCCTCACACCCACGTGGAACTGAAAAACTTTCCGGACTAGAATCAAAGTTGAGCATGACTTGGCTGTAGTCTGCAACTTACATCAGGGGCTCTAGGGAGTTTTACTGAGCAAGAAGTGAGTCCTCTGCCTCACTGCATGCATCTCCTCTTCCAGCTTGGGGTGGTAATGCCCATTTGATGAGAGTATTCACTGGGCTCATTTTTAATTGATGTTTATGGTCTATATTTAGCCAGCAGAGGTCACAGAGCATTTGTTGCATGTCAGGCTCGATACTAAAGTCTGAACAATAGAAATGCATCAGTCTTAGTCCCTGCTGAGAAGGACTCACTATCTAGTAGGAGGGACAGGCACAAAAACAATTGCAGTGCTATGCGATTAGAAATCCTAACTCAGTTGGCTGAGTGCGGTGGCTTATGCCTGTAATCCCAGCACTTTGGGAGGCCGAGGCGGGTGGATCACCTGAAGTCAGGAGTTTGAGACCAGCCTGGCCAACATAGTGAAACCCTGTCTCTACTAAAAATACAAAAATTAGCTGGGCGTGGTGACAGGTGCTGTAATCCCAGCTACTCAGGAGGCTGAGGCAGGAGAATCACGTGAACCCAGGCAGGGGAGGCTGCAGTGAGCCGAGATCATGCCATTGCACTACAGACTAGGCAACAGAGCGAGACTCCGTCTCAAAAAAAAAAAAAAAGAATTCTAACTCAGTCATTCCCTCCCTGGGTGACCTTGAGGATGTCAACTTCTTTCCTGGTGCCTCAGTTTCCCCAAAGCAAAATCAGTCTCCTCACACAGCAATAGTTTGTAAACTTTACATTACATTAGAAGCACCTGGAGGTCTTTGTGAAAACACAGGTTGCTGAGCAACAGTGTCTGGGATTCAGTAGGTCTGAGTTGAGGCCTGAGAATTTGCATTTCAAACAAGCTCCCAGAAGATGCTGATGCTGGTGGGAGGATCACACTTCGAGAACCACTCTCATAGGCTGATGGGGAGGACTCTGTGTGCTAAGGTGAGTAAAAGGCCCAGAGGCAGCACCTGCCTGGGTTCTGCTCAGTACGTTTTCTCTAGAAACCACAGACCTACAGGGCACAGTAGGAGCCCACCGGGCTCAGGGAGAAGAGGTCTTCTTAGAGGAGGTGATTTGGCAACAGAAGCCTGAGGGAAGAAGTGGACAGCACAGTTCATCTGGGGGCCAGCCAGCCTTCTGCTGAGGAAGACTGTTTAGCATTTGTCTCTTGAGGCAGTGGCTCTCAACGTCTTTACTGTGAACCCCCGGGAAGAAACATGATTTACATCACGACCCTGAACACACACATGCCTATGTGTTATAACGGAAACATAAAACAGGACTTTTCCTGTCTCTGAGATACACTCTAAGACTGTCTGTGTTATTTAGCTTTAAAAATATTGATTGCGCAACTCGGTGAGATTGGCTAACTTAAATTCTGGGATAGATGACACACAGGGTGCATCTCAGTCAGATTTAGAGAGGCATTTAAATCAGAATTGGGGCTGGGGGAGCAAGGAGGCAGGGAAGATTTCTTGTAATAACTAACCCTGTGAGATGCTCACTGTGAGTTGGGCTCAGTTATAAAGTCAAGCTAAGTTCCAGATCAATAGATACACGCACACACACGCACGCACATGCATTTGTGCATTTGATTCATTTATTCCTCACACCAACTCTCTGAGATAGAAATTATCATTATAGGCTGGGCGCGGTGGCTCACGCCTGTAATCCCAGCACTTTGAGAGGCCAAGGCAGGTGGATCACGAGGTCAGGAGATCGAGACCATCCTGGCTAACATGGTGAAATCCTGTCTCTACTAAAAATACAAAAAAATTAGCCAGGCATGGTGGCAGGTGCCTGTAGTCCCAGCTACTCGGGAGTCTGAGGCAGGAGAATGGTGTGAACCCGGGAGGTGGAGCTTGCAGTGAGCTGATATAGCGCCACTGCACTCCAGCCTGGGCGACTGAGCAAGACTCCATCTCAAAAAAAAAAAAAAGAGAAAGAAATTATCATCATCTCCAGCCCCATTTTACAGAGGAAGTTAAGTGACCTGCTCAAGGTCATACAGTCAGTAGGTGGCAGAGTTTTGACTATATAACTTAAGAACCCCAGCCCAGGTTCTGTTCTGTCAGCCACTATGGTGCACTGATTCTCTGCTGATAGATTGCAACCCACAGACTAGAAATCTTTCCGTAGAGAATCTACTCATGGCCCGTCTGTTGGGTCAACAAACATTTAGAGAGCTTCCAAGTGCCAGAGTCCTCCATGTTGGCCCAGATCTAAATAAATTGATTAATTTCTGGCCAGGCATGGTGTCTCAAGTGTGTAATCCCAACACTCTGGGAGGCCAGAACAGGAGGATTGCTTGAGGCCTCAGGAGTTTGAGACCAGCCTGGGCAACATAGGGAGACCCCGTTTCTACAAAAAAAAAAAATTAGACAGGCATGGTGGCACATACCTGTAGTCTCAGCTACTCGGGAAGCTGAAGTGGGAGGAACACTTGAGCTCACGAGGTCAAGGCTGCAGTGAGCTATGATCATGCCACTGCACTCCAGCCTGGGTGACAGAGTGAGACCCTGTCTCTAAATAAATAAATAAATAATTTCTTTTAAAATATTTTATTTATTTTTGAGACAGGGTCTTGCTCTGTCACCCAGGCTAGAGTGCAGTGGCACAACCTTGGCTCACTGCAACCTCCACCTCCCGGGTTCAAGTGACTCTCCTGCCTCAGCCTCCCGAGTAGCTGGGATTACCGGCATGCACCACCACGCCTGGCTAATTTTTGTTATTTTCAGTAGAGACGGTGTTTCGCCATGTTGACCAGGCTGGTCTCAAACTCCTGACCTCATGTGATCCACCCGCCTCGGCCTCCCAAAGTGCTGGGATTCCAGGCATGAGCTACCACACCCAACTCTCCTTGTCTCTCTCTCTCTCTCTTTTTTTTTTTTAGACGGAGTCTCACTTTGTCGCCCAGGCTAGAGTGCAATGCCACCGATCTCGGCTCAGTGCAACCTCTGCCTCCTGGGTTCAAGCTATTCTCCTGCCTCAGCCTCCTGAGAAGCTGGGACTACAGGCGTGTGCCACCACACCTGGCTAATTTTTGTATTTTTAGTAGAGATGGGGTTCTGCCATGTTGCCCAGGCTGGTCTCGAACTCCTGACCTCAAGTGATCCACCTGCCTCGGCCTTCCAAAGTGCTGGGATTATAGGCGTGAGCCACCATGCCAAGCCAAATTAATTAATTTCTTACTGGAGTACATGCAAATTAGTTAAATTCATTAATTCACTTGGTCACACACTCAACATATAGTCACCAGCGCCTGCTCTGTGGCTGGCCGTGGGCTGCATCAGCCATACCTGAACTTGACACCCAGAGTTTGAGGATCTAGGCAGGATCAGGGGCCCTCTTTAAGTTTTGCATGTACTGAACTGGCTGATCCATCTAGATCCTTTCTTTTTCCCCAAAGAAACAGAACACCAGGATCCCCCTACTTGTTTCTCCATCCCTGGAGCTTGGACACATAAAATGCTAGGCAAGCAGAGATGATGTGTGTGGTGAGTCATTTGAGTGATTGCTTTGGTTGCAGCTACCTCACTGTGTTCTCTGGCCAGAGGAAGCCACCAAGAAACACCTGTTAGGTGAGTTCTGTGGTCCTGTCTTTGGCCGCCATCCTGCTGACTCCCCACCTCTCTTAGGATGCTCTGCCATGGGCTTTGCTGCCAGGGAGCAGGCACTCTAGTCTGACCATGTGGAGAATCCCCTCTGCCAGCGTCTAAGCCAGAGCTTAGCTTGATCCCTTCACGAGACTCCCAAGGTGCAGGCTCAGCAGCCTGACTCTCTTCCTCATGGAACTGATTGCCTGGACTTTGACGATGGTTCGAGTGGATCATTCTGAGTTAGTATTCTGCAGCTGTAAAGCCACTTCTCCATGCTTTAGTCGTTTCTCCCCCGAGTTCCTTATTCTCTGCATGCTGATCTGATTCAGAACACTGGATTTCTTTCTGATGATTGCTTTATGAAGGGTGAAGACTTGGGCTTTGGGTCAGATAGACCTGGAGTTGAATTCTAACTCTACCACCTACTGGCTGTGTGACCTTAATCATGTTAGCCTAGTTTCCTCAACAGAAAATGAAGATGAAAGAGTGGGTGTAAAGATCAACAGATGCTAAGGAGACACGATGACTAAATGCAATGCTGCAACCTGGAGTGAATCATGGAAAAGAAAAAGGACATTGATGAGAAAAGGGACGAAATATGAATGAAGTCTGTAGTTTAGTTACTAGTATCATACCAATATTAATTTCTTAGTTTTGACCAATGTACTTTGCTTATGCCAGATGTTAACCTTAGGGGAAGCTGGCTGGAAGCTATACAAGAGCTCTCTGTGCTATTTTTCCAATTTTTTTGTAGATCTAAAATTATTTCAAAATGAAAAGTAAAAATGAAATTAGGCCGGGTATGGTGGCTCACGCCTGAAGTCCCAGCATTTTGGGAGGCACAGGCAGGCAAATTGTTTGAGCTCAGGAGTACGAGACCAACTTGGGCAACATAGCAAGATCCCTTCTCTACAAAAAGAACCCAACCAACCAAACAAACAAAAATTAGCTGGGTGCGGTGGTGTGCACCTGTAGCCACAGCTACTCAGGAGGCTGAGGTGGGAGGATTGCTTGAATCTGGGAGGCAGAGATTGCAGTGAGCTGTGATGGTGCCACTGCATTCCAGCCTGGGTGACAAAGTGAGACCCTGTCTCAAAAAGAAAGAAAGAGGCTGGGGGGACAAGGATGCATTTAAAGTTCTGAGCTTAGCTCAATATGTGGACCAAGTATATTCTTAAAAAATGTGAGTTATTATCATGGTGATGATTATCTCACTTATTCCTCAAAACAACCCTATGAAGTAGGCTCTACGTTGCAGATTTAGAAATGGAAGCACAGAGAGGTGAAATGCTTACCCAAGCTCACACAGCTAGGAAGTGGCAGCTCCCAGATTCAAACCCAGCTACAATCTAGTTCTGCCAGCCATGCTGTTATCCCTCTGCCTTCCACTCTGCAGTGCTATCATTATAATAAACGAGGATAAGTCATGAGGGGGAGAGGGGCAGCAGGGTTTGAAACAAATAGAGTTTAGACCCAGAAAGACCTGGGTTCAAGAGCTACCTCTGCTGTGAATCGTGGGCAAGTTCTCTAACCTCTCTGAGCCCCAGATCCTTCATCATCATCAACATAGAAATCAACTCTTAGGTATAACTGAGATGGTAGAAAAGGGGCCGATACACAGAAGGATCTCAGTTAATACTAGTTCCTGTTCCAGCAGTGTATTTGATCACCTCATTTGCACAGCTCAGGGAAATGAAGAGGGGTTCTCACCTGGCTATCAGACCCTGCCACTTACTCACAGCCTTGGGCAAGTGGCTTCACATCTCTGAGTGCCGGATTGCTCAAATATAAACTGAAGATAAAAGTCCCTGCTTCAGAGGATTGTTGAGGGCATTAAGGAATCTATCTGAAAAGCCCTCCGTACAATCCCTGACACTGTACTGCTAAGTGCTCAGTGAATGGCAGACACCATTTGACACCACACCTATTTCTGAATCTCCCTCCTCCTAGGCTCACAGTAGGGTGTCCTTCTTGGCCCCCAGGTGGTTGGGAGGAGTCATGTGTCATGTTCTGGCCCATGAATTGTAAGCAAAAAGTGACATGTATCACTTCCAAGCCAGAGCACATAATTATCACTGGGAAGCCATCCAAATTCCTCTTTCCCACTGGACACAGTGATCAGAAACAAGATGGTGGCTGTTCCCTCAGTCTGGGCGCCTGCATGACCACAGTGAAAAGCATCTCTTCATTAACTCGTGATGGACCTGGAACAGGAGTGAGAAGTCAACATTTTTATGTGTTAAGCCACTGAAGTTATAGGTTGCTTATTGTTAGAGCAAAACCTTGCTTATGCTGACCCATATAACAGTTATATTTAATAACTACTATCGTTTTTACTTCCTAGAACTCTAAAAAGGAGGTAAGAAAGTAACACGTTTTATCATCTCAACAAGCCTGTGGTTCATCTCCGTTTTACAAATGCAGACATGACGTCAAAGACACTTGTCCAAGGTCACACAGCTGGAAAGAAACTGGGTCTGGACTTCAACCTGGCTTCAGTTCTTCAAATCTGCCTATTTATAGCAGAGTTTCTTGCCACAAGCTGTACCATTCAAGATGAAGTAGGTTGGAAACTTGGACCCTTGAGAGATTTCTGGGAAGGGAACTGTGGTAAAGAGAGGTGATGACAAGGTTGAACTTTACTTTGTTCTCTTTCCATCTCTGCCTCTCACATCTTGCATTGCTCTTTCATAATTTTAATATCTGAAACCTCACACCGACCATGGAAGTGATGTGAATGTTTTCAGAAAACATGTGCTGGACATATGATTTCAGTTTAAACTCGGGTGCTTTGTAATATCCTTGTTTTTTCAACCAGGCAGATGCTTCTCCGCCCTGCAGCTCCACTGGGTGTTGTGTCTTCACTGTGAGTTTATTTTATCCAAAGCCTCTTACTCTTTCCATGGCCCCAGATAAATTAATCACCTCTGCAAACTTTGTCTGTGAAGTGGGTTCATAAAACCTACCTCCCATGTCTAACGTGAAAGATGGGCATCGGTGAAAAGCATTTTGCAATTTCTGTGGAGCACCGTACATGGGTTGGGGATTATCTAGCACATTACTTATTTATTCAACAGCAAACATTTATTGAGCACCTCCTGTATGTTGTACTGGGGGGGCTAAAGATAAGAAATGAATGAGATTCTGTGCATGTCCTCAAGGAGGCAGTGTGTTGTCATCGTTAAGAGTACAGGTGGTGGAGTCGGAAAAACCTGGGTTCCATTTCTTACTCTAGCACTGCTCTTGCCCTGAGTCTTTTTCCTTCAACTGCAAAATGGTGACAATGTTAATATTTACTTAAAGCACTGCTATAAAGTTCAAATGAGATGATGCATGGAAGTGTAGTTTCTGATGGGTGGTGAACATCAAATAGGGCCATTGTAATTAATCTATGTTTGAGGACATAGTAGGAGCTCTATGAATGTTTGTGAAGGAAAAAATGGAAGGTTGCAAATGAATGAGCAAAAGTCTTGGCTTCCATTGAGGGATCTGGCCAAGCTGACCTTGAAATGAGCCAAGGTGAGGCCCCTGGGCGTAGACCCAAAGGCTCTGCAGCCTTGAGCCTCTCCAACTGTTGAAGTACAACTCAGGTTTCAGGGGTACCTGAAGCTTCCAGGATGTTTTCGGCCCCACCTAATGTGTAAGAAAACACACTGTAGACAGCATTCCCCATTTGGGCAAGCAAGTGTTAACATCACCAGGAAATGAGAAGCAAACATAGAAGATGCCAATGTCATGCAGAAATGTAGGGTTAAACAACTCCATGGCGTGAGAGCTCCACCTTCCAGCTCCTGTTAGAAGGAGCTCCCTCTTTCTCTGCTTAGGTTGAGTATGACTGCAACTTCTGGTTTTAGAAAACAAGCTTCTGGTCGGGCGTGATGGCTCACGCCTGTAATCCCAGAACTTTGGGAGGCTGAGGCAGGCGGATCATTTGAGGTCAGGAGTTCGAGACCAGCTGGGCATGGTGTCGGTGTCGCATACCTGTAATCCTAGATACTCGGAAGGCTGAGGCAGGAGAATTTCTTGAACCCAGGAGGCAGGACTTGCAGTGAGCCAAGATTGCACCACTCTGCACTCCAGCCTGGGTGATAGAGCGAGACTCAGTCTCAAAAAAAAAAAGAAAGAAAAATAAAAAGAAAAAGAAAACAAGCTTCTATCCAGGGGGGATGCCACATGTGGGTGACCAGGGATTTGGGGGCAGGCAGATCCAGGTTTGAATCCTGGCACACTACTTTCCTTCTGAAAGATCATGGCAGGACACGCCAGCCCTCTGAGGCTTGGACTCCTTTGTCAAGTGACAATGATACCACCTCTTTCACTGGGTTTGGTCGTGTTATTATTGATAGCTAACATTTATTGAGTACTTTTAATGGGCATTTCCTGCATCCACTCAACTAATCCTGACAGTAACCCTGACAGGGGTTATGATTATCCTTGGTTGACAGATTGGGAAACTGAGGCTCAAAGAAGTTACATAACTTGCCTATAGCCAGAGAGCGGCTCAGCTGGCATCTGAATTCAGGTCCGTCTGACACTAACGCTAATACTTTCTCCATTAAACACACTTAGCTCATACTTCTTCCACTTTGAATATCTCTAAATCTGAGAAGATATGGGGGGAAGAAACCCAATTTTTTAAACCAATTTGAATAATTAAATTTGGCAGCAAAAAGCTCAGTACCGGAAGTACATTCACCATGCCGTTGCTGAATCTGTTTAATGTGTTTTAAACCAGCTTAGCTCCGTGAGTTAGGAAATGGAGCTAGTGTTTAAATTTTAAAACTAGCAATGAGGAGTCCATCTCTGTGGTGTTAGACGAAGTCTGCACTAAATCTTTGCTTCCCATAAGAGTTGTGGTGAGGTCACCCTCACCTCTGAACTCATCTGGGGCCCTTGGAAGACAAGAACATCCAGAGAGAAGACACGAAGGCAGAAAAGACTTCGCGTCTCAAGCCATTTATTTCCATAACAAGCATGTTTCATCTTCAAAGCCCTCTACAAGCCATCATTAATCTTCACAACACCTTAGTGAGCTGGGTGCATATCATTACCTGGGTTTTATAGGCCCAGGTGGCCCAGGGGAGGCCTTTGGACAGTGAGTGACTCGTGGATACCAGCCTCAAGAGGAACGATTAGGCCACCCCACCTCAGCCTGGCAGGCCCATTCCTGCATTGCCCAATTCCACTCAATCTCTATAGATGTTTCCTGATGTGAAAGAAGATGGGTAGGAAGGGGAAGAGGCAGAACTGGGAACGCACGCAAAATGTAAAGAAAGCCTGGTGTTAGTGCCACTTAATGCATTTGATTTTACTGGAATTATGAATTAAGTTTATTTAAATAACTATTAATAATAACTCATATTTACATACACATATTTAGATTTTCAAGGCCCTTTTACGTGTGGTAATTCTTTGCAATAGTCATTTTATTCTCTCTCTCTTTATGTACATATATATTTTGTTTGTTGGTTGGTTTAATTTTTGAGACACAGTTTCTCTCTGTCATCCAGGCTGGAGTGCAGTGGCACAATCTTGGCTCACTGCAACCTCTGCCTCTCGGGTTCAAGCAATTCTCATGCCTCAGCCTCCTGAGTAGCTGGGATTACAGGCGTACACCACTATGCCAGGCTAATTTTTGTATTTTTAGTAGAGACAGAGTTTCACCATGTTGGCCAGGCTGGTTTTGAACTCCTGACTTCAAGTGATCCGCCTGCCTTGGCCTCGCAAAATGGTGGGTTTACAGGTGTGAGCCATGCAGTCTAGTGTGAGAAGCCTCCACCTGTAAGATAGGGTCCTTATTCCCTGCCCACCCCCCGCCCCTTTGTTTCTTTCTTTTTTTTTTTTTTTTTTTGAGACAGAGTCTCTCTGTGTCACCCAGGCTGGAGCGCAATGGCGTGATCTCTGCTCACTGCAAGCTCCGCCTCCTGGGTTCATGCCATTCTCCTGCCTCAGCCTCCCGAGTAGCTGGGACTACAGGCGCCCACCACCACGCCCAGCTAATTTTTTTTGTATTTTTTTAGTAGAGACGGGGTTTCACCGTGTTAGCCAGGATGGTCTCGATCTCCTGACCTCGTGATCCGCCCGCCTCAGTCTCCCAAAATTCTGGGATTACAGGCGTGAGCCACCGTGCCTGGTCTCCCCTTTCTTTTAACAGATGACAGAACAGAGGTTTAAGGTCACACAGTGAGCAGGTGATGGAAGCTGAACTCAATTCCAGGTTCAGTTGATTGTGAAGTTTGTGTTCTAGCCAAGTAAAAAGATGTTCACTGCAATATTATTTAAAATGACCAAGTGTATCCATTGGTAGGGACATGGATAAATGAAACGTGGGAAAGGCATGAGATGAAATATTGTACCAGTCAAAGGGAATGACTTACATCTACTGAGAGATAATGCCAAAGGCCAAAAGTGGAATTAGATGAATAACATGGTCTTACTTCCACAGATTTTAAAATGCATACTCAAAGTGATGCTATATACTTACATATATAATGATATTTGGCCAGGCATGGTGGCTCATGCCTGTAATCCCAGCACTTTGGGAGGCTGAGGCAGGTGGATCACTTGAGATCAGGAGTTCAAGACTAGCCTGACCATCATGGTGAAGCCCCATCTCTTTGGAAAATACAAAAAATTAGTCTGGTGTGGTGGCACACGCTTGTAATCCCAGTTATTCAGGAGTCTGAGGCAGGAGAATAGCTTGAATCTGGGAGGCAGAGGTTGTAGTGAGCCAAGATCATGCCACTGCACTCCAGCCTGGGTGAAAGAGCGAGACTCCATCTTGAAAAAAAAAAAAAATTACATATATAAGGATATAGAAGATGGATTGAGCTGGATGCGGTGGCTCTCACCTGTAATCCCAGAACTTTGGGAGGCCAAGGCGGGCAGATCACCTGAGGTCAGGAGTTCGAGACCAGCCTGACCAACATACAGAAACCCTGTCTCTACTAAAACTACAAAATTAGCTAGGCATGGTGGCACATGCCTGTAATCCCAGCTACTTGGGAGGCTGAGGCCAGAGAATTGCTTGAACCTGGGAGGCAGAGGTTGAAGTGAGCTGAGATTACGCCACTGCACTGCAGCCTGGGCAACAGGAGCGAAACTCTGTCTCAAAAAAAAAAAAAAAAATAAGAAGATGGATTGCAAGGCCACACATTAGGTACATAAAAGTAGATGGCTTGTGAGTAGAGACAGGGTTATGAATTAAGAGCAGGAGACCATTAATTTGGTGCGGGGATGGGGGGCTCATGCTAGATGAAGACAGTGAGGCGCCACGAACCTGGCTGGCGGACTCAATTCGTGTATGCGCCTTCCCAGGGCCCCTCTAAAACTAATAACAACACAAAGCACACACATCCTTTGCTCTTTTACAGGCTACATTCTCTCCCTTCAATCTCAGTGTTGAAATTGCCTGTCGAACTTGAACCAGCCAAAAAATCTAAACGAAAAACAGGAACAAAAAGAGCAAAATTTGAAACCAACTTGAGAAGTGAACAGTGTCTGTTTGGGCTGCACGTGGGTGCTGTCAAGTGTGCATGACAGACGTCGTGGAGCAGAGACCGGGAGCAGCTGAGCTGTGAGCCCTTCCGTGGCCTGGCCTGCCTCGTGGACCAGGTCAGCCACGATGCCTTAGAGGCCGCAAGGCAGTGGTGGAAATCGTGGTTGGAGGTTGCCCACAGAACCTTGCTTCCCGACTTCTCAAAGCCACACTTGCCTGCTTCTTTGTTGGTTTCCTGCCATGACATGATCGATTACAGATACATTTTTCTAGAAGTTGAGTTGTGCCAGGCAAACTATGCCAAAGCAGCCTCATTTCCATGTGTGGTCTGGGTGGATTGGGGGAGGCTGTAGGCAGAGCAATGCTGGATTTCAGCAAGGCACTTA
This sequence comes from Homo sapiens, assembly GCF_000001405.40. NCBI lineage: Eukaryota > Metazoa > Chordata > Mammalia > Primates > Hominidae > Homo > Homo sapiens. The sequence continues at coordinate 123,965,314 of NC_000009.12, forward strand.
CAGGAGCATCTCTTGTTTAAGGTCTCCCTAAAACACGAATCTGACCTGGTCCTCCCCTTGCTAAAACCAACAGCTTCATCTTGCCTGCCAGATAACTGGGAACTCCTCAGCTGTGCACGCAAGACCCTCAGTGTACTTGGTCTCTGCCAAACCTCCCAGCTCCCCACCCTGGTGCTCTCCCAGCAGCCTCTCTCCGCCAACTAGGCAGAACCACTGCAGACCCACAATACAGTCCCTATTTTTTTTTTTTTGAGACAGAGTCTCGATCTGTTGCCAGGCTGGAGTGCAGCGGCGCAATCTCGGCTCACTGCAACCTCCGACCCCCTGGTTCAAGTGATTCTCCGATTCTCCTGACTCAGCCTCCCGAGCAGCTGGGACTACAGGCACGCGCCACCACCCCAGCTAATTTTTGTATTTTTAGTAGAGACGGGGTTTCACCACGTTGGCCAGGATGGTCTCAATCTCCTGACCTCGTGATCTGCCCACTTTGGCCTCCCAAAGTGCTGGGATTACCACGACACCCAGCCCTACAGTCCCCATTTTTATTCCTCTGAGTTCTGCATAGGCTGCCACTGCCAGCCAGAATGCCCTTCCTTGCCTTGGTCCCACAGTTAATCTTTACTCAGCTTCCAGACTCAGCTGAACTGTCACCTCCCCATGAAACTTCCCAGATCTTTCCCCTTCTTCTGCCCCACCCAATCAGGAAGAACTGACACATGGACTGAATAAGTTATGACATGCAAAGTGCTTAGGACAGTAGCTTGGGGTTAGATGTGGCTTGAAAGTCAGAATTTTTCAGATTTTATAAAAGATAGAAAGTTCATATACCATATATTGTGAAAGAGCTTGAGCAGACTATGGAGCACGTCTCCATAACAAAGCTCATTAACGCTCCTGCAGGAAATGCATGAACAGTCGCACACTAGATGAAGACTATAAATAGTTTCAGTCAGGTCAGGGAGGGGTTTGCCACTGAATTTGTGAAAGAAAATGTTGGTGTTGTTTTCCAGGGCATTTAGAATTTTGGAATTGTGGGCCCATAGTATTAATATTATTAAGTCCATCCTTTGTTCTACTAATGTAAAAATAATTCTTAGGACTAATGCAAGCACTTAACATTCACTAAGCGTTATGCAAAGCAATTGACATGAATGATCTCATCCTTTCTTTTTCTTTTTTTTTTTTAAGACAGGATCTTGCTCTGTCACCCAGACTGGAGTGCAGTGGAGCGGATGATCATGGCTCACTGTAGCCTCGACCTCCTGGGCTCAAGCAATGCTCCTGCCTCAGCCCTCCGGAGTAGCTGGGACTACAGGTGCACCCCACCACATCTGACTAACTTTTGTATTTTCTATAGAGCTGGTTTCACCATGTTGCCCAGGCTGGTCTCAAACTCCTGGGCTCAAGAGATATGCCCATCGTGGACTCCCAAAGTGCTGGGATTACAGGCGTGAGGCACCGCACCCGGCCTCTGATCTCATTCTTATGCCATCGTGAGGTGCAAAGCGATAACCTGCCGAAGTAAGTGGGAGACATGGGACTTAAACTCACAGCTTTTCTGATGCCAAAGTCCACACTTGTAGCCACAACCCTATACTGCAGTCCCTCACTGCGCTTTATACATCCGGGCACTTATCTCCTTTGGCTGTGATTCATTCTTTATGAGTTTGTCTCCCCAACTTGGTGGTGAGCTCCTCAACTGTGGGGACCCGAGCTGATCCATCTCTACCTGTGAATGAATCAATGAAGTTCACTTGCACAGGATGGTGAATCGTTGCATGGTTAAGAGGACTGTCACGGCCGTGCATCACGTGTTAATGAGTAGACTGATACCAACACATGTTCATGCACCAACATTAATTGCACAGCTGCCTGCTAAGCACCCTAAAGGCAGGCAGAGAAATCAAGCCAGATTCCCTGTCCTCAAGGGGTCTACGGTCTAGGAGGAGAGATAGTAGACATCTCCATACCACAGTAACATGAGGCTAAGGTAAGCAAAAGAACTAGCTACATAATGCTTGGAAACTGAAGAGAAGTGAGCCAATCCTTCAGGGGATCACAGAAGGTTTCCTAGATACAGGCATTTGTTCTTGCTGTAGAATACCATCCCAACATGTAGTGGCTTAAAATAACAAGTTCTTTAACTCCTGAATCTCCAGGTTAGCTAGGCAGTTCTGCTGACCCAGGCCAGGCTTGGCTGATCTTTCCTGGGTTCACTCAGGCATCCATGGTCAGTTCATGGATGGGCTGGGGCTGGCTGGTCTAGGATGGCCTTGGCTGGACAACTCAGCAGTCCTCCACAGGTTTCTCCTCCAGTGGGCTAGTCCCAACTATGCACATGGCAGAAGCAGGGGAGGAGGAAACAACAGAGACTAAAGAACTATGCAGAGCTCCTTGAGGCCCAAATTCCTTCCTTGGGCCAATTGGGAGGACTAACTGAGCTGATGTAGGAAGGGTGTCAGGCACAGACAGAATCAACTCTCAGTGGGCATAAGGGTCACTGTGAGCCCCTGGCAATGAGGTTAGGTTTTTTTTCTTTTTTGGAGAAATATAACAAGTGTATGGATTAGAAGATTCAATATTATATCAATTTTCTCCAAATTAATCATCTATCGACTCAATAGAATCATGATACAAATATAATAGTTTAAGTTGTTGCTGAACTTGGCAAAGTGATTCTAAAGTTTATAAGGAACTGGAAAGGTCCAAGAAAGTTGAGACCCCCTTTTTAAAAAAATTGTGATAAGGACAGGTGCGGTGACTCATGTCTTGTAATCCCAGCACTTTGGGAGGTTGAGGTGGGCAGATCACTTGAGGTCAGGAGTTCGAGATCAGCTTGCTAACATGGTGAAAACCCCGTCTCTACCAAAACTACAAAAATTAGTCGGGCATGGTGGCGCATGCCTGTAGTCCCAGCTACTCAGGAGGCTGAAGCAGGAGAATCGCTTGAACCCGGGAGGTAGCGGTTGCAGTGAGCCAAGATCACACCACTGCACTCCAGCCTGGGCGACAGAGCAAGACTCTGTCTAAAAAAAATTGTGATAAAATACACATAACATAAAATTTGCTAGTTTAACAATTTTTAAGTGTACAGTTCAATGGCATTAAGTACATTCACATTGTTGTATAACCAGGACTCTCTAGAATTCTTTTCATCTTGCAAAACTAAAACTCTGTCCCCATTAAACAATAACTCCCCATTCCCCCCTCCCTCTAGCTCCTGGCAACTACCATTCTGCTTTCTCTCTATGGATTTGACTACTCCAGGGACCTCATGCATTTGAATACAATATTTGTCTTTTTCTGCCTGGCTTATTTCATTTAGCATAATGCCCTCAAGGGTTGTTGCTGTTGAGGCATCTGTCAGAATTGCCTTCCTTTTTAGGGCTGAATAATATTCCATTGTGTGTATAGACCACATTTTGTTTATCCATTCGTCACTCTATGGACACTTGGTTTATTTCTACCTTTTGGCTATTGTGAATAATGCTGTTATAAATGTGGGTGTACAAATAGCTCTTTCTTTATTTTATTTTATTTATGTATTTTTTGAGATGGAGTCTTGCTCCGTCACCCAGGCTGGAGTGCAGTGGCGCAATCTCAGCTCACTGCAACCTCTGCCTCCCAGGTTCAAGCCATTCTCCTGCCTTAGCCTCCCAAGTAGCTGGGATTACAGGTGTGTGCCACCATGCCCGCTAAGTTTTGTATTTTCAGTAGAGATGGGGTTTTACCATGTTAACCAGGCTGGTCTCGAACTCCTGACCTCAGGTGATCCGCCAGCCTCGGCCTTCCAAAGTGCTGGGATTACAGACTTGAGCCACTGCGGCCAGTCTCTTCCCTCCCTCCCTCCTTTCTTTCTTTCTTTCCTTCCTTCCTTCCTTCCTGCCTCCCTCCTTTCCTTCCTTCCTCTTTCTCTCTTTCTTTCTTTTTGTGACAGTCTCACTCTGTTGCCCAGGCTGGAGTGCAGTGGTGTGATCTTGGCTCATTGTAACCTCCGCCTCCCAGGTTCAAGCAATTCTTGTGCCTCAGCCTCCTGAGTAGCTGGGACTACAGATGCACGCCACCATGCCTGACTAGTTTTTGTATTTTTAGTAGAGATGGGGTTTCATCATGTTGGCCAGGTTGGTCTTGAACTCCTGGCCTCAAGTGATCTACCCACCTCGGCCTCCCAAAGTGCTGGTATTACAGGCATGAGCCATCGCTCCTGGCCCAAATGTCTTTTCAAGACCCTGCTTTCAACTCTTTTGGATAAATGGTGTACTCAAAAGTGGAATTGCTGGAGCATATGGTAATTCTATAATTAATTTTTTGAGGAACTGCCATACTATTTTCCATGGCAGCTGCACCATTTTACATTCTTAAGAGCAGGGCACAAGGGTTCCAATTTCTCCACATCCTCACCAACACTTGTTATTTTCTGTTTTTCTGAAAGTACTGATCCTAATGGGTGTGAGGTGGTATTTCATTGTGGTTTTGATTTATATTTCCCTAATGACTAGTGACATTGAGCATCTTCTCCTGTGCTTCTTGGCCATTTGTATTTCTTGTTGGAGAATTGTCTATTCAAGTCCTTTGACATTTCTCAATTTGGTTATTTTTTTCTTTTCTGACTAAACTTTTCATTGAAGTGTCACTTACCTACAGAAAAATGTGCCAATGTATTTTTAGTAGAGACGGGGTTTCCCCATGTTGGCCAGGCTGGTCTTGAACTGACCTCAGGTTATCCACCAACCTCGGCCTCCCAAAGTGCTGGGATTACAAGTGTGAGACACTATGCCCGGCCCAATGTTTCACTGTTTTATCTTCTAGATCTGAGTAAATTATCTTCCCCTGTGAATTTGCTGACACCCCCTGAGCCCAGCCCCACTCTTTCTCATATGCAAAGCACTGCGATGCCCATCACCTTTCTTCCTTATGTTGTGCAGCTGGTGAGGAGGAAAGTCCATCTTCCTCTCAGAACTCAGGATTGTAGGCAAAGTGAGCGGGGAGGTACTGGCTGCACGTGCAGCCCATTCGGGGCTGGGATCCTCTCAAGGGAGAGCCCAAGGCTGGTGTTCCTCAAAGGCACACCCCATCCCCACTCCAACATGGCTTATCCAAGGGAGTGGTCAGGGCTCCTCCTAGGGTGTGCAGGGCCCACATAGATGCAAGTCTTGAAGCTCCTCAGGGCATTTGGTTAAGGGGATAAATGGATGCTAAAGTCCACGAAGATCAAGCCTGAGTTCAGGGTGCCCCACCTAGATGGCACAGGCAGCCTGGCCAGTCCCAGCCATGGGAGGGGGCTTAGGAAATTTCCAGGCACTCCAAAGCATGGGGCTCCACTGAGGAGCAGGGTCTAAGGGTGGTTCTGGCTATGGTCGTCCCAGGGTGTGATCAGGGTATCAGGGTGCTCTGCGAGGCCTTCCCTGATCAAGCCTCACACTCCAGTTTCCTGTCTCATCTCCTTCTCCTGCTCTCCTTCCTGTAGGTTCTGTGTTACCTGCAAGTCCCACTGTCTGGCTGAATTCTCAGTCTATCGGCTTTCTAGCTTATAGCTGTGCTGCATAAAGTCACAGCCTCATTTCCATTCCTCCTCTGGATGAATGGTACCTCCTCTCCTCCCCTCCCCTTCCCTCCCTTCCCCTCTACTCCTCTCCCCTCCCTCTCCATCCCCATCTCACGTTCTTCTCGTGACTCCTCTCTCTTTCATTCTCCCTCCCCCTCTTTCACCTTCCTTCTTTCCTCCCTCATTCATCTCTCTTCTTTTCCCTCTATTCTCCTCCCTTTCTGCCCCACCGGATGCATGCACACACATGCCCGTGAACCTGTAACTAACATACTTATACACACCCTTTGAGTCCTGAAGCCCCCAGAGCCCTCTCGGCTCAGTCCCTCTCCCAGGCAGTCAGGGGGACGTGCAGACCATATGTGGTGCCAGGAATAAGCAGGAGCCAGGCGGATGTGGCGTGGCAGCCTGGTAACCATTCGTTTCCACCTGGTCCTCATGCTGCTAACATGTTGGAGCATCTCAACGCTTTAACCCTCTTGCTGCCAGCTGCACAGTCCTGAAGGAAGAGATGGGAGGAGAAGAGTAAGGGAGAGGCTTTGGGGTCCCATTGTTTGTTCATCCAGTCACTCAGTCACCATTGACTGCGCCCTTACCTGTCTTCCACAGGGCTGGGATGGGTGCAGGGGAGGTAGAGGTGAGGCAGGCTTGGTCGGCCTGAGAGGAGAAGCTCACAGTCCAGCGAGGGAGACGCACAGCAACACAGTTCCAATCCAGCCTGATAGAGCAGCGATGGAGGGAGGAGGTGGAGCTGGAATACCAAGGAGGGCACCTAGTCCAGCATCAGGGCAGGCAAGGCTTGGCTAGGAAGTGTTGCCAGAGCTGAGCTGTGAAGTAAACATGAAGGTCAGGTAGGAGCTAGGTGGGCAAAGCAGGGGGCCAGAACATTCTAGGCAAAGGGAGCAGCAGGTGGAAAGACTCTTAAGAGAGCTTGTTGTAGCCAGGACACCGCATTCAAGTGGCTGTGGCAGTGTGTATGCATATGAGTGTGTGAGTGCAACTGCATGTGTGTGAGAGAATGTGAGTGTGAGTGTGTGTGAGAGAATGTGTGAGTGCAAGTGAAAGAATGTGAGTGTGTGTGTGAGTGCGTGTGAGAAAATGTGAGCGTGTGACTGCCTGTGAGAATGTGAGTGTGAGTGCATTTGAGTGAGAGAATATGTGAGCATGAGTGCATGTGAGTGAATGCATGTGTGTGAGAGAATGTGAGTGCATGTGTGAGAATGTGAGTGTGAGTGTGTGGGAGTGAATGTGAGTGTGTGAGTGCGTGTGAGAGAATGTGAGAGTGTGTGAGTGTGAGAATGAGTGTGTGAGAGAGAATGTGAGTGTGTGAGTGAATGTGAGAGAATGTGAGTGTGATAATGTGAGTGTGTGTCTGTGTGAGACAATGTGAGTATGAGTGTGTGAGTGCGTTTGAGAGAATGTAAGTGTGTGAGTGCATGTGAGAGAATGTGAGTGCGTGTGTGAGAGAATGTGAGTGTGTGTGAATGTGTGCGTTTGAATGTGAGTGTGAGTGCATGTGAGTGAATGAGTCTGAGTGCATGTGAGAGAATGTGAGTGTGTGAGTGCGTGTGAGTGAATGTGAGTATTGTGAGTGAATGTGTGTGAGTGCATGTGAGTGAGAGAATGTGTGTGTGAGAGAATGTGAGTGCGAGAATGTGACTGTGTAGGTGTGTGTGAGAGAATGTGTGTGTGAGTGCGTGTGAGTGAATGTGTGTGAGTGCAAGAATGTGAGTGCGTTTGAGAGTATGTGTGAGAGATGTGAGTGTGTGCGTGTGAGAATGTGTGTGCGTTTGAATGTGAGTGTGTGAGTGCGAGTGAGAGAATGAGTGTGTGAGTGAATGTCAGTGAGAGAATGAGTGTGATAATGTGAGTGTGTCAGTGTGTGAGAGAGAATGTGAGTATGAGTCTGTGAGTGCATGTGAGAGAATGTGTGTGAGTGCATTGGAGAATGTGAGTGTGTGAGTGCATGTGAGAAAATGTGTGTGAGTGCGTTTGAGAGAATGTGTGTGTGAGAGAATGTGAGTGTGTGTGTGAGAATGTGAGTGCGTTTGAGAGAATGTGTGTGAGTGCGTGTGAGTGAATGTGAGTGTGTGAGTGCGTGTGAGTGAATGTGTGTGTGAGTGCAAGAATGTGAGTGCGTTTGAGAGAATGTGTGTGAGTGAGATGTGAGTGTGTGAGTGCGTGAGAGAATGTGAGTGCGTGTGAGAATGTGAGTGTGTGAGTGAATGTCAGTGAGAGAATGAGTGTGATAATGTGAGTCTGTCAGTGCGTGTGAATGTGAGTATGAGTGTGAGTGCATGTGAGAGAATGTGTGTGAGTGCATTGGAGAACGTGAGTGCATGTGAGAAAATTGTGTGAGTGCGTTTGAGAGAATGTGTGTGAGAATGAGTGTGTGTGAGAGAATGTGTGTGAGTGCATTTGAGAATGTGAGTGTGTGCGTGTGAGAATGTGTGGGAGTGCGTTTGAGAGAATGTGTTAGTGTGTGAGTGAGAGAATGTGTGTGAGTGAATGTCAGTGAGAGAATGAGTGTGATGTGAGCGTGTCAGTGCATGTGAGAGAATGCGTGTGTGAGTGCGTGTGAAAGAATGCGCGAGTGCGTTTGAGAGAATGTGAGTGTGTGAGTGCGTGTGAGAGAATGTGTGTGTTTGAGAGACTGAGTGTGAGTGCGTGTGAGTGAATGTGAGTGTGAGTGCGTGTGAGTGAATGTGGGAGTGCATGTGAGTGAATGTGAATTGTGAGTGCACGTGAGTGAATGTGTGAGTGCGTTTGAAAGAATGTGTGTGAGTGCGTGTGAGAGAATTTGAGTGTGTGACTTCCGTGTGAGTGAATGTGTGTGAGTGCGTTTGAGAGAATGTGAGTGTGTGAGAGAATGTGAGTGTGAGTGCGTGTGAGAGAATGTGAGTGTGAGTGCAAATGAAAGAATGTGTGAGTGCGTGTGAGAAAAATGTGAGTGAGTGTGTCTGAGAGAATGTGTGTGTGAATGTGTGTGAGAATATAAGTGTGCATTGAGTGAGAATGTGAGTGTGTGAGAATGTGTGAGAGAATATGAGTGTGAAAGAATGTGAGTGTATGTGTGTATGAGTGCAAGTGCATGTCTGTGTGTGAATGTGAATGTGTCAGTGTGTGTTAGTGTGTGAGAATGTGTGTCTGAGTGCGAGTGAATGTGAGTTCATGTGAGTGTGTGACCCCCCAATGTGTGTGAGTGTGAGTGCAAGTGAGTGTGTGAGTGCCAGTGCATGTGTGTGTGAGTGTGTGAATGCATGAGTGCGTTGAGTGTGTGTGGTTGTGTGGGTGTAAGTGTGTGTTTGGAGTAGGGGTGGAGGATATGATAGGAAATGAGGCCAGAGAGGAAGCCAAGGGCCAGGTGACACTCAGGACCTTGAATGCTGGCTAAATAGCCAGGACTTTATCCCTGAAGGTGATGAGGAGCTATTAAAGGCCATTAACCAGAGTGATAGAGTCAGATTCGTGTTCAGAAAAAGCCCATGACTTCAGGGTAAAAGAGGAATGGGAAGGGGAGGGGTGAGCGGCAGGGGACCAGAAAGGAGTCCCTGTCTCTCTCTAACCTCCCTGCCCTCTCCAGTGGGGACCATGGGAGCCCCTCCCATCAGCCTCTACCTGCCCTCAGGCTTGATGTGCCCGGGGCCAGCTAATTACTGGGTACCTTCTCCTTGAAGACCATCAGAGCAAGCCCAGAGGGGTAGCCCCAAGCTGGGCTTTCCTGGCCCCTAACTGCAGCCTCCACCTGCTAGGTTTCTGGGCCTGTCCTGATCAGGGTGGGCGGCGCAGGAAATGAGCAGCGGCCCCACCCCTCCGGCAGGTGGGGCCCAGAAAGTCTTGCAGTCACCTATCTGGTACCCGCCTGTCTGCGGGAAGCTTTAGCGCCCCAGGTCCCTGCTGTGCTCAACTCTTGAGCTGCTGGCTGAGACTGAGCTTGGGAGGATTCAGACGGACAGCAGGACCTGACTCCTGTCTTACACCGTCAACCTCTCCGGCGTGGGCTTAGGGAAACCACTGCACCTCTGGGCCGCTTTTCTTCTCTGTAAAATGAGATTCTAGTGTTTACCTTGAAGACTTGGGAGGTTCACAGGAGAGGACTTAAGCATTTTGCACAAAGCCAGTCACCTGTGGGCACTAAGTGAATGGGGCTGTGACTGTCATCCTCATATTCTCTGGTGGCCCTGGTTGGAGTCCTTACAAGTTGTGTGACCTTGGGTAAGTTACCCTCAGTGGGACTCAGTTTCTTCACTTGTAAAATGACCATAACACCAGCATGTATTGTGGGGAATTGTGAGTTAATTCAGGTAAAGGGCTTACAACAGTGCCTGATTTATAGTAAACACACAATCATAGATTCTTGAGTTTCTCACAAGAATTGTTTTTTCTCTGATTTGGAGTTCACCACGCAAGCCAGAACCCCGTAAATAGTGCCCTGAGAATCAGTTTAGGCCCACGAAACCCCCAGCCTCCATATAATGCAACAATTTTAGTGATACAAAGTGCTAGTAAATGCCAGGTGTGGTGGTTCATGTAATCCCAGCACTTTGGGAGGCCGAGGTGGGAGGATCGCTTGAGCTCAGGAGCTCGAGATGAGCCCAAGCAACATGGCAAAACCCCATCTCTACAAAAAATTAGCCAGGCCTGGCGGCACACGCCTGTAGTCCCAGCTACTCAGGAGGCTGAGGTGGGAGGATCACTTGAGCCTGGGAGGTCAAGGCTGCAGTGAGCTGTGGTAGTGCTCCTGCACTCCAGCCTGGGCAACAGAGGGAGACCCTGTCTTGCAAAAAAAAAAAAAAAGCTAGCAACTATGGGTTGAAGACTTACTGTGTACTGATCCTGAGCTTTACAGATTAGCTGAGGCTCTGCTATGGATAAACTGGCCGCGTCGTTTCCTGCTTCCATTGCTGGCCAACTTCAATGAATGCTGCTGCCCCTTCCTCTCCCAAAAATTGATGACAGCTTGAACCAAGCTGAAATTCAGCACACAGCTCTGGGCACTGGGCACTGGTACTCAGGATACCTCCTCGGAGGGCTGGGGAGCCCTCTTGCCTTCCCACTATCCTGGCTGAGATCCCAGCATGGCTTGACCCAAACCCTCAGTGTGTCTTGGAAAGTCTTGGAAAGTGTCTGAGGAATGAGGTCAGCTGTGCCCACTGAATTTTTCCCTTTCTGCACCTCAAGGCCAGGGCTTTCTCCAGCTTTCACTTCCCACCCTTTTCTTCAAGCCAGAGCCCTGGACATTATCTCAAGTGGTTTTAACTGGTCCATAGCTTAAGCCAGCCTCACTGCCTTTTCCCTTACCACAAGACATGAGATGGGGAAGTGTGCCTGGTGGATTTCACAGTCAATTATACCGAGATGATTTGGGAAGTGAGATGTGGATTTTGTTCCGTGAATTGTTCAGCTGAGCTTCACACCTGGTGACAGCCATAAGCCACTTCTTGGTAGGAATAGGCCGTTCATTTATTCAGTTGCCAAACTCTGATACCTTCTCCGTGCCGGAGGGGGATGCCGAGGAGGAGTAAAAACTAGTCAGATCAGGGCTCGGGGAGGGGAAAAGAGTGGTCCAGGCAAAGGGGACCATGCAAAGGCACATAGGCAGGAAAAGACAGGATATGCCCGGGGCTGTCAAGCAACTTGGAGTTGAGGCTGAAGACCAGGGACTTAGATCTTGATAAGCCTTGGCAGGGACGATGGAAGAGCATTTGGAGGGACATGCTGGGGTTTTTTTCCTGGCTGCTCTGCATGCCTTTACTATATTTAGGGTGGGACTTTGGGGATTGCGTCCTACTCCTTTCCTCCCCTTCTTTCCTCCCAGTCCAGTGGTTCTGGTAGAAGCAGTTCCACCAGGACTCCAGGGGAAGCGGCATGTGACCCAAACCTAAGCCAATCCGTGCATTCCACTGCTGTGGCCACAGTGATTGGCTGAGGGACTGGCAATCCGGCCCAATGGCAGCCCATCCTGGGCTTTGGCTTGAGGACCTGGGAGAGGTCTTTGATCCCTTCTGCTGGTCTCTAATCTGACAGGATGTAGGGACTGGGGCCGCTGTCACGACCTCAAAACCATGGGGCTTCTGAGACCGAAGCCAACACAGCAGAAGGCAGCAGCACGGTGGAGCGAAATGAGTTCCAGTGACGTCGTTTGAGCCCCAAATCCAGCCGAGATGAAGCCAGCCCTAGTCCCTGGCCTTTTTGAGTTTATGATCCAATAAATTCCTTTTTGTTTAAGCCAGTTTAGGTTGGGTTTTCTGTTACTTGGAACAGAAAGCGTTCTAGCTGATACAGGTTTCAAACAGGAATGCAACGCCGTCATGTGTTTTAGTAATGTCACTCCGGCAGCCGCGGTGCAGCAGAGGGACTGGAGGGAGTGAGGTTGGAGGCAGCCACGCCAGTGGGGAGGCCTACGTGGTCATCCCAAAGAAGGCTCGTGACCAAGAGGAAGCAGAACTAGCAGCTCTGGTCTCCGCCGCTGGATTCGCTTCCTGAGGATGCCGTAACAAATCGCCATGAATTGGGTGGCTGAAAACAAGAGAAATTTATTTTCTCATGGTTCTGGAGGCCAGGAGTCCAAAATCACGGTGTCAGTAGAGACTTCCTTCTGAAGGCTGTGAAGGATAATTCTTTTTTTTTTTTTTTTCTTTCTGAGACAGAGCCTTACTCTTATTGCCCAGGCTGAAGTGCTGAAGTGCAGTGGTGTGATCTCGGCTCACTGCAACCTCCACCTCCCGGGTTCACGTGATTCTCCTGCCTCAGCCTCCTGAGTAGCTGGGATTATAGGCACCCACCACCACACCCGGATAATTTTTATTTTTATTTTTGTACTTTGAGTAGAGATGTAGTTTTACCATGTTGCCAAGGCTGGTCTCGAACTCCTGAGCTCAGATGATCCTCCCTCCTTGGCCTCCCAAAGTGCTGGGATTACAGGCATGAGCCACCACACCTGGCCTTTTAAGAGAGAATTCTCAACAAAGAATTCTTCCTCCAGCTTCTGGTGGCTCCATGTGTTCACTGGCTTGTAGCTGCAGCCCTCCAATTTCTGCTTCCATCTTCATGTGGCTTTCTTCTCCTCTGTGTCTGTGTCTTCTCCTTGTCTGTCTCTTATAAGACCACTTGTTATTGGATTTTGGGCCTGCCTGTGTAATCTAGGAGGATCTCATCTCAAGATCCTTAATTACTTCTGCAAAGACTCTTTTTTCCAAATGAAGTTACATTCACAGATTCCAGAACACAGACATATCTTTTTGGGGGTCACCATTCAACCCACCACAACTAGCAAGGAAAATGACCACCAGACCAAAAGACTAGAGTGAATATTATGAAAGGGAACAGGAGGCCAGGGGAGGTGAGGCAATGCTCAGAGGGCACTGGGAGGCACAGAAATGGAAACCTCTGGGCTGGGAGGAGTCCATTTTAGGACATCAAAAGAACTTGTGCACAGGATTTCCTAGGGAACCTAGGAGAACCAGAGAGAGCAAGAGCCTAAGGAATGGACAAGGGTGCTTTGCATTTTCAAAATCTGGAAGCCAAGATATTCTGCAAATACATGGGGTTGTGAGCTTAACATCACTCTGGGCAAGGTTCCAGAAAACTCAGGGCTTGGAGAGCACCTAGGAAGGAAAGTAATTCCCAGGACCCCACACTGATTCCTTAAGAACAAGTCATGCCAGATCAGCCTCATTTCTTTCTTTGTTAGGTTCACTGGATGGGTAGACTTAGGGATGGTGTGATGAGTGATCAGAATGAGGCCAGCTTGTGGTGGTCTTCTTGTAAACAGGACAGAGAAAACGTGTGATGGATTCAAAGACGATTAGGAAATTGACTGCCCATAAGGGAAGGGAATTAACCGATAGGTCTCTGTCTCCTGTAGTGAGGTGCCTGAGGTCCTCTGCTAGGTCCTGTTCTGCCCATCCAAGTTACATGAGACAATGGTAAACAGTGGGAGGCCCACTTGTCCAATTGGCAGATGGTTTGAGGGAGGAAGAAGCACACATTATGTTGGGAAATAGAGCTCCTTTTTCTTTGAGCGCCTACTTTGCCAGGCACCGAGTTTGGCTCAGGCAGAATAATGGTGAATAAGACAGAGAGAGAGAGAGGTATAGCTACTCTCATGGAACTTACTGTTCTGTAGGGGACTCAGGCAAGCACATTTAGTGCGATAAGCATCCCAAATGACTGTGGCAGGATGGGTTTCCAAGATGAGAGGAGACATGGAAAAATAGAAACACCTGTCCCTGGTTCTAAAAAACCAACAGTGTCACCTCAGGAGAAGGAAGCCCTGGGTCAGTAGTGGTTGGAGTGAAGTGGAGAGGGCAGCGATGTGTGAGGGGACATGGGCCCTGCCAAGTTTGGAGAGCTGATCTACACTCGAATTTCACATGTAGCCTTTCAGCCATACAGAGCAGCAAAGGGGAGGATTCGATAGTGCGGTAGCAGGTGATGACAATGCTAGGGACAATTAGAGGCAGAAATAGAAAGAGTTTTGGAATCATCCTGTTTTACAAGGTGACAACCAGAAAGCCAAAGGTTGCAGAGGGGATGGCTCTGAGGGAGGCAGTAAAGTGCCTACCAGCCTCGCCCCAGGCCAAGTTGCAGCTGACTGTGACTTAGGAGCCCTAGGAATCACTCTAGAGCAGCACGTGAGGTAGAGAGTGTATGGGATGCAGCGCAGCTGACCTTGCTGGGAAATTTATCTACTCCTAGGCCAAGGACAGAAGAAATCCTACAAGCATAGTGTATTAGCCCATTCTCATGCTGCCACAAAGAACTGCCCGAGACTGGGTAGTTTATAAAGGAAAGAGTTTTATAAAGACTCACAGTTCCTCATGGCTGGGGAGGGCTCAGGAAACTTACAATCATGGCAGAAGGGGAAGTAAACATGTCTTTCTTTACATGGCGGCAGGAAGGAAAAGTGCCGAGTAAAGGGGGAAAGCCCCTTATAAAACCATCAGCTCTCGTGAGAACTCAGTCACTATCACGAGAACGTCATGGAGGAAACTGCCCCCATGATTCAGGTATCTCCACCTGGTCCTGCCCTCGACACATGGGGATTATTACAATTCAAGATGAGATTTGGGTGGGGACACACAGCCAAACCATATCACATAGGAAGGAGGAAAACGGTGAGCCCACATCATCACCATCTCTCAGACCCTGTCCCTAGCTCAGGGCCTGGCACATGACCAGTGCTCAGTGAGGACTGCCTAAAAGAGAAAGAGCTTTTTCCAACTCCAGTTTTCTATGGCACCCTTCTGACTTCCCAGAGGCTCAGTTCCCCCATCTGTAAATGGGTCAAGATGATCAATGCACCATGTGAAAAAATTGTGTGAGCATTAAAGCCCTGTTCAAATACAAGGATTTAAAGGAAGATATAAGAAGCAACCTCCATATTACTGCTTCCTGGAAATGCCCTTTAGTAATAGTTTAGTGGCAAAAAAACATTATGAGAAAAGAATTTTCTCATAAACATTCTTCTGTTCAATTATGAAAGGATTAACTAAGCTGTAATGGCTGACATTTTTTTCCATAAGACACCATAAGGCACACAATGATATTTCACAAATGTGTGCTTCCTTCCCTACCTTCAACTCATAGTAAGGAAAGGAAATTTCAATGAAGGTAGAGCCATGGCGGGGGGAAGGGTTTGGCTTGGCTGACCCAGAATCTTCTCCCAAGTGTCCTCAGCTAGAACCCTTAAAACCCTGCTCAGAAGTACCTCACTATCTCACCTCCTCTCCACCCTCAGTCCTGGAAGCTCTGCCTCCTTCACTCTTGTGCCTAACCAGGTAATGACATGGTCTTGAAAACTCTAATCACTGACTGTTTGCTCTGTGCCAGACAGAGGGCTCAGGGATTTCCACGCATTCACTTAATTTTCCTGTTAACAGAGTCAGCTATTATCCCCTTCTGTAGATTAGGAACAGGCAAAGAGGAGAGATGTGTCTTTCTCAAACTCACAGAGCTGGCAACTGCCAGAGCCTGGTCTCAAGCCTGGATCTATCTGATCCCAAAGTCCTTGTAACCAGGACACCAACCTGCCTGGGTGCAGACTGTGAAGGGCCAGTGAGGCCATGAAGACAATGGTGCCCTAGGGCTGGGGTCCCCGGGCTGACAGCAGGCAGAGGTAATTCTTCCATGTGGTGCTACTCCAAGGTAGCAGTGCTCCCTGGAAGTGATGCTTCATCCAGACAGCTCCATGAAACAGGAGGTGGTACCTGGATTCTTTTTTGAAGGAGAAACAGAGGCAGGAGCTGCTCCACTAGGGATGGCTGGATGCTGTGTGTCTGCACCGGGCCAGGAACACACCAACTACACTCATCACCATGGAGGCCAGCATAGCTCAGAGGAGCCTCGGGTTAGGCACCACAGTCTAGAGGTGGGCAGAGCCTGTATTGACTCTGTGCTGGGCAAGGGGGGAGGGATGGAGGAGAAGTCCCCATTTGCCATGGGCCCCTGTTTAAGCTGAAGAAATGGAGGCTTTAAAACTTACTATATGAGTAATATAAAAATTAAACCCAGATTCACCATATGAACCAGCAATTTCAGTCTTAGACATTTATCCAAAAGGACAGAAAGCAGGGGCTCAAACAGATATTTGCACACTTATGTTCTTAGCAGCATTATTCACAGTAGCCCAAAAGTGGAATTCATTGATGGATGAATGGAGAAACATGATGTGGTCTATACATACAAGGGAATATTATTTGGCCATACAAAGGAAGGAAATTCTGACAGATGCTACATCATGGGTGAACCCTGAGGACATCACACTAAGTAAAATAAGCTAGTCACAAGAAGGCAGATACTGTATGATTTCACTTATGTGAGATACCTAGAATAGCCAAATTCATAGAAACAGAAGAAAGAATGGTGGTTGACATAGACTAGAGGAAAGGGAGGAGCAAGAAGTTATTGTTTATTGGGTTTAGAGGTTCAGTAGGGAAGATGAAAAAGTTTTAGAGATGGATGGTGGTGATGGTTGCACATATGAATGTACTTAACGTCCCTGAAATGTACATTTAAAAAATGGTTAAGCCAGTTAGTTCCATATTATGTGTGTTTCCCCCACAATAAAAGAACCTGACATTTCTTCCTACTTCTAATAAAAATTCTTCCTAGACTAAAAAAACAAAAACAAAAAACCATGCTACATTTTTTAATCTTTATTTTTTTAATCTTTATTTGTGTGCTCCCCATGTGTCAGGCAACTTACTGAACACGTTCCATTTGTCATCTGTTTAGTCTTTTGCAACAGTCACAGTGGTCATTATTTCTCCCTTTTCCAGATGAGGAAACTGAGTCTCACAGCTACTCCCCGCAAGCCTTACAGCTAGGAAGTAGCTTGAATCCACGCCCTTAACCGCTGTGCTCAGCCGGGGATGAGACTGGCTCAGAAACGTACATCTAGAGATGGGCAGGCAGCATCGGGCTTGTTAGACTCTCCTTGGCACAGAGGCAGAGTGAAGAAGTGGGAAAAAAACAAAGCCCTTGGCATGCTTGACCTCTACGCAGAGTGGAGAGGCATCCTGGAGGCTGGCAAAGAGGGCCAGTGGGGAGCTGTCCTTACAGAGGACACCCTTTCATCTTAGAAAGTTCCTGGGACAGCTTCTCCGCCCTGCATTTAACTGCCTGCTGGGAGTTGCAAGGAATCCGAGCATATCCAATAAATGTTTTATTCTACCCTGAGCTGGCCCTCTTGGGCAAAATAAGCTCCTTTTTCCAGGAGGAAATGAAGGGGCAGGTTTTTCTACGACACTTACATAGGGATTTGTCTCTTCGTTTCACACAGAATTATCTTTGGCTCAGAGAGGCAAAGCAGCTTGCCCAGGCCCACACAGCAGGTTGGCACCCAAGGTCTAAAAAACCCGAGGGTGTCTGGCTTCTGGCTGAGGACCCAGCAGATACTCCACTGCAGAGCTCTCTGAGAGCCGGGATCGCCTCCCTCCCTGCCTTGGGGGACCCCTTCTCTGTCTTCTCATGGAGATACACTTGGCAGGGGTGTGGGCACAGGAAATCTCCATGATATAAAATATGCAGAAAACCTTTTTTTCCTGCCCCGAAGGGCACTGGATTGCTGGGTCATTAACAACCTGTGTAGGTGACTCTTCTCAGGAAGCCCCTCAGGATCTGATCTGAGTGCGTCTCCCTCTCCAGCCCCATCTCTTGCCATCCTCTGCCCAATCCCCTCCTCCAACTCTTCCCAGCCCCTGTGCTCACTCCCACTCAGGCCTTGGTCTCTGCTGCTCCCCTCCTCTGGCCTTTCTAACCCCGCCCAACTTTGCTGACCTAACCCCAACTCATTTCTTCTCCTGGAAGCCTTTCCTGATCCTCAGCCTGTTCACCTCCGGCCCCCTCTACCACACTCACACACACACACTCACACACACTCACACCCACACGCTCACACAGGCCTCACCTACTATTCATGGCTGTGTCCCCAGTGCCTAAAACAGAACCTGGCACAGGGCAGACCCTAAGGACATGTTGATTGATTGAATAAATCTGTAAAAATACATTCAGATTCAGTTAGCAATCAGAGATTTGCCATTAAGCAGCTGGAAAGGTCTTGGGCTCCCCAGGACTCAGATTTCTCCTGGGCAAAGTGGGTATCAAAAAAGAACCTTCCTCACAAGGTATTTGGAGTGCATGAGAGAGTCTATGTCACGTGCCAGGCACTGCACCTGGGTCATGATGGGGACTTTAGTGGGCCTTAGTCAGGTCCTATTACTGCCTGGAAGCACGTGCCCTGACCTTACCCCTCAAGCCCCTCCTACTGAGGAAAATACCATGTGCAGAGATGAGTATCTGCTTAGGAAATCTGTGAGTCTCCTGAACTAGAAGTTTGAGGCCCAGAAGCACTTTTGTCTTCAAGGACTTTACAGTCCAATGGGAGAGAAAGGCGCCAAATAGGCCATAACAGAGACTGGCCAGGGCAATGGTGGGGAGACCCGAGGGTGGCTTCTCAGACAGGTGATGCTTGAGCTCTGTCAAGCAAGAAAAGTAAGCGTTTCCCAGGCAGAGATTTGGGTGGAGGGGAGAATCCTGCAGGACAGAGTGAGATGCTGCCTCTTAATGAAAACATAAAGGAAAAAAAAACACACAACACATTTTCCCCCTAAGTCCATAGAAACAAGAGTCATTGGGTTTCAGGGTCAGGTAGAACTTTCTTCCCACCTGGGTCCTCTCCTTTGACCGTGTGACAAGTGGCTGGCCCTTCAAAGCCTCGAGTGCTCATCTGCAGGTCAGGGACAGTAAGACCAACTTGCAAGGGAGCTGGGAGGATTTGGTGAGATTCTAGACGCGCAAGTCCCAGCACATAGTAGGCACACAACCAAAGCTGACATCCTTCCTCTTTGGGCCTAAAGGAAAATTTATCCCAATTATCTGAAGGATTTGGGTGTGAGTAGTGCTCTCTCTGTTCTGTGCCCGTATTAACCAGACCTATTCCAGAAGCGGCCTTTGGGACCTTCCAGAGCACAGCCTGGCCTCTCCAACAGCCCTTATTAAAGACATGCTTCAAAATGGGTGGGGTGTCATCACCTGTGAAGACCTGGCATCTCCACAGGGGCAGCTGGGCCTTTGTAGCTGCACATCAAAGCTGCCCATCCCTGGTCCCAGGGTTTATCACCACAGTGACACAGACCTATGACCTTGTGCTCATGGAGATGTGCCTGCTGCAAACCTTCCATCCGCCTGGCTAGTCCATCCTCCAGGACACAGGGAGATGCTGGCTTTTGTGAAGATGCAAGGCATATAGGATGCAAGCTGTAAGGGCCCAAAGAGTTTGCAAGGTGGCTGGATAAATGTGACATCCCCTCCTTCCCAGTGCCCTTCAACACCACTCTTGTTCCCCATGATGTTACATTTTGCCAGTAATAATCACAGCCACCATTTGCTGACCCTTACGCTGTGCTAGGCACCTTGCCAAAAGCTTTCCTTAGAATATTCCCCTTTCCTACATTATGAGATATATACAATTGTCATTCTCACTTTACAGATGAAGAAACTGAGGCACACAGAAGTTACATCACTTGCCAAGTCACCCAGCTGGAGACTGGCAGCCTGGTATTTCCCACAGCCAAAAACTCAGCTCTCACCCAGGCCGTCCTCTACCCAAAGACATTTGCTGGCTCCCTGTTGACATTAGGACAAAGTCCAGATCCCTCAGCCTGGCACCCTAGGTCCTTCACGAGATCTCTGCACCTAATCCCCTAGCTCTACCCTTGCCGCTAAGTCTACCTGAGAGAATCACTTCTCTATTTTTTTTGAGACAAGGTCTCACTCTGTCACCCAGGCTGGGGTGCAGTGGTACAATCTTGGCTCACTGAAATCTCTGCCTCCCAAGTAGCTGGAATTACAGATGCATGCCACCACACCTGGCTAATTTTTGTATTTTTTGGTAGAGATGGGGTTTCACCATGTTGCCCAGGCTGGTCTCAAGCTTCTGCCCTCAAGTGATCCACCCACCTCGGCCTCCCAAAGTGCTGGGATTGCAGGCCTGAGCCACCGCACCCGGCCCCACTTCTCTTTCATAACCCTACACAGCTTCCTGGAACATCCTTCCTGTCTTTCCCACTTGATGAACTCCAGCCATTCTTCAGCAGCTAGCTCAAGTATCAGACAAGCCAACTCAATCTCTCCTACTTGGGGCACCTCTGTGTGTGTGTGTGCACGTGTCTGTGTGCATGCGTCCACCCATTTGTATTGCAGTGCATTTGTTTCTATGTCTGTGTTGTTGTCTAGGCTCTGAGCTTCCTGAGACTTGGTGCCCAGTTTCATCCACCTTGGTCTCCCCAGCCCCAAGCACAAGGTCCAGCACAGAGCAGGTTACGAGAAATGTTTGGGAATGAATGAATGACCCAGTGGAATGAACAAGGGTTACAGACGTGATAACAGGAGGCTCAAAATGCTGCCCCTAGGAAAGAAGAGGGCGAGGGGCTGTGGGAAAGGTTAGCATTCTGGAGGCACACTCCAGCTCCCTTTGGCTGAACAAAGACTGGGGCCCCAAGATTCTTTTCTCAAGAAATGTTTTTAGTGGGCTTCAGGATGATTCATTCCTTTGCAGCCTCACCACACCTGTGACTTCCAAAGGGGCCTCATGCCCCTGCCTTAACTCAAAAATCCTCCCTGGGATCCACTGACTCATTCGTTCCATAAGTCAGGATAGGACAGATTCCACTGCAGTAACAACCACACCAGAATGTCAGTGGCTCCTACTGTATGCCCACTGAAGACTGGCAGGGGACCTCTTCTCTATATTAGCCTCCAAAGGGGACACGATAAATTGCTCACTAGCTCTCGAAACATGTTCAGAGGTGACCCATGTCACTTTTGCTCATATGTCACTGGCCAAGGCAAGTCGTGTGACTACACCTAACTTTACAGGTGGCAGAGGAAGTGCAATCCTGGCAAGTGCCTGGAAATCAGAGAGGTGAAAACGTTGAGCAAATAGCATTAAATACCACCACACCTGTCGACATTTACTGTGCAGCTACTATGTGCCTCGCATAGTAGGAGTTCCAGAGCAGGAGGTGGGATGTGTTCTGCTCACATGCCACCTCTGAGAAGCCTCCTGTGCCTCTGGACAGGATCAGTAACTCCTTCTCCACACTGTCTCATGTCATCAAAACTCTTCAGCACTTGGCAAATTCCCATCTTTCCTTCTTCCTTCTCTTCCTCCCTCTCTTACTTATTTCATTTAACAAATATTTACAAAGCACCTCGACGTGCCAGCACAGTGCTTGGGGTTTCAAGATCCAGCACAAATATCACGTATTCTTGAAGACCTTCTCTGGTCCTCCCACTTAGAAACAAACGCTCCCTGCTCTGATTCCCAGCACCTTGGATGTCCCTCTGCTTGTCACTTTGGGTTTTAAGTGTGTGTGTCCACACTAACTTTGGCCACTAGACTATGAGCCTTTTGAGGGCTGGGGACTGTGTCTCATTCATCTCTATGTCTCCAGTCCCTGCACTTGTGCTCAGAAAAGGATCGTTAACTGATGGGCTGACTGATTGACTGAGTGACTGAGTGAGCAAATAAATGAATGGATGTCTCACAATAACTGGCACACAGTGTAGCCAATGGTCTCCTGCTGTACTTCAAAGTCCAAACTCTTGGTCAGGCCTGGTGGCTCACGCCTGTAATCCCAGCACTTTGAGAGGCCGAGGCAGGCAGATTGCCTGAGGTCAGGAGTTCGAGACCAGCCTGAGCAACATGGCAAAACCCTGTCTCTACTAAAAGTACAAAAAATTAGCCGGGCATGGTGGTGCGTGCCTGCCATCCCAGCTACTTGGGAGGCTGAGGCATGAGAATCTCTTGAACCCGGCAGGCGGAGTTTGCAGTGAGCCGAGATTGTGCCACTGTACTCCAGCCTATGCGACAGAGCAAGACTCTGTCTCAAAAAAAAAAAAAAAAAAAAAAAGTCCAAACTCTTTCCCACAGTCTACATGGCCCTGCCTGATCTGGCCCCTACCCACCATGTCCCAGTTCTGACCATCGTTCAGTTATCAAAGGCACTAAGTTCATTCTTGCGTCAGGGCCTTTGCACCTGTCATGCCCTCCTCCTGGAACATTCTGTTTCCAGTTCATCCCTGGGCTGGCTGCCTCTCCTCATTCTAGCCCCAGCTCAAATGCTACCTCCTTGGGGAGGCCTTCCAGTCAAAAGGAACTCTGTACTGCCCTCTTTATTGCACAGTCTGATTCTCTTCAAAGTACTTTCCATCTGACGTTACTTAACTCATGTATTTGCTTATGTGCCGATAGTCTGCCTCTTCTAAAATGTAAAGTTCACGAGAGCTTCATACACAGACCCCACCTGTCCTGCTGCGACCCTGGCACATAGCAGATGCTCAGTGCATAGCTGTTGAATGAATGAGTGAAAGGTAAGATGTGACTCTCACCTAAGAGGAGTACAGCCTAAATGAGGGGAGATTCAGCTATTTCCTGTCCACTGACCAAGCCATAGGTCTCAAGCTTCTTGCCCTTCTCATGGCTTCTCTAAAGGTTGGGGGTGGACATCTGTAGAGCAGGGTGTGAGAAAGCTGTACCTCTAGGACACTCCTGTTCTCAGTGCACACATGCATGTGGAACCACACGGAGCCGTCCCTTAGGTCAGAAGACAGCACTCGCTATGAGAGCAGAGGGGACCTACAGGGCCATCTCTTTGCTCAGCTGACTGCTGGCTCCAGGCATCTAAACCCTGTTCAATGCCCGAGCTTCCAGCCCCGGGCAGCTGTGGTGTAATCACCAGTTTTAAAAGCTGGCCTGGGTGTTGCTTCTGTTCTGCCTTTGAGGAGAGGGCATGCAGTGGCCATCCGAAGGCTGGCAGGGCAGCCACAGACTTCAAAGGCTTTGTCTTTGACTGCTGTTTTGCTGTTACAAAATGTTTTGTAGAGGCAGGGTTTCACCATATTGGCCAGGCTGGTCTCAAACTCCTGGGTTCAAGCGATCCACCCGCCTTGGCCTCCCAAAGTGTTGGGATTACAGGTGTGAGCTGCTGCGCCTGGCCAGTGTTAAATTTTTGGAAAGGTGTATAGCATATTCGATTTAGTAATTCTAACAATTATTATGATTTTTATGTGCGTTATTAACACTTGCATGGGAGAAGACTGGCAGCTGGGAAGCCAAGGGCCTGGAGGTAGGGTGGGGCCCAGAGGGGAACAGGCAGCACCTACTGGGATTGGGGTGGAGCTGTCTCCCCTGCTGGGGCAAAGCAAGTTCATCTCTCCTTTTTCTCTTTTCTCCTGTAGCAAGTGAGAGCTCCTCAAGGCCAGGGTGGGAAGATTTCCCACTGGGTCCCCAGAACCTTGATGACACCAAATGGAATATGACTCTGTGCTCTCACGTCCCCTAAAAGTGTCTTCCTTGCCCTCTCATTCCCTCACGTTGCTTCGCTCTTTTCAGGAGGCAACTTTGCAGGCTGGAAAAAACACTTCCAATTATGCATACCTTTCAGCCCGGTGTTTCTCATTATACGCACATGCCCTGCAGACACGAACATGAGCACACACACATCCATTCAGTAACTGGTTCTTTCAGTTGCTCATGCAAAATGATCTCTTGAGATCTTCCGAGTGCCAGGGACTGAACCAGGTCCTGAGATATTTCCCTGGACACACAGACGTGATTCCTTGGGTTCCCTTAGAAATGACAGAACTTCACAGAGGAGAGAGACATTGAATGGGCATTAACGGAAATCCTTAGTTGAAATTACTCAAAGTACTTCAAGTGAGGAGCACATGGTATGGTGGGACAGGGGTCACAAATTCTTCTAGCAATGTTTTTTGCAAGTGAATAAAAGGCAGCAGCCCAAATATCCATCCCCAGGAGAGTAGCAAGGATAACTGTGGTGCATCCATACTTTGATTTACCATGTATTTATTTAAAAGAAGGCAGGTCAGGCACAGTGGCTCACACCTGTAATCTCAGCACTTTGGGAGGCCGAGGCAGGCAGATTGTTCGAGCTCAGGAGTTCGAGACCAGCCTGGGCAACATGGCAAAACCCCATCTCTACAAAAAAATACAAAAATTAGCCAGGTGGCTGGGCGCTGTGGCTCAAGCCTGTAATCCCAGCACTTTGGGAGGCAGAGGCAGGCGGATCACGAGGTCAGGAGATCGAGACCATCCTGGCTAAACATCCTGGCTAACATGGTGAAACCCCGTCTTTACTAAAAATACAAAAAAATTAGCTGGGCGTGGTGGCAGGCACCTGTAATCCCAGCTACTCGGGAGGCTGAGGCAGGAGAATGGCGTGAACCCGGGAGACAGAGCTTGCAGTGAACTGAGATCGCGCCACTGTACTCCAGCCTGGGCCACAGAGCGATACTCCGTCTCAAAGAAAAAAAAAGTAGCCAGGTGTGGTGGCATGTGCCTGTAGTCCCAGCTACCTGAGAGGCTGAAGTCAGAGGATGGCTTGAGCCTGGGAGGCGGAGGTTGCAGTGAGCCAAACTCGCACCACTGCACTCCAGCCTAGGTGACAGAGGGAGATCCTGTCTCAAAAGAAGAAGAAGAGGAAAAAAAAGAAGGAAGGTTATATGAATCAACAGTGAAAGATATCCTAAGTATGGTGTTAAATTTTTATTTGCATCTGTATTTGTTTTTGAGACAGGGTCTTGCCCTGTCACCCAGGCTGGAGTGCAGTGGTGTAATCACAGCTCATGGCAGCCTTGACTTTCCAGGCTCAAGCAATCCCCCTACCTGAGACTCCAGAGTAGCTAGGACTACAGGCATGCACCAACAAGTCCTCCTCATTTTTTGTAGAGGCAGGGTTTCACCATATTGGCCAGGCTGGTCTCAAACTCCTGGGTTCAAGCGATCCACCCTCCTTGGCCTCCCAAAGTGTTGGGATTACAGGTGTGAGCCACTGTGCCTGACCAGTGTTAAATTTTTAGAAAGGTGTATAGCATATTTGATTTAGTAATTCTAACAATTATTATGATTTTTATGTGTGTTATTAATATTTGCATGGGAGAAGACTGGAAGAATATGTCTCATATTGTCAACAGCTGCTATTTTGGGGGAGGTAAATACCTGTGACTCTCATTTTAACAACATTCAAATAATGTTTGAATTGTTAAAAATAGACATGCATTACCTTAGTGAGAAGGAAAAAAGTACAGACTTGGGGGGAAAAACTGATGCTGATTATTTTTGAGACTCTTCAGCCATCTGGAATCAAGGCTGTTCAAAGAGCCAGATCTTCCTTCTTGAAGACAAAGTTTCTTCCACCAGGGGCTAGACTCTCAAACGGGAAAGAATCACAGTAATTAGGGAACGGAGGGGGTTCTTGGAGGCCAGCAGTGAATGGAGTGTGAACTTCAACGCTGGGAAGGGGTGGGCCTAATCCCAGCTCTGCCATTCTCTGGCTGGTGATCTGGGTAGGTCCGTGGGCCTGTTTTCTCACCTGTAGGAGAGACATAATGATCTCTTTCTGATAGGAGTGTTTGCTGATTAAATGAACTGCGACATTAGAATTCTCTTGGAAAGCAAATACTCGGTGGGTTCTAAACAGAGGGAATGCTTTTGCCAGACCTGGAAGCATCATATGGAATTGTTGGAAGAGGAGAAATAATTTTGCTCTTGGCTCTTCCTGCAGAGAAATGAAGTTTGCTTACATCATCTACCTAAGAAAATTAAGTAACATGTCTGCTCGTCAATAAGAAGCAGTAATTTCAGTGTGCTTCCCTGGTTTTTTAGAACCAGGGACAGGTGTTTCTATTTTTCCATGTCTCCTCTCATCTTGGAAACCCATCCTGCCACAGTCATTTGGGATGCTTATCGCACTAAATGTGCTTGCCTGAGTCCCCTACAGAACAGTAAGTTCCATGAGAGTAGCTATACCTCTCTCTCTCTCTGTCTTATTCACCATTATTCTGCCTGAGCCAAACTCGGTGCCTGGCAAAGTAGGCGCTCAAAGAAAAAGGAGCTCTATTTCCCAACATAATGTGTGCTTCTTCCTCCCTCAAACCATCTGCCAATTGGACAAGTGGGCCTCCCACTGTTTACCATTGTCTCATGTAACTTGGATGGGCAGAACAGGACCTAGCAGAGGACCTCAGGCACCTCACTACAGGAGACAGAGACCTATCGGTTAATTCCCTTCCCTTATGGGCAGTCAATTTCCTAATCGTCTTTGAATCCATCACACGTTTTCTCTGTCCTGTTTACAAGAAGACCACCACAAGCTGGCCTCATTCTGATCACTCATCACACCATCCCTAAGTCTACCCATCCAGTGAACCTAACAAAGAAAGAAATGAGGCTGATCTGGCATGACTTGTTCTTAAGGAATCAGTGTGGGGTCCTGGGAATTACTTTCCTTCCTAGGTGCTCTCCAAGCCCTGAGTTTTCTGGAACCTTGCCCAGAGTGATGTTAAGCTCACAACCCCATGTATTTGCAGAATATCTTGGCTTCCAGATTTTGAAAATGCAAAGCACCCTTGTCCATTCCTTAGGCTCTTGCTCTCTCTGGTTCTCCTAGGTTCCCTAGGAAATCCTGTGCACAAGTTCTTTTGATGTCCTAAAATGGACTCCTCCCAGCCCAGAGGTTTCCATTTCTGTGCCTCCCAGTGCCCTCTGAGCATTGCCTCACCTCCCCTGGCCTCCTGTTCCCTTTCATAATATTCACTCTAGTCTTTTGGTCTGGTGGTCATTTTCCTTGCTAGTTGTGGTGGGTTGAATGGTGACCCCCAAAAAGATATGTCTGTGTTCTGGAATCTGTGAATGTAACTTCATTTGGAAAAAAGAGTCTTTGCAGAAGTAATTAAGGATCTTGAGATGAGATCCTCCTAGATTACACAGGCAGGCCCAAAATCCAATAACAAGTGGTCTTATAAGAGACAGACAAGGAGAAGACACAGACACAGAGGAGAAGAAAGCCACATGAAGATGGAAGCAGAAATTGGAGGGCTGCAGCTACAAGCCAGTGAACACATGGAGCCACCAGAAGCTGGAGGAAGAATTCTTTGTTGAGAATTCTCTCTTAAAAGGCCAGGTGTGGTGGCTCATGCCTGTAATCCCAGCACTTTGGGAGGCCAAGGAGGGAGGATCATCTGAGCTCAGGAGTTCGAGACCAGCCTTGGCAACATGGTAAAACTACATCTCTACTCAAAGTACAAAAATAAAAATAAAAATTATCCGGGTGTGGTGGTGGGTGCCTATAATCCCAGCTACTCAGGAGGCTGAGGCAGGAGAATCACGTGAACCCGGGAGGTGGAGGTTGCAGTGAGCCGAGATCACACCACTGCACTTCAGCACTTCAGCCTGGGCAATAAGAGTAAGGCTCTGTCTCAGAAAGAAAAAAAAAAAAAAAAGAATTATCCTTCACAGCCTTCAGAAGGAAGTCTCTACTGACACCGTGATTTTGGACTCCTGGCCTCCAGAACCATGAGAAAATAAATTTCTCTTGTTTTCAGCCACCCAATTCATGGCGATTTGTTACGGCATCCTCAGGAAGCGAATCCAGCGGCGGAGACCAGAGCTGCTAGTTCTGCTTCCTCTTGGTCACGAGCCTTCTTTGGGATGACCACGTCGGCCTCCCCACTGGCGTGGCTGCCTCCAACCTCACTCCCTCCAGTCCCTCTGCTGCACCGCGGCTGCCGGAGTGACATTACTAAAACACATGACGGCGTTGCATTCCTGTTTGAAACCTGTATCAGCTAGAACGCTTTCTGTTCCAAGTAACAGAAAACCCAACCTAAACTGGCTTAAACAAAAAGGAATTTATTGGATCATAAACTCAAAAAGGCCAGGGACTAGGGCTGGCTTCATCTCGGCTGGATTTGGGGCTCAAACGACGTCACTGGAACTCATTTCGCTCCACCGTGCTGCTGCCTTCTGCTGTGTTGGCTTCGGTCTCAGAAGCCCCATGGTTTTGAGGTCGTGACAGCGGCCCCAGCCCCTACATCCTGTCAGATTAGAGACCAGCAGAAGGGATCAAAGACCTCTCCCAGGTCCTCAAGCCAAAGCCCAGGATGGGCTGCCATTGGGCCGGATTGCCAGTCCCTCAGCCAATCACTGTGGCCACAGCAGTGGAATGCACGGATTGGCTTAGGTTTGGGTCACATGCCGCTTCCCCTGGAGTCCTGGTGGAACTGCTTCTACCAGAACCACTGGACTGGGAGGAAAGAAGGGGAGGAAAGGAGTAGGACGCAATCCCCAAAGTCCCACCCTAAATATAGTAAAGGCATGCAGAGCAGCCAGGAAAAAAACCCCAGCATGTCCCTCCAAATGCTCTTCCATCGTCCCTGCCAAGGCTTATCAAGATCTAAGTCCCTGGTCTTCAGCCTCAACTCCAAGTTGCTTGACAGCCCCGGGCATATCCTGTCTTTTCCTGCCTATGTGCCTTTGCATGGTCCCCTTTGCCTGGACCACTCTTTTCCCCTCCCCGAGCCCTGATCTGACTAGTTTTTACTCCTCCTGCTTCGCTGGAGGCTTTCGCTCCACTTTGGGCCCCAGAGCATCCTTCACCCCTTCGACAGAACTTGACTGCTAACGAGTCTGTCTCCTTGACTGAACTCTGCACTTCATAAGGGCAGAGACTTACTTTATTTTTATTTTTAACAAACACATAAAGCCCTTTCCAAGGGTCAACCACCATTTAAGCTCTTGACAAGCATTAACTCATTTAATCCTCATCATAAATATGTGAAGTAGGTTCTGTTATTAACCCTACTTTTAAAGATGGGGAAACTGAGGTAGAGAAAGGTCATATCTGATTTATCTGTGTATTTGTTTTTTATTTTTTTGACAGAGTCTCTTGCTCTGTCACCTAGGCTCGAGTGGAGCGCAGTGGTGTGATCACAACTCACTGTAACCTCAAACTCCTGGGCTTGAGTGATCCTCTCGCCTCAGCCTCCCCAGTAGCTGGGACTAGAGGGTCATCTTTGTATTTCCCAGGTCCAGCCCAGGGCTAAGCACCTGGTAGGTATTCAAAAAATACTTATCTTTCAGATTGTCTCTCCTGGTCTCTGCCCCCAGTCCTACCAGGATGTATCTTCTGATTTTCCCATTTCCCGAAGTTGCCCACATTCTGGATCTTCCCAGACTGGAAAGAGGGTGTTGCTAAGGCAGCCTCAGCCAGAGCAACTCTGCACAGCATCTGGTGTCCAGGCCAGCAACCCAAAGGCTGGCACAGAGGCCTGTGACATGAGGAAGGAGCCCCATCTGGACCCTTTAAGGGCTATGAAAGCCCTGTGGTGGGAGGATGAGCCCAGGAGTCCTCCAGGTGGCCCTCTGCCTCAGTACTCATGATCACTCCCCCTGTGTTCCTGATCCCAGTCCAGGGATTCCATCCTGACAGTCGTTTACCTGCCCAGACTGCTGAGGACTGCTGTGTCCCCAGAATCCTAACCTGAAAGCTCCCGAGCTTTAACTGGCTCCAAATGAAAATGTGCATGTATAGTCCTCACAGGAGCGATGATTGAATGA
Organism: Homo sapiens; assembly: GCF_000001405.40. Classification (NCBI taxonomy): domain Eukaryota; kingdom Metazoa; phylum Chordata; class Mammalia; order Primates; family Hominidae; genus Homo; species Homo sapiens. The sequence goes on from NC_000009.12 coordinate 123,994,782, forward strand.
TGACCCACAGCCTCCACCTCTGCAGATCGGCCTGGTTCTCTCTTCTGCCTCCCTCTCCTCACTCAGCTGGTTCCCCGTCCCTCCTCCATCACTGTCAGAGCTGCCTCGCTTTCCCTCCCTCTGCAGCTCCTTTCTCTGTCTGTCCCTGTCTGATTGTCCATCTCTGGCCTTGGCCAGACTCCTTTCCCTCACTGCTCTTCTGCCTGTCTCTTTCTCCTTTCTTTTCTTTTCTTTTCCTTTTCTTTCTTTCTTTCTTTTTCTTTTCTTTCTTTCCTTTCTTTCTATTTTGAGACAGAGTCTCGCTCTGTCACCCAGGCTGGAGTGCAATGGCACAATCTTGGCTCACTGCAACCTCTGACTCCCAGGTTCAAGCAATTCTCCTGCCTCAGCCTCCCGAGTAGCTGGGATTACAGGTGTGCACCACCATGCCCAGCTAATTTTGTATTTTTAGTAGACACAGGGTTTAGCCATGTTGGCCAGGCTGTTCTCAAACTCCTAACCTCAAGTGATCCACCTGCCTTGGCCTCCCAAAGTGCTGGGATTATAGGCATGAGCCACTGTGCCCAACTCTCCTTCTCTCTCTCTTTTTTTTTTTTTGAGATGGAGTCTCACTTTGTTGCCCAGGCTAGAGTGCAGTGGTACCAATCTCGGCTCATTGCAACCTCTGTCTCCTAGGTTCAAGCAATTCTCCTGCCTCAGCCTCCTGAGTAGCTGGGACTACAGGTGTGCGCCACCATGCCTGCCTAATTCTTTTGTATTTTTAATAAAGACAGCGTTTCACCATGTTAGCCAGGCTGGTCTTGAACTCCTGACCTCAGGTTATCTACCAGCCTCAGCCTCCCTAAGTGCTGGGATTACAGGCGTGAGCCACCGCACCCAGCTCTCCTTGTCTCTTAATGCTTGACTCTTCTCTACTGTGACCCTGCAGTGCATCTGCCTGTTTATATTCCCTGGATATCGGGCTGTCTGTCTGTCTTCCAGCTGCCTTCACCCCATCCTTGGTTTCCTGGGCTGTCCAGTAACGAGCCTGGGACCTCTTTCCCATCAGAGTGAGAGGACCCCTTTGTAGCAGGGCAGCCTCAGAGACCCCCATCCATGACTCGCTTCCATTCTCTGAGCCTCCTCCTGAATCACTTTACTCCTTGGGGTCCCTCTGCCCAGCCCAGGAGGCAGGAACCCTCAGAGCCACATGGGCAGGGTGGCTGTTTGCTGCCCTGAGGACCAGGTCCCGGCAGCCTCCCTTAATGAGCGTGCCTTCGGTGACACATTCATTATTCCTGCTCGGTCACTTCGAGTCAAAACTGATTAGTTACACTTACCACCGCAAAGATGTAATGATTTTATTGTTTATCTTCAATTTATTTTGATTAACATCTCCGTTCTTTTCATTGCAAGTGCAATTAGGTGCAATCTAACAGCGACTACTTTAATTTTGTTGAAATTAAGATGAATAAGTGACGGCTTATGGTGCTTTGTTTAACCAATAAATCATAGTTAAGAGGAGTGTATTAGTAATAAATGAAAAAAGACAACTTAATTAAAATGCGTGGAGCCAGCCTCTTGATGTACATCCAAAATCCAAATCTGAATTCCAAAAATCAGAGGGAGCTGAGGGTTAGGAAGACCCTTGCTGCCTCTCAAAATGGTGACCAGAGGAGACAGACGGTGTAGCCTAGTTTTGAGACTGCTGTGCAGAGAAGAGCAAGGAGTACATCTTGATCCTCATGAGGTGGTCGCATCTTGTCCACAAAAGCCACCTGGAACCCAGGTAGAAACAGACTTGGGAGGATACAGGAAGAGAGGCCTTATCCCCCCTGGGGACCCTGGGGACGGAGGGGGGGTAGGGGGGCACTGGCTGCCAAGCCCACACCCTGAATTCTTCCTGGGAACCCATTTCGGGCAGGGGACAGGGCCCCACACCCCTACATCTGGGGATCAGCCCATTTGCCCTATTGAGGAGCTCAGTGCCAAGCCAAAAACCCTAGGGCAAGTCTCGCAGTGTGATCGCCTCCCCGCTGGGCTGAGAGGGACTTCCCCATCTCTTGATTTGGAAACAAAGTGCAAAAAGTCAGCCCTGGAAAGTTTCCCGTGTGAAGTTTAAAAGCGCCTGTGCTGAAGAGGCCGACTTTGAAGCAGCTTGCCGGGGCCCCTTGGCAGGCTCCTGCGAGTCAGAGGGCCGGCCTCGCCTCAGATCCGCTGCGCCTGCCTCCGCAGGGCTGGGAAATGGGAATTGTTTTTAAGTTGAAAAATTACTCATGGAGCTCACTCCTTTGCCACTGCTCTTCTTTTGTTCTCAGTCGTCGCCTTCCTCTGCCTTCTCCTCCTCTTTTGCTTCCTCCTTTTAGTAAAGAGGAGCAGGCGGACCAGGGTTCAAATCCGGGCGCAGGCTCTTACTGGCTGTGTGACCTCAAGCCTGTGACGCAACCCCTCTGGACCCTAGCGCTTTAACAGAAAAGTGGGGCCAATGGTGCCCTCGAGGCGGGGCGCTGTGGAGGTTGGCCCAGGGAACTGCACAAAAGTGCCCAGCACCTGCCTGGCCCCAGGAGGAGGAGCCCCAGAAGCATCAGCTCCCTCCCACTACAGAGCCCTTTGCCTCCTCCTTACAGAGCTTCAGAGGCAGGTCTCCTCCCCCTTTCTTGTGGCTCTCTGAGCTCCTACTGAGCCTTCATCCTTCTATGTTTAAACTCCACTTTTCTTTTTCATCCTCCAAATACGTGTTTCTGAGTGTCTGCCTTGGTGCCAGGCACAGTGCCACACCCTGATGATGATGCGAGGTGAGAAAACACACGATGGACCTGCCCTCAAAGAGCTTCCAGCCCCATGCCTCAGGTCCCCCATGAGACTCCTTCATCATGGTCATTGCATCCCTGTGTGCTCAAAAGTGTCTTCCCAGAAAAAGGAGTGCTTTGTGAGGACAGGGGCCATGCCCAGCACAGGGCCTGGCACACAACAGGGGATCAGTGGCCAAGGACGATGCCTCCTGTGGGCCTGACTTTAAGGGCACAAACAGAAACCAAGCCTGAGTGTGTGCTGCCAGGGAGGCCCTCGGGTGGGGGCATGGCTGTCATAGTAGGCAATGACATCTTTGGGTGCACAGTGCTGGGACATAGCAAAGGAGAGGACAAGAGATGGCAGCCCCCAGGAATAACCAAAGGCAAAGAATGAGTCTGCATGCTGGCCTGGCTTCTTCCTTCCAGCTCAGAAAAGGGGAAATCGGGACTCATGTGGTTGAGGGTTCATGAGAGCAGTTTCTGTGCGCTGAGGCCGGGACTTCCCAGCACAGCCTACAAGACACTGCCTGCCCACGCCTGGCCCCGCCCACCTCTGCAGCCTCATCCCGCTCCCCACCCCACACCGGCCACTCCGGCTTTCGCGCTGGCCTTGCTCCCTCGTGCCAGGAACGCTCTCCCTCCACCACCTCTTTTAGCACCCCCTGCCCACTTCCTACCAACTGCAATCCTGGTGCCCCAATTGACTTCAGGTCTCAGCTTCGATGTCATCACACTTTGGGAAAGGCCTTCCTGAGCCCCAGACCAGGTCAGTTTCCCTGGATATCTGGTCTTATCGTACTCTATATGTTCCATGGCACTTGTATAACTGTCATGAAATTCTGTAATTGCTGTCCACAGTCTGTCTGCCTCCTAGAATGCAAGTTGCATGAAGGCAGAGACCATGCCTGCCTCGTGAATTGCTGTTTCCTCAGTGCTAAGCAAAAAGCTTGAATAAAAGCTGGACAGAATAAATAACCTGTGGGCTGGGCACTTTATGGATTCCACGAATGATCTCAATGGCAATCCTGAAAAAGAGGTGGTTATTGCTCCCATTTCACAGATGAAGAAACTGAAACTTGGAGCAGTGTGACTTACCTAAGCAAGTGGTCTTGAACTCACATCTCTCTGACTCTGAAGCCACACTCGGTCCGGGAAACATCCCTGAAGCTTAAAAGCCAATCATGGTGTGATGGGGAATGGGGAGGGAAGGAGGGAGGGTAGATTTTTCTCCTGCTTGGGTCTAAGGACAGCGAGAGAGCATTGCCCCTCTGCTTGGTGTCAACCAGGGAGGAACCAGCAGGTGACAGGGCCTATCAGATCCAGCTTAGGTTGTGCCCACTCAAAACCTGAGGACAGGGGGAGGGGAACCACAGTCACTTTTCAGGAGGGGCTTTAGGGACCCTGGAGGAAACCACCATTAACTTTTCCCGCGGAACTGGCCTCTGGTACTTGTCCTCGAGGCTGAGGAAAGGTGTTTTGTGGGGCACACATGGCACCCAGCGAGCGCTGGGTGGCCGCTGCATTTGAGGAGGCGTGAACTTCAACAGGGGACCACAGGCACGGGGCACCTCCTGCGTCCCCCATCGCCACCCCACCTAGAGCTGCTCATCAACTCCTTTTAGAGACAGGAAACTGCAGCCCTGGCGGGGAGTGACTTGTCCGAGGTCTCAGAGCAGGGAAATGGCTTCAGTTGCATTTTGGGGGCCGCTGTTCCAAGGAGAGACAGAGAAAGAGATAGCGAGTCCCCCTGAGCAAGGCGAGAAAGGGGGGAGAGTGAGGGGAGGTAGAAGGAAGCCGGAGAGGGAGGGAGGAAGTGGTGAGAGCAGCCGAGGAGAGAGGGGTAAGAGAAAAAGAGAGAGGCAGTGAGGAAGAGAGCCGGGGACAGCCAGAGAGGCCGGGAGAGGCGAGGAAGGAGGCAGAGAAACGCCGCGGAGACCGGGAGATGGAAAGAGACAGGGGGAGGCGGGCGGGGACGGCCGGGGGGACCGGCCGGTGACAGCCACGGAGCGGGGGGCGGGGGACGCCGAGCGCTAGCGGGCGCGGGACGGCGGCGGGCGGGGTGGGGAGGCCGGGGACGCGGGGGACGCGGGGGACGCCGCGCCGCCCCCTCCCGGCGCTCGCCGCCGCCCCCGCCCCCGCCCCCGGCCGCACGCGCCCGCAGCCTAATGACCGCAGCCAGCCCGCGCCGCGGCCCGCGCCCACTCCAGGCGGCCGGCAGCTGGCAACGCGGGGCGAGCGGGGAGCCGCGCGCCGCAGCCCGGGTGGCCGCTCCCGGCGCCCGGCTGGCCCTGATTGATTTGTCAGCCGAGGCAAGAAAAACGGCCCCTCTGATCCGCGCGCCCAGTCCTCGGCTCCCCGGGCGCCGGGCCTCCCTCCCGCGCGCCTAGCCCGGCTCCGGGCCGGCCCCGCAGGCTGGAGCACCCCGCCCGCCTCAGGAGGGAGCCCTCCGCCCTCCGGCCCGGGCCCCGGCGCCCCTCCCCGGCCCCGCGCGCCGCGCACCTCCTCCGGCTCGGCCCGGCCCGCCCGAGGGCCCTGGGGCTGCCAACGGCCCCCTCACCCCCGCTGGGCACCGTGCCCGCGCCCCCAGCCCTCACCCTGCCGCTCCCCCCTAGCCCGGCACCCCCGCCCCCCGCCCCCCGGCCCTGGCCCGGGGCCGCCCGCAGAGCCGGCCACACCCGCTGCGGAGGACTCACCAAGGTAAGGAAGCGCCTCGGCGCGCCCCGGGGGCCTGGAGGGCTGCGCGTGGTGCGGGGAGGGCCACGGCAGGCACCCGCGGACCCGGACCGGGAACCGCCGCTGCCACTGAGCCGGGAGCACGGGAGGGCCCCGTCGGGCCGGGAGGGCTTTGGGCGAGTTGGGCTTGTCAAAGGGAGGACCTGGTGGCAAGTGGCTGGCAGTTGCCGCTCTGTCTGGAGCGTGGGGGAGTCTCACGCTCAGGTACAGAGATCTTCTGTCCAGATCTTTTTCTCTTTTAAGGAATTCTCTTCCTCTGTCACTATCCTCTCCGAATCCCTAAAATTTTATAGACATTATTTTCCAGTGTCTCTTTTGAGGAATCACCTCTTTGCCACCCTTCTTCTCAAGCAGGAGTCTTTTCCCATTCCTCTTCCCCAATTAAGCACATCCCCTCCCTCCTCCAATTTAGAAGGATTTTCTTCCTCTTTCTCACTCCCCAGTTTAAAAGGAAATTCTCTCTCCCCACAATTTGGAACCACCTTCTGTGGCTCACTTTCCCATTTCCAAGGCTAGACCCATTCCTATGCTGCCCTTCACCCCCATAATCCTGGCTGTGCAGATCAATTTGTCTTCAGCTGGAGGGATCTACCTTGTGTTTTTCTAGTGCAGGGGCCAGCTGTGGGGACTCCTCACCCAAAGCAGGGCACCAGCAATCCGTAGTAGCCCGCAGGAAAGGGGCAGCTGCCCAGCCGCAGCCCAGGTGCAAGGGGCATTTGTTTCCACGGGGCAAGCAAGGAAGACTTTACCCTGAAACAAAGAATTGAGACCAACCGAGACTGTCCCAGCCTCTTCGACGGCAGAGGAATCCCAGCTTCTGGACTGAGGGGCTACATCTATCCCCCTCCCCCACCTCTTTAACTTTAAAATAGTTTAATGAACACAGAGAGAGAAATCATTTTTTTTTTTCTGCGTGGTGAGCAGTCTACAAAGAGAAATGGGAAAGGAGGGAGAGAGCTTTAACTCTGATCCCCGCAATTAGTTCCCTGGGATTGTTGGTGTGTGTGTGGGGGGGGCAACCCGGGAGCCTCAGTTCTTCAGATACAAAAGCATTTAGATCGCTTTAGACCGGTTAATCCTGAGTCTGGCTCGGGTCTCTTTTGTTTCCCAACTCCATTGTGGGTTTTGTGCAGTTTCTCTCTGTTCGCGTGATTGACTAGCCAATAGATGGTAATTATCCAAATGTCCCCTCTGTCCTTTGACTGACTTCTCTGTATTATGGGCAACTGTCATGCATTCTGTCATTCCATATCATATTACACATATTATCATATGAAGTCTCCCCCCACCCTTTAAAGGAGGGAGCCTCAGCCCAGATGCTGCTGCTTTTAAAAGGAAGGGCCCCGAATAATTTGTGCGGGGCACGGTCGGGAATACAGAGCAGGGGACTCCCGAGATGGGAGGTTCTGCAGGTAATTTGTTTTGCTGGCTGGGGGTAGGGGGGGTAGGGGTGGTCTCTGAGGTTGGAGTTATAAGAACTGTGCTGGGGGCTTGGAGCACGCTTGTGCCAGCTTGTATTCCTCTGCCCAGGATCTTGGAGTAGTTTGGATGGATCTGGGATACCTTCTGGAGAAACTTGGAATCCATTTTTTGACCCCAGAATATCAGAAAAATCTGCAGGATCGGGTCCTTTGGGAGTAATTAGTTCTTAGCGACACATGCTCAAGACAACAACCCTTGGGATCCCAAAATATATCTCTTCTACCTGTGGCCCCTCACAGGATCAGTCCTTTGGACTCTTGCCCCGGTTTGCTGCCAAGCAGGCTGGGGATGGAGGAGCCAGCTGTGTCTGTTTCAAACCCCCACAAGCTGATGCTGAAGCTCTGAGAAGGGACAAGCTTTTCCAGTGATGCTTTTGCACAGATAAACTTAGTGCCCCTTGGTGCAATTGTGCTTGCCATCACTTAAGAGGGAGGCAGGATTTATAACAAGGAGACTTTGCAGGCAGAGACTCTGGGGTCCTCTGAATCTGTGGGCAGGACTAGCCTTTCTTTTGCTAAAATGTGAAAAAAGTGTTTTATTATTGCAATGGATATGAAGTGCCGCCCAGATGTACAGCCTCGCAGGCAGTTAATTACCTTGTTCTTCATCAAATATATGAGCAATAAATTCTCCAGGAAGGGAAATGTGTGTGTGTGTGTGTGTGTGTAGATAAATAGGTGGATAGATAGATAAATGCAGGAGAGAGAAAAACACACTCTTTTAAGACCACAGAAAGAGGCAGACTATTTTATGGGAAGCTTGATACACTGCTGCAAGATGCTTTGAATTTTTCAATGATCAAATATACATGATCAAGCTGTGCATGTTAGGGTGCGAGGTGCACCGACGGTCAATGGCTATTGATCAGGCTGTTAAGTATTTCTGTTCAGTTTTATAAATATAGATGGATCCCAGATGATTTAAACAACTAGATAGTTAAGAAACTAGCCTTCTACATTTCTTTGGAGAAGGGGAAATGGCTGGTCAGTTGCATAAACCCAAACCATTGTTCACCCCCATACTTCCTCCCTGCCCCCAAAATACCTTGGAAAATGTGAGGCTCATTTTCAAGAGTGTTCAAAAATAGAGTAAAAATATTCCAGATGTTTTGTTTGGGGTCTGCCAATAATAGTCACCTTACCTGAGCCTGGCCTTATTCACAGGCTGGGAGTTTTCTTCTCTCTCTTTCTCTCTCTCTCTCTCTCTCACACACACACACACACAATTTTGCAACCACAATTTTGATCCAGACTGCCAGAGAGATGGGGAGGGTGCCATTTCTAGGAGTGGGTCTAAGGTCCCTAAAACCCTTCTGGTTAGGAACCTGGTAAGCCAACCACATGACCCTTCCCAATGAACTAATTTCTCACTAGTCTAAAGATCTATTTAGAAAGGTGTGGAGGGGGTGAAGGATGGAGATTTAAAGGTAACCTCTAATTGGTCTGGAAAAATTAAGCTGATGACACCTTGAAAATCTCTCTGTTTCTTTTTCATTCTCTGTCTCTCCACCATCAAGAGATGACATCTTGAAAATCTCTGTTTCTTTTTCATTCTCTCTCTCTTTTCTATTTTTCTCTGATATTACCTTCTAGAAATTAAAAGTGGACTTGAAAGAAAAGGGCAATGAAAAACAGTGGGGGGAGGAGAGAAAGCGAACTTTTTATTTTTTTTTTTGTGGTGCGTAGCAATCTTAATTATAACCACCCAATTAGCTATTTTGTATTTTGTAAAAGGATTCAATAAATCAGCCTTCTCCCAGATCGGTAAAACTTAAGCATACAGACAATTGATAGTTATGTTTTGTTTCCACATCTTAAAAAAACAAAGTGAAGATTTTTGATTTTTCTATCTGCAGACCAGTCTTTACCAGCTAAGTGCCCCTCACCAGAGGAGCTGAGGCATCCCTATTGATAAAACCCCCTGGAAATTGAACCAAAATTGGCATCCCTCAAAAAAGTTGATCCACCTAGAAACGGATGAATCAGTCCTGATTGGGTGGACATGCCCTTTCACCTCATTGTGTCTGACCTATCACTTAATTAATCTCTCCCAGAGCAGAGCTGTTGACAATACCAAAGATAAGCAGTATTTTGAACAAAGCAGGAAGCTTTTAAAAGAACAAGCCACAGTGAGGTTTGAGGCTCTTAAAAATGTGTAAATCATCAGCATTAGGATGTAAGGTACCTTTATAACGTAGCTGAAGCTCAGAGATGATCCCACCTTTGCCAGAAACTTTCTGTGCCTTTCTTTAGCCATGGATGTCTTTAGACATTCATATTCTGCCTCTCCCCTCTGCTGCTGGTTCCCTTTCTCCTGTCTTTCCCTTTCTCTGGATTCATACTCTCCATGGCTACTTTCCTGAAAATTGTTCTCTGCTTTCCAGCCTTGCCTTTGGCTCTTCACATCCTTTTTTTAGTGTTAGGGCTGTCGAGGTAGTCAGCTTCTAAGGCTTTGGGGGACAAACTATCGACTGCATCTGCTGGTACCTATGAAGGAGGACATTTGTGCTGCAGGCACCTTGGTGACATACAGGGAATAGTTCATTAATTAAAAGACTTGCTAATTGCTGCTTGAATTACTGTACAGAAGGAATGAAATGAGTTTGTAAAAGATGACGATTTGGAGAATGCATTTTTTTTTGTTTAAAATATTTTTATAAACAGCTCCTAGAAAATGTGTTGCTTTTGCTGTTGACTCTATCGTCAACAATTCAACTGAGCTTCAATTAATGATAATATATGGTCTGGGATCCTTCGCTGGGCCCGACTGATGGAAGAGCTTTGTTGAATTTGGTGCAGGTGGCACTGTTTAATAAGCACAGGAAAGAGTGAATAATGTAGTGCTTGCAAAGAGAAGTAAATGCAAAATAGATCGCTCTAATTATGGCAGCCCCCAGAAATGGAGATGCAAGCTGAAATGGCCAAGTAGCTGGGAAATTCTAAATAGTGTCGATTGTCCCCTGCCTTTTTACTTTCGAGGGCTGACATGGTAGCTTAAAAGTAAATTTGGGTGAGCTCATCTCACTCAACACAAACAGAAATTCAAAACCTGAGTCTGATGACCTATCAATGTTTGCCTTCACTGTCTAGAATCCATTACCAGATAGTAAAACTCAGCACTAAAACAGGGCCATCTGAACATTTCTTCCTGCAAGAGATCGGCACAAGCTCTTTACAACTAGCATTTGTATTTTATTGCAAAGTGCCAGGAGATTTTGTTTTTGTTTTTGTTTTGTTTTGTTTGAATTTCTTTATGCTTGAGAAAATTAGCCTATAGGAAATCAAAGTGTGAATACTTAAGCAAACAGAATTTCTCATATACCTGCAAGGGCTTGTAGTGATTTTCATTCATGCAAAGATAATCAATGGGACATTAGTTGTTTTAATTAATGGAAGAATAAAAATGTTGGGGAGGGGTGCCAAGGGACTGGGCTTCAGCTGAAGCATGTGTGGGAAATGACTCATTCCTCACCTAAAGAGACAATGCCAACTTCCCAAAAGCAGGAGAGATTTGCTAATCAAACCAGTGGAAAGTTGGACTTGGGTGTGGGAGGGGTCCTGTTGAAAGTGTAGGGGGAGATATGGTGGTCACACTGGGCATTTTTCCTCCCCTGCAACCTCAGTGTTCCCCTTGGAAAACTAACACATCCTACATCATCTTCTAGGAGAGGAATTGTCTTACTTCCTAGGAAGTTGCACTTTGTGCTGGGAGCCTAGCATGCTTTGTGATGGTAAAATAGTGCCAGTGGCTGGGAAGCTCAAATCAACATTCTTTAGCCTGGACTAAAGAGAGGCTGGGGCTGAATGGGTGTGCTAGACATGGGGTGATCTGTAAAGCGTGGCTCCAGCAAGTGGGTAGAGACCCTCGTCCTCTGATTGAGAACCCAAGGAGGAGCCAAGTCCAGCATCTTTAGCTAAAAACTCCTTTTTTGTTATGTAGAAATGTTTACCAAACCCAACTCCAGTCAGTGCTGGCTGGGCACTCCAGTCGATTGGTGTTAGCGTATGGGAAGCTCATAAAAGCTTTATGGGGAAACCTGTGCTTAGAAATGGAGTTTAGAGGTGTCCTGCTGTCAGAGAAGGATGGCAGAGATGCCTTTGAATGAAGAAGGCTGTGATAGGAAAAATTTTTAGTCTCAAGTGCATGGAAATATGAGTTGTCAGACAGTCAAGGGTTCATCTGCTTCCTCCTCTTCCCCCGTCCCCACTTTTTCCATACAAAATCTTTTGGATTCTCCTCTAAGCAAAATGTGGTTTCCTATGTGAGGAAATTTGTTGCTAGTTTTTCTTGTGCTTCAACCTGAAAGGCTGGCAGAGCAACCAGGTTAGCAAAATGGCCCTACTAGTACTGGATATCATTCTGGGCTAGATTAAAAAGAAATGATTGTCAATAAATGACTGTAGTTATACCAGTTGGGGAAAAAATGGCATCTTTTTGCAACATTTACCTTTTTTGGTTTTGCTTCCAGGGAAATTTACATCATTGCATGGAAATTAGCCGTGAGGGGATGCAATTAGCTATAGTGTATTTTGTTATAATTGTTCTTTCAGAAAAATCTGATCTGACAGATTTATATTGTTGACAATGTGATTTAAGCAGGACCTAGATACATACTTTCTGCACCCTAATCAATAATGGTAAATCCTTTTGCTGAGGTGAACAATCTCTGACCTAGTATTCATATTTCTTTTACCAATTCCCTGTAATAAAATTGAACATTTTGTCACCACTTTGAGAAACACTGCCAAACACCTTAAAACACATGTCACATGCCAGCAGCCCCTCATTTCCCTCCTCCGGGAGTTTCTACATCTGGAATCATAATCACAGATAAAAACCTTGACAAAATTGCATCTGAGCACATTCCTCTCCGCAGCCTTTACTTTCTCATAACATTTAATACAATATTAATACCTGCTACTGAAAAGCAGGAGGGAGGAAAAGGGCTGCCAACCTCCACGTTTCCTGATGCATCATGTTCAAACCTGAAATTCACACTTCGTGTTTCATTTTAAGTTCAGTGCATTTAACAGGGCCCTAGAGAGAGAGCCCTGGTTAGTTCCCCAACCTGCTCAGCTGACGCCCAGGGAGGCGGTTTCAGAATTGTTCAGATCGCTGCAGGGAGAAGAGGAGGAGGAATTGGGCTTCTCTCTGCCTGCAACAGGCCAAGCCACTTATCTATTCTAATGTCACAGACACGGGGTTCCTCTTCGGAAACAACTAAGGCTCCACTAATTTTTATTGTCGATAGCGGTGATAAGCAGATTTTCTGTGTAGTGTGACCAAGGCAATGAGCTGATTTCGTAAAGAAAGAGATAGCTATGCCTGAACTGATTTACTGCTGACTGACAGCCTCTCGCATCAATATAAAACACTCCCTGCTTTGCTGAATGAGGCCCACAAGCCTGGGAAAGGTGTGTGTGTGTGGGTCCTCATTGAAGATACAGAGCTTTTCTGCTCTCCCTGTGACTCAGCCTCACCCCACCCTTTCTTGGAGATAACCCTAACCCTGCATTCCTGTGCAGTGGCAAGGAATCACCCTTCCTCTGCCTTACAAACAGGAGACAGAGGTTAGAGAGAAGGGGAAAGTGCAGGAAGCATATCCCACTGGGGGTTTCCTGGGGGCATGCATGCTACTCTGGAGATGGACTTTTGCATGTTGGTGGCTTTGTTCAGTCCCTGCCACTCTAACCAGAATTGGGATTGTGACAGTCCAGGAGTGTCCCCTCCCTTTACAAAATGTAAACCTCCAGGATTCTGGAAGGTTTAAATTGGTAACATCTCTAACAGCAGCCTCAGTGCAGAGGGGACACACACACACACACACACACACACACACTTCCCTGAGCATTCCCACTTTGGTAAGGAAGGAGTATAATTTGCTGAATGGTGCAAGCAAGCCAGGAGGACAGAAGATGTTACACTTTACTCAGGGAACAGAGGCGGGCAACTGGCCCTGTGACTGCAGCCAACAGCTTTAAGAACACAGTCCTTTCTGCTTCAAGGTTAGGGAGACGTTCTCGCCTCTTTCTTCTTTGCAGTTATTATTCAAGAGGCTTCCCCCGACCCCAGTCCCCAGCACCATCCTCAGAGCTTCAGACCATACATTGACAGTGAGCAAAGGGGGCCCCAGGCAGGCGGGTCTGGGGCCAAGGAGGGCGGCTCCCCTGCGCGGATCCTTCCCTGGTGGCTCCCAAATCCGGCGTTTTCTCTGCCGCCTCTCCCTCGGGGGAGACTCGGAAAGGCTGCAAAAATCTGGGCGCCCGTTCGCTCGCTTGTCAAGAAGCAAACTGTCTTCACATTCTCCAAGAGCAACATCCCTGCCTAGGAAGAGGAAGGAAGAGGCAAAATAAATAAAACCAGTTAATGTTGTAGTTAACTTGCAAATCAAGTAAATCTGTTGGTGCCGTATTTGAGAAATAAACCATCACAGCGTCACAGCAAACACACACTTCTGAACGTCTTCATTTTGATTTAATGGTATATCAGCGTCAACTATCGCTTCCTCTGCTGGTACACACGGCCTGATGCCGCGGGAGGAGGGTGCCCATGTTTATCACCGAGTGAGATGACTAATTACACCTTGTCAATCACCGGCTATGAAGACATAAAACCAGCGCGCACAATGAAGTAGTTGCCTGCAGCGTCAATTAGTTGGCGATTCTGAGGTTATTGCGTGGCCCTGCTTTGGCCGCCTCTAATAACGGGACAGAGCGCCGGGCACCGCGCACTGATCAATCACCCTCCTTCCGCGGCCGCCCGGCTCCCTCCCCTCTCCCCCGCCGGGTCTGGCCTCACTTTCTCCGGGCGGCTTGCGCTTCCTCCCTCCGCGGCCCCGGCTCCGTGGCGCCGGCAGCCCCGGGAGCCCCGGGAAGTTTGCGCGCGGCAGCTCCGCAGCCGGCAGCCGGGAGCCCCGCAGCCTTCGGGGAGCGCCGGGGCTGGTGGCCCCTTTGTTGGAGGAGGCGTGGAGGGAGCGCTTTTGTTCTGAGTTAGTCACGGTGGCCGGCTGGAGGCTGCTACCTCATTATGCGCCGGGTCTGCTTGTCTGCGAGGAAGCAGATGGTGGGGAGGTAGGCAGCGGCGAGAGTGGCCAGACCTGAATTCCGTTCACCTGTCACCTCCCACAAAAGGCAGGTTCGGGGGACTTAGGCATTCGTTGCCACTTTCTGGGGGAGGGGGAGGTCGAGGGGCCGCCGTTTCCGGCGCCTGCGAAGGTTCCGTACCTGTCGGTGCCCGCTCCCCCCACCCCTTGCCTTTCCCTTGGCTGCAGCTTCTCGCACCGCGTAAATGTCACTCACGTGTCAGGATGTGTGTTTACAGCCTGTTCCTCTGCTTGTTTAGTCTCGGCGGACAGGGCTCAGCGGTTGCGCGACGTTCCCCGCCGCTGGGGGAGATTAGCAAAGTTACCCGCCTCTGGACCCCGGGGCCTGGGCCCCTAGATCCCGCCCCGCGGCGGGAGATGCGTTTGAGCCTTTTACAGACGGAGCGCGTCCCAGCCTGACGCAGAGGGATGAATAGACAAGCGCACCGGGCGGGAATCCCGACTGCCTGTGTATCTGGGGTCGGCCCAGCGTTGGACGTGGGCTGCTGGTCCGAGAGGTGGCGACGGAATCGCGTGCCTATATGTATGGGGGAGTGGAAAGTCGCAGGGTGTGTTTCCACGTTTCTTGAGCAGCCCGCGGCAAGAGTTGCTGAGTACCCCACCCCCCGCCCCCAGATCCTAAGGCAGCCCCTCGAGCTTTCCAAACGTATTGTATCCAGCCCTCCCGAGAGTGGAGTTGCACCAAGGACAAACACTCTAGCGTCATTACAAATTTTTTCTGCCCCTTGGGCGACCTCCAGATGAACCCTGGTGACTCTCAGATTGGATTTTCATTCCTTACTTTCTTTGAAAGAAAGTGCCCCAGATGCGTCAATAAAACATGCCTATGTATTCGTGTAGGCGTCCGCATGCCTGCGCGCCGGCCGTGTGCAGGCGCCGAAGCACACGTCTGTGTGAACACACGGGCACGCGCGTCTTTGGGTTTAGTGGTCCTTCCCTCGCGTTGGGGCATCTGTACACATGCAGAATATACACATATGATTGTAACTTCAAGTTTTTTCAATTATGCAAAACGACCTCGTAGGAGCACTTGCAGTGATTTAAGTAGAATCGCCTGAGCACGCAAGTGCAGGTATAACGTGCAATTTACCATTTTGCAGTTGCATCCTTCTTCCCAGCTCTAGACACTTACACCTGATGCGCATGTGTAAGACCCTAGCTCTTCAGTGGTGCTGGCTGTGATTTTGCCAACAGAGATAAAATTCGTGCTGGCTGTGTTATTGCCAACAGAGATGAACATGTGTATTTGCACACATGAACACAAGTTCATGTGCTTGGGCATTACACGCATACATATATTTGTGCACACATATATTTGTGTGTGAAAGTTACTTACACACGTGAAAAACATGATTTCATGCCTCAACTCTGTACCCTGTGAGGTAAACCGCAGGTCCTGACTATCCCCTTACCTGTCCTGGCAAACAAGTCATTTCAGACTGACACCCGCCTTGTCCCTATTAGACGGAGCCAAACCTGCCTCCGAAGCAGACCCAGATGGGACTCTGTAACCGAAGTGCTTATTCAGTTTTTGTCTACAATCATTTTATTTCCTAAATCCCTCCCCCACCAGACACCTGGGTATTTCCCTCCAGTCCCCAGGAGACTCTAGGGTGAGCCTGAAACCTGGAGGCTGGGGGTAGCAGTTGGGATTTACCCAGCACGCTACTTTGTTGGCCCCTGGGGAGGTGGTGCAGCCAGGCGGGTAAGGAGGACTCGCGCCATCAGCGGGGTCTGAGACATGGTGTGCCCAGTGGGCAGAGAATAGGCCTGTGGTTTTTAAGAACCTCACTGATATCGAATGTGTCTTGGAGTGAGAAAGTTTTTAATGGAAAAGGAGCAAGAGAGAGTAATGAAATAATTTGCTAAGTGCCTACTATGTTCCAGGCATTTTACATCCACAGTCTCTTTCAATCAACACGTCCATGCGGAGGAGAGCTTCTTGTCGCCCATTATAAAGGTCAGAAACAGGCTAAGGGAGGATAAGTCACTGCCTAAGGTTACAGTGCATGTAAATGGCAGAGCTAGGATTCGAACCCTGGCCTTTCTGAGTTCCTAAAGCCATGCTCGCCCCCACTCTTCCAGGCTGGGGAGAGACCGGGAAGAGCGAGAAGCTACACGCTGGGCTGCAGATTGGGCCCTAGCGGGCTTGGAGCGTGGATATGCTGGCTGGCCCCCCTCCCCGGGAGTCACAGCTCTCGCCGGTCTCGCCACTCAGGCTCTGCCGGGTACCCAGGAGGCTTGCACGGCCGCCTGCAGCCCGCTGTGCAGAGCCCGGGCCGAAGGCGGAGCTCGATGGGAAACGGCCGGCCGAAGGCTCTTGCAACTCTGCCACAGGCCTGCCTTCCCGGGCCTCCCAGGCGGGTGCCTGAGGCCGCGGCTCCAGGCCGAGGGGAGACCGCAGTGAGACGAGCATCCCCTTGCTGCGCCTTCTTAGGATAGAGGGTTTAATTTTCCTTTCTGAAGATATCGCAGGAAGCTGTTCGTATCTTAAAAACTCCAAACCCCGCGCTCTCCCTCCTCCCTGCCTCCCCCCCACCCCCGCCCTCCAGCCTCGCCCACCAGCTCCCACCATCTCGACTCTCCTCTGCTCCTCTTGCCTCTCCCCTCCCTCTTGGGTCTCCCGCCTTCCCGGAGCACGCGCTGCCAGGGCCTGGGGCGCCGAGCGGCCAATGGCACGGCGGCAGGACGTGATGTCAGGCGCGGCTGTAGAAAAGGCGCGGAGGCTTGCGCTGGCGCGGACTGCAGAGCCGGGGCTGGGCTAGGCGCGCGCTTGGAGAGCATTGCGCGCGGCTGGGCCCGCGGCCGGCGGCTCCTCCTCCCACTCTGCTCCTCCTCTTTTTTCTCCTCCTCCACCTCCTCCTCCGCCTCCTCCTCCTCCTCTTCCTCCTCCTCTTCAATTCTCCCGGTGGCTCGACTCGGCTCGCAGGCTTCGGAGAAACCCCTACTCCAGTCGCCGACTCAGCGCCCAAGAGGGTCGCCTTGGGCTGGGGGCGCACCCCAGGGAGGGGAGGGGTCCAGGCAGCTGGGCCGCCGCGGACACCTAGCGGCTTCAGGGTGAACCCCGACCGCAGCCGTCGCCGCCTCGGGCAGAGTTTGCGCCCTTGCTTTGCGCCCCGGGCGCTGAAGCCGGGCGGGCGATGCCCGCGGCGTGAAAGCGCCCGCGGCGGGCGCCGACCTCTGTCCTAGTCTCCTGCTCCCCCCGCCCCGCTTGTCCCGTGCCCTTGTGACCCTGGCTTTGGCGCCGTCGCCCAGGCGCCCCGCAATGTAGCTGCCCCTGCGCCTCGGCGGGAGGCGTCCTGCCCCGCGAGCGCCCGGGGCCCGGAGCCCGGCCTGGGGGCTCAGCCGAGCTCGGGCGGGGCCGGGGCCGCGGTGGCGATGCACCGGGCCCGTTAGCGCCAGGAGCGCCAGGCAGCTGAGGCGGGGGGCAAGCCCTCCCTCGGAGGAGCCGCGCCCCCGGCCCCGCCGGTCCCGCCGCGATGCTGTTCCACAGTCTGTCGGGCCCCGAGGTGCACGGGGTCATCGACGAGATGGACCGCAGGGCCAAGAGCGAGGCTCCCGCCATCAGCTCCGCCATCGACCGCGGCGACACCGAGACGGTAGGCGCGCGGCTGTGGGGTCGGGGCTGAGAGCTGGGATGGGGCCGGGCCAGTCAGCGCCTCTGCTCCCCGAAGTTTGGGGAGCGTCCTTCGTGCCGCACGGGACTGGGTGCTGGGGATCCTCGGTCAGAATGCAAGGCCGGTGGCTCCCGGTTCGGGGGAAACCCGGCTGCTGGGACGCAGAAGGGAAACAAGGTTGAAACCGAAATCTCGGCCCTGGGGGTAGAGGAGAGCGTTTCTTCCGAACTGGAAGCGAAGTCCCATCCGCGGCCCGGGGCGGCTCCCTTCTCACCTTGCCCGGTGCCGGGGTCGACAGCCCCGCGCTCTCCTCCACCTCTCGGCTCCGGTTGCTGGCGGCGCCGCGAGCGGCGCCAGGGAAGGGCGAACCAGCTGGGAGCATTGGGGCTCCAGCCGGCTTGGGCCGCTCCCAGCTTTCCGGCAATCGGGGATCCTCCTCAACCCCCAGCGCAGTTTCAGAGGCCGAAGTCTTCGGGGCCAACATTTGTCGTTGATCGCGTCCCCAGACCCTTGACTGGTCAGACTTAGCCAGGCCAGGGCTGGGAGTTCAGGCTCCGGCCTGGCCCTCGCCGAAGGAGACTCCATTTGGATCTCTACACCTGGCTCCGCGGGCCCAGCCCCAAATAGCCAGTTCCTCGCCTCAGGCCTCCCTGGGGGCCAGACGAGCAGACACTGCCCGACCAGCGGGCCCAGAAGTGACCTTTAGGAGGCCGCGGAGGTGGGGAGCACGGGAGAAGCTTCTCTGCTCCGGGAGCAGGAGCAGCGGCGCCAGTGTCCTCCCGGCCTCTGAGCGCTTCTTCGGTTAGACCTTCTCTGCTGGTCAGTTTGGATAGGGAAGTATTTGGGTTGAACCTGTCCTTCACCCACGGACTTTGAGGGTGTCCCTGCACCCCACTTACCTCATCCCCGGACCCAAGAGGGCCCCAGCCCGTGTGGCAGAGGAGCCAGAAGTTGGCTGACTTGTCCTGGCCTTAACCTCTGGTCTAAGGATCCAGGGATCACTGGAGCTGGGGCCCAGGAACTCCGCTGTCTCTCCAAAGAGGATTCTGTGTGGAGGGTGACTTAATGGTCACCTTATCCCCCGGGTGGCTCATTTAAGAAGCAGTTTAGGGAAAGCTCTTGGAGGGCTTGACTGGAGTAGCTGTCCTGGTCCCTAAACACAGCCCGAGCATTTTGGGGGAAAGGACAGGGAGGACTGGAAGGAAGAGAGGTAAGCACCAGAGCCATTTAGGCCAGGAGCCCGGCCTGGGCCCGTGGCTGGCGAGGGCTGCGCAGGCAGGCCTGGGTTCTGAACCGCCCAGAAATGGAAATGGGCCTTTTGGGGTGGGGGGAAGCGCGCCGCATGTCCTGGCAGCCCCCTCCGCGTTCAGGGTAGCCAAGGCCACAGAGGGAGTTGTGGGTGCCGGTTTCCCGGCGGCGGAGGGGCCGCTGGCTGACGCAGGCGCTGCTGTCTTCCGCCTCCCTCCCTTCGCAGACCATGCCGTCCATCAGCAGTGACCGCGCCGCGCTGTGCGCCGGCTGCGGGGGCAAGATCTCGGACCGCTACTACCTGCTGGCGGTGGACAAGCAGTGGCACATGCGCTGCCTCAAGTGCTGCGAGTGCAAGCTCAACCTGGAGTCGGAGCTCACCTGTTTCAGCAAGGACGGTAGCATCTACTGCAAGGAAGACTACTACAGGTAGCCCCCCCACCCAACTGCCCCTCAGGACCCCTCCCCCCAATCTCAGGCACAGTCTTACAGTTTGGCCCTCTCCTTTCCGTTTAGTCCCAGGAGAGGGTTCACTACTCAGGACTCCCCCGCTCCCCCCCCAAGTTCTCCAAGCCACCACAAGTTGGGTGATAACCTTTTAAAGCAGCAATTTGGGGAGCTCTTGGAAAGGTCTACGAAGTAGGAGAACCAGAAAAAAAGCAGAAGCTGCCCTCCTGCTCGGAGCTTAGACCACAAAAAAGCTTGAGTTGGGATCCTTGCTCCCCTCTCTCTTTGAAGTTTCTTGAGTTAATCCGAGGTTATAGAAACAGGCACCCCCAAACCTAGGCAGCCCAAGCTGGAGTGAAACACAGCTGGAAAGAGAGCTGTGGGAGTGGGTGCATTTCCAGGTCTTTTGAGAAAATGGGAATGAAAGGTGGCCAAGATCAAAGAACCAGAATCACTAGTAGACTCCAAGTTCTCTGTTTCTCCTTCTCCCCAGTTTTAGGATTAGGGTCTATGTATATTCTCTCTGTCTCTGTCTCTACGTCTGTGTCTCTCTCTCTTTCCCTGTCTCTGTGTTTCTTCCAAATTATAAAAGTCAGTAGGATTCCCAGGCGCTGGTTTGGAGGGAGGAGTAAAGGTTGAGGAGGGGGTAAGTGGTAAGTGTCTCCCTCCACTCCCAGGTAAAGGCTTTCCTAGGGCTTGCGGAGACTCTGGGTGAAGTAGAAGTCTCTGTAGGCATAAGTGTGTTAAGGGAAACTATTTTAGGACAGGACCAGGCCTGGGTCAAAATCTAGTTCTCTCTCCCCCCCATCCTCCAAATAAAGGCCGGGTTGTTCGTCTTGAGGAGGGGATTGCCCCCCGCAGCAGCAGCGGCACCTGGAGGAGGAAAAGGGGGGTACCCAACCGTGTGTTCCCACAGCCCCTCCCTCCATGGTCCCTACAGGCGCTTCTCTGTGCAGCGCTGCGCCCGCTGCCACCTGGGCATCTCGGCCTCGGAGATGGTGATGCGCGCTCGGGACTTGGTTTATCACCTCAACTGCTTCACGTGCACCACGTGTAACAAGATGCTGACCACGGGCGACCACTTCGGCATGAAGGACAGCCTGGTCTACTGCCGCTTGCACTTCGAGGCGCTGCTGCAGGGCGAGTACCCCGCACACTTCAACCATGCCGACGTGGCAGCGGCGGCCGCTGCAGCCGCGGCGGCCAAGAGCGCGGGGCTGGGCGCAGCAGGGGCCAACCCTCTGGGTCTTCCCTACTACAATGGCGTGGGCACTGTGCAGAAGGGGCGGCCGAGGAAACGTAAGAGCCCGGGCCCCGGTGCGGATCTGGCGGCCTACAACGCTGGTGAGTGCGCGGCGCACGAAGCGCCCCCATAGGGTTGGGGGAAAGTGTGCGGCCTCGACGGCCGGGAGCTGGATTGAATCTCTGTGTGCTGGGCAAATAGCGAGCCTTAAGCACCGGACGGCCTCGCAGAAGGGACATTAGCCCCCTGGGCTTCCAGACTGTGCGTCCTCGGCTGGAGCGGGAGGAGAGGGTGCAGTGGTCCCTTGCTGCTCCGGGTGCAGGGCCTTGTCTCTGATAAATTGTTTTTTTGGAGATGGCTTTTTGGTTTGGGCCTTTGCCCCACTTTGCTAGGCAGGAAGTGGCAGGGATGGAGAAAGCAAGGCGGCGCTGACGCCAAACAGGTTTTGGGTTGGCGCGGCTGAGGGCCGGGAACTGGGGCAGCGAAGGAACGAGGCAGGGCGGCGAGGGTCCCAAGAGAAAGGGCTGGCTGTGGCCCGGGGCGCCGAGCTCGGCCTGGAGTGCGGCCTGACCTCGTGAAATGTCCCAAGGGCGGCAGGCTTGGGGAACTCGGGCTTGGGGAACTCAGGAAAGCAAAGGCTGCGGTTCCTTTTGCTCGGCCCGATCCTCCTTTAAAGACAGGTCTCAGTTTTCCCGGACTTTTTCCTCCGAGTTTCCTGGCGCCTGCTGGGGTGAGGGCCGTGACCCTCGGAAGCGAGCCCCCCGGGCGGGGACGAGACCGGAGCAGGCCTGGCCTCGCGCCGGGGTGGGGTGGGGTGGGGTGAGGTGGGGGGCTTGGTTCGGATTTCCGGCATCTTTGAACCCCAGGCCATTCCCGGAGAAGCTCTGCCCCCTCCCGCGCCCCTCCCTGCTCAGGACAGCTGCAGAGGTTCTGAGTTCCGGCAAATGAGCCGTCAACATCTGCCCGAAGTCTGCAAGGCCCGGAAAGGTTTATGACTCTCCGGGCTTCCGAACTAGAGTTTATGTGCAATTATTTTCTTTCTTTCGTTTGCAACAGAATTAGATTTGGAGATTTTGTGTTCTTCTTCCTTTTCCCTTTAGTCTAATGCACAAGCAGAAAAAAGCAAAAACAAAAACAAACCCAAGACTGTGCAGAGGGTGCTACGGCGGGAAGAAGTCAGTTATTTTCATCTTAAAGAATCTGAGTTGAATAGAGAGGGAAATGAGGGGCGGGTGTTCGCTCCAACGAAATCGCTTGGAGGATCATGGGGCGTGTGTCCCTGTGTGCGGAACTGGGAGGAAAACGCAGCCCCCAGTTTGGTAAATGGTGAAGCAGCGGTAGGCCGGTCGGTGGCGCGGATTTAAGATTTGCTGAAGGCACTACCACAGATGTAGCTCTCTGGAACTTCCATCCCTCCTCTCCTACCACCCCCCAAAAAAAGACAAAACCGAGTTCAGACCGGCTCCCCCAACACCAAGCCGCTTCTATTTATCAAGTGGGTCAACTTCCACTCGGAAGCACCTCGCGGGGCTCGGCTCCAGGGCACCTGGTGGCTGGGGAGCTGTATTGTTTTCCTGGGCACGGAGGTTCGGCGCCGGTTTTAGGATTGTGCAAAAAGAGAGTAGAAGGTACAGAGATTTATTTCTGCTTTTTGCTGTTCAGCCGCCGTTTGCCCCAGCGAGGTGGGCTGGAGGCTGAATTTCAAGCCTTGTTTAACCTCTACAAGAGACACCCTCCATTCAGCCATCTCACTTTCTCTCTGGCCTCCCTCTCTCTTTTTTTCCTTTCCGTTCTCTCCGTCCTTTCTCTCTATCTCTGTCTCTGTGTGTGTCGTGTTTGTTCCCGTGCCCTCCTCTCCGACCTTGGCCGGGGCTCCTAGTCCTGAGAGAAACGGCGTTCGGTGCGCCGGCGGTGGCTATGCGGCTGGCTCTTTCGGGGCTCCCGGGACTAGGTTGGGGAAAGAGGGCATCTCCCCGGCCTCTCGGGGCCCAGCCCAGTCTTCCTAGATCTGGCGTCCGCCCTTCCCTCCCCTCCCGCACTGGCAGGAGAGAAATGGCCGCAGTGTGGGCCGCGGGGCAGCTAGGACTGGAAAGCGGGGACCCTGGAGGGTGCGATCGCGGACGGGGTGTGCGGGCGCGGGTCGTGTGCGTGTGCGTGCAGGGTTCCGACCACGGGGACACGAGCTTGTTTGTGGCAGTGTCCCACATCCTGTGGCCCAGCCACGACGACCCCTTGCAAAGCCTCTTGCTCTGGGGACAGTCCCTCCGAGGCGCGGCGGCACCTTACTGAAGGGCGGCGAGCTGGGGGCCGAGTGGGGAGGGGGCGCCGTCGGGGCGCCGGGCGCTGGGCTTACAGCAGAGCCGCGGGCCGCGGGGTCGGAAAGTCCTTCCGGGGCGGGGCCGCAGCGGCCTCTTCCCGCAGCCCCTCGGGCCCGGGCCCCGGTGGAACGGAAACCTCCCCCTACCCCGGGAGGGGCTGCCAGCGGGCTGGGGGTGCGAAAACGGCGGCAGGAGCGGGCGAGGGGCCCGGGCCGCGCACTTTGCGCCTGGGTTTGCGCGCCGCGGCCGCGGGAGTCCCGCGCGGACCGGCCGGACGCCCGGCCTCCCCCAGCCCCAGCTTTTTGTGTGTGTGTGCCTGGCGGCGTAATTACTGATTTGATTCCAATCCATTATTTAGACAATTGAACCTACAATCTCGTCTTTAGTAAAATGAGGCGAAGTCAGATTTGATTACAGGTTCAGTCCCAGCGACAAGAGCTCGAAACCCGATGGGTTAATAACAGATCACGAGTAAATTATTCATGATTTTACGAGCTCTTTAGCTCCATTGAATCGGCCTAATTGAGAGGAAAAAAAAAAAAAAGGAGAGAGAAAGCCCGGGTCCTCCCCCTCCCCTCGGCCCCTCGCTCCTCCCCGGATCCGATCCTGGGGAATCTCGACCCGCCCCCGGGCACTGGGGGCGGGAGTGAGGGGGTTCGGGGCGCCGGCCAAACCTGGGCCCCACGGCTGCCTCCCCCGCCGCCGCCCCCTGCCCTTGCCTCTGGCCGGCCTCGGCCTCGCTACTTAGGGCCGGCTCCTTTCCCTTTTTCTCCACTCCCCTTCTTTCCCCTTTTCTCTACTCCCCCGCCAATAACGGCTTCGGAAAAGGCCTCCCCCGCAGGGACCGGGTCTCCCGGAGCCCCGGGATTCAGCTCGGCCACCGGACCCTCGCCACAAGCTGCGCCTGTTTCCGGGACTCGCTTTCCCCTCCGCTCTCCCTATTTCTTGCTGTCTTTGTAGCTGTCTCTCTGTGGTTCTCCTGGCTCCTTCGCTTTCTTTTCCTCTGTCTGTCCTCTCTTTTTCCTGGCTCTGTCCATCTTCCGTCCCTACCCCCTCTCTCTTTCTCTCCCTCCATTCTGCCTTTCTGTGTTTGTCTTTTTCTCTCCTTTCTCTGCCCTTTCTGTCCCCCTCCCCCGCACTACTACCCCACCTAGGCGGCACTCAGGGCAGGTCCCTTGGGCCCATGGGGGCGCCGGGGTCCCCACGGAGCTCATTAACAGCAGCCAGGCCCAGGCGGGGGCTCGGTGGAGGGATGGGCCCAAAGATACCCCGTAGGGAGGCTGCCCCACCCCCAGTGGAGCTGGGGACTGGGGGAAAGAAAAGGGTTGCTCACCTCAGCGGGTTCCAAGCAGTTCTGGTGGATCAGGTTCAGAGGCATCCTCTGATCCCCTTTAAATTGCCGGACCCGCGCTCTTCACTCTGGGCGTGCTCTCTGTGGGAATGCAGCCCCGGGGGTGAGGGGACCTGAGTGCCGGTGGAAAGAGGCCCCTAGGAGGTGTAGCCCCTAGCTAACAGCTCCAAAGGCAGGGGCAAGACTTGTATCTTGCAAATTCTCTCTGCAAGGGGCTCTTCCCCATCTGGGCAGGGGAAGGGGGAGGTCACCAGCAGAGTAAAAGTCCTTTGGAGGTAGTGTGGCCAGGCAAAATGCAGCATCCCCAGTTAAATTGGAATTTTGGGTACGTAACAAATACATTTTTAGTGTAAGTGTCCCCGGCAATATTTGCATTTTGGAAAAATAACGAATAAATTTGAAATTTGTAGTATAAGTGTCCCGTGTAATATTTGAATTTTAGATAAATGACAATTTTTTAGCATAGCTGTGTCACCTGTAGTATTTGAATTTCAGGTAAACAACAAATACATTTTTAGTATAGGTATGTCCCATGCAATATTTAGGACATGCTTATACTAAAAAATTACTTATTATTTTTCTGAAATTTATATTTAACTGGGCAACCTGTATTTTCATTTGCTAAATCTAGAGCTCTGTTACGGGTATGTGATGAGGGCACAAGATACCTTCTCAGTTCTCACTTTAGGCGGACCGAATGTACACCCCTTATGAGGCTTACCCCAAGGCAAGACCTTAAGTGTGGCATGGCTCGGGAGGTGCCATGAGGAGGCGACCTTGGGAGGGGTCCTGCAGGTCCCCATCAGCTTCCAGGTGGCTGAGCAATTTTCTGAGGCCCAGGTTTTCACCCATATTCCCCACCCCCAATGCCAGCCAGGCATTGGCAGCGTGGCCCCCATGAGGCTCCTTGTGGTTAGGGACAGGCTCCCTCCTCCCTTCGTGGTGTAGTGGAAGAAAACAAGGAGTACTCCAGTGCTAAATCTAGGCTCAACAGATCAAGATCAATCTAGCTGGTTACCGGTGGTGTGGCAGTGTGCAAGTGGCTTCATTTCCCTTAGCGTTAGTTTCCACATCTCTAAAATGGGAATAGTCATAGCCACCTCTCTGAGAGGTAATGATGTACAGTGACATTTGTAAAGCCAAACACACACCATAGGTGTCTACTACATGTTTATTTCTGCCTCGGACTTCCTTCCCCGTCCACTCTGCCGCTCTCTGTGGACTGCCGCAGATCTCTGAACTTCCCCGAGCCTAATTTGCTCCACTTGTTCACGGAGAAACAATCATCTTACAGGGTAGCGATGAGGATTAAACTGCAAAATGCAGTTTCCAACCTTTGGCCCAGTGCCCAAGGCCCAGGGGTCCCTCAGTACTTTTGGGTGTGGCAAAATGAACATGAATCTCTGTTTCAGCAGTTTCTAGGTGCCGGTCCCAGACACGGTAGGGGGAGACGGCAGAAAGCACTCCTCCTTAGAGTGCCTTGGAAAACAGGAGGAGGGCAGGCCCAGAGACCCTGTCCTGCTGTGTCCAAAGTCAAGTGACTTCCCTTGCTGAGCCTCAGTTTCAACATCTGTAAAAACGGGAAAAATAATACCTGGTGCTCCTAGGATTGTTTTAAGTACCTAAAGAAAATGTGCCTGGAAAGCCCTTTAACACATCACCTGGAGTTCAATCGGCCATCAACAAGTCGTAGCTGTTGTTGCTGCTGCTGCTGCTGCTGCTACTATTGTTCTTATTGTAACATAATGGCTCAGAATGATTTTTGGATTCTCCCAGAGCCGGGATTCAGTGCTGCAGTTCTTAGCAGTGTGATCCTGGGTGGATCGCTGTCTCTGAGCCTCAGTGTTTCCATCTATAAAATGGGGATGATGTCCCCCTTTCATTGTGGCGCAGACATGCAGCAGGGTTAAGGATTGAAATGTTTGGCAGTGGGTGGGGCGAGTGTGGATTTGGCATGGGGGGCGGGTCAGGAAGTTCACCCACCGGCTCTGTGTCTCCTCCCTAGCGCTAAGCTGCAACGAAAACGACGCAGAGCACCTGGACCGTGACCAGCCATACCCGAGCAGCCAGAAGACCAAGCGCATGCGCACGTCCTTCAAGCACCACCAGCTTCGGACCATGAAGTCTTACTTTGCCATTAACCACAACCCCGACGCCAAGGACTTGAAGCAGCTCGCGCAAAAGACGGGCCTCACCAAGCGGGTCCTCCAGGTCAGCCAGGGCCAGGGGTGAGGGCATCTGCGACCACCAGGGACTGGGGTGGAACCCTGCACCCCTCGCCGTGGGCCTTGGAAGGACCTTCCACCCTGTGTCTGCTTCTCTGTGTGTTTAATCTTTCTCATTCTCTTTCTTCACCTCTCCAGCCTGTCCCCATCTGTATTTCAGTCTTTTTTTTCTTACTTTGTCTTTTCTCTTTTTCAGTTTTTGCCTCTCTGTTTTTCTGTTTGCGTATCGCTCCATCCTCATTGTCTCCACACTCGGTCTCTTTTCTTTCTTCTAAACAATTCTTAGTTTCTGTTTATTATTCAAGTGACACTCATTTTACACACATTCACATCATAAAAGGTTCAAACATTTCAGATAAATCTAGAGGCCGCCCCACCCCATCCCAGGACGTACACCCAAGGTGACTATCATTAGCTCCTGCTTCTTGCTTCTTACCCACTCTAGTTTCTCTTCTCTTGCTGTCTGCCTCTGTCTCACTCCCCCCTCTCTCTTCCTTCAGGCATCTCTCTAGATTTATCTTCTGCCTCCCAGACTCTCCTGGAAGCAAGGTTTGGTGGTGGGGATGTGTGTGGGCAGATTCCCTGGGTGGGCAGGTGGGGGCGGGACTGCCCAGAGGACATGGTGGGGTGGGGGAGCGGCTGGGTGCCTGTGAAACTCAGCAGAACTGCACTTACATGTGCGAGTAACTTCTTAATAGAGAAGATCCAGAACTTTCACCAAATTTTCACACCCCTAGAGATGTTAAGAACCCTAGTCTGGAGGCACAGAAGCAGGTCCCAGGCTCCTGCATGACCCAAAGTTGTGGCAGAGTCGTGGGCCACATCTCAAACGGTCAGCTCCTCCTTTTACTCATTTTAGGGTCTTAGGCAAGTCACTTGACTTTTTGTAGCCTGTTTCCTCATACAAGAAATGGATACAATAAATTATGCTGCCGGGTTATCCAAGGAGCCACTGAAATGACGTGCCTGTGGTGCGACCTGACACTTCGTTGCTCAGTGGATGGTAGCCAATAACAGCATTAACTAGATTCATTAGCTGGCATGATTCACTAGTATGAGCAATTATTCTGGTAGTGGACATCAGTTTCCCCATTCGTACAAAGAGAAGGCAAGACAATGCCTCCCTTGATAGCAAGTTTAACCAATTTATTCTTCAGAACGTGTGGTTACAGTGCCAGCGACACACATTTTGAGGGAAGAAAACCGAGGGATGAAGTAACCGGACAGCCTCACAACAGGAGGGGAGGTGGTGGGATTCGAGTCCAGGCCAGTCTGACCCACCCTCCAGCCCCAGGTCTCTGGGATTGAGGGCTGGGAGGTGACACAGAGGGATGACGGAGACGGAGGGCTGCGCAGCTGCCCTGAGAAAGTTCTTGTGAGTTTGTCAGAAACAAAAAACAAACAAAAAAATGCCCTCTGTGGGGCGGGTGGAGGCTGTGACGCGGCGCAACTGCAGCTGCAGCTGCGGGGGGAGCCGGGAGTTGGGGCCCCTAGGCTCCCGAGGCGCCCCCTTGAGCAGCGCTGCCCACGGGGAGCGGGCGAGGGGCTGCGGGAGAGGGAGGACTGGGTGACGTAGCCGAGGGAGGGAGCGTCGGCCAATGGGATGCCGATGCGCCCCTCTGGGCCCGCCCCTCCCTCATGGTCTGTTTTGCTTTGGAGTCCCAGTGGCCTGAGCTCCTGGTGGATGGAGAACGTGACTACACTGGCTGGGGTAGCAGGTCCCTCTCGTCTGTTTCCTTCGTTGTTTGCCTTCTTGGGGTTAGGTCAAGGACCCTCTTTGGCGTCCCCTCCCTTCAGCCGTGGGTGAGTTCGGACTGAGGACTTGGGGTTGGGCTGCCTTTTCTCTGCTTAGTAGGACCCTTCGTCCTTCCCCAACCCAGTTGCTCTGTGGCAGGGATGTCCAATCTTTTGGCTTCCCTGGGCCACATTGGAAGAAGAAGAATTGTTTTGGGTTACACATAAAATACACTAACACGAACGATAGTTGTTGAGCTAAAATAATAATAATAATAATAATGTTTTAAGACAGTTTACGAATTTGTGTTAGGCCACATTCAAAGCCCTCCTGGGCATAGACAGGCTTGCTCTATGGAGTGGGGTCAGGGGAGGGAGGGCAGTTCTATGAATTAATGCTTTAGCTGGGGATGGAACCGGGTTCAGGAAGACCTGGGCTGGGTTCACTGGCTGTGTGTCTTGGACAAATTAGTTACCCTCTCTGAGCCATAGATTTCTCATCTGTAGAAAGGGCACCATTAGGGCACAAACCTCTCTCAGTTATCCAGATTAAATGAAATGAAGAGTAAGTACCCATAGTTGAATCAGAATTTCCAGTGAGGAGCCAGTCTCTGTTGGCCTTGGGGAGGCAGAAGGCTTGGTCACCTGACTTAGGAACAAATCAGATTTCCAGGAGAGTTACCTCTTATTCTTTCATCTGATGAAACATATATTGGCACCAGGCCTTGGGGACACAGAGATGAACAAACCATGGTCCTGGCCCTGAGGAAATTCACCTGTTAGGTATAGACACAGACCCATGTACAGTTTCCTCATGGTGTGATCCGTTGGGGCACCTACTGAGGGAGCCCAGAGGAAGGACCAACCATGCTGTGTACCAGGCAGCATGATCCCTCTTCCCCCACCATCCAGATGAGAAGGCAGAGGCCCAAATGATCTCCACTTGCCCCAAATCACACTTTATAGTTACCTGCAGAGCTGGATCCAAATCCAGGCCTGCCTGATCAATGGACATAGTTCTTTCTTCTTTGAGCCAATCTGGCAATGACTGTCTGGGTGTGAGTTTCATTTAGGGTCTGTATACTGGGGGTGGGGCATACGTGTAGCACTGTTCTCCCTTTTTCCCAGACCACATTTGCACAAATCCCAAATATTCCTATTGCACATGGTGATGCAGCAGTTTACAAAGCATTATCTTTCCAGCCACGTATCTACCTTACCTTAAGATTTTTCTGCCCATTTTACAGATGAGAAGCTTAAGACCTAGTAAGATGAGGTGATTTGCTGCTGGATACAGGAGCCAGGCATTGGCAGGGTGGGGCTTGCCCCCAGGTGCCCTGAATGCTGATGGGGAATCTGGCAGACATGGGATGGGAACAGTTTGAGGCAGTTGGTAGTATGCCTTTGAAAGGTAACAGACTGGTTTTAATCCTGTCTGACTTACCAGCAGTGAGATTTGGATGTTTTAATTTCTCCTCTCTGAGCCTGATGCCTTATCTATGAAATGGGGATGAGAAGGATACCTTACTGGTGGTTGCACGGAGTAAATAAGATGACATACAGTATAATTTACAGAGTGTAGAGTCAGGACCCAGGCATGCTGATCTCATGCACTCATTTACACAGTACAGTTCAGTCTCCTGCAGTCATTTACACAGTACAGTTCATTCTGCAACCCTCTTTGCACACATTTTAAAAATGTGATTATCTTCATTTTGCAGATGATGAAACTGAGATTCTGAGAGTCTAGAACCCTGGCCCTGAGTCTCACAGCTAGTAAGTGATGAAGCCAGGAGTCGAGTTCAGATTGGTCTGAAATTTCCAAAGCTCTTTCCAATATTGCACACGAAGGGATTTTGACTTTTTTCCCTTGGATCTGGCTGCAGAGTGCAGCAGTACAGTGGGAGAGGAGGGAAGGTGTGGGTCACAGATGCCATGTCTTGGTAGGGAAGCAGAAACCTCTAGTAAAGTGCTCGTCACATAAAAGGTGCTCACATTTGCCATCAGCAGCAGCATGGCAACTACAATACTCACTATCAGTGGGCAAGGTGACTAGGAGACAGAATGGCCCCTTAGACGGAGGTCCTTTAAGACTTTAAGCCTTGGCCGGGCACTGTGGCTCACGCCTGTAATCCCAGCACTTTGGGAGGCAGGCCGAGGCGGGCGGATTACAAGGTCAGGAGATCGAAACCATCCTGGCTAACACAGAGAAACCCCATCTCTACTAAAAATACAAAAATTAGCCGGGCGTGGTGGCATGTGCCTGTAGTCCCAGCTGCTGGGGAGGCTGAGGCAGGAGAATGGCGTGAACCCGGGAGGCGGAGCTTGCAGTGAGCCAAGATTGCGCCACTGCACTCCAGCCTGGGCGACAGAGTGAGACTCTGTCTCAAAAAAAAAAAAAAAAAAAAAAAGACTTTAAGCCTTACAAATGCATGGAGACCATTTCTCACCACATAGAAGTCTCTCTGAGTTGCTTTCCTTCCTTCCTGTGGAAGGGCCAGGGAAGCAGCATATTAAGATGCCCTAAGCTTGGGGAAGTGAGTGATGAGCTGATTGATTTGGGTGGGTGAAGGTCTCCATAGGGGTTCCCTGGTGTGACTTTGGAAGAAAACACATTTTAACCACCAACAGCTTAAAAACCATCTTTCAGTCTGGGTGTGGTGGCTCACACTTATAATCCCAGTACTTTGGGAGGCTGAAGTGGGCAGATCACTTGAGGCCAGGCATTTGAGACCAGCCTGGCCAACATGGTGAAAACCCGTTCCCTACTAAAAATACAAAAATTAGCCAGGCATGGTGGCGCACACCTGTAGTCCCAGGTACTCGGGAGGCTGAGGCAGGAGAATCACTTGAACCCAGGAGGTGGAGGTTGCAGTGAGCTGAGATTGTGCCACTGCACTCCAGCCTGGGCAACAGAGCAAGACTCTGTCTCCAAAATAAATAAATAAATAGCATCTTTCAGGTGACTAGTTAGTTATTACTAACCTGTGTGAGAATTTAGGAGTTGAGTACTCTAGCTTTCCTCTGGCCACTCACTTGTTTGACAGATATATTGACCTGCCATGTGCCGGGCAGGGCTGGAGGCACTGAGGATTCAGTGGGGAACAAGACAATGAACAAGACTGGCTGGGCGTGGTGGCTCACGCCTGTAATTCCAGCACTTTGGGAGGCGGAGGCGGGTGGATCACCTGAGGTCAGGAGTTCAAGACCAGCCTCACCAACATGGTGAAACCCGTCTCTACTAAAAACACAAAAATTAGCTGGGCATGGTGGCATGTGCCTGTAATCCCAGCTACTTGGGAGGCTGAGGCAGGAGGAGGATCGCTTGAGCCCAGG
This sequence comes from Homo sapiens, assembly GCF_000001405.40. Lineage (NCBI taxonomy): Eukaryota > Metazoa > Chordata > Mammalia > Primates > Hominidae > Homo > Homo sapiens. The sequence continues at coordinate 124,026,389 of NC_000009.12, forward strand.
AGGTGGAGGTTGCAGTGAGCCAAGGTTGCACCACTGTACTCCAGCCAGGGTGACAGAGCAAGACTCTGTCTCAAAAAAAAAAAAAAAAGACATTGAACAAGACCCCACTGGAACATCCACCCAGAGGGCATGTGGAGCAAGGTGTGGGATAAACAATTGACAAGGTGCCAAGATTAATCTCTGTGTTTTTCTTTTAAATGATTCTAAGCTCAAATAGGTTTGGGAAAGGCTCAAGGTTGACTGTGTCTTTCTCTTGGAGATCAGAGCATGTTAGCATTAATACAGGCACTGAGAAATCTGGAAGAGACTCAACTTTGTCTAATCTAACATTTCCCAAATTTTATTTGGCCATATAATTCTTATTTAACTCTTGTAAAGAAATAAAATGGTAGACGTGCTAGGTAGGAAAAATGCAAGGGTACAATTAGAGCACAGAGACCTGACCTGCTGAAGGAGGTAGTCAGGGAAGGCTTCCCTGAGGAGGAGGTGTGGTTTATATCAGGGCAAGTCACTTCATTACTTTGAACCTCCATTTCCCTACCTGTAAAGTGGTCTTTTTCCTGCCTGTCTACCACCCAGGTGGGTGATAAGTGTCCAATCTAGTCCTAGATGGCCTAAGCTGTATGGAGTTTCACAGACAATTTGGCCTAAACCTCTCAGTTCAAAGGAAAGGAAATCAAGACTCAGAGAGGTGGAGTGACTTTCCCAAGAACCACAGCAAAGTGGTTCTAGGCCTGGGGCTAGAACCAAGGGTTTCTGATTTCCAGTTCAGTGCTTATTACTTTTGGTTCTTTAAAGAAAACTTCTTTAAAAGTTTACAAAATACTAGAACTGCCATACCAACAGTTTAGAAAAATAGGAAAAACAGAAAACAACAACAGCAAAACAAACAAAAAAAACCGTACCCTTCTAAGAGCACAGGAATCCAATAATTAAAGTGTGTGATTTAGAGGTTAAGTAGTGGTTAAGGGCATAGAACCAGTCTGTTGGAAGTCACATCTCAATTCTGTTTGTGCAGTAAGAGGCACACAGTTTCTACTCCTGCAAATTGGCAATAATATTCACATCTACCGCATAGGGTTATTATAAGGACCAAATGAGTTAATGTGTAAAGTGCTTAGGACTTTGCTTATAAAATGCCTGGCACTGGCTGGGTGTGGTGTCTCCTGCCTGTAATCCCAGCACTTTGGGAGGCCGAGGTGGGCAGATCACAAGGTCAGGAGGTGGAGACCATCCTGGCTAATACAGTGAAACCCATCTCTACTAAAAAATATAAAAAATTAGCCGGGCATGGTGCCACATGCTTGTATTCCCAGCTACTTGGGAGGCTGAGGCAGGAGAATTGCTTGAACCCGGGAGGCAGAGGTTGCAGTGAGCTGAGATCGCACTACTGTACTCCAGCCTGGGCAACAGAGCGAGACTTCATCTCAAAAAAAAAGATGCCTGGCACTTCATGAGGAATAGTATTCATCATTATTATTTGCTTTATGAAGGTACAATACCAGAAGGCATAGTTTTTTTTTATCCTTTTTTTCACCTAACAGCCATCACAAGACATTTCCCCTGTGGCATCGTGGAGTGGCTGTGTCATGACTCCCACTTGCCGCATCTGAGTGGACACTTTGGATGCAGCCATTAGTTTGATGTTATTAAAAATGCCATGATGGGCATGAAGCTTTCATCTTTTGGCTGATTTCCTTAGCATCCCAGGTGGGGATTTGCTGGGGGCAAAGTGGGTTTCCCACTGGCCCTCCTGGCTTTCTTGATGAAAGAATTCTGGGGAAGGAGGTTTGTGAGGCAAAACACAACTTGCATGGTCAGGTAGTGCCTGGGAAGGGGCAAGAAGCAACGTGTGCTTCTTCATCTACCCAGGGCTTATTGGAGATCTACCGCGCACCAGGCTGGGGCACCCCGGCCTGGTGTTAGTTGTGTCCTGATGATTCTCTGTCTGAACTTCGCCTTCTTGTCCCAGACACACAGTCCAGAGAACTTGAGGCATGTGAAAAGAGAAGGCCTGTCAGTTTCAGAAGATGGGTGGGTGGGGCAGACTGCACCTTGTTGCTTGCAGCTGCCTAAGAATCCCAGCCTGTCAGAACCCTGAGAGCCATAGAGATCGTATGATGTGGTCTAACCCTCTTGTTGTACAAGTGAAGAAACTGAGGCCGGTCCAGAGGTGAGGGACAAACCCGAGGTCACGTGGTAGTCCCAGGACTGGAAGCTGCTCTTTCCACTGCACTATAGTTGCTTCTCTGTTTCTTCATCCATTTATTCACTCATTCATGGACTTGCTACCTCCCTCAGGACCATGTGGCAGGGAGAGCATGGACTCTTTTAGGGCAAGTGGTCCTGGATTCCAGTCTCAGGTTGCCCTCTGTGTGACCTTTGGCAAGTGGTTTTACCACTCTGACCCTCTCTGGTTTTTAAATCTATACAGTGAGGGCAGGCACGGTGGCTCATGCCTATAATCCCAGAACTTTGGGAGGCCAAGGTGGGCGGATCACCTGAGGTCAGGAGTTCAAGACCAGCCTGGCCAACATGGTGAAACTCCGTCTGTACTAAAAATACAAAAAAATTAGCCAGGCATGGTGGCGGGTGCCTGTAATCCCAGCCACTCAGGAGATTGAGGCAGGAGAGAATCACTTGAACCTGGGAGGCAGAGGTTGAAATGAGCTGAGATCGTGCCACTGCACTCCAGCCTGGGTGACAGAGCAAGACTCTGTCTCAAAAAATAATAATAATAATAATAATAGTCAATAAATAAATCTATAAAATGGGAATAATAATAGTCGAATCCACCTACTTGGCTTTTCATGGGAATAACCTGTGGCAGTGCATGCTGGAGGGTGGCATGGAGCCTGGCACATAGTAAAAGGTACATACATGTCAGCCATTCCTATGAATACATATTACTGATTCTTAATCTCTGCCAGTCTCTGCCATGCACCGGGGGACATGAAGATAGCATAGAAAGGGTCCCTGCTCCCATCAAACTCTCAGGAGTGGACTTTTTGAAATACCTGGGAGAGAATTCTAGTGAAGCCCTGACAACATGAAGAACAAACCCCACACAACCCCAGAGCAGCCGGGCTTTTAATGAAGTTGTTGAATTTTCATCTACCAGATTCCCAGTGCCTCAGCTCTGGAAAGCAGAGAAGGTAGTTGTGGACGATGGTGTCATTGTTTACAAGCCCACTGTTAGGGGCAACAGCCTGAGAAATAGCAAACAGCCGGCAACTAACCGGGTCCAGCCCTGCCCGAGGTCTTGGAGCCCCGGATGGATGAGCAAATGAGCACCCGGCAAAGCACCCTCAAACCCTCGACCCAGGCTCCCCGCTCCAGCTACTGCTCTGAGAGTCAGACGCACAGAGCACAGGCTGCTCAGGGGTCACACGCACACAGGCCAGGACAGTGGCAAGGCAGCGGCACCAAGGCTCCGGCCTTCTCCACCCCAATCTGCATGACTTTGGGGAAGTCACTTCCTCTCTCTGAGGGCCTCTGGGGGCTTCCCCATCCATTTTCTTTAGGCCACCAGGACACAGTCTCTCCCCTACAGATTTCTGCTGGCCGGGAAAGGGAAGGACCCCCCCACCCCAGGGAAAGCATGTCAAGGGTGGTCTGAGAAGCACTGTACTTATTTGCCAGCCCCCAGAAGGGGTGATGGGCTTTCTTTGGGCGGAGAGCCAGGGAAAATGTGCCTTCTTCCTGGGAAGATCCAGCACTGAGGAGGGAGCTTGGTTTCTCCACTTCACAGGGTCTGGATCTCCCACTTTACTCCAAGATTCTTGTGGATTTGCTTTTAATTGAGCCCAAATTGTGTTACGCCACCAGAAACGGGGGTTTGAGGCCACAGGCCCCTGCAGCCGGGGTGGTCCCAAGGGGTGCGTGGGGCCAGGAGTCAGCCCTCCCTCTCCTGCCAGAGACACTGGGAAGACAGGCAGATGCAGGACATCTGGAAATGCGCAACTGGACACCCCAGAATCTGCAGAGTGCCCTGAGGCCCTTTGTTTTATGGGGAGGCTTCTGGCGGGTGTTTTCCTCACGCAAAGGGAAGTGAAGGGGCCCTGCCTTTCAGGACTTTTTCCTTGGAAGGTTCAACCCCCCCAGAGTGGCCTGGATTTCCTAAGCCCCTCCCAAAGTACTTCGTGGACCTCTGGGTACAGCGGGTCCCTGTGTTTGTGCTGTTAGATGGGTGGTGGTACTTAGGTGCTGGCTGTGTAGATGAATTTCATTTTTCTTTTCTTTTTTTTTTTTTTTTTTTTTTGAGATGGAGTCTTGCTCTGTGGCCCAGGCTGGAGTGCAGTGGTGGGATCTTGGCTCACTGTATCCTCCGCCTCCCGGGTTCAAGCAGTTCTTCTGTCTCAGCCTCCCGAGTAGCTGAGGTTACAGGAGCGCACCATCACACCCAGCTAATTTTTTATATTTTTAGTAGAGATGGGGTTTCACCATGTTGGACAGGCTGGTCTCGAACTGCTGACCTCAAGTGATCCACCTGCCTCGGCCTCCCAAAGTGCTGGGATTACGGGCTTGAGCCACTGTGCCCGTCCTTAGATGAATTTCTGTGTGTCTTCCTGAATGCTTACAGGCGTGTGTGCAAAGATATGGGAGTGGACGCGTGTGTGTCTGTGCCCAAGGAAAAATGAAAGTAAACCCATGTTCTCTCACTGACATTCTTTTCAGACAGAGCTCAGCCCCAGCTCTGCGCCCCGCCGCACGTCCCTCATAAGTCGATACGGGATGCAGCAGGTCGGGAGAGAGACTCTGCGGGTTTCAACTTCCCTGGCCTCACTTTAATTTGGCTGCCGTTCCCACGCTGCCTACCTCCACCCACCTCCACCCTGAGACCTGACACCCAGTGGCCCAGGGTACCTGGTGGCTCCCCCAACCGATGATGGGGATAGGTTCCGTGTCTTTCACTTCCTCTTAGTAACTCATTATTATTGCCTGATTCTCATGTGTTCTTTATCGCATTCCCAGACTTACTGACCACAAAACATTTAAAACATTTTACCAACAAGAACTTGTGGGGTTTATTGTCTGCTGAAAGGCAACTGCCAAAAAAGGAAAAAGAAAAAAAAAAAAGGAATGTCTCAAAGAACCATTAGGAAAAGGATCAAGATTTGTCTGGTGTGTGTGTTTGGTGTGTCTGATAGAAATGCAACATGAGGCACACATTTAATTTTAAGTTTTAAATGTCCTAGTAGCCTCCTTGAAGAAATGAAGAGAGACAAGTAAAAGTAAAATTAATTTTAATAATGTATTTTGCTTAACTCAGTATAGCCAAACTATTAATCATTTCGACATGTAATCAATATAAAAATTATTGAGATATTCTACCTGCTTTTTTTTTCATATTCAGCCTTCAGATAGGTTGTGTGTTTTCACCTGCAGACTGGTTGAATTTGGGCTAATGCCATTTTAAGTGCTCAGCAGCCATACGTGGCTCGTGGCTGTGATATTCGGGAGTACAGCTCAGCTCTGGAACCACCTATCAGAAAGAGAAGCCCAGCCGTAGCCCATTAGATAGAGTGAAATTTTTGTTTTATTTTATTAAGAGCAAAATATTGGCCAGGTGCAGTGGCTCACATCTGTAATCCCAACGCTTTAGGAGGCTGAGGCAGGAGGGATCACTTGAAGCCTGGAGTTTGAGACCAGCCTGGTCAACATTGCAAGACCCCGTCTCTACAAAAAATAACTTAAAAAGTTAGCGGGGCCGGTGGTGCTCACCTATCTATAGCCCCAGCTACCCAGGAGGCTGAGGCGGGAGGATCGCTTGATCCCAGGAGTTAGAAGCTGCAGTGAGTCGAGATTGTGTCACTGCACTTCAGCCTGGGGGACCAAGCCAGACCCTGTCTGCAAACAAAAACAAAAACAAAAAAACCAAAAAAGCAAAATATTGCCAACCTGACTTTTTGGATCCTCTTGGCAAAACACAGATCAGCGTCCCCAGAGGCAGCAGAGCTCTGAGTGAAGCAGTCGGGGGGATGCTCTGCCTGCCTTCCGCTCACCAGCCCTTCCCTGTCGTCCCCCGCAGGTCTGGTTCCAGAACGCCCGAGCCAAGTTCAGGCGCAACCTCTTACGGCAGGAAAACACGGGCGTGGACAAGTCGACAGACGCGGCGCTGCAGACAGGGACGCCATCGGGCCCGGCCTCGGAGCTCTCCAACGCCTCGCTCAGCCCCTCCAGCACGCCCACCACCCTGACAGACTTGACTAGCCCCACCCTGCCAACTGTGACGTCCGTCTTAACTTCTGTGCCTGGCAACCTGGAGGGCCATGAGCCTCACAGCCCCTCACAAACGACTCTTACCAACCTTTTCTAATGACTCGCAACCCCTCACCCCACAATTTCTTTAAAAAAGAAATTATCTTTAGTTGAATTCCAAGTGTATTTTAAAATAGAGGCTTTGAGCAACTAACTAACCACATTTTAGGATCTCGCCTGGAAACAGAGGTAAAAAAAAGAAGTGTGCGCCCGGCTAATGCAGCGGTGTGGACCGAGGAACAACTTGGAAGATCTACCTGCAACACAACATTTGTGTCACTGTACAGTTTTGTGGACTGAGCGAGGAAAAACAACAAATAATTTAAGTTGGCTAGAGCTTCTGTATTTTCAAAGACTGCCACGTGCCTTAGGAATACTGTTTTATCTCCATACTTTGGATGACTTGTTCATTTTTCTCTCCCTCTTTTTCTCTGTATATTTATGACCAGAGCAAAAATGTAAAAAACAAAAAAAACAACAAAAAAAGTTTGTTACTTTGAATAGTCCTAAAAAGAAAAAAAGAAAAAAAAAAAAGGAAAAATCAAACCCCCTCCAACGGTCGCTTTGTTGTTTTAGAATTTTAAGGTGGAAGTCTGTTCGAATATCAGAATTTGTAAAATCTAACCAGTAATAAAACCACTTATTGAAACTACTTGGGGCTGCTGCCATTTGGTTGGGTGTGAAATTGACAGGACCTAAGAGTTTTACTGAGGCCCAGAGATCAATTCTAGGTCTTCACATATTCATCAGATATTCCTGGGGCTCCTGTCTTGTGCCAGGCTTTGGACGGATTACAGAGATGCCGAGACAAAGATCCAATTCCTGCTCTCAAGGAATCAGAATGGTGACACGGGACAGACAAAAGATATCTTAACAGGGTGTGATATGTGCTCAAGTGGAGGATATGCAACATCCCATTCATTCATTCATTCATTATTCATTCATTCATTCTTTCAAATATTTAATGAGCACACCCTGCCAGATGCTTGTGATGCAGAGGTCAGAGGCCCTTTTCTGCTCCTGGCTGGGCTGGAAAGAAGGCATGTCAGGCGATGAGGGAGGCCTCCTGAAAAACCTGCAGCTTTTCCCTACGAGGAGTGAACGCAGTTAACAAAGGGCAGCTTAAGCTCCAGTTTTCCTAATGACACAAAATTTCAAGATCGCTAGAGAGGGCAAAAGCAAATGAATTCTGTTCCTTTCCTAAAGTTTCAGGGAACCTCAGAAACCCAGAGAAAAGACACACCCAGAGAGGAGGGAGGGTTGGAGCCAGGCAGAATGAAGTTGGAATTCCTACTGTTGAGCAGGGTGAGCTGAAGGAAGTCATTTCACTTCATTGGGCGTCAGTTTCCTCAGCTATGAGCTGAAGATAATGAATGGCCCTTGCATGGCAGTTGTAGTGGGGGCAAAAGGTAAGATGTGTTGAAGAGCCCAGCAGAAGGCCTGACACAGAGTAGGGCTCGATGCATTGTAGTGAATGACAGACAGGTGATGTGAGGACTCTGTGGGTGGAGAGCAGGAATGTGTGTATCCAGGCACCCTCTGGCATTGCTGAATGCACCAAGCAGGTGTGGTGTCTGTCCCCCAGACTTCTGACACCCCTCATTTCTCACTCTGAGCCCTGCTTCGGAGTACTCTGCTACCAGTTTCATTGGATGTCAGCAGTTACCAACCCAAATGCCCCTGCAATGGCCCACCAACTTGATCATCCAGATGGAAAATCATGGCCACCTGGAGGAGGAAATAGCCAGGCAAGAGTGGGCAGAGGAACCATCCAGCCCAGGACTGGGGTCTCTCTCTCCTCCTCCCTCTGCCATCATTGTTGGGATAGGGTGGAGGGAGTGAGTGGGGCAGGAACGGGCTGAGTGTGCTTCAAGCCCAGACTCACTCACTTTCTGAAATGTTTTTTGAAAACCCCAAGCACATTGCGTGCGCGCGCGCGCACACACACACACACACACACAAACAAACAAAAAAACACTATTGTTATTGCTATAATGTCTGGCAAACAGTAGGAGCCCAATAAAATTTTTGTAAACTTTTATATTACATATACAGTGTACACAAGTCTGTAATAAACAGCCTGATTAATGTCTTTCAAATGAACACACCCATTTAACTACCACTCAAATCAAGGTATAGGACACTTTCAGCACCCAGAAGTCTCCCTTAAGGCCCCTTCCTTCAATCCCTCCCAAGATAGCTCCTATTTAAAAAAATCTGTTTTTGATCGATACATTTTTTGCTGAATGAATTCAGGAGGCTTAGCAAGATTAGCCTACTTACAGCTAGTGATGGAAGAGCCAAGCTTTGAGCCAGGTCTATGCCCTCAGATCCAAGGCTCTTACCCTCAAGCAGACACATGTTCATAGTTACCCACGCAAGCAAGAGGGTTAAGAACCTCAACTTTTCTACCTGCCCAATGGGGTCATGGAATCTGTCTCCCATTGATGACTCTGTGAGGGAATGCAATCAGAGGGCCTGGACTGCAGACAGACAGACACCATGACGCCAGTTACCCCCAGCAACTCATACGGGTGCCCACAGACACACATGCACGCATGCACGTTCTTGAGGCATTCATGGATAGATAGACCCACAGGCTAAGGTCCTCACACCCAGACAGCACCACACAACGTCACACACACACACAGATGCTCGCAGACAGACGTAAACAGGCCCAGATGCTCATCAATCCACCTAGACAGACACCCAGACCACCCCACACAGGGAGACCCGCTCATAAACCCGGGTGTGCACACATGCAGATGCTCACAGGCACCCAGACGCCCCCGCGTAGCCCGCTGTGCCCCTTGCTCAGGCACCAACAAAGCTGAGTCTGATTCCTATCTTGTCTGTCAGCACTGGCACCCAGTTGGAGAGGGCCCTGGAATGATGCCCGGGGGTCCCCCACCCCTGCATAAGAGCACGTTGAGGAGCCAGGGCTGCTGTTGGGCCAGGGGTGGGGACACCTTGGATGGGGCGTTGCTCTCCCCAGGCTCAGAGACTAAGACACACACAGACTTGGGAAGATAGGAACAGAGACAGGGACAGAGACAGAGATACAGAGGCAGAGAGAGAGAGAGAGAGAGACATAGGCAGAGAGAGAGGCAGAAAGGCAGTAGACAGGGAGAGAGAGGAAGGGAATAAAACAGCAACACAGAGAGTGATGAGGCAGAGACCCACAGGGATGGAGACAGAGACACGGGAGAGATGGTGAGACACAGAAAGATTGAGATTGAGAAGGAAGACTTGGTAAAGGGAGACCCTGGGACAGACTCAGAGGCTGAGAGAGACCAAGACTGAGAGACAGCAGAAGAAACAGAGATGGCTCCTGTGAGGCTGGTAAGGAGAGACACTGAGGGAGAGGGAGAGGTGAGCTCAAAAGCCAGACAGAGGCGGAGCACGGTGGCTCACGCCTGTAATCCCAGCGCTTTGGGAGGCCGAGGTGGGTGGATCACGAGGTCAAGAGATAGAGACCATCCTGGCCAACATGGTGAAACCCCATCTCTACTAAAAATACAAAAATTAGCTGGGCGTGGTGACATGTGCCTGTAGTCTCAGCTACTCGGGAGGCTGAGGCAGGAGAATCGCTTGAACCCAGGAGGCAGAGGTTGCAGTCAGCCGAGATCGCGCCACTGCACTCCGGCCTGGTGACAGAGCAAGAGTAGGTCTCAAAAAAAATAAATAAATAAAAGCCAGACAGGTAAATCAGCGGCAATTCAGACTGAGTGACAGCAGGTGAGGGGAGGCAGGTGCTGAGGCTGGTAGGCCAGCTCTGTCCACCATGATGGGAGGGAGGGAGACAGTACCATCGCCACAGCCACCTGCAGCTCTGGGGACCTATCCAAACCTCCCCGCATGCTGACTGCAGTGGGGATCGGGGGCCACCCAACCCTCTATGAATATGGAGAGACACCTTGTTCTTGAGACCCACACCCAGGCCTGGCATTAGGTGGTCTTCAGGGGCTGGGGTCTCCACCCTAGCCCTACCCCACCCTGCCAAGTCTCCCTTCCTCCAAGGTGGGCAGGTCTGGAGCACAGGGAAGAGACCTTCGCACTCTTCTCTGCTCTGAAAGTTTTGGCAAGATACTAAGCCACTCTGAATCTCAGTCTCATAATCTGTAAAATGGGACCAATGGTGTTCACTTGCAGGGTGCTGTGGGGATTCAGTGAAAGTCTATGTACCTGCTTTATTCATGGTGTGACTAACTCCCAGGGGGCCACAGTGATGGTGTGAGGAATTGTCTCAAAGTTGAAAGAGGAGATGGGTTGGGTTGGGCTCTTGAATGAACAGAAGGTGATCAGATGGAGAAGGGAGCCAGGGAGGATTCCTGACTGAGGAGCAGCCCAGGTCACAGGCAAGAGGATGTGCCGCAGGCTCATGAGTGGAGGGCAGTTTCCCGGGTGGGGATGTCCTGGAGAGGCTGGTGAAACTCAGCTCACAGGGGGCCTTATCTAAGGCTGGGGAACGTGATGAGGCCAGGGGCCTGGAGGTGCAGCAGGACTCCCCTGCTCTTCCTTGGGTGACAGGACCCCTCTCCTCCTTGTAGTTATGCTGGAGTCCCACGTGGCAGCACTGGCTTCCTGGAGAGCAGTGTTTGTTGCTGTGGGCTGCATGACCTGCTGGCAAGGATGGACAACTCCAGGCTACACCTGCCAGCCGCTGCCCCAGGGAGGGACATTGTGGGCTCTTTGGCTCCTGGGGACTCTGTGTGGTGTGACCTCGGCTCACTGCAACCTCCTCCTCCCAGGTTCAAGTAATTCTCCTGTCTCAGCCTCCCCAGTAGCTGGGATTACAGGCGTGTACCACCACACCTGGCTAATTTCTGTATTTTTAGTAGAGATGCAGTTCCACCATTTTGGCTGGGCTGGTCTCAAACTCCTGACCTCAAGTGATCTGCCTGCCTCGGCCTCCCAAAATGTTGGGATCACAGGCTTGAGCCACTGCACCCAGCCTGCCAGCAGGCCCTTTATACCTTCCTTTTTACTCTTTGTCCCTCCCTCTCTCCTCAACCCAGTGCTGGGCACCCGAGACTGGTGATGTGGAGATGATTTGGCCAACAGCCCTTCCCTCTGGCTCCCAGCCTCTCTGGGAGACAGGTACAATAGCCAGCTACTGTCCAGCAGGAAGGAAGCCTGGGAATTATGGGAGCCCAAGGTGGGAGAGTCTCATTCTGCAAGTGGTGAAAGTCCTGTGTAACACTCTGCAACTGGTGATGCGTTCTTACAGTTATTATCTCATTGAATCCTTGCCTCTAGGAGGCAGGGATGAGCACTTCGTTTCACACAGAAGGAAGCCAAGGAGAAGCCACTTGCCCAGGATCACACAGTTCAGGGGCCACAGAGACATTTCCATGGCAATTCAATTGAATTCAGCCAGCATGAGTCAATTCGTCCCTGGCGCCAGGCATGGTGGCTAGGGGTACCTAGGAAATTGCGATCCTTGCTAGGGGCTGGCAGATGCAGACCAGGTGCGAAGGCAGCTGGGACTAGGCATTCAAGAAGGCAAGGAGTCCAGAAGAGGCTGCCAATACAGACTGGTGGTTGGGGGTACTTTCTGAGTTGGAAGAGCAGGCAATTGACCTAGAAGTGTTTGAGTAGGGGGGAGGGACTTGGGGAGAGGGCAGAAGCACATGCTCAGGGTGTGGTATTTTTCCGCTAGTGAACAGCACCCATGTGGACAGGAGAAAGAGAATCACTGCTAATTCTTTGGAGCTGGAAGCAGCCTAGAAGAGCCTCTGGCCGGAGCTGCTCGTCAGAACCACTCCAGCGGCGTTTCCACATTCCCCTACTGGCTCGCCACCACTTCCTGGGGAGGAGCCCAGGCTGGTGTGTCTTATAAAAAACTTGTTATCATGGAAAATTTCAAACATATACAAAGTAAACAGAAGGGTACAATGAACCTCCATGTACTCCCTGCTCAGCTTCCAGTTATCAACATTCACTCAGTCTTTTTTTTTTTGAGACTTAGTCTAGCTCTGTCACCCAGGCTGGAGTGCAGTGGTGCGATCTTGGCTCACTGCAAGCTCTGCCTCCCGGGTTCAAGCGATTTTCCTGCCTCAGCCTCCCGAGTAGCTGGGGTTACAGGTGCCTGCCACCATGCCTGGCTATTTTTTTTTTGTATTTTTAGTAGAGACAGGGTTTCACTGTGTTGGCCAGGCTGGTCTCAAACTCCTGACCTTGTGATCCGCCCACCTCAGCCTCCCAAAGTCCTGGGATTACAGGCGTAAGCCACCGTGCCTGGCCAACATCCACTCACTCTTGTAACCTCTATACTCCACCCACTCCCTGGTTCCAACTTGATGATGATGATTGATGACAATGACCTGTGCATTTTTTAAAAGTCCCTCAGGGATTCGGACAGGCACATCCTTCATCTTAGGGATGATCAGGGTAAGCTCAAAGAGGGGAAGGGGCTTACATGTGGGCACCTAGCCGGGATGCAGCAGAGAGGGGGTTGTCTGGCTGAGGGACACTTAGTGAGTGCCAGGCCCTCTGCTGGGCAGTGGGGTCATGAGCGAATATGATGGTCCCTGTCTTCATGGAGCTCAGAATCTACCAAGGGAGACAAATGCCAAACAACCTCAAAAGTACTTACTGATGTTTGTGATGAGGCCTATGTGAGACCATGAGAGTGTATACACGGGCAAGGAAAAGGAGAGCTTCTTGGAGAAAATCATCAGTAAGAGACCAGCTAAGTGTATGGAAATTAACTCGCAAGTGGGAGGAGGGGAGAAAGGAGTAATAGAATGTGCAAAGGCCCTGAGGCTCAGAGGTCCACAGCACTAAAAGGTGGCCAGTGTGGCCGGAGCTCTCAGAGCAAGGGCCAAGGTGGTGGGAGGTGGGGCTGAGGACACAGCCAGGGGCTTTCCAGGCAGCATGTCTGGGCCTCAATTCCAAGAGCACCAGGAAGCTAGAAATGAAGGCAGGGGAGGAGGAGGCAGGGGGTGGATGTGAGGGGCCTCTTAAAGCTGCCAGGTAATGGGACATCTGGCTAGGTGGAGGCAGAGGGAATGGACCAGCTATGGGGGGAGGGAGAGCCAGGAGGGATCAGGATCATAACCAGGTGGATGCTGTGGCCCTTCACTGCAATGAGGAAAGTCATCAGGAAGAGGAAGGGGGAAGATGCTCGGGGATTTGTGGTTTAGATTTGCTGAGTTTTTGATGGCTTTGAGACATCCAAGTGCTGGCCTGGTCTTTCCCCTCAAGGGGCTCCCAGTCAGAAGGAGGAGGCATGAAAGGGACCTGGGACACTTACCCAGTGCTTCTCTTCTTTGAATTTCCCAGCTATCCTGAGTAAGAGTGTCCTCAAGCTGGCATTTGAGGCTTGGTCACAAGTTAGTCCCTGCCCACTTCTCTGGTGCAGGACTTGGGACCTACCTACCCATCTTTGGGCTTAAAGCCAGCCAGGTGCACCAAACTCACCAGTGCTTTGCACACTGGGTGGGCTCTCTGCCTGAGGGTCTTCTCAAAAACTCCTGCTCAAATGTCCCCTCCTCTCTGGAACCTTCTCTGCTGTCACTTCCACCCTTCTCACCATGCAGGGCTGGAGGGGGCAGGGGTGGATGTGAGGGGGCTCCTAAAGCCACCAGGTAATGGGACATCTGGCTAGGTGGAGGAAGAGGGAATAAACCAACTGTAGTTGTCTGTTCTCCCCGCATCCCTACCCCAACGCCAACAGGGCCACGTGGGGCTGGCCTGTGACTGCCCGGTTCAGTATGAATCTGTGGGTTCTTGTTTTGAAAGTATGTTATACTCTCTCTTTCCTGCTAGTGTAAGCTCCATGACTCAGCCTCTCCATCTTCATATTACTCCTGGCCCGGATGAGTCCCTCCTAAATAGTTCCTAAGTCCTGGAGAGGGTAAATGTTAGCATAAGCGTTCACTATGGTTGAGAGTCTAGTCCTTAGGGGTTCGGTGCTGGATTCTGTCCTGCCGCTTACTGCTGTGGGATCCTGGGCAAAGTACTGAACCTCTCTGAGCTTCCAGGATTTGTCGTCTGTATAACGGGGGTAGTGATGACACCTACTTCTTAGGGTTTCGTGAACGTTGAATGGTGTAACTCACGCAGCCATAGCGTTTAGCAGAGTGCCTGGCTCATCGCAGTGCTCAGTTCCTGGGAGCTGTTGCTATTTATTCAGCTCCGTCTTTCCATTCAGGCACCTCTAGCGTGCTTGCCCCTTGAAAAGAGGAGAGGGAGGGCTCCCACTCTGGGACGGCCGCAGTGGTTTTCAGAGCTTGGGGTGGGGGTGGGCTTGGGGCGGTTCCGGGCATGGGGGTGGCCGCGGGCCTGGAGCTGTAAGAGGAGGTCCCTGGGGACTGGGGAGAGGGGGGCGGAAGCCGGAGCCGAGGTCGGATCCGGCGAGGTGGGCAGAGCAGACATCCTGCGGGGGCGCCCCCAGCCCGGACCGAGGCACGGTCCCGGGGGAGCCGGCCCGGGCACCGCGGCCATCGGAGCTGGGACGCCGGGTCTGGGGCTGCAGAGCCGCCGCAGGGGCCGGACGAGGGCGCCCCCTGGCGGGGCACCGCGGCATCGCCCCGGGTCTCTCACTTCCTCAGCAGGCTGGGTGGGGTCTTCGCGGAGGAAATTCCCCTCAGGGAGGGGTGTCGGGGACTCCGGAGAGCTGTTTCGGGCTCCGGACGCTTTCCTGGGCTCCAAAACTGGGAGTGACGCTTTTGAGCCCTCACGTGTGCCGCGTACTGCATTAGGCAGATGGCAGCTCACGGCACAGGCATTGGCACGCGGTGGGTCCCCCAGGGTCCTCTTCTCCCTTAGCCTCATTCCTCGGGCTTCTGGGCAGGGGTGTTGGGCTCAAGCCTGAGAGGGTCCTCCGGTATGGAAGGGGTGAGGGTTGTGCAGCTCCAGACCGCCATCCTGGGTGCCCCCAGGGCTCACTCTCCCTGCGGGCCCCCCACTCCCAGGACTGGACCCTGTGTATGGCGTGTGATGAGTGGGGGTGGGGCTGCGGTGGGGCTGGGTGGAGGTCTGTGATGTGTGCTGCTGTCAGGGAATCTGAGTGTGGCTGTGCCGTGGTGTTAGTGTGGGAGCGTCTGTATGTGTTGAGACGTGTGTGTTTTTGTTTATTTTTAGGGGGATGTGTACAAGTATGTCCGACTGTGAGTGCGTCTGTGATCAGCGGTGTGTGTGTGTGTAATCAGATGTGTGTGTACTCAGATGTGTGTGTCTGTGTTCAGAGGTTTGTGTGAGTCCGTGTGATGACTGTTCAGGTGTACACAGCTGTTCAGGGTGGCTTCTGCTCGTGTGATGCAGGTTGGGGTGTGTGTTGGGGCTGAGGGGTGAGCTGAGCCTGCCTGAGGAGGGAGCGAAAGCCCTAATCAATTTCCACCTAACAGAAGGGTGGCGGCCCCCCTGTCCTGTCTGCTTCCCTCAGCCCCATCAGGACCAATATTTTCCTTTCCTGTCTCCCCTGACCCCCACCTGCACCAAAGGCCAGCTCTTTATGCCTCATTTTAGAGACAAGAAAGCCAGGCTGAAGTGCTGGGGCACTGGCCCAGGAACACTCGGCCAGAAAGCAGTGGAGCCAGGGTCTTGGCTGGAATCCCAACTCCAGCCTAATTCTTGCTTCTCCCAGGAGGGCCCTGTGCACCCTTCGCCCAGCCCGAGGCTGGGGTGAGGACGACTTTCTGGGCTGGGCTGTGTGGGGAGCAGGACACAAAAGGCCCAGTGTCTGCCCCTGCCTCCCCCTCCTGGCCCTGCCCTGCTCCAGGAGCCGGGTGGGTGTCCAATGCCAGACTGGGCAAAGAGGGGCATGTGATACTCATGCTCACGAGGGCACCCAGCCCCAGCACTGGACCCACCTGCCCCCCGCGCCGTTCCATGGGCTGGCTCGGGTTGGGTGTGATGAGGAAACAAAGCTCTGGCTGCATTTTAGGATCCTGGCGCCAGCTCTCAAAGCGCTCCAGCTTGCCCTGCTCTGGGAAGGGATTGATGAGTAATTAAGATCATGATGATATCAACACAACATATTAAAAGAAACAGAATGATTGCTACTGTTTGCTGAGGCCTGACTATGTGCTGTTGCTAAGTTCTGGGGGGGCAGTGATGCAGGCTGGTGAGGACCTTGGACCTCACCAGAGCCAGGATTATTTCCCAGCAATGTTGTCCAGCTGTGTTACCTCGGGCAAGTTGCTTAAAGTCTCTGCTTCAATTTCCCCACTGTAAAATGACAGGAGGTGAACATATATATATATATATATACACACACACACACACACACACATATACTTTAAAACCCATCCTGCCATTGAATACGTGCAGCAAGTATTTGCCCTTATTTTTGCGATCTTTTTGGCTCCCTGTGGTGACCTAGGAGGTAGGTATTGTTATTCCCACTCTACAGACAAGAAAACTGAGGCTGAGCCATTTGCTATAGGTCACAAAACAAGGGGTGTCTGGGCTGGATTCTGATGCCAGGTCCTGTATCCCAGGCTGTATTCTCCCACTGACATTGATAGGTTAGGTCATTGCTGATAGTGTTAACCCTCTAAGAGTCCAGAAAGTGCTTCCATGTGCATTGACTTTGACTCTTTGACTCTCATCAGTCTTTTTTTTTTTTTTTTTTTTGAGGTGGAGTTTCTCTCTTGTTGCCCAGGCTGGAGTGCAGTGGCTCAATCTCGGCTCACCCCAACCTCTGCCTCCCAGGTTCAAGTGATTCTCCTGCCTCAGCCTCCCGAGTAGCTGGGATTACAGGCATGTGCCCCCACGCCCGGCTAATTTTTGTATTTTTAGCAAAGACGGGTTTCTCCGTGTTGGTCAGGCTGGTCTCGAGCTCCCAACCTCAGGTGATCTGCCCACCTCAGCCTCCCAAAGTGCTGGGATTACAGGCGTGAGCCACTGCGCCCGGCAACTCTCATCAGAGTCTTAAGATGAGTATTTAATATTAGCATCTCCCTTGGATGAATGGGGAAAATTGAGGCCCAGAAAGAGACAGTGCTTTTTCCAAGGTTACACAGCAAGTAAATGGCAGAGTCAGCATTCTAGGTCTCTCTATTAATAAACAGCATGATTGTAGGCAATTATGGTTTGGGGGTATGCCTCCTGTGCTACTGTGTGTCGGGCTGCTTGCTAACGCTGTGCCCACATGATCCTTTGCTTGCTAACGCTGTGCCCACATGATCCTTTGTGATTCTTTTTTTTTTTTTTTTTTTTTTTTGGAGATAGAGTCTCACTCTGTTGCCCAGGCTGGATTGCAGTGGTGTGATCTTGGCTCACTGCAACCTCCATCTCCCTACTTCAGGCGATTCTCCTGCCTCAGACTCCCGAGTAGCTGGGACTACAGGCGCCCCCCACCATGATGCCCGGCTAATTTTTTTTTTTTTGTATTTTCACTAGAGACGGGGTTTCACCGTGTTAGCCAGGATGGTCTCTATCTCCTGACCTCATGATCCGCCCGCCTCGGCCTCCCAAAGTGCTGGAATTACAGGCGTGAGCCACCGTGCCCGGCCGATCCTTTGTGATTCTTATAACATCCTCTAGTCATTCCAAATTCTACTGGGTTTCTTCACTGGTCCTGGCTCTGTGTATACATGTATCTCCACCCCTCTGAACTTGGACCCCCAGAGGACCGGACCAAAATGTGATTTATCATGGAGTGCCCAGGGCCAGCACTGGGCCTGGCACAAAGTAGGTGCCCAGGCTGGCAGGGAATACATGGTTCCACAGGCAAGAGAGGTTATCAAGAGAAGTGGGTTGATGGGAGGCTGGGTGTGGTGGCTCACACCTGCAATCCCAGAGTTTTAGGAGGTCAAGGCAGGAGGATCTTCGAGGCTACAGGGAGCTGTGATTACACCACCGCACTCTAGCCTGGTGGCAGATTGAGGCCCTGTCTCTAAAAAGGAAAAAGAAGAAAAGAGGGGGTTGATGGGAACTGGTGAGGGAATATAACTGGACCACTGGACCAGTGGACTCAGGATGGGAGGTCATGAGGCCACCCTGAAAGACACATGTCTGTGCTGAGACAGAAAGGGCAGGTGGCTGTGACATATTTACATTCCACGGTGACGTGGTCCTGTGGGATATTTTGTGCCAGACACGAGTTATGATTTTAAGGGTGTAGTATTTATCTCTTTTAATCCTCGAAATGTCTCACTTAATTCTCAAAACTTGAGGTTGGTACTTAATTCTCAAAACTTGAGGTTGGTACAAGTATTAGTCTCCTTTTACAGATAAAGAGATTTAGGTATAAGGTGGAGGTTATGCAACTGGCAGAGTTGGGATTTGAACCCCGGCCCTCCGCCTCCCTCCAGGCAAAGATGGATGTGGGTGGGGGTGAGACACACCCTCACTTGTCCACTTTCATTCGTCCCACAGTTCTGTGAAGGTCTGCCTTAGCTCTCCTTTTCTTTTTTCTTTTTTTCTTTTTTTTGAAACAGTCTCACTTTGTCTCCCAGGCTGGAGGGCAGAGGCGCGATCTCGGCTCACTACAGCCTCCGCCTCCCGGATTCAAGCGATCCTCCCACCTCAGCCTCCTGAGTAGCTAGCTTTCCTCAATTTTAAATGAGGAAAGCAGGCTCCGTATATAGAGGAGTTCTCCCCTAATTTTCTCTCAGCACAGGCCCAGTCCGCCGTTCCTTCCTGGTTCCCATCCCTCCCTCACCGCCGCCCGTGAGCAGGGCCGGGCACGCAGCAGGCATTCATGGAGTGCTGCTGATGGATGCCTGGACCGGGTCCCCTGGGCTCTGAGCCCGGGGCGGGGGTGGGGCCAGAGCCGGGCCCCGGAGGGGTTGGGAGGGCGCGGAGGGGAGGGGCGCAGGGGGTGCGGGTTGGGGGTGCGCAGGCGGTGCGGCTGGGGCTGGCAGGAGAAGGGTTAAGAACAAGCACTCATTAACTGCCTCCCGCTTGCTGGGCCCACGTGCAGGGTGGCCTGGGCTTAGGGTGCGGGGAGCCTTTGGGTGGCCCCCTGAGAGCTGGTCTTCCAACACATGGGACCCCCGGAGTTCAGCCCGAGCCCCCGGGGAGCTGTCGGGACGGGTCCTCTCTGGGGTGAGCCAGCGTCTGGGGCCCGCGGCTCCCCGCGAGCAGGCCGGGAAACGCCTGTTGCTGCTTTTGTTTTTCCATCAACAACCGGGCTTACGTAAACTCCTCGCCGGCTCTGGGCTGCCAGCGCGGGGGAGGCGGCCTTATCTGATAGGGGCTGTGCCAGGGCCGGGGTTCCCTGCGTGTCCCGGCACAGGCCCCGCGGAGAGAGCCCGCGCGGTGGGCGGGGGGCGGGGAATGGCACCCCCGGGGGGGCGTCTGTCCTCCCAGTCCCAGAGGGGACAGCTGGGTCCTCTCCCTGCAAGACATAACCAGGGGCAGTGGTCCTCAACCTCCGACCTGCAGGGGTCCGGCAGGAAAAGGACCCTCTTCACCCGCGCGCACAGAGAGGGGTAAGGGGCCTGTAGTGACGCTGGGGTGGCCTCGTCACCAGGGTCACCTGGCTTCCAACCCCAGCTTTATGCTAGGCTGGTGGTGCTCGGAGTACAATGTGCTTGGAAAAATGGGTCCAGGAATCAGGGGAGGAGGGAGGAGGGGGAGACGGCGGAAACTTTTTGTTTTGAATTTTTTTCAAAATTCCAGAAATGCGCGATAGTACAATGAACTCGTACGTGCCCTTCCTAGATTCACCAAGTGTCAACCTTCTGACACTTTTGCACGCTTGCTGTCTCTCCCCATCCCCTCCCCATGTATATCCTTGAGGTGGACAATATTTTTATCCCCATTTTACAGGTGGGGAAACTAAGGTTTAGATAGCGGAGATAACTTGTCCAAGAAAGTATCGAAGCTGGCATTTAATCTCAGATCTCAGATGAAAACTTTTACTCTTTTGCTTGGTGATTTTTCTGAGTTATATACATTTCCTTCTCCCTCTCTCTTTTTTTTTCTGAGCGGTTACCACATACACATAGCATGTGTAAAATATGCAGTTTCCCTAGCCCGACATCCTAGTTCCTTACTTAAAAGCAGGCTCTGTTACCTGTTTCTTGCCCATCTTTCCAGAGACATTCTATGCCTGTGAAGACATGTTCATAAAACATATTTTACAAAATGGTATTTGTGTGTGTGTGTGTGTGTGTGTGTGTGTGTGTGTTTTGTTGTTGTTGTTTTGAGACAGAGTCTCTCACTGTACTCCCAGGCTGGCGTACAGTGACACGATCATGGCTCCCTGCAGCCTCCACCTTCCAGGATCCAAGCGATCCTCCCACCTCAGCCTCCCTAGTAGCTGGGACCAGAAAGTGCACCACCATGCCTGGCTAATTTTTCTATTTTTTGTAGAAATGGGGTTTCGCCATACTTGTCAGGCTGGTCTTGAACTCCTTGGCTCAAGCAATCCTCCTGCCTCAGCCTCACAAAGTGCTGAGATTACAAGTGTGAGCCACTGTAGCCAACCTTACAAAATGATATTGCATTGGACACATTTTTCTGCACTTTGCTTCCTGCTCCCTGCCCCTTAACTATCATGTAACAGAGACTTCTCCATACTGGAAATATAAAATGCTCCCTTCTTTTAAACCAGTGCATAGTGTTCCACTGAACAGATGTTCCAGAATTGATTTCACCATCCCCTATGGACAGGAAATTAGGCCGTTTCCCATCTATTGTTATTATAAGCAAAACTGCAACACATATCCACACTCATACATCAATTTGCATGTGCGCGAGTGTATTTGTATGGTAAATTCCTAGAAGTGGAAATGCTGGGTTAAAGGGTATGCGGATTTTGAATTTACTTAGATATTGCCAAATCGCTCTTCAGGGAGGTTGCACCAATCTGCCCTCCCACTCACAATGAATGAGAATGTCTGTTTCCCACACTCTTGCCAACACAGCGTGTTATCGAACCTTTTTATCTTTGTCAATCTGTTAGATATAAAATAATATCTCGTAGCTGTAATCTCATTTCTCCTACTACAAGAGAGGTTGACCATGTTTTCATATGACTAAGAATCATTTACATTTCCTTTCCTGGGAACTGTTTGTTTATATCCTTCGCCTATCTTTTAATTAGGTTGGTTTTTTTTTCTTCCTGATATGTAGGAGCTCTTAATATCAGCCCTTTGTTGATAACATATGATATGTCTATACTATATGTGTCTTTTGACTTTATTTATATTATTTGTATGCAGAATTAAAAATAATTTTTTGTGGCTATTTTATTGCTGGATTCAGTTTTTTAAAATCCATACTTTAAAAGGCCTTCTTTACTGTATGAATGTAAAGTACCCCCAGGTTTTCTTCATTCTAGAATTTGTTTTTGTGGAAGATGTGAGGTAGGGATTCTGCTCTTTCTCTCTGGGTGACTCTGGTTGTCCCAACACTATTGATTGAATAATCTATCTTTTTGTCATTGATTAGCAATGCCACTTTTATCATATACTAAATTCCTGTAATATATGTAGCATTTGAGTG
Source organism: Homo sapiens (assembly GCF_000001405.40). Classification (NCBI taxonomy): domain Eukaryota; kingdom Metazoa; phylum Chordata; class Mammalia; order Primates; family Hominidae; genus Homo; species Homo sapiens. The sequence goes on from NC_000009.12 coordinate 124,048,058, forward strand.
CTTTAGCAGTTTCCCTGGGCTATCCTAACACATTCCCACAAACTGGCTAGCTGAAAACAACAGAAATTCATTCTCTCAAAGTTCAGGAGGCTGTAAATTTAAATTAAGGTGTCCGCAGGGCCACGTTTCTTCTGGTGTTGCTGGTGAACAGACCATGCCACGCATTTCTCCTAGCAGCCGGTGGTTGCGGGCATTCCTGAGGTTGTGGCAGCTTCACTCTAATCTCTGCCTCTGTCTTCACATGGCCTTCTCTCTGTGTTTATGTCTGTGTCCAAATTTCACTCATTTTGTGAGGACACCAACCTTTGGATTAGGGTCTAATCCAATATGTCCTTCATCCAGTATAGCCTCATCATGATTTAATTACATCTACAATGACACTGTTTCTAGTTAAGGGCATGTTTGCAGTACCAGGGGTTAGGACTTCAATGTATCTTTTATTAGAGGGGCACAATTCTACCCATTACAACTATGCATTCTTTTTTTTTTTTTTTTTCCTTTTGAGATGGAGTCGCACTCTGTCACCCAGGCTGGAGTGCAGTGTCTCTGCTCACTGCAACCTCCGCCTCCTGGGTTCAAGCAATTCTCCTGCCTCAGCCTCCTGAGTGGCTGGGATTACAGGCATGCTCTACCACGTCTGGCTAATTTTTGTATTTTTAGCAGAGATAGTGTTTCACCATGTTGGCCAGGCTGGTCTCCAACTTCCAGCCTCAGGTGGTCTGCCCGCCTCGGCCTCCCAAAGTGCTGGGATTACAGAAGTGAGCCACTGCACCTGGCCACTTTCAGTTTTTCTATTCTGTTCTATTGATCCATCTGTGTAAAATGCACCAATACCAGTGTTTAAAATATCATAGATTGATCTTATGTTCTAATATGTGTTAGACTAGTACCCACTCATTACTCTTTTCTTTCAAAATTTTCTTGTTTATATTTTCCTTGTTTATATCATATTCGTTGTTTATATGGAGTTTAGAATCAACTTATCGGCTTGCTTATTTTTAAAAATCTGATTGGTGTTTTTATCAGAACACACGCATACCATTTTACATGCTCAAGTTTTCATTTGTGCCCCTCAGCAATTTATTAATGTTCACTTCCAGTAAATCTCATACATTTTATTTTTGTTACATTGATTTCTAAATATTTTACCTTTTTGGCTGCTATCATAAACAGGAACTTCTCTTTCACTATCTCTTCTAACTGGTTCTTTACCTTGATGAGGACTATTAATTACAATATATTAATTTTGCAATCAACCACCATACTGAGTTTTTGTATTATTATTATGTATTATTATGTATTTTGAGACAGGGTCTCACTCTGTTGCCCAGGCTGCAGTGCAATGTTCATGGTCATCCCCGCAGCCATGAACTCATGGGCTCAAGCAATCCTCCTGCCTCAGCCTCCTGAGTAGCTGGGACTACGGGCATACACCACCATGCCTGGCTAATTTTTTAATTGTTTGTGGAGATAGGGTCTTGCTATATTGCCCAGGCTGGTCTTTTTTTTTTTTTTTTTTTTTTTTGAGACGGAGTCTCGCTCTGTCGCCCAGGCTGGAGTTCAGTGGTGTGATCTCGGCTCACCGCAAGCTCTGCCTCCTGGGTTCATGCCATTCTCCTGCCTCAGCCTCCCCAGCAGCTGGGACTACAGGCGGCTGCCACCACGCCCAGCTAATTTTTTTGTATTTTTAGTAGAGATGGGGTTTCACTGTGTTAGCCAGGATGGTCTCGATCCTCCTTGTGATCCGCCCACCTTGGCCTCCCAAAGTGTTGGGATTACAGGTGTGAGCCACTGCACCCGGCTACCCAGGCTGGTCTTGAACTCCAGGCCTTAAGCAATCCTTCCATCTTGGCCTCCCAAAGTGCCGGGATTACAGGCATGAGCTACCATACCGGGCCTCTTATATTATGTATAATGGCTTTTCAGTTGATTCTGTAAATAATAACCCATTTTTCCCCTCCTTTCTAATTCTTATACTTCTCATTTCTTTTCCTTGTCTAATTGTGTAGGCTGGTACTTTGTCAGAACAATGTTAAGTAATAGTGTTAATAACAGATGGCCAGGCAAGGTGGCTCACGCCTGTAATCCCAGCACTTTAGGAGGCCGAGGTGGGTGGATCACCTGAGGTCTTGAGTTCAAGGCCAGCCTGGCCAACATGGTGAAACCCCATCTCTACTAAAAAATACAAAAATTAGCCGGTTGTGATGGTGGGCGCCTGCAATCCCAGCTACTCGGGAAGCTGAGGCAGGAGAATTGCTGGAACCCGAGAGGCGGAGTTTGCAGTGAGCCAAGATCGCGCCATTGCACTCCAGCTCAGGCCGATGACAGCGAGACTCCGTCTCAGACAAACAAACCAACCACAAAACAAAACAAAAAATACAGACACACTTTCTTACTCTTGATCATAATGGGAATGCTTTCAGTGTTTCGTCTTTAAGCATGATGCTGGCTTTTGGGTTGAAATCAGTATTTTATCGTGTTTAAACATTTTCCTATTTTATTAAGAAAGAAAAGCTCTTTCTAAACTTTCTAGGCCATCTCCTTCTCTGGCCTCCTCTACGTGCAACCCAGACCCTGCAGTACTGAGTTAGTCACTCACCTCCTGAGTGCGCCATGTTGTATAAGGCATTCTAGCCATTGCCCCTTGCTAGTCCCTCTTCATGGAATACCCTTCCCCCAAGCTTCTCTCAGGCAAGGCCCAGATAAATAGCATCTACTCTGGGAAGCTTCCCAGGCAGTTCTGCCCTTGACCTTGTCTCCTCCAAGCCCTTCTCATGATGATATATATATAATTGCCTGCGTTCACCTCCGCTCTCCACACCAGCCTGTGAGCATCCTGGTGTGTGTGTGTGGGCATGGGGGTGACACGTCTGGGTTACTTCTGTGTGCTTGGACTAGGGCCCCGATAGAGTAAATACATGATCAATGTGGTTTTGGATGAATGAATACTAAATAAAAGCTAACATTTACCAAGTACTCAGTAAGTGCCAGGCCCCAGGGTAAGCACTTCCCACTCACTGTCTCATTTAATACAACACCCCCATGAGGTAGAGGTGTATTGTTTCCAACTTGAGATGAGCAAGTGAAATCTCAGAGAGGTTAAGTAACATATGCAAGGTCACACAGCCAGGAAGTGAATCCAGGTTGGTTTGACTCCAGGGCTGAGACTTTAAGTCTCTAGGCCATTCTGAATGGCTATAAATGTTAGCTTTTATAGCCATTAATACAGTACATGTATGAATGAACAAATAAATACAGTAAATGTATGAATGAACAAATGGTACACAGTGAGGCCTGGGAGAGTGAAGTGGTGCTAGGCTTGGACATGGCACCTGTCCAAGTGCCATGGAGAGGAGCCCTGAGATGGTGATTCCTTTATGTTTTTTCTTTTTTTGGTAAATACAAACCCTTGTGTCAAGGGCTGACTTTCAATAGATTGCAGCGAGGGAGCTGCTCTGCTGTGTACGAAACCCTGACGAGATGATGATTTTTTTTTTTTTTTAGACAGAGTCTTGTTTTGTTGCCAGGCTGGAGGATGGTGGTGCGATCTCGGCTCACTGCAGCCTCCGCCTCCCTGGTTCAAGCTATTCTCCTGCCTTACCTTCCTGAGTAGCTGGGACTACAGGCACACGCCACCATGCCCGGGTTATTTTTGTATTTTAGTAGAGATGGGGTTTCACCATGTTTGCCAGGCTGGTCTCGAACTCTTGACCTCAGGTGATCCACCTGCATCGGCGTCCCAAAGCACTGGGATTACAGGCGTGAGCCACCGCTCCCGGCCGAGGTGATGTTTCTTAAGTGACCCAGAGGGTGGAGCTAGGTGTGGGTGCAGGGGTGGGATAATGGAACTACCTGATCTGGTTGGCTCAGGACTGAGGGTTTTCCTGGAATACTGGACTTTCTAGTGCTAAAGTCAGAAAAGCCCTGGCCAAACCTGGCTGAGGTGGTCACGCGAGAGGTGCAGCCATAAGCTCTGGATTTCCTCTCTGTGTGAGCAAAGGATTCTCATGGTCAGGACTAACTAGGGAGCGGGGAGGCAGCCCTAGCAGAGAGTGAGCTCCCTGTCATGCGAGGTATAAAAACAGGACAGGGGACACTTTCACTTTCATATTTTCCCCTCATCTCTTTGGGATTCTTGGGTGATCTTAACTTGGGGTGTGGGCTCCCAGAATGGTTCTGCTTTGTCCCAAGCTGGAGGGTTCCTGGAAAGGACTGAGACAGGCTGAAGGCCCAGTTGCTCACTGTTTGATGGCTGAATGCTCCTCTGGATGGCCTAGGAGGTGTGTAAATGGGCAGAATTGACAACGTGTGTCACGTGAACCTCCTGCCAAGCCCAGGAGCTCCTCCTCCTAATAGCCCTCCTGAGGAAACCACCCAGGAAAGGGGGACAGAAAAGTGGGACTCAGAGGGGTGAATGAGGAGATGGGGTGGGCGGGGGAGCAGGAGCTTGAGTCACCCACCTCCATCAATTGAGTGATGCCACTTCCAGGCAGGAAAACCCACCTGGTCCATCTCCCAGGACCCGGAGTGGACTTTAAGCTCAGCAGAGCCCCCGGCACAGGCCCTGGAACTCTCCTGGCGGGGTCACAGCAGCAGGATAGGCAAGTCTTGCAGGGGAGGGCTGATGGGGGGAGCAGGTCCCCAGCAGGGTGTCTCCTCAGGGCCTGAAGTTTCTCCAGGTTGCAGCTGGGGATAGACACACAGGAATAAGAGAGAGAAATGGCTGGTGTTCGGGGTGGGGAGAGCTGGAATTTATTTAAAGGCCTCTGTACTTGTTGACTAACAGCGAGCTTGTATTTCGTTTTGTTTTGTTTTGGCTGATATATACTTTACAAAATTATGTTTGAAAGTGGCATATAACATGCATACAGCAAAGTGTACTTATGAGTGTATAGTTTGATGATTTTTTACATGTGTATGTACACCCATGTAATCACACCCACATCAAAGTATAGACATTTCCAGTGCCCCAGGAAGTCCCTTTTTACCTTTTCCTGGTCTATATCTGCCCTCAGAGGTAACTATGGTCCTGTCTTTTATCATCTTGAAATAGTTTTGCCTGTTCTTGAACTTCGTGGACATGGAATAATACAGTAAAATGCTCTTTTGTGCCTGGAGTTTTGACTTCGTGTTATTGATAGTGACAGGAGGCAGCCAAATGCCTAGGCAGATAGGGGTGGGTCTCCAGTGACACCTGACCTTCCAGCCACAGACAGTCCTGGGTAAATCCTCAGACCGGATTGAAAACCCACCTTCCATTTGGCATGCTTTCCTCTGATTGATCCTAATCCTTCACCTATTTTACCTACCCTTTCCTAATTGGTTTTCTACAATGTCATGCCCACCTTTGAGTGGTGTCTTTGCTTTAACCTTTTTTGCATACTCAAAAACCAGTCAGCATGCATTCCCTGTTATGATCCCATAAAAAGCCCTGGGCTCAGCCATACTGGGTACTTTTCCACCTTCGGGTAGGAGAACCATCCCTCATGTCACCTCTTTTTGCTGAGAGCTTTCCTTTCACTTAATAAATTCTACCCCACTCACTCTCTGGTGTCTGCATGCTTAATTCTTCCTGGTCATGAGACAAGACCCTGGACCTAGCTGAGCTAAGGAGCAGAAAGATAGCATCATTATAATGGTGTGATTCACCCATGGTGTTGCACGTATCAGTGGTTTGTTCCTTTTTTACTGCTGTGTAGTTCTCCATTGTAGAAATGTGTCACGAAACATTGATCCGGTCTCCTATTGATGGGCATTTGGGTTGTTTCCAGTTTGCCAGTTTGGGCCATTATGAACAAGTCTGCTATGAACATGTGTGTCAGGCCTTTTGGTGGCACTCACATCTTGGGTGTATACCCAGGAGTGGAATTGCTGGGTCATAGCTGAGGTGTATATTTAACAAAGCCTGTACTTAGTACTTTTGTTATAAGAGAAACTTGGAAAAATCAACGAGAGATTTTTTATAACTTTAAAAGGAGTACATACAAAAAGTTGTTTGGGAGGTGAGCCCAGAGTTCTCTGGGGCCCCAGTGGCAGCTTCTGGAGTGTGTGGCTTGGATTCCTGAGGGGAAGGTCAAGTTGGGCATGGAGCAGGGAGGGAATGGGCTATACCTGGGCCCTTTCAGGCCCCTCCCAGGGAAGGGAGGGTAAGGTCTGCCAGGATGCTATCATAAGGGGCAGATCTGATAGGTGCTCCTATAAAGAGTCTGACTGGGGACCTCACTCTCACCACCTGTGCAATGGGCTAGTGCATGGTGGACTCAGTGGCTTCTGAGCCTCTGATGTCTTTGGGCATCTGCTTGGGAGCCTCCTCTTTCAGCCCCTACATTACGGTCTGTGGCAATACCGACTCTGGAAGGTTTTAAGGATGGGGGGATGGTCCCTGAGCCCCAAAGCTTCTGCCAGGGTGAACCCTGTGGATCAGGGCCCCAGAGGCCTCCTCCCACCCCCAGCCTTGCCCCAGCTGTGCCTCAGGCTCTCTGGGAGCTGGGGGGAGACAAGGGGAGCCAGGCTCAGTTTTTTTCATGAAGCCGGAGCAGCTGCTGCCCAGAGTTTGGGAAGCTGTTGTTCTGCCAGTGGGGTTCCCCAAGGGAAATACCAGTGCCAGGGTCCTGAGCACAGCCGGGTGATCCAATCACCCCCAATGAGCTCAGGGCTTGCCCCCATGCCTAGCAGCTGAGCAGAAGCACTTAGCAGCCCAATCAAATACTTCTCAGTCTGGTGAAAACACTCAGCAGTGTGTTTAAATGACTCAGCCACCCAGCGGCAGTGCTCAGAGGGCCAGTGAAGTTACTCACTGAAACTAGAGTAATGCTTATCAGTCTACAGTAGCATTCATTCATCTGGGGGAAAAACAAACCCCAAAAACTAAACCAATAACCACAGAATGGTTCTGAGTCCTTATCTTGGCCCTGGCCCTTCTTTGCTGTGGTTTCCTTGTAGGGATGTCCACCCTCTTTGTGGTTTGTTGGGATAAGTCAATGCGCTAATGTCTAGAAAGGGCTTCTCGTAGTGGTTGGCATGCAGTGGGCTTTCAGCAATATTTACCGAGGGCCTGCTGTAAGCCAGATCCTATTGTTGCAATTACTCTGGCCCTTGGGGAGGCAGTCCTGGGAGGCGGAGCTTTGGGCAGGGACAGTTTCTATGAACAAAATGCATGAGCTTTAGTCATGGCTTGAAACATTATGTGAGCCTTCAGAATTCTTTTATTTATTTAATTAATTTATTTTTTTGAGACGGAGTCTCGCTCTGTCACCCAGGCTGGAGTGCAATGGCGTGATCTTGGCTCACTGTAACCTCCGCCTCACAGGTTCGAGTAATTCTCCCTGCCTCAGCCTCCCAAGTAGCTGGGATTACAGGCAACTGCCACCACGCCTAGCTAATTTTTGTATTTTTAGTAGAGACGGGGTTTTGCCGTGTTGGCCAGGCTGGTCTCGAACTCCCGACCTCAGGTGATCCGCCTGCCTCGGCCTCCCAAGGTGCAGGGATTACAGGCGTGAGCCACTGTGCCCAGCTCAGAATCCTTCTACAGTGTTCTCTCTGGTCCTCCATTGGCTGTGGTTTAGAAAGCCCAGATTCATTCCTCCTGCCTTCCCATTCTCCCTTCTCAACCTCACCCACCGTCAAGTTCTCTTCTGGATACTGGGCTTCAGAGATATTGGATTTGGGCCCTGTGAAAACAGGTGATTAGAACACACTAGAAGGTGTAGTGAATCTACTGACAATATAAATACAGTTAAGTTTCTGTCTGCCCATTTGTCTGGTTCCACATCATGAGCAAATAGCTGGAGGAATTACTTGAAGGGTATGTTTGGTTTGATCTGACTTGGTGGCTCAGGATATAGGGGGAGTGGGCCAAATAGATGGGCAGGGGTCTTCCAGGGTTTCTCAAATCGATGGCTGATGACAGGCTATTTATTTGTTGATTGTGAGGCCGTGTATATTAAAATGGCATAGACAAAGAAAACAAATGGGTTTTAAACGTGAGCTCCAAATGGGCAGACAATATGGGTGTTAATTCATGATCAAGCTGCTGATTACTGGCAACTCCAGATAGCTTCTTAATGATGAGTAGAAGTAGGCATTGATTTCTTTTACTATGGATAATGATCTCCCCAGCTATGCAGGAGAAGCCAGTTAGTAGCAATTACAGGAACAAGCATCAATTAAACTTTCTTTGTGTGATGCACCATGCTAGGCACTAGAATGCATTTTGTCTCCCTGACTCCTCACAATAGCCTGGGGGTGGGAATGCTTATTAATTCAGAGAGGTTAAGTAACTTATCCACCTAGTAAGTGGTAGATCCAGGATTCAAACCCAGGTTTACCTGTCAGATGGCAACGTCCATGCTCTAAATCCCTTGTCTACACTGCATTCTGCCTTGGGACGCTGCAAACTCATCAAATTCAAAACTCCCTCTCCTTCTGTCTGGAACTATAAAGTGAAGAAATTAGGGTTGCTGGATATGAAATCAACCTAGAAAATCCACAGTGTGCTACAAGCAATGACCAATTAGAAAATGTAGCTGGGGGCGGTGGCTCACAGCTGTAATCCCAGCACTTTGGGAGGCAGAGGCGGGTGGATCACGAGGTCAGGAGATCGAGACCATCCTGGCTAACATGGTGAAACCTCGTCTCTACTAAAATACAAAAAAAAAAAAAAAAAAAGGAGCCAGGCATGGTGGCCGGCGCCTGTAGTCCCAGCTACTCGGGAGGCTGAGGTAAGAGAATGGCGTGAGCCTGGGAGGCGGAGGTTGCAGTGAGCCGAGATCAAGCCACTGCACTCCAGCCTGGGCGACTGAGCAAGACTCCGTCTCAAAAAAAGAAAAGAAAATGTAAATGTAACAGAAAGAAAGATGATATGAAAAGTGTAAGGGCCCAGTAATCAACTAACAAAATGTGTGTAACAACTCTATGGATAAAATACAAAGTATTATTGAAGAACACACACACTCAAGAATAAATGAAGGTATGTATCATATTCATGGAAAACAAGACTCAATATCATCAAATGTACTTTAATTTTTCCCGATTGATTCATAAAATCAGTGCAATTAACTAAAATTCCAATAAGATTTGTCATCAAACTTGTTAAGCTGATTCTAAAATTAACACAGAAGGATAAAAGGGCAAGAATAGTGAAGGCCAATCTGAGATAGAATGAGGTAGGGGTCTTGCCCAAACCAATATCCTTAGTTATTTATTTATTTATTTATTGAGACAGATTTTCACTCTTGTTGCCCAGGCTGGAGTGTAATGGCACGATCCCGGCTCACTGCAACCTCCGCCTCCTGGGTTCAAGCGATTCTCATGCCTCGGCCTCCCAGGTAGCTGGGATTACAGGCACCTGCCACCAAGACCAGCTAATTTTTTGTATTTTTAGTAGAGAGGGGGGTTTCATCATGTTGGCCAGGCTGGTTGCGAACTCCTGACCTCAGGTGATCTACCCGCCTCAGCCTCCCAAAGTGCTGGGGATTACAGGCATGAACCACCACGCCCAGCCAATGTTCTAATTTATGATAAAGCTTTGATAATAAACACATCCTGGTTGTTAACACAGCGATAGACAAATAATGGAACAGAAAAGGGAACCCAGAAATTGATCCAAGTTATATGGGACCTTGGTGTATGATCAAAAGGCATTACAAATCTGTGGAGGGGAAGCATGGACTATTCAAAAATGGGGTTTAGAAAAGTAGCTATCCCTATGTAAAAATTAACCTTAGATCCTGTCTCACATCACACACAAAAATAAACTTGAGATGAATTAATGACCTAAATGTGAAAAACAGCTTACAGAAGAAAAGTTGGAAAATTTCCCTATGTCTTGGGATAGGGAAGGAGCCCTTAAGTCACAAAAGCTAGGCGTCATAAAGGAAAATATGAAGTTTAAGCTCAGCCGCATCAAATATTTCTGTATAACAGATAAACTACCTGCAAAGTTAAAATTCCAACAATAGTCTGTGGGAAGGCATTTGCAGCATATATTACAGATATAGGGTTAACATCCAAAAGATACAAAGAACGCCTATAAATCGATAAGAAAAAGACAAACAACCCAATAGAAAAATGGGCAGAAGACCTGAACACAAAAAAGGAAACAGGGAGAGTGAATAAGCATAAGAATCAAAGATGCTTAACCTCTCTTTGTTGATGATTAAACAACAAAGAGAGGCCAGGCGAGGTGGCCCAACACTTTGGGAGGCCGAAGTGGAAGGACCACTTGAGCCCAGGAGTTTGAGACCAGCCTGGGCAACATAGTGAGACCCTGTCTCCAAAAAAATTAAAAAAAAAATTTTAAATTTTAACCAGACATGGTGGTGGATGCCTGTAGTTTCAGCTGCTTGGGAGTCTGAGGTGGGAGGATCACTTGAGCCCAGGAGGTTTAGGCTGTACTGAGCCGAGACCGTGCCACTGCACTCTAGCCCAGATAATAGAGTGACACCCTGTCTCAAAAAAACAAACAAAAAATCCCCACAAAACGACAAAGAGATTCCATTTTATACCCCTCAGATTCACACAAGTTGGAAGGTTTGACACTATTAAGTTGGTGAAGATGCTGGGAAAGCTGAACTACTACATTCGAAGATACTACAATTTGACGATACCTATGAAAGTCAGAAATACGCACACCATGTGACTAGTAGTTCTGCTGCTAAGAATGAACTCTAAAACCCTAGCACATTGGTCAAGGAAGCATTGTGGACGTTAAACTTGGAATAACTCACATGTCTGTCGGCAGAGGAATTAAATAAATCTGTTACCTATTTATTTATTTATTTTTATTTTTACTTTTTTTTTGGGATGGAGTTTTACTCTGTAGCCCAGGCTAGGGTGCAGTGGCGTCATCTCAGCTCACAGCAACCTCTGCCTCCCAGGTTCAAGTGATTCTCCTGCCTCAGCATCGCAAGTAGCTGGGATTACAGGCATGCACCACCACACCCAACTAATTTTTGTATATTTTTAGTAGACAGGAGGTTTCACCATGTTGGCCAGGCTGACCTCAGGTGAACCACTTGCCTTGGCCTCCCAAAGTGCTGGGATTACAGGCGTAAGCCACCGCCCCTGGCTTGTGTTATCTATTTATAAAGTAGAACACCATACAGTAAACTAAATTGAGCTACATATTGAGTTTTGTAATTGAGTTACCTATTTGAAATCTGGTTAATTATTTAAAAGTATAATTTTGATTTTTAAAAGTGTTATGGGTTGAATTGTGTCCTCTATAAAGGCATGTTAAAGTCCTAATTCCAGGTACCTAGGAATGTGGCCTTATGTGGAAAGAGGGTCTTGTCAGATGTATTCAAGTGAAGAGGAGGTCATTGGATTAGACCCTAATCCAATATGACTGATATCCTCATAAGAAGAGAGATGTTTAGACATGGACACACACAGAGAGGAGAATGCTATGTGATGGCAAAGGCAAGAATTGGAGTGACACAACTCCAAGCCGAGGGACCGAGGGACGACGAGGATTGTTGGCCATCAACAGAAGTCAGAAGAGGCAAGGAAGGATTTTACCCAGAGTCTCAGAGAGCACATGGCCCTGGTGACACCTTGCCTTCAGACTTCTAGCTCCTAGAACTGGGGCAGGATAAATTTCTGTTATTTGAAGCCACATGGTTTGTGATACCTGTTACAGCATCCCTAAGAAACAAATACAAAAGTAAGTTGAAAGGTTATAATATGACACTGTATTTGACTGTTCTCATATTGCTGTAAGGAAATACTCAAGACTGGGCAACTTATAAAGGAAAGAGGTTTAATTGGCTCACAGTTCCACATGTCTGGGGGAGGCCTCAGGGAACTTACAGTCATGGCGGAAGGCACAGGAGAAGCAAGGCACCTTCTTCACAAGGCAGCAGGAAGGAGAAGTGTCGAGTGATGCAGGAAGAGCCCCTTATAAAGCCATTGGATCTCATGATCACTCATTCACTATCATGAGAACAACATGGGGGAAACACTCCCACGATTCAATTATCTCCACCTGGTCTTTCCCTGGACATGTGGGGATTATGGGAATTACACTTCAAACCGAGATTTGGGTGAGGACACAAAACCTAACCATATCAGACACTATTTATTTAAAATTTTAAAGCATACAAATAGCAGTACTATATATTGTTTATGGTTTTAATGAACTTAGAGGCTGAGTGCAGTGGCTCACGCCTGTAATCCCAGCACTTTGGATGGCGAAGGTGGGAGGATTGCTTGAGCCCAGGAGTTCAAGTTTAGCCTGGGCAACATAGCGAGACTCCTGTCTCTACAAAAAATTAAAAAATTAGCAGGCATTGTGGTATGTGCCTGTGGTCCCAGCATTTGGGAAGCTGAGGCAGAAGGATCTCTTGAGCCCAGGAGATTGAGGCTGCAGTGAGCCATGATCGCATTATGGCACTCCAGCCTCTGGCTCTGCCTCTGTGTAGAGAAGGGAAATGAAACGGAGGGGGATGAAAAGGATTTCAATTAAAATATCTTCAGCCGGGCAAGGTGGCTCACGTCTGTAATTCCAGCACTTTGGGAGGCTGAGGAGGGCGGATCACCTGAGGTCAGGAGTTCGAGACCAGCCTGGCCAACATGGTGAAACCCCATCTCTACTAAAAATACAAAAATTAGCCAGGTGTGGTGGCGTGCGCCTGTAGTCCCAGCTATTCAGGAGGCTGAGGCAGGAGAATCACTTGAACCTGGGAGGCAGAGGTTACAGTGAGCTGAGACTGCACCATGGCACGCCAGCCTCCAGCCTGGGCAGCAGCGGGGGGTTCTGTCTCAAGGAAAAAAAAATCTTCAACATCTGTTTCTTTTATTTAAAAATGTCTAAAACACAACTAACAAATTGTTAACATGTATTGACTCGAGTGGTGGGTGCATGGACATTTGTTACACTCTATTCTCTGGATTCTCTGTTACTATATGTATCTGTGACCATATAGGTATCTGTGTACAAAAGTGAATTTCCAATATTTGCTCAATGGGTGTGTGCATCTGTGTGTGTTTCCCGTGTTCCTGCTGGCTCTGGCGGTCTTGCTGGTGTCTGCTGTATGAACTCACGTGCTGCCCCGGGCGAGGTGGGAGCAGCCTTGTTGGGTCTGCACCCGGAGACCGTGGGTGAGGAGTGCAGCTAGATGGTGTACCAAAGGCCTGCTTTCTTCCTACCTCTTCCTGGTGCAGCTCTTGAGTTTCCTGGATAACACAAATATTACAGTGAGAGGCCATGGGGGCAGAGGCAAGGCCAGGGGCTGCCTCTTGACCAACTCCTCAGTCCCCTCTGAATGACTGGCTTCCTAGCAGCCAGGACCATCGATGGCAGAGGCACCGAGTTAAGAAAGCAGAAACGATGCAGGGTCAGGCGGGGAGAGAGCTGGGCCGGGCAGGGTCTTCCCTTGCCGAACACTGTCTCCTTTGGGACCATAAGCAAGTGGCTCCCGTCTCTAAGCCACGCACTTGGTCAGGCAGATGACTGGAAACAGGTTGACCAAAGTCACACATTGCCACGTCACGCTCCTGCATCCGTGGAAGGCATCGCTCAGCAATCACAGCACGTTTTCTGTCTGAGGTTCCATGCAGTCTCCAAGCCCTTCTCCAGCAGGGCTCAGAGACCCACCCCACGGTCTCAAGGAAGAGGGAAACCTTCCCGGGCTGCAAAGCGAGGAGCGCTCAGGGTCTTTCTGACTTGAATGCTTTTTCACTTCAACCTCCTGGGGGCAGAAAGACCCTGGAAGCCCTCAGTTACCTCATCTGGAAGATGGGGATGAGGCTCCTCTTTGCCTTCCCACGCTGCTGTTAGACTAAAGGAGACACGAGATGCAAAACACACACTCAGCCGATGACACCGAGCCTGCGGGAGGGACGCATGTGTAGAGGCTGGCACAGTGACTGGGAGGTTCCTGGGTCTGTCCTTACTGTGTCTTCCCTCCCTTCTCCCCTAGGCTGGAAGGGGCAGCCAAGATGTCCTGGGCTCCATCAGACACTGATGATTCCATTCCGTGTCATGCTCACTCGAACCCTGCAAGGTAAAAAATAATAATAATAAGGAAAGAGTAATAAACACACAGAGCACTTCCACCTCCTATGGGCATGCATCTCCTAAGGATTTCACATATATGAACTCATTTAACCCTCATAGGCACCTTAAGAAGTAGATACTATTAGTTCCCCATTTTGTGGATGAGAAAAACTAAAGCACAGAGAGGGTGAGCCACTTGCACAAGTTCACACAGCTAGCAAATGTCAGAATGAAGGTTTGAACCCAGGTAGCCCTGAGTGTGAGCCTTTCCTGCCTTTCATAAGGCCAGTGTTGCCACTCCCATTTCACAGATGGGGAGGCTGAGCCTTGGAGAGGACAAGCGCCCATGTCTCCCAGGCCACAAGTGGGCGGTGGTGAGTTCAAGCCTGCCTGCCTTTCCCCAAGCACCATCCAAATTTGCCCTGGGTCCTTCATGTTCTAGGGAAGAATTGCAGGACTCAGGGGCCCCAAATTGCAGGAATCTTAGACACAATACAGACCCACTGCCCTCTGGGAAAGGGTGAGGCTGCCACCTGGAAGGATGGAAATGTCTGGGGGGCCCACGTGGACAGCCTTTTGGGGGCTGAGGAGGGAACAGGGTCTGAGATTGCCAATGTGGCTGGGCCCCTCTTAGGCAGGCTGACCACCTCTTACTGTCTTGGGCCAGGAGGGCAGGTGACGTGGGGTCATTTCTGGGCTGTGCCCTATTTGTCTATGCACACTTGAGAGAGACCAAGTGTCTTGTCCAAGATCACATAGCTAAGAAGTCCTGGTGTTGAAACCCGGCCTCGGTGGCTCCTGAGCCAGGGTCTTCCTGCCCCTGCTTGTCTACGCACAAGCCTCCTCCTTGGACCCCAGATCTCTGCAGCTCCTCCCACAGGGTTATTTAGACCTGTCTCTACACAGAGCAGATGCCATAGGGCCATGGGGATGGCGGCCATGCTGGAGGGACCAGGACTGGCTTCGGAGCCTCATACGCAACCCCCAACCCCCAAACTCATACATACTCTCATGCAGTCACCGCAGACACTCTCAGTCACCACATGACTGGCACACCCTCACACTCAGTCTCAGGCTCACACTCATAAATGCACTATTAGTGGCCACTACTGGGGCAGGAAGACCCTGGCTCAGGAGCCACCCAGGCCGGGGTTCGACACCAGGACTTCTCAGCTATGTGACCTTGGCCAAGACACTTGGTCTCTCTCAGCCTTATTCTCATCTGTAAAATGGGAATAATGAGGCCCGGCACAGTGGCTCACGCCTGTAATCCCAGCACTTTGGGAGGCCAAGGTGGCTGTCATCTGAGGTCAGGAGTTTGAGACCATCCTGGCCAACATGGGCCCCTCCTTAGGATCTGGCAGGGGTGACCACCTCTTGCCCTCCTGGGCCAGGAGGGCAGGTGAGGTGGGGTCATTTCTGGGCTGAAATGACCCCATCTCTACTAAAAATTACAAAAAAAATTAGCTGGGTGTGGTGGCCCATGCCTGTAATCCCAGCTACTCAGGAGGCTGAGGCAGGAGAATCACTTGAATCTGGAAGGCAGAGGTTGCAATGAGCCAAGATTGTGACACTGCACTCCAGCCTTGGAGACAGAATGAGACTCCATATCAAAATAAATAAGTAAATGAATAAATAAATAAATAAATAAATAAGTAAATAAATAGGGCGTAATGACCCACTAGAAACCTCTCAGCGAACCTGATTGGTTCCAAGTCCTTGGTCAGGTAATCAAAAGGTTGGCAGAAAAGGTAGCAGGGTGCATGGCTCACGCCTGTAATCCCATCACTTTGGGAGGCTGAGGTGAGAGGATCACTTGAGGTCAGGAGTTCAAGACCAGCCTGGCCAACATGGTGAAACCCCATCTCTACTAAAAATACAAAAATTAGCCCGGCCTGGTGGCAGATGCCTGTAATCCTAGCTACCCGGGAGGCTGAGGTGGGAGAATCGCTTGAACCCAGGAGGCAGAGGTTGCAGTGAGCAGAGATCGCACCACTGCACTCCAGCCTGGGCGACAGAGCAAGAGTCCATCTCAAAAAAAAAAAAAAAAAAAGAGAGAATCTTAAAAATAGATTCACAAATACCTTAACTGTTTGATATAACATGAAACAATCTGTGTAGGCCAAAGCTGCTGCTTTGAGTTCAGGTCTTCTGGCTGGAGTTCTGCCTTGTTTGTTTTGACTGTACCCATTGGCCTTGCTGACGATTTTCAGTCCTTTTTAAAATGATTTGTAAGTGGAATGCGAGGACACTGGCAAAGCAGTTTGAATCTGGAATTCTACATTGTTATTATCCCCCTCCCACCCCAAATCTCTCCCAAAACTAAATCAACAGATTTATTTTTAGCAATGCGTCTTTATTGCATATTTCCAAAGCATTAGATTTAGTTTTTCTCAAAACATTACTTTCTTTTGCAGTCAGATTTCATTACTTTTTGTTTGTTTAGCTAACTATAATTACGACAATAGACACAAATTAGCCAAAGCTTTTTGAGTACAGACTTTCCTGATTCTGGCAGCTGACAGCTGAGTCAGTGGGAGGAGAGCTTGGGCAGGGTCGAGAATGCTCTAGAAGCTTAAGCCATCAGCATTTCTGGGCAGCATCCGTGTGCCTTGGCAGGGGGATGGAGGGCAGCCATTGGTCCAGCGAGTTGGTTAAGTGCAGGCTGGTTAAGATAACACCTGCCGGACCCACCTCACAAGGCTACTGGGAGGATCAGAAACAATTTAGGTCTCTCACCCAGCATGTGAGGGCCTGCAATGACCTGCCGCTCAGGCTACTGCCAGGCATCCCAGGCCCCTTGCACATCTTGTCATAGCACTTGTCGCTCCGGCCTGTGAGGGTTTCTTTTTCTGTGTGTGTGTGTGTGTGTGTTTTTTTTTTTTTCTGAGACAGATTCTCGCTCTGTCACCCAGGCTGGAGTGCAGTGGCGCGATCTCGGCTCACTGCAAGCTCTGCCTCCCGGGTTCACGCCATTCTCCTGCCTCAGCCTCCTGAGTAGCTGGGACTACAGGCGACCACCACCACGCCTGGCTAATTTTTTGTATTTTTAGTAGAGATGGGGTTTCACCATGTTAGCTATGATGGTCTCGATCTCCCGACCTTGTGATCTGCCCGCCTTGGCTTCCCAAAGTGCTGGGATTACAGGCATGAACCACCGTGCCTGGCCGAGGGCTTCTTGAGGACAGAGATGGGGTGTCCTTCCTCTCTGTGTCCTCAGGGTCAAGTGCTGGGGTCTGCTGTGGAGTCTGGTACTTTACCACACACCATGGGCTGCACACACCTGCACAGGTAGGGGAGGGGTGAGGCACTGGCCAATGCCAGGCATCCTTTTGG
Source organism: Homo sapiens (assembly GCF_000001405.40). NCBI lineage: Eukaryota > Metazoa > Chordata > Mammalia > Primates > Hominidae > Homo > Homo sapiens. The sequence goes on from NC_000009.12 coordinate 124,065,393, forward strand.
AGACCGGGGAAAGACCCTGCCTTCACCATCCCATATTCAGTTCTCCTGTGAGTGCCTGCATGCTGGGGCCTGCAGCCCAGGTGGAGTTCAGGCAGCTGTGGGCTGAGCCAACCTCATGTGCCAGCCCTGAATGGAGGGAGGGAGGCAGGTGGGCCAGACCCTCCATCTGGCACCCCACAGTGGTCCCTGGGGTTCATGCCTTTCTGTGACCTTCCAAGTTGACATGCCCCAGGCCCCCTCTGGGTGACCCTGGGCAGATGCCCAGCAGGAAGAGATGGTCTGGGGCAGGGCAGAGGGTCCCATTATATTCAGCAGCCCCAGCCTCCAGGGTCCCTTTGCTGTGGAACAGGTGCTGGTATTGTTCCCTCCTCCTGCCCCAGACGGATGGGGGTGTTTGCCCATTTGCGGTGAGGTAGGGAGGAGGAGGCGGGGAAAGGGCAAGGAGAGCTGTCACTCATTAGAGAGGGATGGTTACTCATTTGACCTCTTATTTTATGTATGTATATTTTCCTCATTATAAAAGTAAAATGCAACTGCTAAGTATATGAGAAGATGCTCAACATCATTTGTCATTAGAGAAATGCAAATTAAAACCACCATGAGAGGCTGGGCGTGGTGGCTCACGCCTGTAATCCCAACAATTTGGGATGTTGAGGTGGGCAGATCACTTGAGGCCAGGAATTCGAGACCAGCCTAGCCAACATGGTGAAACCCCCTCTCTATTAAAAATACAAAAATTAGTTGGGCATGGTGCCGAGCACCTGTAATCCCAGCTACTCAGTAGGTTGAGGCAGGAGAATTGCTTGAACCCAGAGGGTGGAGGCTACAGTGAGCCGAGAGTCGTGCCACTGCACTCTGGCCTGGGCAATAGAGCGAGACTCTGTCTCAAAAAACAAAACAACGGCAACAAAAAAACCACTGTGAGATATTGCACACCCACTAGAATGGTATAATAAATAAAACAGGCATGGTAGCTCAAGCCTGCAATCCCAGCACTTTGGGAGGTCGAGGCAGGCGGATCACTTGAGGTCAGGAGTTTGAGACCAGCCTTGCCAACACGGTGAAACCTTGTCTCTACTAAAAATACAAAATTTAGGTGGGTCTGGTGGCGAGCGCCTGTAATCCCAGCTACTTGGGAGGCTGAGGAAGTAGAATCGCTTGAACCTGGGAGGCAGAGCTTGCAGTGAGCCGAGATCGTGCCATTGCACTCCAGTCTGGGCGACAAGATTGAAACTCCGTCTCAAAAAAAAACAAAAACAAAAACAAATAAGACCCACAATATTAGGGAGGTTGTGGAGAGGCAGGGACCCTTGTGCATTACTCGGGGGAATGTATAAACTGAAGCAGCCACTTTGGAAAGCAAGTTGGCAGTTTCTCAAAAAACATAAAACTACCATACAACCCACCAAGTCCTCTCTGAGGCGTGGCTTCTACCCAAGAGGAGTGAAGACATGTTCACAAAAAGACTAACTCATGAACATTCTTAGCAGCATTGCTCATAATAGCCCCGAACCAGAAACAATCTAAATCGCCCATCAACTGGTGAATGGGGATAGACAAAACTTGTTATATCCGCACAATGGAATATTACTCAGCAATTAATGGGAACAAACCACTGACTCATGCTATGGCAGGCACAAGCCTTTAGAAAGATGCCAGATACAACAGGCCACATATTGTGTGATTCCATTTCTAGGAAATGTCCGGAATTGGCAAATCCATAGAGACCGGACGCAGATTAGTGGTCATGCATAGCTGGAGGTGGTGGGAATGGAGATTAACAGCCAACAGGCCAGAGGGAACTTAAGGAGGGATAAAAATGTTCTAAAACTGATTTATGATGATGGTTATACTGCTAGGTAAAGTTACTAAAGCCATTGGATTGCATATTAGAAGTGTGCGAATTTTATGATATGTAAAATATATCCCCAAAAAGTCGTTTCGAAAGATAAAGTGCATATTTATAATAAAAATGCTGACACGACATGGACCATATACTAGTCAATATATGTTGGGTACTTACCCTATGTCAGGTGCTACAGCTTAGAAGGTAGTTGTATTAATAAGTACTTATAGTAAGGGAGTTAAATTAATCCTTATTTTATGGACGGTGAATCTGAGATACAGAGAGCTTAAGAGACTTGCCTAACCCTGCTGAGGGTCGAAACAGGGGATTGATTCAACTAATTGAGTTTGCCTGGTACCCTTGTAGTGCCACTAACTAGCACAGTGACTTTGGCAAGCCATTTGATAATTGCCTGTCTCCATTTCCTCTTCTGCAAAGTGGAAGTAATGATATTTATCTCAGGGAATAATGACGGTTAAACGAGACGGTGAAACAAGAGATTACAGAATATAGAGGTCCTCGTCATGCCCACTCAGCTGCCAGGCACAGCAAGATTGTCCTTGGCTGTCCCCTGAAGATGTCCAAAATGCCCTCTAATCTGTAGGGGAGAAATGGGAGCCAGAGGTAGGGGGGTAAGATTCCCCCTTCCCCATCTCTTTTTTTTTTTTTTTTGAGACAGAGTCTCACACTGTCGCCCAGGCTGGAGTGCAGTGGTGCGGTCTCGGTTCACTGCAACCTCTGCCTCGCACATTGAAGTGATTCTCCTTCCTCAGCCTCCTGAGTAGCTGAGATTACAGGTACCCATCACCATGCCTGGCTAATCTTTTGTATTTTTAGTAGAGACGGGGTTTCACTATGTTGGTCAGGCTGGTCTTGAACTCCTGACCTTGTGATCCTCCTGCCTTGGCCTCCCAAAGTGCTGGGATTACAGGCGTGAGCGACCACTCCCGGGCCTGGGTTACTCTTTGTCTGATGGGCCCAGAAGCAGCACTACCTGGGCCTAGGGCCTCGTTGGATCTATCTGAATCCCAGTTCCTTCAGCCTCTTGGGCCTGGATCTATCCAATTCCAGTTCCTTCAGCCTCTTGGGCCTGGATCTATCCAATTCCAGTTCCTTCAGCCTCTGGGCCTATCTCTCTCCCATAGACATCTGTAGAAAACAGGATGGTTGCTCCTAACTCTTCACTCCCTCTGTGTGTAATCGGATTACACAATCACACCCTTTGCCACATGACTTTGCAGTGCCTCCCAGTAGAGCAGGCAGTGTCCATCGCCACCTGATTTAGGATTTGGCCCTGTGACCTGCTTCAGCCAAGGAAAGGTTAGCAGTCATGATGCACCCAGAGCTTTAAAAGTACTTGTGTCGTTTGCTTGGCCTCTTGGGCATCTTACAGTGGTCATGAAAAGAGCATGCTCAGGGTAGCTGCTGCCCCCAAAATGAGAGTCATGTGGAGCTGACTTGAACCTGACCTGAAGCCTGGAGCCAAACCCAGCCAACCCCAGAAAATCCCATAGCACAGCCACAGGCTCATGAGTAAAAAGCAAGTACTTCTTATTTGCCATTGAGTTTGGGAACTGTTTGTTATGCAGTCAATAGCTGACTAATGCATGACTCAAAACCATCGCTTTCACCATGAGGTCTTTGTACCACCACACTCCCTTCTCTAGGCTCTTCTACATCCAAAATAACTTCATCTGGCCAGGCATGGTGGCTCACACCTGTAATGCCAGCACTTTGGGAGACTGAGGTGGGTGGATCACCTGAAGTCAGGAGTTTGCGACCAGCCTGGTCAATATGGCGAAACCCCGTCTCTACTAAAAATACAAAAAATTAACCAGGCATGGTGGTGGGTGCCTGTAATCACAGCTACCTGGGAGGTTGAGGCAGAATTGCTTGAACCTGGGAGGTGAAGTTTCCAGTGAGCCAAGATCGCGCCACTGCTCTCCAGCCTGGGTGACAGAGCAAGACTGTCTCAAAAAACAAAAACAAAACCAAAAACAAACAAAATAACTTCTTTTCGACAATCATGAACCCAATACTAAAACTTCCACAATTTCTAACTCATGCTAAAGATGACCAGCTTAGCAGTTCCACAACCAACCAGATTCTAATTTCTGCTTTGGGCTCAGCTGTTCTACACAGTAATAGCAATGGCTATTCTTCTTGAGGACTTTCTGGCATAAAAAGCCCTTTCCTGGCCGGGCGCGGTGGCTCACGTCTGTAATCCCAGCATTTTGGGAGGCCGAGGCAGGTGGATCACGAGGTCACGAGATCGAGACCATCCTGGCTAACACGGTGAAACCCTGTCTCTACTAAAAATACTAAAAATTAGCCGTGCGTGGTGGCGGGCGCCTGTAGTCCCAGCTACTCAGGAGGCTGAGGCAGGAGAATGGTGTGAACCCAGGAGGCGGAGCTTGCAGTGAGCCGAGATCACGCCACTGCACTCTAGCCTGGGCATCAGAGCAAGACTCCGTCTGAAAAAAAAAAAAAAAAAAAGCCCTTTCCCAGCCATAATCACCATTGATGTTCACAAATAGCCTCACAAGGCAGGTCTCATCATCTCCATCTTGCACATTAGAAAATAGAGATGACTTGATCAGGGCTCCAGGTGGTGCCTTGCTGGGTCTCTGAGAAGTGGTGGATGCTATGTCTTCTTCATTAAGTCATCCATCCTATACATGCATTCTCCTCAATTCCATCTGAGTTCTCTTTCTGTCGCCCACCAGGTCGTTAAGGAAGCTGTGTCTTATCCAAGCCTCTTTCTTCTTTTCTATGCTGCAGGCAAATGGAGCCTTTCTCTCCCCGCCTCTTGGTTTTATCTTGCTCACCTCCATGACTTTCTCAACACGTTCTCTCTGCCTGGAATTTACTTCTTCCTCATCTCCATATGTCTAAATCCTGCCCATTCTTTTTTTTATTTTGGTAAAATATACATAACATAAAATTTACCATCTTAACCATTTTTTAAGTGTATAGTTCAGTAGCGTTAAGTACGTTCACATTGTGGTGCAACCGATGTCTTGCAAAACTGAACCTGTTTTCATTTTGCAAAAGTGATCCCTCTGTCAACACTAAACAATTCCCCATTCTCCTCTCCCGTAGTCCCTGGCAGCCGCCATTTTACTTTCTGTCCCTATAAATTCGAGTACTCTAGGAACCTCATGTAAGTAGGATCATACTGTATTTGTTTTTTTGCGACTGGCTGTTTCCCATAGCAGAATATCCTCCAAGTTCACCCATGTTGTAGCATGGGTCAGGGGTTCCTTCATTTTTATTTTTATTGTTATTTTTTGAGACAAGGTCTCAGTCTCACCGAAGCTGGAGTGCAGTGGTGTGATCACAGCTCACTGCAGCCTTGACATCTTAGGCTCCAGTGATCCTCCCACCTCAGCCTCCCAAGTAGCTGGGACTACAGGTGTGCACCTTCATGCCTGGCTAGTTTTTGCATTATTCCTAGAGAAAGGGTTTCACCATGTTGGCCAGGCTGGTCTCAAACTCCTGGGCTTAAACAATCCAACCACTTTGGCCTCCCAAAGTGCTAGGACTACAGGCATGAAGCACCGTGCCTGGCTCCCTTCATTTTTAAGGCTGAAGAATATACCATTGTATGTATATGCTACATTTTGTTTAGCCATTCAACTGTTGATGGATGCTTGGGTTGTTTTCATATTTTCGTTTTGTGAATAATACTGCTGTGAACATGAGTATACAGATATCTTTTTGAGACCCTGCTTTCAATTCTTTTGGGTACATAGCAAGAAGTGGAGTTGCTGGATCCTATGATATTCTATTATTAGTTTTCTGAGGAACTGCTGTACTCTTTTCCATGATGGCTACACCATTTCACATTCCCACCAATAGTGCACCAGTGTGCCACATCCTTGCCAACACTTGTTATTTTCTGTTTTGTTTCATTTTGAGTTTTTTTTTTTTTTTTTGATAGTAGCCATTCTAATGGGTGTGAGCCATCCTAGTGGGTCGTTGTGGGTTTTTGTTTTATTTTGTTTTGTTTTGACAGAGTTTCACTCTTGTCACCCAGGCTGGAGTGCAATGGTGCAGCCTCGGTTCACTGCAACCTCTGCCTCCTGGGTTCAAGTGATTCTCCTGTCTCAGCCTCCTGAGTAGCGGGGATTACTGGTGCCTACCACCATGCCCGGCTAATTTTTGTATTTTTAGTAGAGACAGGGTTTCACTATGTTTAACAGGCTGGTCTTGAACTCCTGACCTCAAGTGATCCGCCCACCTCGGCCTCCCAAAGTGTTGGGATTACAAGCATGAGCCACCGCACCCAGGCCCCATTGTAGTTTTGATTTGAATTTCCCTAATAAATCCTACTTATTCTTCAAAGCCCAGTCCAGACGTTACCTCCTTCATATAGTTCTCCCATATCTTCCTGCCCTCATATGATTCCTCTAAGAGTGTGATATATATGTGTGATCATTCTCCTTCTTCCTCTCTTTCTCCTTCTTCCTCCCCTCTTCCTCCTCTTCCTCCCTTTCCTCCCCCTCCTTCTCCTTCTTCCTCCCTTCTCCTTGTTCTTTTTCTTCCTCCCTTTCTCCTCCTCCTCTTCTTTCTCCTCCGCCTTACTCCTCTCCTTTGCTTCTACTGTCTATGGTTTGCATCTCTTTGAAGGTCCTCATGATTTGCATTTTCTCTTGGAGTCATTCTTGACTATGTCTCTCTCCCCCACCAGACTGTCAGCTCTTAGAGGACAGGGATCTTAACTGAGTCACCTCTGGGTCTCCAGAATCCAACAGTGTCTTGCACAGACTGGGTTCCAAGACTATTTTGAGTAATTGAATAAATGAATGGACTGGATACATGCCTGGATGGGTGGTAGGAGAGGGAAGCATGAATGAGTGGGTGGATGGAAGGGTAGATGAATAAGAAGGATGGAAGATAGAAGTGTGAATGGTAAGAGGCTGTCTGGTTCCTCTCTGCCAAATTCTTGCGCCAAAAATGCTCTCCTGTCACTTCCAGACACTGAGAGACTTCATGATTCTGCTTGTGGGAGCTCCAAAAACAGACCCTATGAGGAACTCTCCTGCTTCCTGTTGAACCTTCAAACCGTGCTTTTTTTTTCTCTTCTGATTCACATCCCTTCTCAATGTTGCCAAGTGAGGAGGGAAAGAACACCTGAAAGCCAGCTGTCACTCGTCTTGCCAAGCTGCTCACCCTGCTAAGAGCTTCAGCCATCACCAGGGAGGAGTGTCCTTTCCTTTACATCCACGATTCAACTGTGGCCGAGCTTAGGGGGCTTCCAGGGTCCAGAGGGGTGCTTTTTCCTAGATGGGGTGAAGACACTCGTTAGGTAATAGGTGGCTCCCTCCCTACAGCTTCTCCCTTTCTGCCCTTATTCCTCTCATTCCCTTCATCTTCCTCTGTCTCCTGCTCCTAGCCATCTCCTCTTCCTTTTTTCACTCTTCTTCACTATTTGACTTGGTGAAAAGATTCAAGACTTCGGATTTAGAAAGACTTGAACTTTAAGCCAGCCATGTCTTTGATCAAGTCACTGCACCTCTCTGAGTCCCAGTTTCCCTGTCTGTAAAATGGAGTTAACAGTTCCCAACCATCAGGGTTGTCATGTGAATCAAATGACATCATGTGTTCAAAGCGCCTGGTAGCTATTGCTTTTATCAACACCGTTGTCACCAGCTTTCCTTACAATTTGCAAAATCTTGCAATGTCTGCAAAGAAGAAAAAAAAAAGCTGCACTTCCTATCATGATGCATGCCTTCTATGCATCTACTGTGTTCCTTCTGCCCTTTTCCGGGAGCCCCTCTTCTCTTCTTCATCTTTTTTTTTTAATTGAACCTTTAACCTTATACACATATCTGTTAAATAAAATGCCAGGCATAGGTCCATGTTAGTCTCATCTAAAAAAAAAATGAGTCTTTCAGCTTCCAAATGCTTCATGTCACTTCACTCAACCAACATGGGTTGCCATTGTGAGAACATCATGATCCGTTCTTCTTTCTCAATGGGGTGCAGAAAGAGGGGTCAGCCCAAGTGTAATGTCACGAGGGCCAGGCTTGTGTTGGTCTCTTGTCTCTGCAGCTTCAGTGCCCAAGACAGGGCCTGGCACAGAGGGACTCCTACAAGGATTTGTTGAATGTGAAAAGTGTGGCCATGGGGCTTCAGCACATGCGGTGGGCACCCTGCTTCTCTCTTTAGGCTAACCCCGAGATCACCTGTAGACATTTCCCTGCAAGCAGCGCTTCCTGTATCTCCCCACCTGTGGGAGCTCTCTGGGGATGCTGGCCCACCTTTGAGGAGTTGGGAGTGCTGGAGGGTTATTTCCCCTGAACAGTCCTCAAAAATGAAGGATGAGGCCAGAGGCAGTGGCTCATGCTTGTAATTCCAGCACTTTGGGAGGCCAAGGCAGTAGGATCACTTGAGGCCAGAAATTCAAGACCAGCCTGGGCAACATAGAGAGACCCTCATCTCTACAATAAATAAGTAAGTAAATAAATAAATAAATAAATATTCTGGGTGTGGTGACCTGTGCCTGTAGTCCCAGCTACTTGGGAGGCTGAGGTGGGAGGATTGCTTGAGCCCAGGAGGTTGAGGCTGCAGTGAGCAGTGATCGTGCCGCTGCACTTGCTGGGCAACAAAGTGAGACCCTGTCTCAAAAAGAACAGGAACTGGTGAATAAATACCCCAGCTGCCTTGCTCGTCAGCTGGACACTTTCGAGGCATGTTCTATGCAGTCTCTTGCAGATCCTCAGTGGTCTTAAGCCCTAGTTATCCACAGTGGTCACCCTGAATCACCATATCCTTTGTCAACTTTGTTCCTTTCCCGGTCTCACTTCTCTTTCTCACCATGCTTCCTGGCACCATCTCCCAAATAAATCATTTGAACCCAAATCACTCTCTTGAGGAGTCCAAACTAAGACAAATGACATGAACGTTATGTTTTTTAGCACATGAATCACTCAATGTAGGAAAGTTTATTTGTTTGAGTGGTTAAGAATCAACCCATGGTTCTAGGAGAAAAAGTAGTTATGATGGTTTTTTTTTTTTTTTTTTTTTTTGAGATGGAGTTTCGCTCTTGTCGCCCAGGCTGGAGTGCAATGGCACGATCTCGGCTCACCGCAACCTCAGGCTCCCAGGTTCAAGCAATTCTCTTGCCTCAGCCTCCCGAGTAGCTGGGATTACAGGCATGCACCACCACACCCGGCTAATTTTTTGTATTTTTAGTACAGACAGGGTTTCTCCATGTTGAGGCTGGTCTCGAACTCCTGACCTCAGGTGATCTGCCCACCTCAGACTCCCAAAGTGCTGGGATTACAGGCGTGAGCCACCGTGCCTGGCAGTTATGATGTTTTAACCTGACATTTGTAATCTCTCCACACTCTCTAAACGCACTAGAATTTCCCTGTATATAAGATTTCTAAACCGACCTGACTCCAATTATTAAGCACAACCTGACTCCAATTACTAAACACGTTTCAAATAAATAACACAGGGTGACTTGAAGCAAAGTGTTTTCAACAAGTGATTGCATGAAGACCTGTGCAGATGGTACATCCATTGGGTCACCACAGAATGTCCTGGAGAAGGCAAATTCTATAGTCAGATCAGCCTGGCTCGAATCCCAGTTTTGCTCCTCCCAGTGGGGCCTTGGGTAAAGACATTACACCTCTCTGAGCCTCAGTATCCCTGTCTATTCAGAAAGAATGTAAATAATTTCAACCTCTCCAGGCTGTTGTGATAATCAGAGCAGATAATGGAAGTGAAAGCCTTTTGAAAGCTGCAAAGCAGGATTCCTGCAATTGTTGCAATGATTCTTGAAAGTCAAACCAAAAAGCAGAGAGCAGTGGGGAAGAACATGGGCTTTGGAATCAGGGTTTGCCATCCACTGGTTGGGTGGCTGATGAGAAGTCACTTTGCCTCCCTGAACCTCAGCTTCTCGGTTTATAAAATGGAGATAATTACCCTATTCAGTGGATCTCAAACATTTGGTCTCTGAACCCCTTTATACTTATAAAATTTATTATAGGTCAAAGAGTTTTTATTCATGTTGTATATATTTATTGATATTTACCATATTAACAATTAAAACTAAAAACTTTAAAATATGTATTTATTGACTGGGTGTGGTGACTCACCCCTGTAATCTCAACAATTTAGGAGGCCGAGGTGGGTGGATCACTAGAGGTCAGCAGTTCGAGACCAGACTGGCCAACATGGTGAAACCCCATCTCTACTAAAAATACAAAAATTAGCCAGGTGTGGTGGCGCCTGTAGTCCCAGCTACTCAGGAGGCTGAGGCAGTAGAATTGCTTGAACCGGGGAAGTGGAGTTGCAGTGAGCCAAGATTTCACCACCGCACTCCAGCCTGGGTGACAGAGCAAGACTCTGTCTCAAAAAAAAGAAAAAAAAGTATTTATTCATTGAAAAAGAACAATCCATTACCTGCTAACATAAAAAGCCCAATTCTTATGAAAAACAACATTTTCCAAAACAATAGTTTAGTGAGAAGCGTGGCATTGTTTTACATTTTTGCAAATCTCTCTAATGTTTTGCTTAATAGAAGAAAACTCGATTCTTGTATTTGCTGTGGTGTTCAGTCTGTCGTGATGTGTTGTTTGGATTGAAGTATATGGAAAAAAATCTGGTCTCATGCAAACATGTAGTTGGAAAAGGGAGGAGTATTTTCCTAGCTTTTTAAGACAAATTATGGATATTATGCTTTGATAGTACACCAAAACTTGACAAGTAGTAGCCTTTTCAACGTTAGTTGCAATGTAGACTTTGAATCCTATCAATAAACTTTTCATGATGTTCCATGAAATCCACCTTGCATTCTGAATGAATCTTTTACTTATGCATGATTTTGTAACACCATGAATTGTCATTTGGAAAATACTGGTTTACTGAATTATGCAGATTTTCCAAATATTGACACATCCCAATAGACAATATTTAAAAAATCACACTTGACAATATCTCATCAGTCTTTAAGTATAAAGAAGCTATTAAACTCAGTTTTCTCTTGAAACTTCAAATTTTATTGTTGGCAATGAATACTAATAGTTGATTTCCTTAAAGTGACAGGCTCACTTCTTTGACTTTTGAGAAAATGTCTGCCAAACACCCAAGTCTGATTAACCCAAATTTATCTCTTAATCATGCTTTCAAGTACAAGTGTTGTTGTAGGAAAGAAGTGGGTGGTTCAGCTGTAATTCACATAATCATACAAGTGCTTTTTATTGAGACAACCATTGTATTGAAATTTGCAACAGAAGGGCTTTATATGCTACTTCCCATTTTTTCACACAGTGTAGTAAAAAGAAGTGTCTAGGGTTTAATAATAGTCATAATATTTATCGATTCATCAGGGCATTTTTTAAAAACCACAGTGTTAAAAGTGTGTGGTGGTGAAGGATGCAATGATTGTTAGTGCAGTTTGGTGCCACTGCCTGGATCTGTGTAACTACCATTGTTTGTGCACCAGCAGTGTACATGTCAGACTTCGAAAAAAGCAAATAATTTTTTTCTTTTTCTTCTTTTTTTTCTTTTTCTTTTTTTTTTTTGAGATGGAGTCCTGCCCTGTCACCAGGCTGGAGTGCAATGGCATGAACTTGGCTCACTGCAAGCTCCACCTCCCCAGTTCAAGTGATTCTCCTGCTTCAGCTTCCCGAGCAGCTGGAATTACAGGCATGCACCATCATGCCTGGCTAATTTTTGTATTTTTAGTAAAGACAAGGTTTCACCATGTTGGCCAGGCTGGTCTCGAACTCCTGACCTCAGGTGATCCACCCATCTCAGCCTCCCAAAGTGCTAGGATTACAGGTGTGAGCCAACGTGCCCAGCCTTGCCTATGCTATGCTTTCAATACATCAAAAGTAAAATAAATACGATGTATGTTTTTAATAAGTTAAACATAAGCATCTGAATTTTACATATCCACAAAGCTGGTTTCTATCAGAGTGATTATCAAATAGCAGGAATATGCTAAAGAAGTCAGACAGAATGACAGAGAGTAACGGAACCACAGGGAATCCATTATGCATATTTTGGGCCATTCAAAGCTTTTTTTTTTTTTTTTTTTTGAGACAGAGTCTCCCTCTGTTGCCCCGGCTGGAGTGCAATGGGGTGATCACAGCTCACTGCAACCTCTGCCTGCTGGGTTCAAGTGATTCTCCTCCCTCAGCCTCCCAAGCAGCTGGGATTACAGTGCTCACCACCACACCCGATGAATTTTTGTATTTTTAGTACAGACAGGGTTTCACCATGTTGGCCAGGCTGGTCTCGAACCCATGACCTCAAGTGATCTGCCCACCTCAGCCTCCCAAAGCACTGGGGTTACAGGCGTGAGCCACCGCACCCAGCCTCAAAGCTTTTGTAAACATTAGGAAAGTGCTTCTTGTCTGAGTTTACTTCCAATTCTGCTTTATTGTTAAATCTCATTGTTAACAATATTTCCCAACTCCTTCCTTCCCTCCTCCTTCCTTTTTTGCCAACATCTCTAAGAAAGTTGGATGGCATACAAGTCCTTCATGTGTCATTATGAACATGTTTAATCAGGTTGCTTTTCCAACATCCAAGACAATTGGTCTCAATTAGAGTAAAAGAATTTCTCTGGAGGTTAAGGGAGAAATAAGTTATTTTGAAGCCTTGGGCCCCCGAGAGAGAGAGAGAGCCTGGTGGGTGATTTATGCATCAGAGAGGCAGCAGGACTGGGTGTGATAGTGGGAAGGTGAGGTGGCCCAGAAAGGATGGAGGTAAGATCTTGAAGACAAACTTGGCTGAATTTTATGAATTACTAGAGGTTGGCTTCTAATTAGGCCTGGAACTCAATGCCATGCTGGTGTCATTCTTTCCTTTTGCTTCTCTGGGGACAGCCTGGCCTTCTGGGCCAGGGCCCATTAGTGAGTCACCGTGCAGGGCATTCATTCACTAAACATTCCTTCAGAACCTGTTCTGTTTCAGGTTCTGAGTTGGATGCTGGGAAAACAGACATTGCTCAGCCTCTGTTCCTGCCACTAGTGAGCTCTTGAACTTGTAAAGAGAATCATATCATTAATTTTAACTTACTAGATCAAGGGATGTCCAAGAGAGCCTGTGAGCCCCAGATTAGTGACTCTGTTTCTGAGAGGGACTGATATCAGAGTGGGGTCTTGAAGGATGAATAGGAGTTTGACAGGCAGAGAAATGTCCTTCTAGGCAAAAGCACATGCAAAAGTATATGGAGGTATGAAAGAATATAGCTTACTCAGGGAGAATGAGACATTACAGGATCAGCGGTTAATGGAACAAGATGGGGGACGAGCAAGAAAAGGTATAAAGAGGCAGAATGATGAACAGCCTTAAATGACACTGTTTGGAGTTTGGACAGGGTAGAGAGATCAGCTAGAGAGCAGGGGTCAAACTTGGGCCTAGGTTTGCTGAACTCTCAAGGCGCCAACTTGAAAGAGTGAGAAGTCCCCTTCTCTGACCAGAAGCAACTTACATACTTCCTGGTGGAGTAGAAACCAATTCCAGCATGGGGGAAGCCCCCAGAGCAGCTGTATAGGGCAGGCACATGGTGCTCCTGGATCTGAAAGGAAGGGAAAAGGATGGAACAATTCAGTGCACTTCTAAGTTATCCAAAACAATGTGAGTCATTTAACAAATATTTGTTTCGCTCCTACTGTATGCAAGACAGAGGTTGTCAGTGTGTTCAAGCCAAAGATCAAATACCCATGCCTCAAACCTGGGCTCAGATCCCAGCTCTGCCACTGATTTTCTGCATGGACGTGGGCAAATTGCTTCTCCTTTCTGGGCCGAAGTTTCTCCATTGGTACAATATGGGTGTTAGATTTGAAGATTTTGATCATGATGTCCTGCTCTCATATTCTGCAATTCTGACTTGCTCTGTGATCTTGGGCCAGCCCCTGCCCCTGTCTTGGCCTCAGTTTCCTCATCTGTAAAATGGAAGGTAGGAAGAGATTTAGCTTGAGATACATGGAGCCTGTATCTTGGTCACCCGAGCCTTCCCTACACCCAGCCCAGGGTCCTGAGCTACTCTCCCCACCCCCAGCACACTCTAGCTTCCTCTACATTTCTCATCAAGATGCAACATACTTTAAATAGCATCTGCATGACTGGCTGGTTTTTTCCTTCCCGGAGAAGCTCTCTACAAAGTGTGCCAAGTGGCAGCTGTCAGGGCCGAGGTGGCATTTCCCTCAGTGATGCTGACAGCAGCTGTCCCGGCGCAGGCTGAATGGAATGGAAATGACATCATGTTTATTCAGGAAAGATGTTCCCAGACCCAGATCAGTGTCAGCAAGATGCTGGGATGCTTGAGGAGGGAAAACAGGACCAAGACCAGGCACTGGGTCTCCTCTTCTGGAACACACACTGCGCCATACGCCACCCATCTCACACACATTCCACGCACACATGCTCACACACCCACACCACTCACACAGACGGGCCTCCATATATACCACACCCTCTCGCACACGCACGAAAACACAGATGAACACGTGCCACATGCTATACAGGCTCCCCCCTCCCCCGCACACAATCGCACCACAGGTACATATCAATACACACCACCATGACAGCGCACACATACACCACATGCTCACAGATACACAGACACCTAGAGAGACATAGACAGACAGCTGCATGTCACATATGCATTCAGGTAGGGGTGCAGCTATTGGGGTGGAGGACAAGCTTCGGGACCCCATGCATAGAATCGGATCTTTCTTCTTTCTCCCTGGGTCTGTTTCTTCTCTGAAATGGGTGTTGTGTCATCCAGCCCTAGGCTGTTCCAAAGACTAAACAGTAGAGGCAATATCTTGCTCTCAGAAGACAGTAGGTTTTTAAAAATTTTATTTTTTAATTTTTATTGAGACAGGGTCTTGCTCTGTCTCCCAGGATGGAGTGCAGTGCCACAATCTTGGCTCACTGCAACCTCTGCCTCCGGGCTCAAGCAATCCTCCCACCTCAGCCTCCCAAGTAACTGGGACTACACGTGTGCACCACCAAGTTCGGCTAATTTTCAGATTTTTTTTTTTGGTGGGGTAGAGACAGGGGTCTCACTATATTGCCCAGGCTGGTCTCAAACTCCTAGGCTCAAGCAATTCTCCCACCTTGGCCTCTCGAAGTGCTGGGATTACAGGCATGAGCCACCTTGCCCAGCCAACCCCAGGTCTTGAAGTTAGGTAGGCCTTACCTGGTTGATCCTGCCAGTAGCAAAAACAAAGGAAAAGGAAAAGAAGTTAGGCAGACTTTGAATTGAATCCAGATTCCATAAATCCTAGCTATGACGCTGGGCGTGTTATTTATCACTCTGAGCCTCTGTTTCCACATCATTAAAATGGGATGTTTTGGATACCTATTGCTGCATAACAACCAGCCCCCAAATTTATGCTTTAAAAAAACAGCTATTTTCTATTTCTCATTATACTATGGGTTGGCCAGGTAATAATCCTGCTCCAAGTAGTGTAAGCTGAGGTCCTGGGAGGCGTGGGCTATCCAAAATCGCCTCCCTTACAGAGCTGACAGTTGATGCACCTGGAATCTTTACCTGAGCTATAGGCCAGGGACCTCTGTTTTCTTCCACATGGACCTCTCCACATGGCTGCCTGAGCTTCCTCACAGCATGGTGGCGGGATTCCAAGGAGGGGCATTTCAAGAAGTGAAGGTGGAAGCTGCAGATCTCTTAAGATTTAGCATGGGAATCACAAAATGTCACTTCCAGTGCATTCTATTAGTCAGAGTAAGCCCCAGGGTCAGGCACGTAGTGAAGGCCTAGATTATGGCAGTCATTATTCATAGTCATTATTACTGCAGAGCCAGCGCTGTAATGGAGTCTGGACCAGGGACATCCTGAATTCCCAGTGCTGGGGGTTTACAGTCACTGAGACACTAAAGAATGGATAAGATATGAGGCCAGGTGCGGTGGCTCACGCCTGTAATGCCAGCACTTTGGGAGGCCAAGGTCAGGAGTTTGAGACCAGCCTGGGCAACATGGTGAAACCCCGTCTCTACTAAAAGTGCAAAAATTAGCCTGGTGTGGTGGCATAGGCCTGTAATACCAGCTACTTGGAAGGCTGAGGCAGGAGATTCACTTGAACCCAGGAGGCAGAGGTTGCAGTGAGCTGAGATTGCACCACTGCACTCCAGCCTGGGTGACAGAGCGATACTCCGTCTAAAAAAAAAAAAAGGACAAGGTCTCTGGACTTCTAAAGAGCTCCACCCCAACCAAACAAGCTCCTCCCAGATGGGTTTGGCTCTCCCTACTCTGCCTACCCCCTACCCCACCCTAACTGCTGCACTTAGATTTGCCTGCAGATTCATCCAAAAAGCCAATATGACTTTCCTGTTGTTAAAAAAAGAAGTAATGGCTACCATTTACAGAGCACCTACCATGGGCCAGGCATTTTTCATTTTTTGTATTCTTGGAACCCAACAATGATTCGATGAGTTAGTCTTATTCCCACTTGACAGAGGAGAAATCTGAAGAGAGAGACATCGACCTGCCTAAGGTCACAGTCAGCTGTAGCAGAACACCTGCTTCAGGCTCTCCATCCTGGCACAGGCAGCTCTTAGCCTCCCTGGTTCAACACTCATTCCAAGATGAGTCAACCAGCCCACTTACTGGCGAAGGAGGATGGCAAGAGGCATAGTGTTGGGATTGGGGTTTGCTGGTGGGAACATGGGAGCATCCTTCTTTATCCTTCTTTGGCAAGCAGCTGAGGATGGTATAAAAACACAGAATCTGGGCCAGGCATGGTGGCTCACACCTGTAATCCCAGCACTTTGGGAGGTTGAGGCAGGCAGATCACTTGAGGTCAGGAATTCGAGACCAGCCTGGCCAATATGGTGAAATCTTGTCTCTACTAAAAAAAAAAAAAAAAAAAAACGAAAATTAACCAGGCGTGGTGGTGTGCATATGTAATCCCAGCTACTCGGGAGGCTGAGGCATGAGAATCGCTTGAACCTGGGAGGTGGAGGTTGTGGTGAGCTGAGACTGTACCACTGCACTCCTGTCTGGGCGACACAGCAAGGCTATCTCAAACAACAACAACACTCAGGATCCGGAATCAAAGGGTCCTGGGTTTGAATTCCAGCATTGCTGCCTCTTTAGGAAAGTGACCATTATCTCTTTGAGCCTCAGTGTCCTCGTCTGAAAAATGGGGTTAAGTGGAGCACTTACTTCATGGGCTTGTTCTAAGGATTCCACAAGATCACGTAGGTAAGCACAGAGTTGAGCATGTGGTGGTATGGATTGCATACATGAAACAAGACTAGGAAAACATTGATAGCAGTTGAAGCTGGCATAGGTACATGGTGCGGTCATTAGACCATCCTGTCTACTTTTGTGGGTGTTTAAAGTGTTCTATAATAAAAAATATATATTGGCCTAGCGCAGTGGCTCACACCTGTAATCCCAGAACTTTGGGAGGCTGGGGTGGGAGGAGCCCTTGAGGCCAGGAGTCTGAGACCAGTCTGGGCAACATAAAGAAACCCCGTCTCTACAAAACACAAAAATAAAAAATTAGCCAAGCATGGTGGTGCATGCCTCTGGTCCTAATTGGGAGGCTGAGGTGAGAGGATTGCTTGAGCCCAGGAGGTCAAGGCTGCAGTGAGCTGTGATTGCACCACTGCACTCCAGGCTGGATGACAGACGAGATCCTGTCTCAAAAGCAAACACAATTTGGTAAGGGTTTATCCCAGTGCCTGCCATGAATGTTAACTGTTATTCCAAGAGGAGCCTGGCTGGGTGCAGTGGCTCATGCCTATAATTCCATCACTTTGGGAGGCTGAGGCAAGCAGATCACTTGAGGTCAGGAGTTTGAGACCAGCCTGGCCAGCATGGTGAAACCCCGTCTCTACTAAAAATACAAAAATTAGCCAGGCATGGTGGCTCACATCTGTAATGTAATCCCAGCTATTCGGGAGGCTGAGGCAGGAGAACCACTTGAACCTGGGAGATGGAGGTTGCAGTGATCTGAGACCATGCCACTCCAGCCTGCGTGACAGAGCAAGACTCCATCTCAACAACAACAAAAAAAAAGTGGAGCCTGTTCTTGGGAGGTAGGGGTGGGTGAGGGTGGGAGGAGCTTTCCCAGGAGAGGACCACATCCTGCCCCAGCGTGGGGGAAGGTGGGCGCAGCCACCATAAAGCAAGGATTACTGCCACTCTAAGTCAGGTATGGCCACCCAAAGGATAGGGGTAACTGTTAAAATGACTCACTGACTTGTCCTCTTGGTCCTGTCTCCTCCTGTGCACCCACCTCCCTACTCCTGATAAGGACTCTCTTGTCCCCACCCCTACTTCAGCTGGCCCTGGTTCTCCCCTCTCCATCCATCCCATCACTGAACCACGACCAAGATATTCTAGTTTCATGACCTCTTTTTATTCCCAACTAGCTTTCCTCTTTCTTTTCTTTTAAAAACCAGTTTTATTGAGATAGAATTCACATACTGGCCATTGTATACCTTCTTTGAAGAAATGTCTATCCGGATCCTTTGTCCAGTTTTTTTCTTTTTTCTTTTTTGAGACAGGGTCTCACTCTGTTGTCCAGGCTGGAGTGCAGTGGCTCCATCTCGGCTCACTGCAGCCTCGACCTCCCAGGCTCAAGTGATCCTCTCACCTCAGCCTCCTGAGTAGCTGGGACTATACGTTCGTGCCACCCTGCCTGACTAATTTTTATGTTTTTTGTAGAGGTGGGGTTTTTCTGTGTTTCCCAGGCTGGTCTTTGACTCCTGGGCTCAAGCAGTCTGCCAGCATTGGTCTCCCAAACTGCTGGGATTACAGGCGAGAGCCACTGCACCTGGCCCTTTGCCCAGTTTTTCATTGAGTTATTTGTGTTTTTACTATTGAGTTGTAGAGATTTTTATATATTTTGGATACAAATTTCTTATGAAATATACGATTTACAAATATTTTCTCTCGTTTATAGGTTCAGGCCCTTTTAAATTGAAGTTTGTCTTCCAGATTCCACCCTGACCTCAGCCCTGCTAAATCCTGGCAACTTACCTGGGAGATGCTACTTCCCGACTGTGTGTCCTTGAACAAGTCATTCGATCTCTCTCATCTTCCGTTTTCTCATCTGCAAAGAGTCGGCAATGACTCATTGGGTCATTGTGAGATGTGGCCGTGGTAAGGAATTCAAAGCCATCTTTTAAATGTAGTTCCCAGCAGCCATTAGAATTTAGAACCTACTTTAAATCTATTTAAATTCTGTAAAGGCAGTACCATTTTGCTTTGTGTAAATTGCATGATTTTAAGTTACCTTATACAAAACTACTTTATTTTCATGTAAACTCATTACTATTTAAAATCTGTGAAATGAGGTGCCCACCAGTCACTGCTATTGGAATCCAGGCATTCAGCACTCCCAGGTCAAGATAGACCAGCAGGCCCAGCCTTTGTCTCCCATTGCTCCTGATGCACCACCAAAATAAAAGTGGAGAAGTTAAAAAAGGAATAATTCCCCAGGAACAAATGTGGGGGATGGTGGTTTCACCATCTTTCTCTTGAAACAAGAGATTTCAGCAAATGTGTGAAAGGTAGAAAACAGATGGGAGTGGGCTGCTGATGGAATGGGCCCAGCCTAGAATTCACTCCAGGAGGGTCACAGGGGAGGTGGGAGTAGAGGCCCATGGGGAGATTCTGCCCTAGAACTGCCAGCTTTGGTGGAATGCAGAAGAGAAGGAGGGGCTGAGGACAGGGCATTACCTGCAGGTCTGTACATGGGGTTAGGACTGTCTCTCTAGCCCCATCCATTACCGTGTGTTGAAAGCATCCTGCAGCTTTTACCCCAGGGCTAAAAAGCAGAAAGCTCTTCTCTAAAGAGACTGAGCAAGTTGCCTGGGAAAGCTAAGACTCCTGGTATGCATTTTCATGACTCAAAATGAAGGTCTCCTCTTTCTGGCATTTGGGGGACCTGATATACAGCTGGCTTTTGGCATACTTACCTTAAATGAAGCCTGTCAGTTGCACTGCTCATCCCACCCGACACAGACCACACAGTCAAAATCTTCAGTTGGTGAGAGGCCTAGCAGAAAACTAACCCTGCTTACAAAACAGAAGAAACCCACACCAGATGCCCAGTTCTGTTGTAAATATGAACAGACACTCAAGGAGCTGCAGGTATATGAAGGGAATCCACATCATGAAAGAGAAAGATCAAGCTCAGCAGAAAAATTGACCTGGGAGGAAATAGAACTAATTCAGAGAGCAGAAGATTATATTAGAAAATGTTATGGCCATAAAACAAAGACAGGTTTTCATGAAAAGTGATCAGAAGACAAGAGATAATTCTGAAGGATTAAAACTATGATTGTGGGGAAAAAAAGCTGGAAAGCCTGAAACAAAGTTGAAGATGTCTTCCAGAATATCGGTCACAATGTCAAAGATGAGCTCTACATGGACCATCTTGAGCCCTAGAAAGAGTAAGCAGAAAATGGAGAGGAGGAAATAGTCAAAGAACCAGCAAGAGAATCCCCCAGAGCTGAAAGACAGTCTTTACATAGAAAGGACCCACCAGGTACCCAGCACAATGGATGAGAATACATCTTCACCTGGACACATCTTCATGAAATATCAGGGTAAAGAGGAAATTCTAAAAATGTTCAAAGAGAAAAGAAATCAACCAACGAAGGAATTGAGTCAGACTAGCTCTAGCTATCCCAGCAACACTGTGTTCTAAAAGATGGAGAATGAATACTTGTAACATTCTTAAGGAAAATGATTTTCAACTTAGATTCTTTACCCGTCACCATCAGTCAAAGGTGAGGGAGAGAATATTTTCAAACATGCAATGATATAGAAAATTTACTTTTCATGACCCCCTTTTAATGGCTTATCTGAAGTTGTATTCTAGCAAAATAAAGCAATAAACCAAGAAAGAGGAAGACACAGGATTCAGAAATACTGGGTCCAACCCAAGACCACAATGAGGGAAAGTCCCAGGATGACAGTGAGATTGCAGGGTTAGAAAACAGCCTGTCCAGGAGGGAGTAAGAGAATGGATGGGTCAGAAAGGGAAGTGTCCAAGGAAATGGGAGACATGATTAAGTAGTAGAGTCACAGAAAATTTGAAACATTTGAAGACACAATAAAGTGTAAGAAAGAAAAGATGGCCAGGCACAGTGGCTCACACCTGTAATCCCAGCATTTTGGAAGGCTGAAGTAGGCAGATCACTTGAGGTCAGGTGTTCGAGACCAGGCAACATGGTGAAATCCCATCTCTACTAAAAAATATCAAAATTAGCCAGGTGTGGTGGTGCACACCTGTAATCCCAGCTACTTGGGAGGCTAAGGCAGAACTGCTTGAACCTGGGAGGCAGAGGTTGTGGTGAGCCGAGATCACACCACTGCACTCCAGCCTGGGTGACAGAGCAAGCGAGACTCAGTCTCCAAAATAAAACAGCGTAAGAAGGAAAAGAAAGGCAATTGGAAACTCCAGGAAAAACGAAAGTGTATAAGAAAGTCCAAATACATGGTCCAAATACAAAGCAAACTAAAGTGTGGCAATGTTTTGAGTGTTTGATAAAGCATAAGAAAAGAGGTTCAATTTGACCACAATGCTAGGAAGAGTTTCTTTTCAGTCACTCAGGGGTCCTGACATTTGATTTTAAGAGAAGGAATAGAATCCTAAGGTATTACTTGACTCAGCAATGGTAATATTTAAACAGTCATAATAGCATAAACTTTTGGAGTCAAACTATGGACAAAGCATAGAGGTGTTGGTTGTGGCTGATGATCAGAACATAAGTACTAGTGACCTGCACAATGCAAAAATAAATGCAGTTGACAGGAAGACCAAAGGGTAGGGGTGCAAAAATCCTCACTTTCAAAATGAGGAGTCAAGTTTTTTTTTTTTTTTTTTGAGATGGAGTTTTGCTCTTGTTGCCCAGGCTGGAATGCAATGGTGTGACCTCAGCTCACTGCAACTTCTGCCTCCCAGGTTTCAGGAGTTGTGAACAAGAAACAATGGTTTAAGTAAATCATTTACATATCACTTAAAATTTCGAAAGTAACAAATAGAAGGTTTAAAAATAATTTTTTACTCAGGAGGCTGAGGTGGGAGGACTGCTTGAGCCCGGGAGGTCGAGGCTGTGGTGAACCAAGATCATGCCACCTGCACTCCACCCTGGGCAACAGAGTGAGATCCTGCCTCAAAAAATGAATGAATGAATGAATAAATAAATAAATAAATAAATAAATAAATAAATAAAAATAACTTTTAAATTTCAAACATTGGGAGGAAAACAAGAAAGGTAGACTGGCTATATTCCCATCTTTCAGATCATGGGGTTGATATTACATAAGAACAGCAAATAAACTAGAAATAGTTACCTACCAGAACAGCAAATTAACTAGTGCCATAGTTACCCACCAGAGAGACAGGCAAATAGCAGTGGTTTTTTTTTTCCTTGTTTTTTTTTTTTTTTTTTTTTTTTTGAGACGGAGTCTCGCTCTGTCGCCCAGGCTGGAGTGCAGTGGCATGATCATGGGTCACTGCAGCCTCAGTCTCCCAGGCTCAGTTGATCCGCCCCGCACAGCCTCCTAAGAAGCTGGGACCACAAGTGCACACCACCACACACGGCTAATTTTTCTATATATATATATATATATATATATATATATATTTTTTTTTTTGTAGATACGGGGTTTCACCATGTTGTCCAGGCTGGTCTTCAACTCCCAGACTCAAGTGATCCTCCTGCGTCAGCTTCCCAAAGTGCTGGGATTACAGTCGTGAGCCCCTGTGCCTGGCTTTTTTCTTTTTTAAGTTGCTTTTTCCAGGTTGAATGGGCATAGGGTGGGGCAGGATGAGAACAATGTGTTTTGATCACAACCTTTTGGGTACTATTTGAGTTGTTACTATGTACATGTAGTGCTATGACCCCAAAGATGTTATTTAACAGGAAAAAGAAGGATTCTAGGTATCCCAAAGAAACACCTCAGGTGAGTATCAAGATGCCCTGTCTGCCATATGGCTGTCATGTTGACCAGGCTGGTCTCGAACTCCTGGCCTCAAGTAATCTGCCCACCTTGGCCTCCCAAAGTGCTAGGACGACAGGTGTGAGCCACTGCCTGGCCTCATCTGTGCCTTCTGACAGCTCTTTGATTTGGGCATGTCACTTTTTTCAGCCTCAATTTTATCCCCTGTGAAAAGGGGGACAGTATCTACCCATGTAGGTTTCGGTACAGATGACATGATAATATATAAGCATCCCAGTGCCTCCCTTCTTCCCTCCCTGCCTTTCTACCACCCTCCCTCCATTCTCGGGGGTGTTTGGAACCTGAGGTGTAAGACTGGCTTAAAAAATTTGATAGGAAAAAAAAGGCCTCAGTCCCCGAGAAACGTTCTCTGCAGCACAGCGGTGAACGGATGTTTTGCCTCGGTGCTGCTCCTGCCTTCCAAGGAACGATCCGGACCAGCTGGTGTGTGCCTGCGTGTGTGTGTGCGTGTGCGTGTGTGTGTATCACAGCCTAGTGGTCCCTATTTAATACTTGGGAAGGGGGTGTCAGCTGGAGGCTGCCGTGCTGCAAGCTTCTCCCTGAAAACGGAGGGCAAGGGGGTGACTGCTTAATGACTAGATGTTAAATGTTCCAAACAATTTATACATTTAGAATCCTAAGTTTTCAAAACTCAGCCCGCCGCGCGGTTCTGCAGATCTTGTTTATAACACATTCGGCTAAAATTATCCCAGTGCACGCTGCACCTCCTATGGCACAGATGCTCCGGAACCTGCGGCTCTGTTTTGATTCCAGATATTCGTGTTAAAGCTATTTGTGTTCGCCGTAAATGAAACACGAAACCGAGGAACGGTAGCTCTGGTGATTTTTATAAATATATGCCTAATCTTCACAGCGGGCACTGGGGTTCAAGTTTTATTTATGTGTGTTTTGCCTCCCGGTGCCCCAAGGGGCTTGTTTTCCCAGGCGCCTACAGGGGCTTCTGCCTGTTCAGGGAGGAGGAGCCAGGATGGAGCTGTGTCTCATTCCTGGGGACTCTGTCCTTGCCCAGGGAGGCAGCTCAGAGCAGGACAAAGGACACGGGCTTTGCGCTCTGCTGCTTACTTTCTGCAATTCTTCCTCCACCCGAGCCTTACCTTCCCACGTCTGTGAAATGGGGATGATACTAATTCACACTCAGAGGGTGGTGGTTGGGATTATATGAAATGCTCAAGACATATAGGCTCATTTATTCAATGGGTATTTACCAAGCACAAGACTAGGTGGTGGTAGTGGTGTGTGTGTGTGTGTGTGTGTGTGTGTGTGTGTGTGTGTGTGTGTGTGTGTTTTAAGCCCTCCTGTGCATTAGGATCACATGGCGAGCTTTAAAATAATCCAGACATGCAGGCCCTTCCCCAAGTCACATATATCAGAATCTCTAGGGGTGGGACCCAGGCATCAGTAGTTTTTAAAATTCCCCAGGTGATTTCAATGTGCAAACAAGTTTGAGAACCACTGACCTAGATAAGTGCTTCTCAGATTTACGTGTACACAAGTCCCCTGGGATTTGTTAAATAACAGCTTATAGTGGAGTAGGTGGGAGGGGGTGCTGGGTTGCTAGGAGCTGCATTTCTTTTCTTTTTTTTTTTTTTTTTTTTGAGACAGTTTCACTTTGTCCCCCAGGCTGGAGTGCAATGGTAAAATCTTGGCTCACTGCAACCTCCACCTCCCTGGTTCAAGTGATTCTCCTACCCCAGCCTCCTGAGTAGTTGGGATTACAGGCACGCACCACCACACCCAGCTAATTTTGGTATTTATACTAGAGTTGGGGTTTCGTCATGTTGGCCAGGCTGGTCTTTAACTCCTGACCTCAAGTGATCTGCCCGCCTTGGCCTCCCAAAGTGCCAGGATTACAGGCGTGAGTCACCACGCCCGGCCAGAAGCTGCCTTTCTCTTTCTTTCTTTCTTTCTTTCTTTCTTCCTTTCTTTCTTTCTTTCTTTCTTTCTTTTTCTTTCTTTTTCTTTCTTTTTCTTTCTTTCTTTCCTTCTTTCTTTCTTTTCTTCCTTTCTTTCTTTGTTTCTCTTTCTTTCTTCTATCTTTCATTCATTCTTTCCCTTTCTTTCCCTTCCTCCCTTCCTTCCTTTCTTTCTTTCTTTCCTTCTTTCGTTTTCTTGCTTTCCCTTTCTTTCTTTCTCCTTCCCTCCTTCCTTCCTTTCTTCCTTCTCTCTCTTTCTTTCTCTCTCTCTTTCTCTCTTTCTTTCTTTCCTTCCTTCCTTCCTTCTTTGTTTCTTTCTTTCTTTCTTTCCTGAGAAGGAGTTTCGCTCTTGTTGCCCAGGCTGAAGTGCAATGGTGCGATCTTGGCTCACTGCAACCTCCGCGTCCCAGGTTCCAGCAATTCTCCTGCCTCAGCCTCCCGAGTAGCTGGGATTACAGGCATGCGCCACCACGCCCGGCTAACTTTGTAATTTTAGTAGAGGCGGGGTTTCGCCGTGTTGGTCAGGCTGGTCTTGAACTCCTGACCTCACGTGATGTGCCCGCCTTGGCCTCTCAAAGTGCTGGGATTACAGGCGTGAGCCACCATCCCTGGCCCAGGAGATGCATTTGTGATGCTGCTAGGGCTGGTGGTCCGCAGGCCACTTCTAGGCACTCTAGTAGGACCTGCTGGTACCCAGTTAGGCTGACCAGAGGCAGTTGCTGCCTACATAGACTTTATGAGGACTGCAGACAGTTAAACAGATGATGACAATGATCAATGTTTGACAAGAGAATTGCATGGCCCTATGGACCTGCCTTTGGGAGTGCAGGTGGGAGGGAATCAGGACAAACTTCCTGTAGGAAGCTGAGTGTTAGCCAGAAGAAAGGGGAGGGTGCTGGGGAAATGATGCCGGCAGAAGGAATAGCATGTGCAGAGGCTCAGAGGCAAGGGATGGGAGCCAGGGCTGGTAATTCGGGGTAGTTGGAGTTTCCAGGTGAAGCTGGAACTGCAGGAAGGGCACAGGTCAGGAAGCAGCTGATTGACCCTTAAGGTTATGGGGCTTGACCTTGACCTTTATCTCAGGGTAAATGGATGGGAAAAGTAGTGAAAAGTTTAAAGGGGGAGAGATGCAATCAGCTTTGCCTTGTAGGATTACCAATCATTCTATTTATCCCTTCTGCTCACCAAGCTGCCATCAGCAAAGCACACCTGCAGAATACAACTGAATCACTAGCAACCCATAAGAAGGGCCGTTAAAGCCTCTACTATGTGCAGTGCTCAAGTGGGGAGGCAGACACACAGATCTGTTGGCAGTACAGTTCTGTGGGTGCATGGTAGATCCTGGGACAGCAAGATCTGGGTGTGGCAGTAGGAATAAAAGTGGCAGAGGGAGGGTCCACATGAACTGGGGGGGTCTGAGGTTTCTGATGGGAGGAGGAGTTTTGGGGCCTGGTGTCTTTTCGTTGTTGCTGTGTTGTTTTGTTTTGTTTTTTGAGACAGAAGCTCGCTCTGTCACCCAGGCTGGAGTACGATGGTGCGATCTCAGTTCACTGCAACCTCTTCCTCCTGGGTTCAAGTGATTCTCCTGCCTCAGCCTCCCCAATAGCTGGGATTACAGGTGCCCGCCACCACGCCTGGCTAATTTTTGGCATTTTTAGTAGAGATAAGATTTTGCCATGTTGGCCAGGCTGGTTTGGAACTCCTGTCCTCAAGTGATCCACCCACCTCAGCCTCCCAAAGTGCTGAGATTACAGGCGTGAGTCATTGTGCCCAGCCTGGGGCCTGGTGACTTTAACTGGTCAGAGAAGAAAGGAAAGGACATCCCAGAGGGAATGGCCTCACTTGGGGGCATACTGAGAAAATGGTGACCAGACCAGCACTGCTGCATGAAGGAGGCAGAAGGCAGAGGCCAGTGCTGTCATCAACACCATTGATGCCCCAGCACCTGGCACAGAATTGGTACTCATAGATGTTTGTTGAGTGAATGTTGAAGGTAGGATGATGCTATGGACTGAATGTTTGTGTCCCCCCAAATTCGTATGTGGAAGTTCTAATCCCCAATATGATGATATATGGAGATGGAGCCTTTGGAAGATAATAGGGTTCAACGAGGTCACGAGGGTGGGGCCCTCATGATGGGATTAATGCCCTTATTGAAAGTCTTTCTCCTTATATATACCATGTGAGAACACAGCAAGAAGGAGACAGTCTGCAAGCCAGGAAGAGAGCCCTCACCAGGAACGAAATTGACTGTCACATTGAGTTTGGACTTCCCAGCCTGCGGAACAGGGATAAATGAAGTTCTGTTGTTTAAGCCCCTCAGCCTATGGTATTTTGTTACGACAGCCCAAGCAGACCACTACAGGAGGAGTGAGAGGGTGATGGGCTGGGCTGCATAGGTCAGTTCTGCTGGCAATCAGGGATCATTTCAGTTGGCATCTTCTTAAGATATTATAACACTTCAGTTCAGTTGGTACATAAGTTGCTGGCACAAGTCCCTGGAGAGCCCACCACTGCCACCCCTGACACCAGGCCACTGTGGCTTTCCCCTGGGATGTCTGGACCTCTCTGCTCTCCAGCAACTAAAGTGTTAATGACCTGACCATGAGGAGACCTTTGGGACCTTACCCAGGGCCAATGACACTGATGATCAGGGCCACAGGCCCAACTGTTAAACATTGGACATCTCACCCCTGGCTGCTACCAGAAGTCATAGGAACCACCTGCGGGAAGCTCCAGTCCAAGTGGAGGTGCGGCGAAGGACCCAGCTGGCTCACTGAGGAAATGCCTGGTGCTGGAGCTGATGGACTCTATCCCATGCTCTGCTTCTCTCCGGGCTCCTGCTCTGCTCCCCTTCCTCTCTGACACCTGGCTTTTTCTTCTCCTGGGTCCACATGGCAGAACATGGCCCACAAGGCCACTCAAGTTGTCATGTCCTAAGAGCCAGCTATCCAGAGAGCCTGGTCTCTCATTTCAGTTCCAGATCCAAAGCTCCAGGGAAGGCCTCTGACTGTTCTGGCTTGAGCCCTTGTCCAGCCCTGGGCCAATTAACAGTGGCTTAGGATGGGGTTCTATTGACCATCAAGGTTGCTCATGCCACCATCTTGGGTGGAATGATGGGTGTGAGTATATGTGTGTGTTTGTGTCTGTGTGTGTGTGTGTGTGTGTGTGTGTGTGTGTTGGGAGTAGGAGATTAAGGAGAAGCTTCTAGAAGGAGGACAGGAGTCCCAGAAATGGAAGGAGACTGGGTGGCCAAGTAGTAAGGTCTGCTACACTAAGCCAAGGAGTATGGGCTTTACAAATAGGCCATGGGGAGCCATGGAAGGTTTTGGAGGTATGGCATGGCTGGATTTAGGGAAGATTATTCCAGTGGTGACATAGAGGAAGAATGGAGGTGACAGGAAGAACCAGCGTCGGCCACTGCAGTTGTCCAGGAAAGGAGTGATGAGGACGTGCATTAGGATCATGAAGCTGCAGAAGAAGCGAGGGATGCAGGAAACTGACCAGCATGAGAGATCGGAAGGAGTCCATGTGAATTCCATCTGTGGTCTTGGTGGTGTGGGGCCCATTCATTTTTTTGGAGTCATCACTCTGTATGGTCATGGGAATGACCCCTGGAGAAGGCCAACCTTTCACATTTGGAGTCCACCTGAATCCCTTCATTGCCAGGGTGGCTGAACAGGGAAGGGAGTCTGAGATGAATTCTCATTGCCAGGAGGAAGCAGGTGGTATGATTTTGTTAATCTCACAAAAGGATTCTGGGCCTGCTGTTTTCATAGCACCAAGAGGCCCAAGGAGCTTCTCAAAGCCTGGGCTATCTTCCATGTCAGAGGCCGGCAAACCAAGCCTGTCTTGTCAATAATGGCACTGTAGTTTTATTAGAACACAACCTCAACCATTCGTGTAAAGATTGTTTTGTTAGCAAAGCCCAAAATATTTACCATCTGCTCTTTCACAGAGAAAAATTTGCCAACCCCTGTTCCACATCAACTTATCCCAGCTTTGCTCCTGTTGTCACTGTCACCTGGCTCCAGAGCTGAGGGACTGCAAATCTCTTCTTCCACCAGGTGGAACTCCGACAGCTTTCATCTCCTTTTTTTTTTTTTTTTTTTTGAGATGGAGTCTCGCTCTGTGACCCAAGCTGGAGTGCAGTAGTGTAGTCTCAGCTCACTGCAACCTCCACCTCGTGATTTTCCTGGCTCAGCCTCCCGAGTAGCTGGGATTACAGGTGCTCACCACCACGCCCAGCTAATTTTTGTATTTTTAGTAGAGATAGGGTTTCACCATGTTGGCCAGGCTGGACTTGAACTCCTCACCTCAGGTGATCCACCCGCCTTGGCCTCCCAAAATGCTGGGACTACAGGCATGAGCCACTGCGCCCGGCGTCATCTCCACTTTTAATTCAAATGTGTGAATCCTGATTTATCAGGCCCACTGGTCAGCTCCAAAGTCATTACTGGGTTTTATTCCCTGAGGCCTGGTGAGCCCACTGACACACAGGTGTCTGGGTGTCCCCTCATCTCCGGCAGTGCTCAGGTCTGCCTGCTCTCACAGTTTTTGGAAGAGTGGATGTCAGAGAATCCACAGGAAAGCGGAGGCTGATGATGAAGTTGCAGGATGCATGAGATAGCAGAATCTCAGAGAGGAAATTCTGACAATCCAACTGTGACGGACGGACGAGGACAGGAGGGACAGCCGGAGACTGTGAATGCCCAGAGCTTTCGGCGGACAGAGGAGCATAATTAGGAAGGATTCCCAAGGAGCAGGGGAGGGTTGGAATGTGGGTTTGAAGGTTTAAAGGCCGGAGAAAAGGCAAAACTTGTGGAAAATGTTTAGAACCAAGCCAAAGATGCTTCACAGTATGTCTGGGGAGAGAGACAGCCTGGGGACCACTGCTTGGTGCAAGGCCAATGCTAACACTAGACGGAACATTCTGGTTTCCTTTCAACCCCCTCGTGAAGTAGAACATTCTTCAGAAAGGAGAAGAAAAAAGCTAGGCTTAACAGAGTGGCTAGGATGTACCAGGTGCAAATCAGGCGTGAGGCGTTCTTTTGGTATTTTGGAGTTTTTTTTTTTTTTGAGACAGAGTCTCTCTCTGTTGCCCAGGCTGGAGTGCAGCGGCACGATCTCGGCTCACTGCAAGCTCTGCCTCCTGGGTTCATGCCATTCTCCTGCCTCATCCTCCTGAATAGCTGGGACTACAGGGGCCCGCCACCACACCCGGCTAATTTTTTTAGTAGAGACGGGGTTTCACCGTGTTAGCCAGGATGGTCTTGATCTCTTGACCTCGTGATCCACCTGCCTCAGCCTCCCAAAGTGCTGGGATTGCAGGCATGAGCCACCGTGCCCAGCCGGTTTTTTTTTTTTTTTAATTGAAGTAAAACACAGGTACAGAAAAGTGCACAAATCCTGGGTGCATAGCTCAATAGCTTTTCTCGAACTGAACACACTCTGTAACCTGAATCCGTATGTCCCCTTCCCAGTCACCATCTCCCCAAGGGTGGCTGCTACCCTGACTTTTTTTTTTTAAGACAGGGCCTCATTCTGTCATCCAGGCTGGAGTGCAGTGGTGTGATAATAGCTCACTGCAGCCTCAACATCCCAGGCTCAAGTGATCCTCCCACCTTAGCCTCCCAAGTAGCTGGGACCACAGGTGTGCCACTATGCCTGGCTAATTTTTTTATTTTCTTGTAGAGATGGGGTTTCGCCATATTGCCCAGGCTGGTCTAAAATCCCTGGGCTCTAGCAATCTGCCTGCCTCAGCCTCCCAATGTGCTGGGATTACAGGCGTGAGCCACTGTGCCTGGCTCCTCACCCTGACTTCTAACACCATAGCTTGGCATTGCCTATTTTTGAACGCCCTCTGTATGGAATCACAGTGTGTGTTCCCTTTTGTATGAGGACTTTTACCCTCAGCATGATGAGATCACCCATGTTGACGCACAGGGATGTCCGTGTTTTTGTTGTTGCTGGATGGAGTGAATGTTCCACAACGTGTGTCTCCGTTCTTTTCGGATGGCATGCGTTTTGTTTTCCATTTGGTACTGTTATGAATAGTCCTGCCATGAACATTCTAGAACTGTGCTTTGATGGACACATGTGTGCATTTCTGTGGTGATGATACTTGGAAGTGAAGCTGTCAGGTCACAGGATAGATGTATGTTTGTGTTTAGCTTTATTGATACTGATTAAACA
The DNA here is from genome assembly GCF_000001405.40 of Homo sapiens. Lineage (NCBI taxonomy): Eukaryota > Metazoa > Chordata > Mammalia > Primates > Hominidae > Homo > Homo sapiens. The sequence continues at coordinate 124,096,330 of NC_000009.12, forward strand.
TAATTCTTATTCACATTTTATAAACCAGGGGACCGAGCCTCAGAGAAGGGAAAGGACTTGCCCAACAACACTCCACTTCCCGGGGCTCCAAAACCTCTGCCATTTCCTCCCGTGAGATCAGCCTTTGGAGCAGTCTCTAGGGATGTGCCACAGGATTCTGCACTGTTTTTTCATTTTTGTTTTTGTTTTGAGACAAGGTCTTGCTCTGCCGTTCAGGCTGGAGTGCAGTGGTGTGATCTCAGCTCACTGCAGCATCAACCTCCGGGCTCAAGCAGTCCTCCCCTCTCAACATCCTCCATCCCCACTAGCTGGGACTACAAACACACACCACCACACCTGGCTCATTTTTGTATATTTTTGTAGAGACAGGGTTTCAGTATGTTTCCCAGCCTGGTCTTGAACTCCTGGGCTCAAGGGATCCTCCTGCCTTGGCCTCCCAAAGCATGTGCTGAGATTACAAGGGTGAGCCACCATGCCCTACTGATCCCGCACTGTTTTTTTTTTTTTGTCTTTTTTTGTTTTTTTTTGAGACGGAGTCTTGCTCTGTTGCCTGGGCTGGAGTGCAGTGGCACGATTTCGGCTCACTGCAAGCTCTGCAATCTCTGCCTCCCAGGTTCACGCCATTCTCCTGCCTCAGCCTTCCAAGTAGCTGGGACTACAGGCGCCCGCCACTGCGCCCAGCTAATTTTTTGTATTTTTAGTAGAGATGGGGTTTCACCGTGTTAGCCAGGATAGTCTTGATCTCCTGACCTCATGATCTGCCCGCCTGGGCCTCTCAAAGTGCTGGGATTACAGGTGTGAGCCACCGCGCCCGGCCTTGATCCTACATTGTTAATCAACATTTTCAAACAATCGAATAAACTTGTCAAAGACAGGAAAACACTGATCTGTGCTGAAGCTATGGGGGATAGTGCAAGTGCTGGAAATTCACAAAGTGTTGTGAATTTTACTTTAACAGGAATAGCCAGTCCCACTAGGTCGCGTCCAGGCTGTGATGAGACCCAGCAGGGACTCTGTGGGGCCGGGGCTGGGAGTGGGAGTGGACATCAGATTCAGTCTAGGACAGGGGTGGAGTCGAGGGACAAAGCCCAAGTGGATGCCGGGACTGTGAGCAGAAGGTGGAGGAGAGGTGGGGATGAGGACGGACCTGGAGGTGGAAGCCAGAAAAGGCTGCAAGCGGTGGTAACAGGGGCAGAGGACTCGAGGCAGTGGCTTTGCTTTGTTTTGGGGGGTGTCTGGTCCATGAGGTATTTTTACTTTCAGGGACTCCCCTGTCTGTGGAGGCTCTGTGGAACCTTCAAGGGTGGCCTGAAGGCTGCCGAGTGCATGGACCAGAGTTGGTGAAAGGGTTGGCAAATGAGCTTCTGTGGCACATGATCTTCAAGCGTGTGCATCCGAGGTGTGATCCAAGCATGGAAGCTGGTGTTGCAGACAGACCAACGGTGGCACCGGGATTCACACCTGCATCAACTCTTGCCTTTGAGTGTGTGAAGGACCTCTGACTTCTAACCAAGAAAAGATGGCAAAGGTGACTAGGATACCACACACACACACAGGCACACATACCCATGTACAGACACACATACATGTATATACATGACACTGTCTTGCTGGCATGAACTAGAGAAATTCTCCTCACTGAAGAAGCTACTGGGCACATTAAAAAAGCCCACAGAGTCAGGAAATTCAGGTAGCTTTCAGCCACCAGCCAGCAAAAAAAACTGTGGCCCTGAGCCATGCAGCCACAAAGAGATGAATTCTGCCAACAGCCTGAGTGAGTTTGCAAGGGGAGTTTTCCCCAGTAGAGCCTCCAGATGAAATGCAGCCCACCCATCTCCTTGAATGCAGCCAACCAGACCCCCAGGAGAGGACTCAACTTAGTCACACCCAGACTCCTGACCGGCAAAAACCGCGAGATGAGAAATATGTGTTATGGGAAGCCACCAAGGTTGTGGTAATTTGAGATGTAGCAATAGGAAGCCAATACAGTCGGGGCATATGTGGGCTTGTGCTAGGTGTGTGGTCACCCTGGGGGTTATATGTCAGTGGGTGTGGATTTAGATGGCATGTGCCTGAATGTGTTTGTGTGTTTGAGCACGTGTCTGGGTGTGTGGATGTTTGGGAATGTGTGTGTGTGATAGTGTGTGTTGGAGTGGCCAAGGGGTGCGAATGGGTGTGCCGATTATTGACACATGTACAGTGTACACGTCTATGCATGAGCAAGTGTGTGCACACACACGTGTGTGCAGTGCCCCTACTCCCCCATCCTCTTTTATGACTTCCTCCCTGGGTTTGATGTTGTGGGTGAATAAAATTTAAAGAGCTCTAAATTTTTTTTAAAGAGCCCTAAAGGGAGTGGAGCTTTTTGTGCGTGAGTCATTACCAGGAACACCTGTGAACTGTTGGTTTTAATTGGGCCACAGCTGTCAGGTTGCAGAGGGGGAGGGATGGGTCTCTCGGCTTGTCTGTCTCGAGCCCCCACCTCCTGTTGGATCTTTGGGTAGGTGGCAGGGGCAGGAGGCAGGATGGCCCCTGGAACCAGGATGGACTTTGGTGTCCCTGGGAAGCAGTGGAGAGTTGCTGGGCCTGGGTCTAGCCTCAGCTGCTCCGGCTTTGGCTTCATGCTCACCACAGGGCTCAGGTCTTCCACCCTTCTGTGTCTGACTTCCCTGTCCCAGGAATCACCACCCTGAGACTGGGCACTCGCACTCCTGCAAGGGGGTTCGACACACACATGCTCATCTATGCAGGCTCACACATCAGTAACGACAATGGCAAATACTCATGGAGCGCTTACCCCATGTCAGGCACTGTTCCAAGTGCTCTACACACACCCACCATCGCATTGAATGCTTGCAACACTCTCTGAGGTGGGTACTCACGATCCCCCTTTTACCAATGAGGAAACTGAGGCACAGAGGAGTTAAGTAACTTGTCCAAGGTCTCACAGTTAGTAATGCATAGTCACAGGTGCACTAACACACACACACACACAGAGACTTGTATACTCCCGCACCCTCCAAGTATAGCCTACACACACGCAAAATGACACCTGCAAATGAGTGACCTCAAGCACATAGGTGTATCCACCACCCACGTGTAAGCACACCTGGCCCACTCACCCTCCCATAAACACATCACATCCCCCCTTGAACAACCTCACAATACACACCCAGCACTCTCACTAACCACAAACATGGTGTTGCGTGGGTGCCCACACACAATAGCAATCACAGAACCCCTCTCAGGCTGGCAGTCTTACCTTTCTCACAACACAGATCTGTCTATACCCCCCACAGAAATGCACACCCACACACAGACCTGCACTCCCCGCAGGTCTTCATATCCCCCATCTTTACACCTCTCAGACCTGCACACCATGCCAGCCACCGCCTGAGGGCAGGGAGTTTACTTCTTTGTGGTCTCGGGGTGTACAGCACCAATACCCACAGTGAGTAAGATTTTGTCACTCTCACACCTGCTGGTCTGCAAGGGCTGGATGAGTAGGTGCCTCTCAGGGCCCCAGGAGACGGCAGAACCCTGTCCATCGTCCACACCAGTCCAGTCTATTGTCTATGTCCACACCTGTGAGATAGGACATTTTTTCCACTGTCACATACGTGACCCATGGCATGACACAGGGACCTGGCGTATGCAGGCCCTGGCTGAAATGTCACCCCTTTTCCTCTTCTACTCAAGAAACCAAACAGATAGCAAGTAAGTAATGATGTCATCACAGAGGTGACCCTAAATCATCTGGCATGTGACATTATTAGTACTGCCCATAGGCCCTCAAGGCCTTCATGATTTGGGGGTCACCATTACCCTCAATATCTAAAGACACTGCACCCCTGGCCCATGAACAGCAGGACCTAGCCTCCCTTCTGCTTCTGCCCCGACATTGGCCCTGCCCCTCGAGGTCACCTTCTCACTTTACTTCGCTCTATTTAGAGAAGGGGGTTGCCTCGAGCCCAAATTGCACCCATTTCTCCCATGGCTTCAAGTCTTACTACCCAGCTCCCTCCCAAGCCACCACTCCCCAGGCTGCTGGGCACAGCCTGGCACCCTGCATGGCCATCTCTCTTCCTTCATGCCCCATTAAACAACTCGCTCAAGGCTGCTGAGTGTAACAGGCGAAGAAGGAAACAGTGAGGAACCCCTGAGCCGAGCAGGGAGCAACTCTGCATGGAAGTCAGCCCCGGTCCCTCCGGAACACACATCAGACCCTCTCACCATGGAGCACTCACCCACTGCCTCTACGTAGCCTCCTTGGCTGCAGTGGGTCTCCCTCTGGGTCTTTCTCCTCTTCCACAGTGCCCATGAGCAGCTCTAAATTCCCATTATGGGTAGGGCCATTTGACTCTTAGCTGTCTGAACTCCTCCCGGTCCTGCCCAGAGGCACTGCCTGACCAAACAGGCCCATGGGGGAGTTTTCCTTGATAAAGATGCAGTGTTTCCCCAGGAAGGGTGTCTGCACCCTCCCAGGCCAGCCAGCTCCCAGCTGCGGCCTTCTCTCCTAGAGGTACTTTCCCCTCTCTCATTACATTATTACAAATGGCCTGCCACATGCCACACACTGATCACGATGTAGTTAAGGAATGCTGATCAAGGTCACCTGCCTGAGGCCATCCCTGTGAGGTGGGGGAGAAACTGGGATGTGAACCCACACCCCTACCCACAGGAAGGGCAAACAAGTCTGCGCCCAGTGAGAGACCCATCTGATTACAGAAGGAAAATTAATGCTGACAATTACATCACGGCTGCTGTCATAAAGAGAAGGGCTCTTCTCTCCCTCTCCTCCGATGATCTCCTCCGATGATCAACTCCATTCACTTGTTCAACAAACTCTCAGAGACTCCTCCTCTGTGCCAGGAAAAGGGGACAGAGAAGAATCAAAGCAGGGAGCCAGTGGGCAAGTGACACACGGCCATTATAACATAGTGAGAGTCATGCAGTGATGGAGAGAGAAGGGGGTGTGGGCACCAGATGTATACAGAGGAAAAAGCCAGGAAGGCTCCCCAGGGGAGGCATGTAGGCTGTGCAGGGAGTAACAGTTCATCCAGAAGATTTATGCAAAGTGCCTGGCACTGCCTTAAAGCCTTTCTTCCTGCTCCGCTCAAGAAATCACATAGAAGCCAGGAAGGGTGTGGTCCTAGCCACTCAGGGGGCCAAGGAGGGAGAATCGCTTGAGCCCAGTTCAAGGCTGCAGTGAGCTGTGATCATGCTACTGCACTCCAGCCCAGGCAACAGGGCCAGACCCTTGCCTAAGAAGGAAGGGAAGGGAAGGGAAGGGAAGGGAAGGGAAGGGAAGGGAAGGGAAGGGAAGGGAATGGAAGGGAAGGGAAGGGAAGGTGGGGGAGAGAGAGAGAGAAAGGAAGGAAGGAAGGAAGAGAGGGAGAGAGAGAAAGGAAGAAAGGAAGGAAGGGAAAGGAATAAAGAAAGAGAGAGAGAGAAAGAAGGGAAGAAAGAAAAGAAAGAAAGAGGAAGGAAGGAATGAAGGAAGGCGAAGAAGAAAGAAGGAAAGAAAGAGAAAGAAAGAAAGAAACAAGAAAGAAAGAAAAAGAAATCACAGAAAGGGCAAGAAAGGACAAGTGGGAGGGAAACTCAAGCTTTGGCACAAATGTCTCCGGGTCGCTTGCAAGTTCCAGGCTGATGTGTCTAAAGGCAAAGTGAACCTTTCCTGCCTTGGTGCCACAGCACCGCAGCCTCCCACAGCCAACTTTGAATTAATCAGCGTCCCCAAATCTGCTTGTCCTGCGGGTCTTCCATTTCCACAAAACGTGTTGTGGAGGTCATGCCTGAGTGACTCTCTGATTGGTGAATTTGGGAAGAATACACTGAGCTCGGCACTGCCCACGGGGAGAGGGAATTCCCCTTTGCTCCTTTACGCCATGGGAGTTTCCTGGGCAGGATCCCAGGGGGGTACATGTGTCCCCTGCTGGGGTTCAGCAATGGGCCCACTTGCCTCTCATCCAAACCTGTGTCCTACCCCTGGCCTGGATCAAGAACTAAGGTGACATTGGCTTTCATAAGTCTTGGTTTTGTTTCTTAAATTGATCAGGACTCAGAGGGGCAAGAGAGTGATTTTTCTTGGAGTTTCTCAAGGACACCAACAAAAGGCCCCGCCATCCACCCTTCCCTTCAATAAGACCTCTTGCCTCCTCCCTCCCCTCCATGCCCACGTTTACCAATGCCTGGCAGTGCCACCTCACCTCTGTTCTCAGCTTTAACCACTTCCCTCATTGCCACACTCCTTCTCTTGTCCGGGTGCTGCCAGCTTCCAGGCAGACACAGCCTCCCCACTGTTCCCCTTGCTTCCTGCATCCCTGCCCCTTGTCCCCTGCTCTCCTGGCAGGTGACAGGGGCTCAGGGAGGTCTGCCTCACTCACCACTTGAAGAAGCAGCCACATTCTATTCCAAGGGGAACATGCCTCATTTCTCCCCCTCCTTTTTTTCTCACTTTCTCTCTGGACAAGGAGTCTATTTTTATTTTATTTCATGGAATTTGTCTTTTGAAATAATTAACCACCTTCTTGAAGCAATTTTTCTTCAACCAGGAATGCAAAATCACATAACACATTGGAATATTTTTTAACACTGCTTTAAATTATGCAGTTGCTGTATTGTGATAAATATGTAGATGGGGGAAGTTGGGAGGATGTGTCCTGGACTTGAAGCTGGGCTCCCCTCATTCCAGTTCACAGAGGAGGATGGCTGGGGGAAGGGTGGGGCCCAGCCAAGCTCCCCAGTGGCCAAAAGCAAGAGCCATCCTGGGGTTTTCCTTCCTGCACAAATCCCAGAGGCCCAGAATACAGCTGAGCCAGCCCCTGCTTCCTTCACTGGGCAGGTGCTTTAGGTGCCCTACCCTATGCTCCCAATAAACTCGCAACATAGGAATTAGGACTCCAAGTTTACAGATGTGCAAACTGAGGCTCAAAGTGGCCAAGAAATTTGCCCAGGGTACTTTGGCTAGGAAGTGGGTTCTCAACCCCACCCAGCTACTCAGAAAGCTTCCTGGCCAAGATGACTCTTCTGTGACTCCCAGATGACTATTGTATACCTTTATTTTTCTCTTCAGATGTCTCTCTCTTCTCCTCCTCATGCTCAGGTGGTAATCTTATCTTTTTTTTTTTTTTTTTTTTTTTGAGGCAGAGTCTCATGCTGTCACCCAGGCTGAAGTCCGGTGACACAATCATAGCTCACTGCAGCCTCGACCTCTTGGGCTCGAGCTATTCTCCCGCCTTGGCCTCTGGAGTAACTGGGACTACAAGCACACACCACCATGCCCAGTTACTTTTTAAAATTTTTTTGTAGAGACAGGATCTCCCTATGTTGCTCAGGCTGGTCTCACCCTCCTGGGCTCAGGCAATTCTCCTGCCTCAGCCTTCCAAAGTGCTGGAATTACAGGCCTGAGCCACTGCACCTGGCCTCATCTTACTTCACTGAGAACATAAATGTTTAACAACTGGTTGAGGCTGGGCACAGTGACTCACGCCTGCAATCCCAGCACTTTAGGAGGCCAAGGTGGGAGGATCGCTTGAGCCCAGGAGTTTAAATTAAGACCAGCCCAGGCAACATGGCAAAACCCCATCTCTACAAAAAATACAAAAATTAGCTGGGCATAGTGGCACACACCTGTAGTGTGTGGATTGGGAGGATTGATTGAGCCTGGGGAGGCAAGGCTGCAGTAAGCCATGATCATGCCACTGCATTCCAGCCTGGGTGACAGAGGGAGACCCTGTCTCAAACAAACAAACAAACAAAACAACAGGCTCACTGGATTAAAAGGCCCTGATCTGTAGCATTTGCCACTTTCCATGGTGTAAATGTTCCCACCATAGCCTGACTCAAGCTGCCAATGGTTTCATTACTAGCTAACATAAGTCCTGAAAATTTGGCCATTTGTTTTCCTTTCTTTCTTTCTTTCTTTTTTTTTTTTTTTTTTTTTTAAATGGAGTCTCACTCTGTCTGACCCAGGCTGGAATGCAGTGTTGTGATCTCGGCTCACTGCAACTTCCGCTTCCTGGGTCCAAGCCATTCTCCTGTCTCAGCCTCCTGAGTAGCTGGGATTACAGGCATGTGCCACTGCACCCAGCTAATTTTGTGTTTTTAGTAGAGACACGGTTTCACCATGTTGGCCAGGCTGGTCTTGAACTCCTGACCTCAGATGATCCACCCGCCTCGGCCTCCCAAAGTGCTGGGATTATAGGCATGAGCCACTGTGCCTGGCTGCCATTTGCTCTTCTGAGACAGCCCGTGCACACCATTGGGCCCTCAAGCCTTTCTGCATCAGTGGATCCACCTGTTCACTACCTTTCCTGCTCAAGGCGTGGGAATGCCCCAAAACTCTCCTCTTATCCAGCAAGAATTTGCTGTCTGCAATGATCTCCTCTCCTTCCTGAACCATCACTTTCTCCCTCCACTAGATGCCTCCCATCATCATACAAACATGCCATGATGTCCTCTGGAAGAAAGCCTTCCCGTGACCCCACATCCCCCTCCAGGGGCCACCTATTTATTTGATCTCCTTTTCAGCAAAAATTCTTCTCCTTTTTTTTTTTTTTTTTTTCAAACAGAGTCTTGCTCTGTCTCCCAGGCTGGAGTGCAGTGGCATGATCTCGGCTCACTGCAACCTCCACCACCCGGGGTTCAAGCAATTCTCTTTCCTCAGCCTCCTGAGTAGGTGGAATTACAGGCATGTGCCACCACACTCGGCTAATTTTTTTTTTTTATTTTTAGTAGAGATTATGTTTCATCATGTTGGCCAGGCTGGTCTCGAACTCCTGACCTCAAGAAATCCACCCACCTCAGCCTCCCAAAGTGCTGGGATTACAAGTGTAAGCCACCGCGCCTGGCCTCAGCAAACATTCCTGAAAGAATTCGAGGAATTGCTGTTTCTTCTCCTCCTCTCCCCTTTCCTCCTCAGCCTGCCCCGGTCAGGCCTTCATCCCCACCACTCCTGTGGGCATTCTAGGTCCAAGTCACCAGCAATGTCTGGGAACTGTGGCTTCTGGTTCTTTGGCCCCAGCCCTCTGGAAGGGGCTGGAAATCAGCTCTGAGCCTGTCCACCACTGCCGCCAACATAGCTGGCAAGGCCCACTGTGACACAGCCCCTGTCTGCCTCATCTGCTGTCACCCTCCCTCCCTTGCTCTCTGGCTGGCTGGCCTCCATCCACTCCTCAAGCAATGACAAGCTCATGATGCCTCCAAGCCTTGGCCCTTGCTGTTCCCATTGCCAAGGACATTGCCACAGGTCAGTTCCTCACTGCCTCCACGTTTCTGCTTCACTTCAGGGCACCAGGAATACATCAGTGACTGAAATGTGGCCGGGCTGTTCTCAAACTCCTGACCTCAAGAAATCCTTGACCACCTGGTCTAAAAAAGCATCCCTCCTTCCCTCTGTGTCCCCTTCTCTGCTCTATTTCCCTCCATGGCACTCAGCACTGTCTGGCATGTTACACGTTTATGAGCTTGTTCACTGGGTATGGCAGGATGCAAGCTCTAGGGGAGCAAGGGCTTCACATTTTGGTCACTGATGTATTCCCAGTGCCCCGAGCAGTACATGGCACATAGTAGGTGTTCAGGAAATATTTGTTAGCTGACAGAATCAATGAATGCATGAATAAAATAATGGAGCTAAAATTCAAACCCAGATCTGTTTGACTGCACAGCTTCTGTGTACCTCTCTGCTGCATGGCCTTCTCTGGAGCCATTTCCATGTGCTGGAGGCCACAGGGAGCCACCCCTAAGATTTGCATGTGATGTTGTTAGCATGTTTTTTCTTTTGGGTACCTGTAGTTAGAGACCTGTTGCTCTCTTGCTTGAAATTTTTTATGGTACTGCATGGATGCCTTTAGGAAAAATCTAGAATCTTCAGCCTGGCGTGCATAGCCCACCGTGTTTGGATCCCTACATTTTCCTCCTCTCCTCTCCTCTCCTCTCTCCTCCCCTCCCCTCCCCTCCCCTCCCCTCACCTCTCCTCTCCTCCCTCTTTGCTTCGCTTCGCTTACTCTGTTGCCCAGGCTGGAGTGCAGTGGTGCGATCTGGGCTCACCACAATGTCCACCTCTCAAGCTCAAATGATTCTTGTGCCTCAGCCTCCAGAGTAGCTGGGATGACAGGCACATGTCACCACACCTGGCTACTTTTTGTATTTTTAGTAGAGAAGGGGCTGCACTAGCCACCTTTCCTGGCCTCTGACAGTCCCCTGCACCGCCCTCCCTGCCTCAGTGGTCAAGCTGGGTTTGAAGGGCTGTTTTTTATGTTTCCACTTCCTTCATTAGAGTGTGAGGTTTTTGAGTTCAGACCCACCCTGGATCTCTCTGTGCGCCCAGCACAGGCCTGGCACACAGTAGGCATTTAAGACATGTCTGAGGAGAGGCGAAAGAACTAAAAGGAGGCAGGGAAGAGACAGGTTGGTGATGAATTTCTTCCTGTTGCCAAAGCCTCTCTGCCTCTTACTATCTTCTGAAACAACACCCTGGGGTGGATTAAATGACAAACTGCCCAGAACTGTGAAATCTTTCCTGCTCCACAGCCAAGGGTGAGAGTTCCTTCTGGCTTTTTCTTTTCTTTTCTTTTCTTCTCCTTCCTTCCTTCCTTCCTTCCTTTCTCTCTCTCTCCCTTTCTTTCTTTCTTTCTTTCTTTCTTTCTTTCTTTCTTTCTTTCTTTCTTTCTTTCTTTCTTCTTTCTTTCTTTTTGACAGAGTCTTGTACTGGAGTGCAGTGGAGTGATCTTGGCTCACTGCAACCTCCGCCTCCTGGGTCCAAGCGATTCTCCTGCCTCAGCCTCCCAAGTAGTTGGGACTATAGACATGTGCCACCAAACCTGGCTAATTTTTTTTGTATTTTAGTAGAGATGGTGTTTCACCATGTTGCCCAGGCTGGTCTCGAACTCCTGAATTCAGGCAATCCACCCACCTCGGCCTCCCAAAGTACTAGGATTACAGGCATGAGCCACTGTGCCTGGACCCTTCTGGCTTTTTCTAGAGGCAACTCACTGTGTCTTGGGAAACACAGGCCACGGAGACCCATTGGAGTTCATTCTGGCCACCTTGGCCAGCTGGCTTTGTGAGCCTGGTTTGCAGCTCGCTTCACTATAAGCATTCATTTCCCTAAGGCAAATGGACATCATGGCCCCTGCCCTGTTATGGGAACCAGATAAAACAATGAGCGGCTACGTGCTTTGAAAAAACTCTGCTCTGTTCTAACGAAGGGAGTATATGATGTTATGTTATGTTATGTTATGTTATTGTTACAGAATTCTAAATGGTGACATAGAAATTATTTCCCTTGAGTATAGTACATATTGCTGCTAAATAATAGAACTTGCCTGATTGGTATGGGGGGTGGGGTTTGTGAATTAGTGATAAGTCAGAATTATGGGACATTGCAAAAATTTTATTGCTTTCAAATTAATGCAAAATAATGACTAGCCCTGTATTGTTGAGACACAGTCCCTTAGGAGGGTTGCTTTAATGAACAGATAAGAATCACTGGTGGCCGGGCGCAGTGGCTCACGTTTGTAATCCCAGCACTTTGGGAGGCCGAGTGGGGCAGATCACCTGAGGTTGGGAGTTCGAGACCTGCCTGACCAACATGGAGAAACCCCGTCTCTACTAAAAATACAAAATTAGCCGGCCATGGTGGCACATGCCTGTAATCCCAGCTACTCGGGAGGCTGAGGCAGGAGAATCGCTTGAATCCCGGAGGCAGAAGTTGCGGTGAGCCGAGATTGTGCCATTGCACTCCAGCCTGGGCAATGAGAGCAAAACCTCATCTCAAAAAAAAAAAAAAAGAGAGAGAGAGAGAGAATCGTTGGTGATTGGGCACTCTGGGCACTCGCTGTAAACAAGGGGTTCAAACCAAGTGGTTTTTAAAATCCTGGAAAACTTTTTCTTTTAAAAGCTAATCATCTTTTCAGTATTATTGGTGTGCTTGGCCAAACTTTCCATAATCCCTCACCTGAGTCAGATTGTGGGAAATTCTGAGCAAGCAGGATTTGGAATCACTGAAGCATGGTTATTCCTAAAACAACAGGCGGGGGGTGCGGCTCAGAGTGGCAGGTGCTAGCAGTCAGCAACCTCTTGAATTGCCCAGGAGCCCCACGCCTGCAGATGGCTGAAGAGTTGACATCCTGTCCAACAGCTGCACCCCCGCCACACACATACACAGTCGTACACACACCGCCATTTCTCATTTGCACAAATTGTTGCATACCCAGTTACATGTTCACTTTCATGAAAGTCACAGTCATGTGACACACCTATTCCCACACTCACAGGAATACATGCACACAATCTTACGCATGCACACATACACACGCACACATACACACACACACATACACCCACAACGTAAGGACAACCACAGAGGCTGAACATTCCACTGAGAATCCCAACCTAAGATATGAGATAAAGATTCCCAGAGACCTGGCCTCAGCAACAACAGGACATGCTCCCTGTATGTCTTCCCCCTATACATGAGGTACACTAGGTGGGCTCCAAATGCAGGTGTTTACTCTGCTTCCAAAGAGGGGACAGTAGCTTGAGGTATGACCCTCTAATCTCCAGCTTGTCAGAGAGGAGGCAGAGCATCCCTAGAAAAGGACAGCAGAAATAAAAATCAGGAAAGGACAGTGGAAATAAAAACCAGGAAACTGAGAACAACAATAATGGCTAATCAGTGATGGACATTTGCCATTGCATCTGTGCTAAGACCTTTCTCCTTGCAACAGCATCACAAGGATGGGGATACTATCATCATCATTTTACTGATGAGAAAACTGAGGCTAGACAGGTTCAATAACATGCTGAAAGAGCAGCAACGAGTCAGCACTGATCCAGCATTCAAACCCAAACTGTTTGAGATTCAGAAGAGCTGGCCTCAAATCAAACCGGAGTTGCTGAGGTACAGCAGTCCATGGGAGTGGGAGAGAAGCCAGGCCTCATGGGAGAGCCCCCAGCATTAAGGAGCCTGCAGCTGACTTCATAGGAAGACACAAAATAGTTGGTGTCTCCCTTTTGAGAGGCTCAGATGCTTGACATGATAATAGCTACCACTTTATGAAGGATTTACTGGGATATTGTTGACACTGTAGGAGCAACCCCTCCTTTGGTTCTCCTGATAGCCCTATAGATGAGGTACAGTTATTAACCTCACTGTGTAGGTGAGAAAACTGAGGCTTGGCCAGGCGCGATGTCTCACACCTGTGATCCTAGCATTTCGGGAGGACGAGGCAGGTGGATTGCCTGAGCTCAGGAGTTTGAAACCAGCCTGGGAAACACGGTGAAACCCTGTCTCTACTAAAATACAAGAAAATTAGCTGGGCATGGTGGCATGCACCTGTAATCCCAGTTACTTGGGAGGCTGAGGCAGGAGAATTGCTTGAACCCAGGAGGCGGAGGTTGCAGTGAGCCGAGATCGCACCATTGCACTCCAGCCTGCGTGACACAGCAAGACTCTGTCTCAAAAGAAGTTGCTGAAGTCACTGAACTAGTGAGTGACAGAGCTGGGATACAAATGCAGGAATTCAAGTCCAACTGGGATTCAAATCCAACTCTAAGTTCCATGCTCGTTTTCTTCTGTGTGCGTCCTGACTCATCCTGCTGGAAGATGTGCTGAGAATCACGGCAGCTCTAACCACCTCCCTGCCTGGAGTAATGGGTAGGAGCTGAGAGATGTAGGAACCCTGCTGCTTATCCCATCCCTTCCTGCTACAGATTACCAGAAATGAAGAGGAAGAAGAGGCAGCAAGAATGTTTCATGTGCTGTTGACAATACTTAGATTTCTGGACAATGGTTTATGAGACTGGAGTGATGGGAGGGCTTGGTTAACAATCAGTGGTCAATAAATATCACTGTGTTTTGTCCTTGTTTTTAATATAACTATACTTACTGAGCTCAGTCTCTTGGACCCAACACAAAGGGCATTCAATGAAATATACAGGAGGAAAATGAACAAATCTACCACCACAGGAAGGATAGCCTTCATTCTACAACTGTATTTTGAGCTTATTGACAAATGTCTAAGAGAAAATTGTGAAAGTAGCATGCACACCACCCCCCTTGATCTCGGAGACGTCTGAGAACGTCACAGAGGCCGATGAACTTGGAGACACGGGGAAGAATGGTAGAGATTGTAATCCTTTATCAGCACCGCGGACAGCATCCAGGCAGGGACCGGGGAGCTGTCCTGGGTGCTAGTGCTAACTGCTGGTAGAGGCAGACACTGATCAAGCTTGTCTGCTGTATGCCAGGCACCATTCCAATGCTGTGCATATATCATATCATTTAGTGTGCCCAATGAATTTGCAACATAGGCATCCTTTACCCCATTGATATGGTTTGGCTGTGTCCCCACTCAAATCTCATCTTGAATTGTAGCTCCCATAATTCCCATGTGTCATGGGAGGGACCCAATGGGAGGTAATTGAATCATGGTGGCAGGTCTTTCTCGTGCTGTTCTCATGATAGCGAATGAGTCTCACGAGATCTGACGGTTTTATAAAGGGGAGTTCCCCTATACAAGCTCTCTCTCTTTGCCTGCCACCACGTAAGACGTCGCTTTGCTCTCTCTTGCCTTCCGCCATAATTGTGAGGCCTCCGCACCCATGTGGAACTGTGAGTCCATTAAACCGCTTTCTTTTATAAATTACCCAGTATCTGGTATGTCTTTATTAGCAGCATGAAAGTGGACTAATCCACCCATTTTGCAGATTCAGAGACTGAAGATCGGTGATACAGAGCATCTTGTCCAAGTGCACGTGGCAGTAGAGCTGGAACTTGAATCTGGAATTATCTGGCTAGTGATCTAGCTCTTCTTCCATGCTGTCTCCACACATCTTCAAAGTCGTCCCACCTCACATTCTCAGCAGGGTGAGGAATCCACCCAGGATCACTCTAGGACAATAATCAAACACAAGTGATATTGAGCCAAGTCCAGTGATGGGCTGATTTGTAGGCCTCTGTCAGTACTGGGAGTGGGAAACTGGAAAATTGAGTGTCTTGTTCACTTCCAGCCACATGCCTGCCTTCAAAGCATGGCCAAGACTTTGGTTGGGGGAGATGGTGGCAGCCCTAGCTGAGAAAGAGGAGGAGGTGTCACACAGGCCACCTAAGATGGAGCCAGAGAGGTCTCCACCCATAGGCTCTGGTCACCCATCCTGGAGCCCTTTCGGAGCAGTACAGGTTATGGGGCATCAGTGGCCTCCATCCCCCTCCTCCAGGGGAGCAGCCCAATTGATGTCTAACAGCACCTGCTCCCTGGGCTCACTGCCGAGCCCACCCCCTGCTGTGGGCAAGATGGATCTGAAGAGTGGGGCTGAGGCCCCATTTAGAAGATCCTTGAATTGTAAACTAAAGAATTTATATTTTTTCCCACAGAAAATATGGAACTACCTAAAAAATCACTATCCATTTTTAGAACCTTTACTAAGAGCCAAGCATGGTGCTTGGCCATTTCCACCCATTTTCTCATTTAGTCTTTATTACAACCTTATTACTGCCTTGAGGTGGTTACATCATCCCATTCTGACATGTGAAGACCCAGATAGGGGAAAGGACTTAACCAAGGCCACGGAGCTGGTAACGGGGCAGAGCTAGGATGAAAATATGGTCTGTATAATCCCTGATCCTGCACTCATTCTCTCCTGACCAGAAGTCTGTCGCCCCTTGGAGGGCCAAGGATCTAGGGCTCAGGTGAAGGCCTGAGCTGCAGGCTGGGCAGAAGCCCGGCAGGGAGTTCCTTCTGTTTCATTAAGGGTGGAGTCACCATGCTCGCAGCCATAAACCTGCCTCACAGAGAAATTATCTGGGACTTAAAAAACTCAGTGGCATTTTCTGGGATTCTGAGATTTATCTGGAGCTGTCTACACAGATGTGGGAGACTCTGGACTCTCAGGAAGGGGGCTGGAGCTGAGAGTGGCATGAAGCAAAGTCAATAGTGCCATGGAGATCAGAGGAGCAGAGATTCACTCCCACCGAAGGGAATCTGGCCTCAAAGTTTTTGAGTCTCCCTTTCCCAGGCCCCTCAGTCTCTCTAGTTCTCCGTGCCTCTCCCAGGTCCTGGGACCATCCTGCCAAGCTACTTTTCCAGTTACTCCCAGAGGAACTTTTTTTGTGGCCAGCTCTGGACAAGTCATATCCTTGCTTTAAAAAGTCACCTCTGCAAGGCCAAGCACGGCGGCTCACACCTATAATCGCAGCACTTTGGGAGGCTGAGGCGGGTGGATTATGAGGTCAGGAGATCGAGACCATCCTGGCTAACACAGTGAAACCCCGTCCCTACTAAAAATACAAAAAATGAGCCGGGCGTGGTGGCGAGTGCCTGTAGTCCCAGCTACTCGGGAGGCTGAGGCAGGAGAATGGCATGAACCTGAAAGGTGGAGCTTGCAGTGAGCTGAGATCGCGCCACTGTACTCCAGCCTGGGCGACAGAGCGAGACTCAGTATCAAAAAAAAAAAAAAAAAAAAAAAAAAAAAAAAAAAAAAAAAATCACCTCTGCAAATCTTGATTTCCTCATTTGAAGAATGGGATTAGGAATATCCACCCAGCAGTGCCATTGACCTGGTTCATGAGGGCAAGCATGGCCAGTGAGTTGGCCAAACAAGCCCTGGGCTGCCAGGGGCCCCAGAGTAGTGAGCCAGTGTCTTGAGGTCTGAGACAGCATCAGTGGCTGTGCTTCATGTTCTGGGGGCTGCTGTGGCAGCTGCCCTGGGCCTTTGTAGTTCTGAGCTCACCCCTACCCCCCTAGAAAGGCCCAGTCTTGCAGAGCACAAAGCAGCCCCTAATCAAGAGTTTTGATCACTACAATCCTTTTTGTTCCCCTTCCATCCAAATTAATCAATTGCAAGTCCCTGAAGATGTTATTGTCTCTCACTTCTGGGAATTTGTACATGCTGCCCTCTGGCTACAGCTCTCTTCTTGTCTGAATTGCCTGAACAATTCCTGTTCAACCTTTAGGTTAAGAGCCCAGTGGAGACACCCCTACCCTCAGGAAGCCTTCCTTGACCCCCAGGCTGGAGAAGTAGGGATTGCTGCTCTGTGCTCCACGTGCATTGCCGTGCGGGATGTCTTGGGGGAGGGATAAAAGGAACATGAGGCAGGAGAGGTGGGGGTGGGGGGCACCACCTCCATAATCCACACCTGTGGCTGCAGAGGGAGCTAGGAGCAGCAAGAGGCATGAACCAGGGCTGGGGAGCACCACTGTGCTGGCCACCTGGAGGTTTCCTGAGCTCAGCCTCTGCTGGAAGGGGCCCAGGTGTGGCGCTTTGTGATGCCAGCCCCGAGGGTGGCTCTGCATAACTGCTGCATGGGAGCAGGAGGCAGCAGCCTGTCCCTGGAGGATCTGAGCCATCAGCTGGCAGGGATCAACACAGCACTGCCCAACCCCAAGCTCTTACCTGCTAAGAGGGGACAGGGCAGGCAGAGAGGGGAGGGAAGTCTGTGCCAAGTCTCAGATCTAAGTCTAGGACCTAGCTCTGCACATTCGTATCAGTAAACCCAGTGTATGCAACTGCATGTGGTCTACATTACTACATGTGTCTCTGAGTCTGGTAATATCAGACTATGTGTTTATGTGTATATGTGTGTCTTTATGTCTCTGTGCACAAGTATGCCATCAGGGGTGTCCCTGTGCATCCATGTGCCTACACGTGTATATCAATGTGTCAGTACATGTGATTGCTGTGTAAATTCACAGGCATGTGATGTATGCAATTGTGTGTTAACAAATAGTGTATGCACTCTGGCCTTCTACTTACACCCACTGGGGTTCAAATCCCAGCTCAGCTACTTCCCAGCTCTTTGGCCTTGGGCAAGTCACTTCACTTCGCTGAGCCTTATTTTCCTCATCTGTAAAATGGGAATGAAAATTATAATGCCCATCCTGATTGATTTTTGTAAAAGGATTAAATAGAGCAATGTACTGTTTTTAGAATACTTAACACAGTGGCTGGTCTATCAGAAACAATAAATACCGCATTTATGATTTGTTTTGTGTGTGTTTGTGGTATGTGGATATGTGGTTGTCTATGGATTTATATGCCTATCTAAGATGTGTTTATGAGCCAGTCTGGGGTTAAGTGCATAGTCTGGTGCATTTATGCATAAGCACATGTGTGTCAGCATGGGCATATGTCTTTATTTCAGCTTTTTTTTTTTTTAACTTTTCATGATCCTCTGAAAGCTCAGGGTCCTGGGCAGCCATGACAAATGAGATTGAAGCTCCCAACACTATTTAAAACCTCCTCTGCTGATTCTTGGTCTTTGAAAACAGACAATTATTCTCTTAAAAAAAATCAAATTTGGACTTACCTGGAACACAGACACACGCACCCCAACTGCCCCCCACCCACCCAGGTAACATATATGGTGCACATGCATGCACATACATGTGAACACACATGTTGGCACCCATGATCATCCATGGCTCACTTGTGTATCCCCAGTCTTCAGCCCAGGAGCCAACGCAAGGTGAGCAACACTTAGTTCTTCTTGACTGGGTGACTGTATCTTGATCTTGGAAACAGGTGGAAGTTTCTGCAAGAATCCCAAGCATGACGGCTAGAGAGGGGCAGGTCCTGCATCCTGCCTCTAGCTCAGAAGCCAGTGACAAGGGGGCTATGGCTACTGCACGTACTTTCCAGCAAGGAGCAGGGATTTGGAGTCACCCAGTTGTGGGTTCCAGCCCTCCTCCCCAGCTGTCCCATTGGATGCAAGAGGATTGCACTTGGTTGCAGGGATTTGGAGTCACACAGATGTGGGCTCAAGCCCTCCTCCTTGACTGTCCCTTTGGACACAGGAGGATTGCACTTGGTTGCATGTTCTCTAAGCCCCTTACCTGGGCCTGATCCCAACCCCAAGGCTGCAAACAGAGGAGACTCTGAGCTAGGCCAACCCTTGGGAGCTCCAGATTCCAAGCAGGCCACACAGCAGGGTGTGGCGCAGCCCAGGGAAGTGTAGGGTGAGATGGGAGAGGGGAGTAAATCCAGTCTGTGGGCTCAGGAAAGATAGATTCTGGCCAGCCCAGGGACCGGGCTAGCTGTTACTCAAAAGTCAGACCAGGGAGATGGACAGCAAAATTAAGAGTAAGTGCTTAGCAAATTGACAAGGTGATCTTATGTTTGTTGAATCTAATAATTTTTAAAATATGGGGCCTGCATTCATACACCAGTATTCATAGCAGTATTATTCACAATAGCCAACTGGCAGAAACAACTCAAATGTCCCTTGACAGGTGAATGCATAAACCAAATGTGGCATATGTGTACAATGGAATATTATTCAGCCTTAGAAAAGAACAAAGTGTTGTCACATGCTACAACAGGGATGGACCTTGAAAACATGATGCTAAGTGAAAGAAGCCAGTCACGAAAGGGCATACTATATGGTTACAAGTACCTAGAACAGTCAAATCCATGGAGACAGAAAGTAGAGGGTGGTTATCAGGGGCTGGAGGGAGAGGGCAATGGGGAATTAGTGTTTAATAGGGACAGAGTTTCAGTTTAGGATGATGGAAAAGGATGGGTGATGGTTGCACAGCAATGTGAATGTACTTAAGGCCACTGAATTGTACACTTAAAAGGGGTTGGGCCGGGCGCGATGGCTCACGCCTGTAATCCCAACACTTTGGGAGGCCCAGGCAGGTGGATCACGAGGTCAGGAGTTTGAGACCAGCCTGACCAACATGGTGAAACCCCTTCTCTACTAAAAATACAAAAAATTAGCTGGGCATGGTGGCGCGTGCCTGTAGTCCCAACTACTTGGGAGGCTGAGGCAAGAGAATCACTTGAACCCAGGAGACCATCGTGGAAAGCAGTGTGGTGATTCCTCAAAGAGCTAAAAGTAGAACTACCACTCGGCCCAGGAATCTCATTACTGGGTATATAACCAGAGGAATATAAATTGTTCTACCATAAAGACACATGCATGCATATGTTCACTGAAGCGCTGTTCACAATAGCAAAGACATGGAGTCAGCCTAAATGCCCATCAGCTACAGATGGGAGAAAGAAAATGTGGTACATATACACCATGGAACACTATGCAGCCATAGAAAAGGATGAGATCATGTATTTTACCAGAACATGGATGGAGCTGGAGGCCATTATCTTTAGCAAACTAACGCAGGAACAGAAAACCAAATACCACATGTTCACACTTGTAAATGGGAGCTAAATGATGAGAACACATGAATACATAGAAGGGAACAACAGGCACTGGGGTCTACTCTGGGCGGGAGGGTGGGAGGAGCGAGAGGAACAGAAAAGATAACTATTGGATACTGAGCTTAATACCTGGGTGATGAAATAATCTGAACAACAAACCTCCGTGACAAGAGTTTACCTATGTAATAAATCTTTACATGTACCCCTGAGCCTAAAATAAAAGTTAAAAAAAATGGAAAATTTATGTTTGCGTATACTACCACAGTTAAAAAGGGGATTTCATCTGTATTTTTTAAAGCCAGGTTTATTGGCATATAATTTACATGCAGTAAAATTCACCCTTTGGAGTGTGTAGTTCTATTAATGTTGACAACCTTGTACAGTCACGTGACCCCCCCAGCACAACCAAGACACAGAACAGCGCCATGCTTCTCAAAGTTCCTCATGCTGCTTTGCCATCATTTCCCCCCTCCCCTCAAATTAGCCCCTAGCAACCACTGATCTGTTTTCTGTCCCAATTGTTTTTTGTTTTTCTTTTTCGCAAAATGTCATCCTACAGAATATAATCTCTTGAGTCGCGCTGCCTTCACCTAGCATAACGTGTCCGAGAGCCATCCATGTTGCATATATCAATAATTCTTTCCTTTTCATTGCTGAATAGTATTCCCTTGTATGGATGTACCACAGTTTGCTTCTCCATTTGCCATTGAAGGACAGTTGAGTTGTTGGCAATTATAAATAAAACCACTGAAAACATTCACATACAGGCTTTTGCATGGACATGTGTTCTCATTTCTCTTGCCGGGTCATATGGTAAGTGAATGTTTAACTTTATAAGAAACATTTATAATAAACATTTAACTTTATAAGAAACTGCTCAGCTATTATCCAAGATTATATCATTTTGTTTTTTAATTTCTTTTTTTAGTACTTCATTTTTATTGCTGTTCTACAAAAACATAGATCCACAATGGATCAGAATTAAAAAGCAACCTGGTCCTACCCTACAGTAAGTTTTAGGAGCTCTAGTTTGCAAAGAGTCAGTAGATGAAGCATTGGGGAAAAGGCTTATCAGCAAAGACAGCAACACTTGCAAATGTCTAGGGGCACCTAGAGGACTGAGAGCTTGGAATGGAGAGGGTGGCTGGTGAACAGGGAGGCTGAGGATGGGGTCAGGGACCAGATGGTGCGAGATTCTGGGGGCTAAGCTGGGACTTTATCTGGAGGAGTGTTTGGAAAGCCATTGAAAGCTCTTAGGCAGAAGAAAATGATTTGATTTACATTTCAGAAAGATCCCTCTGGCTGAGAGTGGCAGCTCCCTGCAACTCCCGCAGGCCTCCAGGCCAAAGAAGAGGAGACCCAGACTGGGATGTTGGCAGCAGTGGGCTTAGAAAGTACAATGGATAGAATTTGGGGATGCACTAGATGGGGGTGGGGGGCAAGGCTTTGAATGGAGTGAAGGGGACTCAGCTGCTCTGGCTTAAGCTGGATGCCCCTTTAGGGGAGTCAGTGGGATCAGGAGGGGCCTGCGTGGGGTGGGAGTCAGTCAGAGATGGAGACCTCCCAGCTCTGCCTCCAGGAGTGCCTGCCCCGCCCAATCTGGATTCAATTCAGCTGTCACTCAGGCAGGCCTCTGAAATGTCCCCAAACAGCCAGTGATTTGTGCAGGCCTGGCCAGCCCGTTGTTTCTTTGGGATGTGGTCTTTGCCAAGATTAACAAAGGGCTCTGGGGGTGTTGGGGGGCATGGGAGGAGGTGGCCAGGGAGAGGGGGCTCATCTCAGGCCCAGCCGCCGCCAGTGAAGGGTGTTGATTTCAGCCTTCGTCTTAAGTATACGTGGGCCTCTGGGCTTTTGAGGTTGTGTGCACACAGCTTTCAATTGCATGTAGGCGATTCAGTGCACTCGTGGGTATGTGTGCATCGGGCATCTCTCTCGGGGTGCCTGCGTCACTGTGCACTGATGGGGATCGCCATACATGCAGCGGTATCTTCTCTGTCTGCCCCTCCAAATCTACCCTCTTCCCTGCTCTGTGCCCCAAGGAGGCTGACGCTGTGCAGCACATCAGCCAGGTTCCTTGTTGTCTGGGTTCAACCAGGGGGAGGCTTGGCCAGGAGATCAGAGGGCAGGGAGGGATGGGACAGGTTGGCTCCTTCCCCATGGGGCTGTGGCTCGGGTGCTGTCTCTCTCCCACAGCCACAATTTCCACTGGACAATCCTCTCCAAAGCCACAGCTCTTACCAGCTCCTGCAATTGTTCACTCCCCTGGACCCTTCAGGCCTAGCACTCTCCGCTATGGCCAGCCCCCAGGTGCTTCGCTGTGGCTTTGGGGTCTCCCTTAGCCCTGCCCTCACCCTTGTAAATGGCCCCTTGATAAAATTTTCCTCACCTTGTTTGTGCTGATTGTTCCCTGCTGGGGTCCTGGCTGAGACAGCCCGTGCATACATGTGGGTATGTGTGCAAGTGTTCAAAGTGCATCGCTTGAATGGGTCTGCACACATATCTGAGTGTATTTGTGCACACATCTGCACGTGCTTTGTCCATGTGGGCATCCTTAAATGTGCCTATGTAACCATTTGAGAATATGGGCACATGTGTATGCATGTATGCCCATGTGGGTGTGTGCATTGTCTCGTGTGTTTCACATGTGCATGCTTTTGGGTGGGAATGGCTGCACGTGGCTATGAGTGTATGCTGCCAAAGCCAGAATAAGGGCAGAGACTGATAGTTGCAGGTACAGGCGGCTTCTCCTACAGGCTCCCAGACAGCCAAGTATCACAGGGCAGCTCCTCTCAGGTTCCCCCATGGGGCCTCTTAAGAAGCTTTGCCCCTCCAAAGGGAACTGTTCCCAGGAGTTCAGCTTGTTTTGTTCAAAAAATATCACTGGGGCCCCTGCTGCCTCCATCATTACCCTCTGAGGCGCTCCCCTCCCCATGCCAGGTAGCCTCCTTCGGCTGCAGTCTCAGGACCTCAAACCACTTGCAGCTTCAGATGATGCTCAGAGAGCAAGACCCACCTTTACTGAAAGGGTTATTATCTTTGCTCCATAACAGGCTTTTGCAAGAACTCAGAAGTTATCAAGAAAATCCAACTCGGCCAGGCACGGTGGTTCATGCCTGTAATCCCAGCTCTTTGGGAGGCTGAGGGGGGTGGATTGTTTGAGGACAGAAGCTCAAGACCAGACTGGACAACATGGCAAAACCCCGTTTCTACTAAGAATACAAAATAGTAGTTGGGCACAGTGGTGCACACCTGTAATCCCAGTTACTCAGGAGGCTAAGGTGGGAGAATCGCTTGAACCCAAGAGGCAGAGGTTGCAGTGAGCTGAGATCATGCCACTGTACTCCAGCCTAGACGACAGAGCGAGAGTCTGTCTCAAAAAAAAAGAAAAAGAAAGAAAATCCAACTCAAACTCTATAAACCAACTCTATAAAAATGAAAGATTTCTGTGCAGCAAAAGGAATCAAATAAATTTAAAAGACACACAAATTTACTAGAAATAATTATCTATAATTTATATTATAGACTAAGAGTAATATCTATGACATGCAAAGAGTTCCTGCAAACAAATAAGAAAATAATAACAACCTGATAGTAAATGGGCTGACATATTGTCAAGTATTTCAAAAAGAAATATTACCAAAAGCCAGTAAATAGATGAAGAAAGCTTAAACTGTCGAGTAACAATGAAAATTAAAATGTGTGATAAAATCACTTTTTGCCCAACAGGTTTACTAAACTAAAAAATGTAATATTCAATGACAAAGGGGGTGTGGGGAACTGAGCACACTCACGTGCTGTGGGAGGGGATATAAATTGATATTGGAGGGGAGGGGACAATTTAATAGTATCTGTCAAAATTGATAGATTTGGGGATTACAGTGCACATCCTATACCCAAGCAATTTCACTTGCAAAAATCTGTGTTGCACAATCACTAGCACATGCATGCAAAGATATGTCTGTAAGGTTATTCCTTAAAGAATCAGTAGTGTAAAAAATGTATTACATTGGTGCAAAAGTAATGGCAAAAACCGCAATTACTTTTGCACCAACATAATATTTATAAACAACTTAAATGTTGTTTAGAGGAAATATGGGTGACTAAATGTTGGTATATCTATACTCTGGAATACTATAGCACTATTTTAAAAAGTGAAGTAGGCCAGGCGTGGTGCTCACGCCTGTAATCCCAGCACTTTGGGAGGCTGAGGCAGGTAGATTGCCTGAGGTCAGGAGTTCGTGACTAGCCTGGCCAACATGGCGAAACCCCATCTCTACTAAAAATAGAAAAATTAGCTGGGCATGGTGGCAGATAACTGCAATCCCAGCTACTTGGGAGGCTGAGGCAAGAGAATTGCTTGAACCCGGGAGGCAGAGGTTGCAGTGGGACAAGATTGTGCCACTGCTCTCCAGCCTGGGTGACAGAGTGAGACTCTGTCTCAAAAAAAAAAAAAAAAAAGAAAAGAAAAGAAAAAAGAAAAAGAATGAAGTAGATCTGTAGTATGGACACAGAATCTATAAAATTCATAATACCTTTTCTAATATAAAAAGAAAAATTGAAAACAATGTATTATTAACCCTTAATAGTTTAAGATAACAGGTTAAAAAAAAAAACAAAAGAGGCCGACTCTTTTGTTTGCTCATGCAAACAAATGATGGCTCATGCCTGTAATCCCAGCAATTTGGGAGGCCGAGGCAGGTGGATCACCTGAGGTCAGGAGTTCGAGACCAGCCTGGCCAACATGGTGAAACCTCGTCTCTACTAAAAATACAACAATTAGCTGGGAGCGGTGGTGGGTGCCTATAATCCCAGCTACTTGGGAGACTGAGGCAGGAGAATCGCTTGAACCCAGGAGGCAGATGTTGCAGTGAGCTGAGATCACACCAAGACACTCCAGCTTGGGCAACAGAGCGAGACTCTGTCTCAAAAAAAAAAAAAAAAAAGAAAGAAAAGAAAAGAGAAAGCAATGTGTTAGACAACCCCATATTTGTTTCTGAAAAAAAAAAAAAAAAACTGTGTGTGAATGGGCTTAATATTTTGAAAAGTATTAATGTGGTTATAAAAATATTTTCTGAGTATGCAATAATGGGTCAGGGAACCAGCCATCTGCCTTGAAAAGATAGTCCAGAGCAAAGGGCAGTCATGCCTTGCTCACAAGTCATGCCAGAACGTGAGAGCTCTTAGTCTGTTCAAGCTGCCATAGCAAAGTGCCATAGACTGGGGGGCATAAACAACAGAACTTTATTTCTCACAATGCTGGAGGCTGTCAGTTCAAGGTCAAGGTGCCAGACAATTTGGTTGCTGGTGAGGGCTCTCTTCCTGGCTTGCAGATGGCCACCTTCTCACTGTGTCCTCACATGGTGGGAAGAGAGAATGAGAGAGAGATTGCTTCTTCTTCTCATAAGGCCGCCAATCTGGTTGGATTAGGGCCCCATCCTTCTGATCTCATTTAACCTTAATTACCTCCAGAAAGCCCTGCCTTCAAATACAGTCACACTGGGGGTTAGGACTCCAACATATGAATTTGGAGGGACATAATTAAATCTATAGCAAGCTTCATGGGGAATTGTGTTGCAACAGGGACTACCCAAGAAGGTGACCAATAATGGCCATCTTGAAGTCTGGCTACCACAGCCCATGTTTTGTGGCATCTTTGGATAATTTCTTTCTGATGCAAACAGCCTTGGAAGACAGGCAGAGTCTCTCCCTCTAGAGCCAAAAGCAGGCATGCTCACTGCCCATTAGAGAGGGCTTGGGCTTCCTAAACTCGGGGTTCCTCTCCTGTGACACAGTCCACTGTGTGTTCCCAGGATTTCTGGGGCTCTTCATGTTGATATGTGGGAATTTAGGCTTGGAAACCAATGAGAAAATGCTGATACTCTGGCTGCTGCTATTGCTGTGAGTCATGACCTGTCCTTTGTGTCAGACCCTGGAGCCTCATGTCTTCTACCAGCATCCATGAAGCTGTGGCAGGCTAACTTGTTAGCTTGCAAGTAGGGTAAAATCTCACACCCTAGACAGTGCTTGACAGTCCTCTGTTGCACTGAGTCAGGGTTCACCCTTGTGGCCAGAATATGGCAGAAGTGATGTTATGTAACCTCAAGACTATGTCATCAGGATAACGTAGCTTCTGTCTGGTTCTCTTAGGATGCTCACTCTTGGATCCCAGATACCATGCTGTGAGGAAGCTCAAGTTGCTCTATGGAGAGGCCCCCATAGAGAGGAGATGATAGCCCATGCTAGCTTGCCGGAAATATGAGGAGCCAACTTAAAATGGATCCTCCAGCCCAGTCCAACCTGCAGATCATTTGCAGCCCTGCTGACATCTTACTAAAATCTCAGGAGCAACTCCGCCAGAACTGCCCAGCCAATTCCCCCTCACCAAATTCCCAACTCAGAGGAATCAGGAGAGATATTACATGATGACTGCTGTTTGAAGCCATTACATTTTGGGTTGATTTATTATGAGGGTTGATTATTAACACATGGGACTCTTGGCTCAGCACCCCCCTAGTAGCAGTGGCAGCCAGCAGAGGGAGACTCGAAGCTTTCCTGTGTTGTTCAGAGGAAATATGGATGACTAAATTTTGGTATATCTATACTCTGGTATACTGTAGCACTATTAAAAAAAAATGAAGTAGGCCAGTCACAGTGGCTCACACCCATAATCCCAGCACTTTGGGAGACTTGAAGCTTTCCTGTGTCGTGTAGAGGCAGTGGTAAGAGCCAGGGCCACTGTGAGGCAAGAGAGGGTGACTTCAGGCCAGAGGGAATCTGGGTGGGGCTTTTGGGCTATGGCCTGGATGGAGGATGAGAAATTACAGTAGCCTCAGCCTTCAGTCTGAACACTTGTAGGGCACATGGCAACCAGGGAGAGGGACACAGTCCCAGAGGCCAGAGAAGGCAGATGGTGACTCTGAGCCTATGGCCCCAACTCTCCCTCCCCCACACAAGGCCACTGATATGTTTTGGCTGTGTCCCTACTCAAATCTCATCTTGAATTATAGTTCTCATAATCCCCAAGTGTCATGGGAGGGAGCCGGTGGAAAGTAATGGAATCATGGTGGTGATGGTTTATAAATGGCTTTTACTCTCTTCACTCAGCTCTCATTCTCTCTCCTGCCACCCTGTGAAGAGGTGTCTTCCACCATGATTGTAAGTTTCCTGAGGCCTCCCAGCCATGTAGAACTGTGAGTCAATTAAATCTCTTTTCTTTATAAATTACCCAGTCTTGGGTATTTCTTCATAGCAGCATAAGAATGGACTAATACAGCCACCTAAGCCACACTTCCCCTTAAGCATCCAGGCACAACCACTGGAGAGAAGCGAGACAAGGGAGCTATCTGGGGAGATCAGGAACTACAAGAAGGACCAGTTTAGATGATTGGACTGGACAAATGGAATCCACACATAGGGGAAAGTGTCCTATTGTTCCCACTGGCCAATGGTTGTGGGGCTCAAGAAGACAAAATAAAGAAACAACATTTATCCACATTTCCAAGTTGTAATGTGAATAACATTTGTGATCTTGCGAGCTACACACACACACACACACACACACACACAAACACATGCACATGTAAATAGAAAACATCTGAAAGGATCTATGATCAATTGATAACAGTGATTACTCCTAGAGAGAGATTTTTTACTCTATTGGTTTTGTTTTTATTTTTAAAAATGTATTTATCTCTCTTTTTTTGCTAAAAGCATTGAAGGGGGAGAGAGAAGAAGAAAGTATCAGGTGGTGGAGGAATACGTCTGAAAATGATCGTTGGGTAGGCAGGTCTGGGTTAGGAATCCTGGATCCACAACTTACCTGCTGTGTGTTGGAGGGCAAGTTAATAAATCCCTCTGAGCCTCAGTTTCCCCATCTATACAATGGGGGATGGCAATAGGACCTCCTTCCTAGGACAACGGTAAATATTCAGTGAAATAACCCATGTAAAGCATTCAGATCAGCACCTGACACGAAGTCAATGTTAACTTTTGTGTATAACAAATCCTATCATCAGCATGTTTTGCTTTTGTTCATTATTTTGAAAGATTAGAAATTCAGAAAAATCAAGAGAATAGTATAATAATCACACATAATCATTCCACCTAGATTCACAGCAAATATACAGGCATGTGTTCTCCCTTTTAAAAATGAACCAAACATTACAGATCAAGCTGCAGCCCTCCCAGCCACCCCCGGGCTCCCCTCTGGCCTCCTTTCTCCTGGGCAGGTCCCAGCAGGAGTGTCATGCATTTGCTTTTGCTCCAGTCATTCTCCCAAGTGCAGCTCCCGTGCTGGGTGGTTGGAGGCCTTATACCCTGAACCCGATGATGCAGAGAGGGACGCCTAGAGACACAGGTGGCAGGTGAGCAGCAGGCGAGGCAGGAGGAGCCATCCAAGGGAGGGCCCCATGAGCTGCCCCACAGAAGGGGAGGTGAGAAGAGGGCCGGAAGCTGTTCCAGGCGCCTGATGGGCTCTGAGATCTGCCAGTTTCCTGACAATGGTTTAGTCATGATCACCTGCACACAGTCCCAGGGCCACTTGCAATGTCACCTGCACAGTTAGCCCCACCTCCCAGTGTCACCAATACAGTCACAGAGTCACATAGAATGTTCCCTGTACCATCAGCCCCATCACCCCATGTCAATCCAACACATACAACGTCACCTGCCCATTAGCGAGTCTCACTATGCACAGCCAACACTCACTCATGCTGTCACCTGCACAGCCACGCAGTCACTCACGACCTCACCTGCTCACGCCCAGTCCCATCGCAGTGTCACAGGCACAGTCATGCAATTTCCACAGCAGCGTCCACACAGTCCCTCATGGTGTTGCCTGCACACAGCCACGCAGTGTCCCAGGCACAGTCACACACAATCCCACAGAGTCACCTGCCTGCAACCAGCCACGCACAGTCATTTGCCGTCCCATGCTTGCCGCCCCCAGCCTTGCCAGGGGGTCTGACATCACAAACAGTGTCACAGGCAGACCCCTCCCCTGCAGAGCCCTGCCCACAGACCCCACTGCCCACCATGTGCCCGCCGGTCAGCCTGGGCTGGGGCTGCCCTGGTCAGAGGCCTGGGCCTGCCTTTGCCCTCAAGCTGGCTCTTCAGGAGCAGCTTGGGTTCCACTTGAGCCCCAAGGATGATACTGGAGCCGGGGGCCTGCTGCTGCTGGAAGCAGAGCCAACGCAAAGAAAAGCCTTTGTTCTTGGTGGGTCGGTCATTAAGAGGAGCCCGAATCCCTCTGCCAGCCCCTCCCCTCCAACAAAGGAACAAAACAGCAGCTATTTTTAGACTCGTGTCAAACTCCCCCTCAGACCCTGGGTGGGGAGTCCCGGTAGAGGGGCGTCTGCGAGGGCTCTAATGAGCCTGCGGCCGGCAGGTCCTGCTCTCCAGGCAGCTGGCCCTTGGCTCTGCCGGGGGAGAAGCGAGCCCAGGATACTCCAGAGACAAAGAGGAGGGCCAGACAATGAGAACAATGCCCGGAGCCCCAGGATGCCCACTTCCAGAGAGCAACCCCCACTCTTTGGAAGGAGGTCTCCCTGGACACAGGGCAAGGGCATCAGGACACCCCCTACCTTGTGTAATCCTCCAGGCACCTCACTGGCTCCGTGTCCCAGAGGAGGCAAGTGACTTGCTTGGAGGGGCAGGTGATTTCTGCTACATGAACCTTGTGTGATGGGATACTCTGGATGGCCCAGATCCAAGTCTGATGGTCCAGATCCCAGCTCTGCCCCTTACACTTGTGTGGCCTCAGGCCTCAGTTCCCCCACCTGTAAAATGGAGATGAGGCCAGTCACGGTGGCTCACACCTGTAATCCCAGCACTTTGGGAGGCCGAGGTGGGCGGATCAACTGAGGTCAGGAGTTTGAGATCAGCCTGGGTAACATGGTGAAACCCCGTCTCTACTAAAAATACGAAAATTATCTGGGCATGGTGGCGCGCACCTGTAATCCCAGCTACTCAGGAGGCTAAGGCAGGAGAATTGCTTGAACCTGGGAGAGAGAGGTTGCAGTGAGCCAAGATCGCACCACTGCTCTCCAGCCTGGGCAATAGAGTGAGACTCAGTCTCAAAAAATAAAATAATATAAATAAATAAAATGGAGATGATAATTCTCGCCTCCACAGTTGCTTTGAAGAGTCTGGGGGATAAGACCTGGGCACATAGCAGGTCCTCAGCCAGTCCGAGAGCCCTGGATTGTGTGGGCTCCTTGCCAAGCAAGGGCTTTGTCTTGTTCAAAGCTGGATCCAAGGGCCCAACGCACTGCCGGGCACATAGTAGGTTCTCAATAAATATTTGCTCAAGAGGTTAATGAAGGGTCCTTACCAGCCTTCAGCCCTACAGGCTTGACCCAACTTAAGCCACTTTCTTCCCAAGCGCTGCTCCCCAGCCTCCTCTTGGAAAGAAACTTGCTGGCTAGGGTGGAGCCCTCGTCTGCAGGTGAGAAGCTGCCTCCCCAGGCTGGAAGTCCCATGCTGCAATGACAGCGTTCTGACACCAGGGGGCGCAGTCTCTTAAGGTTTCCACAGCAGCCTGGGTCCTTCCCGCGGGGGCCTGGAGGGCTGGAGAGGATGCGGCCCACCCGGTGGGGCACCTGCCCACCCTCGTTAGCGGAGATCTACGGGGTCGTTCTAAAACTCTATGGAGCAGCAGCATTACAACCAAGTCATCATCCCTCAAAGCTTAGAAAGAAGCACTTCTTCAGGTCTCGCCTCCTCCACTGACTTTAAGCCACTTTCTAGTGCCCTGTCCTCAAAGACTATCTATGGTGACCCCCTTGCTCCCCAATTCTTGCCCGACCAGACTTCAAGATTCCTTGTTCTGTCATCCTTCTGTTCCCCCAGCTGGGGAAGCCCAGACCATCAGAGCCGGAAGGGTCTTCCTAGTTGATCTCATGGTCTTCCAGCCCATTCTACAGATGGGAACACTGAGGCCCACAGAACAGAACTGCATCCTCCAGGCTGAACAGCAAGGAGGAAGCAGCCAAGACCCATGCCCAGGCTCTCTTTTTCAGCTGGCGCCATTTTGCTCATGGATTGTTTCACTGTTGTTCTAGGGAAAGGGAGAATGGGGAAAAAGGAGGGAAGAGAAGGGGAAAAAGGGAAGGGAAAAGGGAAAAAGGAGGAAGAAAGATCCTGAGCCTTCTTATTCTGTTCCAGACCCTAGGCGTTCCTCTTCACCCTCGGCATTTCCCTGAGTCCTCTACAAACCCTTGAAAAACAACCCATGATTATCTCCATTGATGGATGAGGAAAGTGAGGCCGGGTGAGGTTGCCCCAAGTTTCACAGCTAACAAATAACAGTACCAGTATTTGCCCCAGGGCCATCTGATTCCCAAATTGTATATGGTTCAACCTAATACAGCAGAAAGAAATTCCCACATTCTTTCTGCTGTATTAGGTTGAACTGCATAAAATTGCTGTTCCCATGGCCAGGCATGGTGGCTCAAGCCTGTAATCCCAGCACTTTGGGAGACCAAGGCAGGTGGATCACTTGAGGTCAGGAGTTCAAGACCAGCCTGGCCAACATGGTGAAACCCTGGCTCTACTAAAAATTAGCCAGGCGTGGTGGCACGTGCCTGTAATCCCAGCTACTTGGGAGGCTGAGGCAGGAGAATCGCTTGAACCTGGGGAGGGGGAGGCTGCAGTGAGCTGAGACCACCCCACTGCACTCCAGCCTGGGTGACAGAGTGAGACTCCATCTCAAAAAAAAGTAAAAAATAAAATAAAATAAAATTGCTGTTCCTGTAGGTCGAAATTTTTCAAATATCTGGTATGCTTAAACTCAACACTATGCCAAGGGAAACCCTTATCCTGAAGGTAAGAGCCATTTACTAGAATACTCTGGTGGCAGTGGGGGAGGGGAAAACCTATTTCTTTAGGTGCAAAACACCCTGGGGAGACTGCTATTCCCTCCACCCCACCCCCAAAGCCCAGATCAAGATCCTGGAGTGGCTGCCTGACTCTAGAGGCCCAAGTTCAAGAACTTCTGACCACAGAGGGGTCACACAGCATGGGCAGGAGGAGCTTTAGGGTGAAAAGTCCTTGGGTGGGAATGTGACTTCTCCAGTGATGCCAGGGAGGACCCTTGGAAGAGAGATGAATCTACATAGTATAAACTTAGAATGTCACAGAATGCCACAGAATATCATGACTAGAATGCCACAGAGTGCTATAGAATGTCCAGGAATGTCGTAAAATGCTCTGGAATGTCAAAGAATGTCACGGGGTATTCTGAATTCTTGTAAATGTCAACGGATGTCATAGAATGCTGCAGATCATTGTAAATGTCATGGAATGTCAAGGACCACCTTCCGAAGACAACGTCATCAGACAGTGCTGCAGATAGCTGTAAATGTCATGGAATGACTTAGAACATCATCATGCTAGACCGTTGTCGGGTGTTACAGAATGTCAGCACCACAGAATGTCACGGAAACTTTGAGACAGCCGGAAAGGACTTTGGTGATCATCCAGGTTCACCTGCTCATTTTGCAGATGGGAAAACTGAGGTCCGGAGAGAGAAAGGGCCTTGTCTAGTGAAGCTCAAGCAGATGGTCGTTGGCAAATGCAGATTCAAAATCTGGGTCTCTGGACTCTCCACCCAGAGCAGCCTCCCTCGGCTCAAGGCTCTTGGGGACTAATTAACCCTGTGATGGAAACAATGGTGCCTAGTGGGTATTAAGCAAAACTCCCAGTTCTGACTGGCACTAGCCTTAAGTCAGAATGGGGAATTAACTCCACATGTGGGGCTTTCTGGTCTGGGAAGCAAAATAATGAGTTATTTGCACTGAAATCAACATTCCTGCTCTGCAGCAGAAAGAGGGTGGGTGTGTTGGGGGAGCCCTCGGAGGCCGCTCCCCAGGCCCTGTGCCAGAAAAGGTGCCCCCTGGCTTTCCCAGGAGACACTCCTGGCACAGACAAGGACTCCAAGGTGCCCAATCTTGTCAACAACTCTTGGCAGAGGCCCAGGGGCCCAGGAGGCTGTGAGGTGAGGGAGCAAGAAAGGGACCCCGGAGGGGGAGCATCTGATGTCACATTGGGTCTTTCCAGCCAGATGTCAGACAGCCAGGAAGAGCATTGAGTGGATGGAAGTTAGTGGGAAGCGTTGGAGGAACCCTTTGGCTCTCTTGGCAAGTTTATAGGTGAGAGATGATGGAGGAAGGAACAACAGGGCAAGATGGGCCAGGCGCAGTGGCTCAAGCCTGTAATCCCAGCACTTTAGGAGGCCGAAGCAGGCAGATCACTTGAGGTCAGGAGTTTGAGACCAGCCTGGCCAACATGGTGAAACCCCATCTCTATTACAAATAGAAAAAATTAGCCGGGCATGGTGGCACGCACCTGTAATCCCAGCTACTGGGGAGGCCGATGGAGGAGAATCGCTTGAACCCGGGAGGCAGAGGTTGCAGAGCGTTGAGATCATGCCACTGCACTCCAGCCTGGGAGACAGAGTGAGACCCTGTCTCAAAAAAAAAAAAAAAAAAAAAAAAGAGGGCAAGATGAACGTGGGTCTAGGAGGTGATCTTCCCTGGCCTCTGCACCTGACAGGCAACTCAACCATCATAAGACATGCTCTGCTTCTCTCCTTTGTTTCCCAAGCCCCACGTCTTCCCTCTCCCTCCCTCTCTCTGGTGCCAAGAGCTCCAGGACTAGTCCCTCTCCCTCCAGCCTCCTGGGTAGACCCCTTGGTCCCATAGCCCACCCTGCAAGTCCTCTGATCCTTACAGATGAACAAAGCCCTGGAGCTGCCTGCCCTAAAGGGAGATGTCAAACAAGGAGAATTTCGGGATCTGCCCCCATCGCTGATGCAGAATCCCTCCCCCTGGGTGCTGGTCTGTGGACCTTTCTGGGTTCAGAGCCCAGAGCCTGCCCAGGGTGTTCCCGTCCGTGAGGGGAGACTGGGCAGTGGCACTGAGCCAGCTTGCCAGGAAGGTCCCTCGGGCAGTCCCCGGGCTGGTCCTGGCTGACTAGAGCCACCATCACAGCTGAGGCGGGGAAACCTTGCCCCTTGGGAACTGGGCTGGCAGTGGCTCAGGGCATTACGCACCTACCCTCTTAGCAAAGCCATCCCTTCTCTCCGAGAGTTTCCTCCCTGAAGCTGTAAAAATAAGGTTCCTGCAGAGCCTGGTGGCAGAGCTGAGTTCAGGAAAGGGCACAAAGAAAAAATATACGGGAGGGAGAGGGTGAAGGGGCTCCAGCAGGGGCAGGCTGTGGTGCAGGAGGGTAGGGGAGGCCAGGGGTCATGGAGGACCACATTGGGGAGCTGCAGGGCGGTGCTCCTTTCCCTTGTCTGCACTAGTGAAGCTTTTCTCATGGGGCTCACGCCTGTGTGCTGCCGGACGCTGTCCATGTGGACACGTGTGCCTGGGTGCATGTGCTCGTGTGTACACGCACCTCTGGGGTCATTCTGCATGCTGGAGTCTATGTAGGTGACACAGGATTGCTGCAAGAGCTGAGGATAAATATGATAATGATATGCAAATTGTATGTGAGGCTTAGGAATAAGAGTAATAGAAGGCAGTGCTGGGTGCTCCTGGACCAGTCCCCTATGTGCAGGTTGGGCGCCATATTTATTCTTGTGCCAATGTCATGTACATTCCCTACCCCGCCCCCCACTCCATCCGCCCTTTGCCACCCGGGCTCCCACCTCCTGAGTTAGGATGAACTGGAAGAAAGGCATAGAGAGGCAGGAGCCCAGAGAGGGAGGGAAGGGGAGGGCAAGAGGAGAGAGGCTAAGATCAATGCGATGAAGAACTGAGATAAAGGAAGAAGAAGGAAGAGAAAAACAATAAGGGAAACGGGGAACGTGGGGATTCCGTGTGTGAATCCCCACCCCCAAAGCCCAGATCAAGATTCTGGAGTGGCCGCCTGGCTCTAGAGGCCCAAGTCCAAGTGTGGGGTGAGAGATGGGGAAGCAGAGGGGAGCGGGGGAAGGTACTGTGGTGAGTTCTAACCTGGACCCTTGTTAACGATCTTGAAATTCAAGTAAAGGCTGAGTTTAGTTTAGTTTAGTTTAGTTTAGTTTAGTTTAGTTTAGTTTAGTTTAGTTTAGTTTAGTTCAGTTCAGTTCAGTTTTGTTTTGTTTTGTTTTGTTTTGTTTGAGACAGAGTTTCAGTCTGTCGCCCAGGCTGGAGTGCAGTGGTGTGATCTCGGCTCACTGCAACCTCCGCCCCTGGGTTCAAGCAATTCCCCTATCTCAGCCTCCCGAGTAGCTGGGATTCCAGGCACGCTCTGTCATGCCCAGATAATTTTTTTTGTTTTTTGTTTTTTGTTTTTAGTGGAGACAGGGTTTCACCATGTTGGCCAGGCTGGTCTCAAATCCCTGACCTCAAGTGATCCACCCGCCTTGGCCTACCAAAGTGCTGAGATTACGGGCATAAGCCACCACACCTGCCCTGAGACTCTTTTAAAATTACTGTGTAATGGCTGGGTTTTGTGTTTTTGTGATTCTATGCTGAGACCAGGTCATTTGGGGCTACCAGCTATAGTCTCATCAGCTGTGTCCAGGGGAGATAGTTTGCATCTGGGTGGGAAAGCAGTTTTGAGAGTAAGGGGCCTTGTGAGCTAGATGGATGCTGCTCAGAGGTGTCTTCCAATGAAGGACATTCCCAACCTCGGTATCACAGCTTCCTCCCTGAGCATGTGCTTTTCTGTCCCCAGGCATTCCAGGCAAACAGAAATGCTAGAGAGCATCTAGGGACTCTGGGATTAGAGCTACTTGGGACTTCCAGCCTCATTTCCATATGGTCTCATCCTCAAAGAGCTTATATTCTCTTTTTTTTTTTTTTTTTTTTTTTTGAGACAGAGTCTTGTTCTGTTGCCCAGGCTGGAGTGCAGTGGTGTGATCTCAGCTCATTGCAACCTCCACCTCCCGGGTTCAAGCAATTCTCCTACCTCAGCCTCCCAAGTAGCTGGGATTACAAGCATGCACCACCGTGCCTGGCCTAATTTTTGTATTTTTAGTAGAGATGGGTTTCACCATGTTGGCCAGGCTGGTCTCGAACTCCTGGCCTCAAG
Organism: Homo sapiens; assembly: GCF_000001405.40. NCBI lineage: Eukaryota > Metazoa > Chordata > Mammalia > Primates > Hominidae > Homo > Homo sapiens. Next base: position 124,132,516 of record NC_000009.12, read on the forward strand.
TGATCCACCTGCCTCGGCCCTGCAAAGTGCTGGGATTACAGGTGTGAGCCACCACGCCTGGCCAAGAAGCTTATATTCTAATAGGGGACATAGAAACCCCAACTCCAGCTGACATGGCAAGAAGAATAGTAAAGACATTACAAGGCAGGAGTGGAGGGGAGCGCGTTGGCTGATCCGCCTGCGGGGAGAGAAGAGAAGCCACAAAGGTGGTGACCTTGAACTTGAGGAGGTATGAGCTGGAGATAGCCTACTGGGCATGGTAGAGGATTTCTTCCCGGGGCATGGGAACAGCATGTGCAGAGACAAGGGTGTTGAGGGGCCTGGCTCATCAGAGAAAGGCAAGTGAGGACCAGGAGCAGGAGGGGAGGGGGTAAGGCATGAAAGGAGAGGGTGGGGAATGAGCTGGTCATGTCAGGAAGGCTCGGAATCCCGGGGTCAAGAGAGAGCATTTTATCTTGAAAGCAATGAGGCGCCTTGGAGAGATGTGGAAGGTTTTTATCAGGGAATAATTAAGGGATTTTAGGAAGATGACTCAGCCTGCTGGGTGGTACATGGGAGTGGAGATGGAGGCGGAAGGGTCAGTCAGCGATGAGATAGTAGCTCACATTCACTGAGTACCATGCTGTGCCAAGCAGGATGGAAGCCCTTTATGTGCATAGTTTCCTCTTCCCTTCTCCACAGGCCGAGACAAGATCAGCACCCACACCATGCAGATGAAGAAACTGAGACTCAAGAGATGGAGTGAGGCCAAGCATGGTGGTGCGCGCCTGTAATCCCAGCACTTTGGGAGGCCAAGGTAGGTGGATCACTTGAGGTTAGGAGTTCGAGCCCAGCCTGGCCAACATGGTAAAACCCCATCTCCACTAAAAATACAAAAATTAGCCAGGCATGGAGGCACACAACTGTAATCCCAGCTACTGGAAAGGCTGAGGCACGAGAATCGCTGGGACCAGAGTGACAGAGGTTGCAGTGAGCCGAGATCACACCACTGCACTCCAGCCTAGGGGACAGAGTGAGACTCAGTCTCAAAAAAAAAGAAGAGAGCGAGAGATGGGGTGAATTTCCTAAGGCCATGCAGCTCGCAGACGGCTGCTGTGAGAGATCTGTCTGATTCCAGATCTCTCATTTTCTGTCTCCAAGCCTGGGGTGGAGCCTTTGGGCTCTGGATCCAGGCTGCCTGTGTTTGAGTCCTGTCTTCATCACTAATGTCACTGTGACATCCGGCAATTGACAGGTGAGCCCTGGTCCTTAAGGTCTTCCTCTGGAAAATGGGGTCCTAATAGCATCCACCTCATGTGGTTGTGAGAATGAAAGGCGTTGATATGGGCAAAGTGCTCAGCACTGTGCCTGGAGGCGGTGAGCATGCATTCTGTCAGGATCCCTAGGGGGCATGCATTGTCCATTGTGGAGCAGCCACAGCAGTCAGCATCGGCCGGAGGGCTGAAAGCTAGACAGGAAAAGTAGCTTGGAGGCTGGGTGCAGTGGTTCATGCCTGTAATCTCAGCACTTTGGGAGGCTGAGGCTGGAGGATTGCCTGAGGCCAGGAGTTCGAGACCAGCCTGGGCAACACAGTGGGACCCCATCTCTACAAAAAAAAAAAAAAAAAAAAAATCAAAGGCCGGGTGAGGTGGCTCACGCTTATAATCCTAGCACTTTGGGAGGCCGAGGTGGGCAGATCACGAGTCCAGGAGATTGAGCCCATCCTGGCCAACATGGTGAAACCCCGTGTCTACTAAAAATACAAAAAATTAGCCGGGCGTGGTGGCAGGTGCCTGTAGTCCCAGCTACTCAGGAAGCTGAGGCAGGAGAATGGTGTGAACCCGGGAGGCGGAGCTTGCAGTGAGCCGAGATCACGCCACTGCATTCTAGCCTGGGTGACAACGTGAGACTCCGTCAAAAAAAAAAAAAAAATTTAGCCAGATATGGTGGCTCATGCTGTGGTCCCAGCTACTCAGGAGGCTAAGACAGGAGGATCACTTGAGCCCAGGAGGCAGAGGATTCAATGAGCCGAGATCACTGCACTGCACTCCAGCCTGGGTGACAGAGCGAGACCCTGTCTCAAAAACAAACAAACAACAACAACAACAAGCAGCTTGGGATGGAGACAAATGGGAGACCCTGAGAGATGGGAGTGGCATGGATGGGATGCTGAGAAAGAGAGGGGAGGGACAAGTCAAGGATGTGTCCCAACTCTGGCCTGGGGTCCTGGGCTGGCAATGCTGTTCACTCAGCCCGGGGGCCTCAGAGGATGAGCAGGTAGGTGCAGGGCAGGCAGGTGGGCTGCCCTGGGGGTGATAAGGCTGTGGCTCCTGAGGCAACGCCCCCCCTCCCCCCCCCACCCCATCTCTATCTCTTCTCAGCCAGGGAAGAAACCCACCCACTTCCTCCCCTACTCTGACCAGCAAAGGCCTCCTCTGACCAGAGTCCCCAAGGAGTCCTGTGTGCCTGGCAGAGTCAAAGGGTGGACGCAGTCTCACCACACCCAGCCAGGTTCTCGATCCAGCCTCAGGGATATTCCCAGGCGCCTGCTGGATTCTGGCATCAACCCGTGCTGAATTCGCCTTGGACCCTGCCAGGGAGGGGAACGCTTAGAGTACCATGGTATTTTCCATGCGTGATTTATTTCAATGTTCTCTCCTGAATCAATATTAATACCACTACCAAAAAAGCCAGACCTTTTAAAAATGAGGGGTCTACTCTTAGTTCATAATTCTGGGATTATTAGGGGGTGTGAAAGCCTTTTCAGTGTGTTAGGGAAGAATGGCTATAAGAGTGAAGAAGGCCGTGCACCTGCTGCTTTCTTCCGAGTGCTCCAAGTGTCTTTTTCTTTCTTTTCTTTTTTCCTTCCTTCCTTCCTTCCTTCTTTCCTTCCTTCCTTCCTTCCTTTCTTTCTTTCTTTTCTTTTTTCTTTGACACTGAGTCTCACTCTGTCGCCCAGGCTGGAGCACAGTGGGGCGATCTTGGCTCACTGCAACCTCTTGACGGAGCTTGCAATCCTCCTGCCTCAGCCTCCAGGACAGATGGACAGATAGAGTAGCTCGGATTGCAGGCATGTGCCACAATGCCTGGCTAATTTTGTATTTTTCGTAGAGATGGGTTTCACCATGTTGGCCAGGCTGGTCTCAAATTCCTAGCCTCAGGTGATCCACCCCCTTGGCCTCCCAAAGTGCTGGGATTACAGGTGTGAGCTGCCGTGCCCAGCCCCAAATGCCATTTTTTAAAGATTAAAATAAATAAAAGTAACATTTATTTAAGTGATTCATGAGAAACAAAAATATTCACTGTGCAAGATTCACATGGCACAGAATGGTAAAAGAAAACAAAAGTCAGAAAAAGCCTACTTCCAAACATTACTAGTAACACCTTGGTGTATTTTCCTCCATAATTATTTTTTACATCTATCTATCTATCTATCTATCTATCTATCTATCTATCTATCTATCTATCTATCATCTTTCTCTATTTCTATCTGTCTGTCTGTATCTATCTATCTATCTCTATATCTATTTATCATCTATCCATCCATCCTTTTGATCATCCATTCATCCATCCATCTACCTACCTACCTACCTGGCTATCTGTCCATCCATCTACCCATCCATCCATCTATCCGTCCATTCATCCATTCATCCATTCATCTATCCATTTATCTACCTACCTTCCTGACTATCCATCCATCCATCCATCCATCCATCCATCTACCTACCTACCTGTCTGTCTGTTCATCCATCCATCCATCCATCCATCCATCCATCCACCCACAAAGTGGCATCATAGTATACTTAATGATTTTCAATCTGCCTTTTCCCATAATGACATGGGCAAGCATTTTTCATGTTATTTAACATGCTTCTATAACATCTTTCCCTATTTTTATTTCATCTCCTAAAATAAATGTATAGCTTTATGAACTGTAATAAACAAACACCCTTGTAACCACTACCTGGTTCAAGATTGAGAACTTCCACAGCCTCCTGAAGACTTCCCTGTTTCCTGCCTAGTCACCAAGGCTCCCCACTCACTCCGCAAAAAATAACCCACTATCCTGACATCTGTGGCAATTGCTTCCTGGCATTTCTTTGTAGCTTTATCAATCAAGTGGACATACTTAGACACTATAGTTTAGTTCTGGCCATTTTTAAAAATTGGGGTGTCTTTTATATTGTTTTAGTCTACAGTTTCTCCCTCCATCTTGTTCTTTTCCTTAAAAGCAGCCTGTAGCCAGGCATGGTGGCTCACTCCTGTAATCCCAACACTTTGGGAGGCCGAGGCGGGTGGATCACCTGAGGTCAGGAGTTCAAGACCAGCCTGGTCAAAATGGTAAAACCCCATCTCTACTAAAAATACAAAAATTAGCCAGGCGTGATGGCGGGAGCCTGTAATTCCAGCTACTCAAGAGACTGAGGCAGGAGAATTGCTTGAACCCGGGAGGCAGAAGTTGCAGTGAGCTGAGATCACGCCATTGCACTCCAACCTGGGCAACAGAGTGAGAAACAGTCTCAAAAAAAAAAAAAAGGCAGCCTGTAGGGGATCACTGGTCAATGCCACTTGACGGTAGAATTTCCCACAGCCTGGATTTCACCCAGTGCAGTTCCATATGCCCTCTGTAATTCCTGCAAATGACTCTTTTTAATGGTCACACCGTGATTTGTAACCAGTGCCTTACAATTGCCCAGCTTACAGTTCTGAATCGCTAGAATAGTTACCACTAAGATGAACATCCTTGTGTATATTTTTTGTATGTTTGTGGACGCCTTGTTCTCATGGGGCCCATCGCCCTCCCCTTCCCTGATCCCCCTGGGTTGGGAACACCGCTGTCTCCCCTTCAGGTCAGCCTGCCCAGCACTTTAAAGCTAGGTCAGCATCCTCAGCTGCCTCGCAGCCAGGGCCGCTGCCTGCCAAGTCACTCCATTTCCTCACACTCTGTGTCCCACCCCCATCTGAGTCTGACACACTCTTGCCCCCTGGAGACTTCTTCCCGTGTGGGCCAGCTTCTAGTCCTTCCTTCCCCACACACCGTATTTCTGAGGTCCCAGACTGCTTTGGGCATGAATCTACCCAAAATACAACATGTATGTTTTTGTTAGTATGTGGTTGAGGTATTTACATATTTAAAAAAACACAATGCAACCAATGCTATTTCTGGCACACACCAGATCTGCTTAACCCACCTCTAATTTCGACTGCAGCTGGGGCGGACATTTAGGGTTTTTCCAAGGCAGCTGGAAAGTCCGGAGAGTTGACTGTCTTGGGGTCAACTTTCAGCCAACAAAGGTGTTGGGAGGTTGTTGGGGAACCAGTGGACAAATGTCTCTCTCTGTCAGCCGTCCTTTAGAGACCGTGGAGACCAAGGGAAGATTTCCCCTTCCCGCCTTGAAGGTTCACTGAAAAATCAATTCAGAAAGTCAGATTAATTGGAGAAAAGGCACACAAATATTATTCACAGGTACATGGAGGCTTCAGAATGAAGACCCAAGTCTACAGGGGAAATTGTCCATTTTTAAGTTTAAATTCAACCAAGTATGGACAGTCATGTGGAAATACGAGTGGACAAAAAGGGAATGATCTAATGCTAACAGATGGAGTGGGGAAAGCCAGCAGGGCCTGTCTGTCTAGATTCTTCTTGCCCTTTCTGAACAGCGCTCCTTCCTTCTGAGTATGGGACAGGACCTCCTCTGGAATGGGGATCTTATGACCTACAAGCCAAACAAAGTAAGTCAGATAATTTCTTTATGGCCAGTTTTTACATAGAAAGCAGAGGGAAAGTTGGAGTAATATTTTTAAGGTTTTATGGTTGGCTTCGGGGAAAAGGGGTTCTGGTTTCTAGGAACCACCTTAGGGAAGAAGGATTCTAGTTTCTATGGCTAGCCTTGGGGGACAATGGGACTTAGAGACAGAAGGGCAGGAGAAAGCCAGCGAAAAAAATTTTGCCTCGGTGGCTTAGGCCTGTAATCCCAGCACTTTGGGAGGCCAAGGCAGGCGGATCACCTCAGGTCAGGAGCTCAAGACCAGCCTGGCCAACATGGTGAAACCCCGTCTCTACTAAAAATACAAAAAATAACCAGGCGTAGTGGTGACATCTGTAATCCCAGCAACTCAGGAGGCTGAGGCACGAGAATTGCTTGAACCCAGGAGGTGGAGGTTGTAGTGAGTCGCCAAGATGGCGCCACTGCACACCAGCCTGGGAGATAAAGTAAGACTCTGTCTCAAAAAAAAAAAAAAAGAGAAAAAGAAAAAGAAAAAAAGAAAAACTTTTGCTTCTGAGGCCTTCATTTTGGGCTCTTGTTTTCTGATCCTAGCAAGACACAGTTCTCAGTGCATTCTATAAAGTTCCTTGGGCTGGGTGCGGTGGCCCATGCCTGTAATCCCAGCTCGTAGGGAGGCAGAAGTAGGAGGATGGCTTGAGCCCAGGAGTTCGAGACCTGCCTGGGCAATATAGTGAGACCCCATTCTCCACAAAAAGGAAAAAAAAAAAAGACAAAAAAATGAAATAAAGTTCCTTGGGGAGTCCCCAGCTAAGGTCAACCCTCATTTGCCCAGTCCAATAACACACCCTTTCCTGGCACTGCTCCTCCCCTGGCTCATTCCTCCTTCTCCCTTGCTCCAGTTTCCTGGTGTTACTAAACTCCCAGTCCCCAAGTCCTTGTCTCAGGCTCTGTTTTGGAGAAAGCTCAAACTAAGACATGAAGGGTGGTATCTAGTGAAGTCACAGCCTACTGACTAAGCTAACCAGAATCCTCCAGAAGTGGGCAGCTGACAAATTGCAACAGAAAGGGCCGAAACTCACCAGACATCTAGGGTCAGGAGAATCTGTTCTTGGAAAATAGGCTGCCAGTGAGGTGCCCATCTCCTGCCCCCTGAACACAGGATTTGAACCTGAGAAAGGGGACTTGTCATTTGTCAGGGACCATAGAAGTATACTTACTTTAACTGCTCCCAGATGATGGCACATAAAGTTGCCTGGGGGAGACCTAGAACTAGAGGAAAGAGACCGAGGAACATCACCTGTGAGTCCACCTGTAGTAAGTGGGCAGAGGAGAGTGGCCTGACAACATGAGGCTCAGGGAAGTTGGTCTTTTTAAGTGCTTTTTTTTTTTTTTAGTTTTTGTGTTTCATTTTTGAACTAGTTTGTTTGTTTGTTTGTTTTTGTTGTTTGTGTTTTTCTGTTTTTGAGATGGAGTCTCACTCTTGTCGCCCAGGCTGGAGTGCAGTGATACAATCTTGGCTCACTGCAACCTCTGCCCTCGGGTTAGGCTGGGCACGGTGGCTCACGCCTGTAATCCTAGCACTTAGGGAGGCCAAGGCTGGAGGATCACGAGGTCAGGAGTTTGAGACCAACCTGACCAACATGGTGAAGCCGTGTCTCTACTAAAAATACCAAAATTAGCCCGGCGTTGTGATGCGTGCCTGCAATCCCAGCTACTCAGGAGGCTGAGGCAGTAGAATCGCTTGAACCCAGGAGGCGGAGGTTGCAGTGAGCTGAGATCGCACCATTGCACTCCAGCCTGGGCGATAGAGGGAGACACTATCTCAAAAAACAAAACAAAACAAAACCTCCACCTCCTGGGTTCAAGCAATTCTCCTGCCTCAGTCTCCTGAATAGCTCGGATTAGAGGTGCCTGCCACCAAACCCAACTGCTTTTTGTATTTTTAGTAGAGACCAGGTTTCACCATGTTTGCCAGGCTGGTCTCGAACTCCTGACCTCAAGTGATCTGTCTGCCTTGGCCTCCCAAAGTGCCGGGATTACAGGCGTGAGCCACCGCACTCAGCCATGTGTTTTGTTTTGTTTTGTTTTGTTTTTGAGACGGAGTCTCGCTCTGTCGCCCAGGCTGGAGTGCAGTGGCGGGATCTCGGCTCACTGCAAGCTCCACCTCCCGGGTCCACGCCATTCTCCGGCCTCAGCCTCCCAAGTAGCTGGGACTTACAGGTGTGTGCCACCATGCCCAGCTAATTTACGTGTTTTTTGTAGGGATGTGTTTTCACTCTGTTGCCCAGACTGGTCTCAAACTCCTGGCCTCAAGTGATCCACCCACCTCAGCCTCCCAAAGTGCTGGGATTACAGGCATGAGCCTTTTTTTTTTCTATTTATTTTATTTTATTTTTTTTGAGATGGAGTTTTTCTCTTGCTGCCCAGGATAGAGTGTAATGGCGCAATCTCGGCTCACTGCAGCCTCTGCCTCCCAGGTTCAAGCAATTCTCCTGCCTCAGCTTCCCAAGTAGCTGAGATTACAGGCGTCCACCACCACACCCGGCTAATTTTTTGTATTTTTAGTAGAGACGAGGTTTCGTCATGTTGGCCAAGCTGGTCTTGAACTCCTGGCCTCAGGTCATCCGCCCGCCTCGGCCTCCCAAAGTGCTGGGATTACAGGCGTGAACCACCGCGCCTGGCCTTTTTTTTTTCTTTTTTTAATGTTGCTTTGACAGAAAACACTTGTTATCTTTAAACCTAGAAGAGATCATTGGATCAATAAAACATTTTAGAAAGCTAATGGAAAAGTGAACCAAAAACCTGAAAAAAAAAAAATCACAGTAAAATAAAGACAAATGACCAAGAGAAAAAAATGAAAATGTCAAAGGCATTCAAACCAGAGTGACTCCATCTTGAATAGGGGCTGGGTAAAATAAGGTTGAGACCTCCTGGACTGCATTCCCAGGAGGTTAGTTAGCTGGCACAAGGTCATAAAGCGCTTGCTGATAAAACAGGTTGTGGTAAAGAAGCCGGCCAAAACCCACTAAAACAAAGATGGCAACGAAAATGACCTCTGGTTGTCCTCACCGCTCATTATACACTAATTATAATGCATTAGCAAACTAAGAGAGATTCCCACCAATGCCATGACAGTTTACAGATGCCAAGGCGACATCAGGAAGTTACCCTATATGGTCTAAAAGGGGGAGGAACACTCAGTTCCGTGAATTGCCTGCCCCTTTCCTGGAAAACTCATGAATAATCCACCCCTTATTTAGCATATAATCAAGAAATAACTATAAGTATACACAGTTGAGCAGCCCATGCTGCTGCTCTGCCAATGGAATAGCCATCCTTTTATTCCTTTACTTTCTTTTCTTTCTTTTTTTTTTTTTTTTTGAGATGGAATCTCACTCTTGTCGCCCAGGCAGGAGTGCAATGGTGCGTTCTCGGCTCACTACAACGTCTGCCTCCCGGGTTCAAGCGATTCTCGTTACTCAGCCTCCCAAGTAGCCGGGATTACAGGCTCCCGTGACCACACCCAGCTGATATTTGTATTTTTAGTAGAGATGAGGTTTCCCCATGTTGGCCAGGCTGGTCTCGAACTCCATACCTCAGGTGATCTACCCGCCTTGGCCTCCCAAAGTGCTGGAATTACAGGTGTGAGCCACGCGGTGTCCGGCCCTTTTTTTTTTTTGAGACGGAGTTTTGCTCTTGTCGCCCAGGCTGGAGTGCAATGGCACCATTTCGGCTCACTGCAACCTCTACCTCCTGGATTCAAGCGATTTTCCAGCCTCAGCCTCCAGAGTAGCTGGGATTACAGGCACTTGCCACCATGCCCAGCTAATTTTTGCACTTTTAGTAGAGACGGGGTTTCGCCATGTTGGCAAGGCTGGTCTCGAACTTCTGACCCCAGGTGATCCGCCCATCTCGGCCTCCCAAAGTGCTGGGATTATGGGTGTGAGCCACCACATCCGGCCTTTCCTTTACTTTCTTAATAAACTTGCTTTCACTTTATGGACCCCAAATTCTTTCTTGTGCAAGTTTCAAAAACCTTCTCTTGGGGTCTAGATTAGAACCCCTTTCCAGTAACAAAAGGATGTTTAATTATTTCTAGTAGGCAAAAAAGGCAAAGTAGGCCGGGTACGGTGGCTCATGCCTGTAATCCCACCACTTTGGGAGGCTGAGGAAGGTGGATCTTCTGAGGTCAGGAGTTTGAGACCAACTTGGCCAACATGGTGAAACCCTGACTCTATTAAAAATACAGGAATTAGCTGGGCGTGGTGGCAGCTGCCTGTAATCCTAGCTACTCGGGAGGCTGAGGCCGGAGAATTGCTTGAACCCGGGAGGTGGAGGTTGCAGTGAGCCAAGATGGTGCCACTGCACTCCAGCCTGGGTGACAGAGTGAGACTCCGTCTCAAAAAAAAAAAAAAAAGGCAAATTGATATGTCAAAATACTGTCTTTTGCCTATCAAACTGGCAATGATTTTAAAATGTTAGTGCCTAGCACAATGTGACAGATTGCTATTACTATTAACATCATTATTGTTTTAAGAGATGGGATCTAGCTATATTGCCCAGGTTAGACTCTGGGCTCAAGTAGTCCTCCCACCTCAGTCTCCTGAGTAGCTGGGACTACAGGCATGTGCCACAGCACCCAGTTCACACTGCTGTTTATTCCCTCAAAATACATTCTATCTTCCGTAGTAACAGAATTTTGGTGGCATAAGAATGCTCAGATACAGACTGTATTTCCTAAACTACTCTGTAGCAGATATGGTCATATGACTAAGCTCTCATCAATGGAATGTGCTGGGAGTGATTGTCAGGCCTCTGAGCCCAAGCTAAGCCATCATATCCCCTGTGACCTGCACGTAGACATCCAGATGGCCTGAAGCAACTGAAGATCCACAAAACAAGTGAAAACAGCCTTAACTGATGACATTCTGCCATTGTGATTTCTTTCTGCCCCAACCTAACTGATCAATGTACTTTGTAATCTCCCCCACCCTTTAGAAGGTTCTTTGTGATTCTCCCCACCCTTGAGAATGTACTTTGTGAGATCCACCCCCTGCCCACAAAACATTGCTCCTAACTCCACCGCCTATCCCAAAACCTGTAAGAACTAATGATAATCCCACCACACTTTGCTGACTCTCTTTTCGGACTCAGCCCGCCTGCACCCAGGTGAAATAAATAGCCTTGTTGCTCACACAAAGCCTGTTTGGTGGTCTCTTCACACGGACACGTGAGACATTGATGTGTTTCATTTTAGTTTCATTTGTGCTAGTTGGGGTCCCAGCAGGAAAGGGATGGTACCCTCAAACTGAGTAATTTGAGGAGAGTTAAAAAAAAAGGAAAATTTACAAAGGTGTGTGTCAGGCCTCTGAGCCCAAGCTAAGCCATCATATCCCCTGTGAACTGCATGTAGACATCCAGACGGCCTGAAGCAACTGAAGATCCACAAAACAAGTGAAAATAGCCTTAACTGATGACATTCCACCATTGTGATTTGTTTCTGCCCCACCCTAACTGATCAATGTACTTTGTAATCTCCCCCACCCTTAAGAAGGTTCTTTGTAATTCTCCCCACCCTTGAGAATGTACTTTGTGAGATCCAACCCCTGCCCGCAAAACATTGCTCCTAACTCCACCGCCTATCCCAAAACCTGTAAGAACTAATGATAATCCCACCACCTTTGCTGACTCCTTTTTTTGGACTCAGACCGCCTGTACCCAGGTGAAATAAACAGCCTTGTTGCTCACACAAAGCCCGTTCGGTGGTCTCTTCACACGGACGCATGAGACAGTGTGGACAGTATATAATAAATAATTTGTTGGCCCAGGAGGTCAAGGCTGCAGTGAGTCATGATTGCACCACTGTACTCCAGCCTGAGTGACAAAGCAAGAACCTTTCTCCCTCTCTCTCTCTTCTTTTTTTTTTTTTTTTTTTTGAGACTGAGTCTCACTCTGTCACCCAGGCTGGAGTGCAGTGGCTCGATCTCGGCTCACTGCAGCCTCTGCCTCCTGGGTTGAAGCGATTCTCCTGCCTCAGCCTCCTGAGTAGCTGGGATTACAGGCATGTGCCACCATGCCGGGCAAATTTTTGTATATATTTTTTTCTTTCTTTTTTTTTTTTTTTTTTTTTTGAGACGGAATCTGGCTCTGTCGCCCAGGCTGGAGTGCAGTGGCGCAATCTCGGCTCACTGCAAGCTCCGCCTCCCAGGATCACGCCATTCTCCTGCCTCAGCCTCCCGAGTAGCTGGGACCACAGGCGCCTGCCACCACGCCTGGCTAATTTTTTGTATTTTTAGTAGAGACGGCGTTTCACTGTGTTAGCCAGGATGGTCTTGATCTCCTGGCCTTGTGATCCGCCCACCTCGGCCTCCCAAAGTGCTGGGATCACAGGCGTGAGCCACTGCACCCGGCCAAATTTTTGTATTTTTAGTAGAGATGGGCTTCACCATGTTGGCCAGGCTGGTCTCGAACTCCTGGCTTCAAGTGATCTGCCTGCCTCAGCCTCCCAAAGTGCTGGGATTACAGGCATGAGTCACCTCACTCGATCCTTTCTCAAAACAAACAAAAAGAATTTGCTGGCCTCGGCTCCTGGTTCCTGGGAGGTAATCTTCAAATCCCTGGAACTTCCTGAGTAAAAAAAGTATCTTTGATATTCATGATGGCTCCCATGGGCCACACGTGATGGTTTAGGTGACTAATGCTTCCTAGGAAGTTTATGCTAATCAGAAGACAAGGTAGGGTCAGGGTGGAGACTGACAATGCCAGAAAGTCCAACCGTTTGATAAGACGGCTGGGGCTTTGAGTCACCTGATATCAGCCCTACCTCTGGGGACAGCTAGGGGAGTAAAGGTTGAGTTCAACCTCATGGCCATGATTTAATCAGCCTATGAAATAAAGCCCCAATAGAAAGTCTGGACACTGTCATTTAAGTGAGCTTCCCTGGTTGTCCATACTATGCATATTGATGTGCTGGGAGGGTAACGGCTCCCCGAGGATGATGGAAGCTTGATGTTTGGGACCCTTCCAGACCTTGCCCTATGCATCTTTTTCTTTGGCTGATTCTGGTTTGTATCTTCTTGCTAATCATATGTATCATGCTATCCTGAATTCTATGAGTTATTGAAACTGCCTTTGCAAAATTATGACTGAGACAGTGAAAGAGACCTAATTTAACCAACTCCATCTTGTTTCTTTCTTTTTCTTTTTCTTTTTTTTCTTTTTTCTTTTTTCTTTTTTTCTTTTTTTGAGACAGAATCTCTTTGGCACCAGGCTGGAGTGCAATGGCGCGATCTCGGCTCACTGCAACCTCCGCCTCCCAGGTTCAAGAGATTCTCCTGCCTCAGCATCCCGAGTAGCTGGGACTACAGGCGCGCACCACCATGCCTGGCTAATTTTTTGTATTTTTAGTACAGACGGGGTTTCACCATGTTGTCCAGGCTGATCTTGAACTCCTGACCTCAGGTGATCCACCTGCCTTGGCCTCCCAAAGTGCTGGGATTACAGGCGTGAGCCACTGCACCTGGCACCCCATCTTGCTTCTAACCTCCAAACTGTCCTTGTTCATTCCTGGGTGTAGGCTGAACTATCTTTGAGAGAAACCCAGTTTATAGTTTATAGTTTAAAACGAAGACATTAACAGCCCTTTCCCAAAGCAGACCTTCTTGCTTGGGGACTAGATTGCCTTTGTAGGACTAACATTAGCCACAACATTAGAAATTATGGTTTAGGAGTCACGCAGCTGGAGGTTACAAGATTCTCACCCTCCCTAGACTGCTCCTAAGGTCAGTGCTGAGATATTTTTCAGACCCTGCACTTGATGGATCAGCTGGCATCACCCAGAACAATAAACTGGCTCATCTGATCTTATGATCCCTACCCAGGAACTGACTCAGCACAATAAGGCAGCTTTGACTTTCTGTAATTTCCTCCCTGACCAATCAGCACTCCTGGCTCACTGGCTTCCCCCCACCCACCAAGTTGTCCTTAAAAACTCTGCTCCCCAAATGCCCGGGGAGACTGATTTGAGTAATAAGAAAACTCCAGTTTCCTACACAGCCGGCTCTGTGTGAATTATTCTTTCTCTATTACAATTCCCATGTCTTGAGAAATCAGCTCTGTCTAGGCAGGGGGAAGGTGAACCCCTTGCACAGTTACATTATTCTAGAATGTTTGAACCTGAGGGAGTAGTGAGGATCCCTGGATTTGTAGTCAGCTGGTTAGAAGTGGGGGTAGTCTAGGAAACCCCAAACTTGCAGCTGATGTCTGAGTCTTCTAGAGGACTGTGCTCTTTCCCTTGCGAAATTTGGCCAGACTATGAGCCGCTGGTGTCAGAAGTCACTGCAGGCAGAGGGTTTAGGAAAAGTAACAGGAGGTGATGCAGTACCCCCGGGTGAGCATCAACGGGGAGCTCTTACCTTCTCCAGGCCTTAGAGACTGGAGAAAGGAGCAAATAGAAGCTCAGAGAGGATGACATGGAGCAGACCATCCGACAGGAGCTGTGGCTTTTTCTTTTCTTTTCTTTTCTTTTTTTTTTTTTTTTTTTGAGACAGTTTCGCTTTTTCACCCAGGCTGGAGTGAAGTGGTGCGATCTTGGCTCACTGCAACCTCCACCCACCGGGTTCAAGAGATTCTCTTACCTCAGCCTCCTGAGTAGCTGAGACTACAGGTGCCTGCCACCACAACTGGCTAATTTTTGTGTTTTTAGTAAAGACAGGGTTTCGCCATGTTGTCCAGGCTGGTCTCGAACTCCTGACCTCAGGTGATTCACCCACCTCGGTCTCCCAAAGTGTTAGGATTACAGGCGTGAGCCACTGTGTCTGGCCAGGAGCTATGGCTTTCAGTAAAGGGACACAGGCAACTCCCAGCAAGGAGTGAGCCAGAGCACTTGGTGCCCTGATCTCTTGACTCCATCCTCTGATCTCTTACTGATGTCTTCCATTGGCTGAACTAAACTGGAAGCCAAAGGACAAGGAAATCTATAGAGGTCAGCTCCAAGGCACAGAGCAGAACAGAGCATGGATCTGGAGAGGCTAATATCCAGTTCACTTGCCCCAAACAAAATCATCTTCTCTCTACCGCCTTTCCCTCTCCTTTCTTGCAGAATAAAATCAAATGAGGACCTGGAGGGCCTTTGATCACAGAGTTGGAGACAGTCCCCCAGGGGATGGCAGATGAAGATGAAGGAACTACAGTCCCAGAATGTTTTCAGTGAGAAATGCCTCCTCAGCTTGGGGCTTCTTAGCTTTAGATTCTTATGTGAAAAAGAAAGAAATGTCCAGCTTGCTTGAGTAACTGTGTTTTCTGATCTTTTTGCTATGGCAGTTTAGCCTGTATCCTAACTGATGTCGTTGGTATGGACATGATAATCCAGGCTGTCTGCTACATTGGAGAGAGGGTAAATGGGTACACTATCTCTCAAACACAATCGAACATGATATATCAGGAGCTTTAAAAGTTTAGATCCTGTAGTTCATGATTCTATTTCTTGGAGTTTAAGAAAATAGAAATATTGGCACAAGTATATTCAATTACATACCATTGATGTGATTTTCATAAAAAAATCAGGAATAGAAGCAACCTTAAAATACATACAATAATAAAAGAACAATTAATAGATTATGGTCCAGCCTGGCCAACATGGCAAAACCTGTCTCTGCCAAAAAAAAAAAAAATCCAAAAAAAATTAGCCAGACGTGGTGGCACACATCTGTAATCCCAGCTACTCAAGAGACTAAGGCACGAGAATCACTTGAGCCTGGGAAGCAGAGGTTGCAGTGAGCAGAGATTGTGCCACTGCACTCCAGCCTAGGTGACAGGGTGAGACTCCGTCTCAAAAAAAAAAAAATAGGTTATGGTTCATCCATACATGATGCTATGTGATACAACCAGTACAAATGGTTCTTATTTTTTATTTTATTTTATTTTATTTTACTTTATTTATTTGGAGACAGAGTCTTGCTCTGTCACCCAGGCTGGAGTGAAGTGGTATGATCTCAGCTCACTGCAACCTCTGCCTCCTGGGTTCAAGCAATTCTCCTGCCTCAGCCTCCTGAGTAGCTGGGATTACAGGCACATGCCACCACACGTGACTAACTTGTATTTTTAGTAGAGATGGGGTTTCATCATATTGGCCAGGGTGGTATCGAACTCCTGACCTCAGGTGATCCGTCTGTCTCAGCCTCCCAAAGTGCTGGCATTACAGGCATGAGCCACCATGCCTGGCCATTTATTCATTTATTTTAGGGACAAGATTTCACTCTTGCTCAGGCTGGCATGCAATGGCACCATCATAGCTCACCATAACCATGAATCCCTGGTCTCAAGCCATCCTCCTGCCTCAGCCTTCCAACTAACTAGAACTACAAGCATGCATGACCAACCACTCCCCAATAATTTTTAAATATATATTTGTTTAAAGATGGGGTCTTTTTATGTTGTCCAGGCTGGTCTCAAACTCCTGGGCTCAAACGTTCCTCCCATATTGACCTCCCTATGTGCTGGGATTACAGGGGCAAATCACTGCACCTGGCCACAAATGATTTTTATATAGATCTTTAAATATGAGAAGATGCTAATAACATAATGTTAAATGAAAAACTGGGATGTAAAAGTATCATCTCAAGTATGTCAATATTCAAAGAAAAAAGACGAATGAAATATGCCAAAATAACAACAGTGATTGCCTCTGGATTGTGGGCAATATCTTTCCCCTTATTTCTACTTTTGTTTTCTTCCCAATGTTCCTACAATAACTATATATTATTTTTAAAAATAAGACAAAATGTCCCGTTAAAAAGTATCTTTGAAGAAATAAGTATCCATGAACCAAGAAAAATCTGTCCAGTAGAATTTCATCAATGTCCATGTGTCTTAGTCCCTTTGGGCTGCTATAAAAGAATACCATAGACTTGGTGGCTTATGAATGACAGAAATTTATTTCTCACAGTTCTGGGGTCTAGGAAGTCCAAGATCAAGGCACCAGCAGAGTTGGTGTCTAGTGAGGACATGCCTACTGTTCCATAGATGGCATCTTCTAGCTGTTTCCTCACATGGTGGAAGGGGCGAGGGGGCTCTCTAGAGTCTTCTTTTTATAGAAGCATTAATCCCATTCATGAGGCTCCATCCTTATGACTTAATCATCTACCAAGGACCCCACCTCTTTTTTTTTTTTTTCTTTGAGACGGAGTCTTGCTCTGTCGCCCAGGCTGGAGTGCAGCGGCACCATCTCTGCTCACTGCAAGCTCCACCCCCTGGGTTCACGCCATTCTCCCGCCTCAGCCTCCCAAGCAGCTGGGACTACGGGCGCCCGCCACCACGCGCAGCTAATTTTTTGCATTTTTAGTAGAGACGGGGTTTCACCGTGTTAGCCAGGATGGTCTCGATCTCCTGACCTCATGATCTGCCCACTTCGGCCTCCCAAAGTGCTGGGATTACAGGTGTGAGCCACTGTGCCCGGCCGGGCCCCACCTCTTAATGCCATCACATTGGGGATTACAATTTCAAGGTATGAATTTTGGGGGACACAAACATTAAGTCTTTGGCGCCATGTGATTCTGTCTCACTTGCCTTTCCTAGTGCCTGAATTTGGTTCTGATTTCCTATCTCTGAGACCTGCCCCATCTTCACTGTCTTCTAGTGGTACTATAGGTTGTTAACCTTGAATTTTCTTCTCAACTTCACTCATGATTTGAAGGATGTTCTAGTGCTCATCCATTGCTTCTCTGATATGGACTCCCACGGTTACCCGGGTGCTGACCTTGTTAGAGCCTACCTCCTAACAACTCCCAACATATCCCTTTCAGAATTATTTACTGCCAAATCCTTTTCATCCCTCAGAAGTCTGGGTTCTCTTTATTTACAAGGTGTATCTCTACCTACTATGGGAAGTTTGATCCATGTCAACAACGGTGGCAGGGTGGGAAGTGGCAGGCTCTGTAGGGAAATGCAGACCAATTTTCAGCACCAAGGAGAGTTCTGAGGAAGCTGTCTCTGGGATGATCTCCTCATGACAGAATCCTTTTACCCTGGGGAGCTCATAAATACCCTGTAGGTCACATCCACAGGGAAGAATTGTGTACTATATCCCTAGGGTATCAAATGATTTCATCTTCCTATGTTAACTATAAGTGACTGCTAGTGGCTTCCCAAAGAGCTCTCTTGGGGAGAAAAATGAAATCTTGTGTATGTTTAACAGGAAATTATTCCAAGATTGATTAACGACTAATTAATTAATTTCCATAGGTGGAAAATGAGTGAGCCATGAAATGGTTGCTAGGCATTTGCCAATGCTAGTCTAACCCTTAGAATATCATGATTCTTAGCTGAATAATTCAATCCTATCCTTCAACAATCCTAACTAATTCTTCATATTTGTTATTTGGCAAATATCTTGCTGCAGGCTTGAACTTGTGCTTCACTTATTGACAGTTTTCTCTATTATCTTCCAGTAGATGACTGAGCGTCTGCCTTGCTTTTTCTGTTCAATATTTTGGCTCCCTGAACCCTAATCCACCAAGCTGAGACCTTGGACTTCCATTTTGGCTTTGATATCCTCCCAGGTGTCTGCCATTATCTATGACAGTCTGTGTCCTAAGAGTGGTCTTATTTCAATCTAGATGGACTTTTCTCCCAGTCAGAACTGCAACACCTCTTTGCATGCCTCTGTTTATGTTAATCAAGGGATCAACCCTAGGAATATCAATTCCATCCCAGGCCAGGAGCAAGCACCTAGGCACCTTTAGGCTCTTTGATTTGATCTCTTTTCCTCCTGCTTTACTTTTCCATTTGTCTTTCCAGTCCTGACCATGCTGAATGCCAGCATCCTCCTGCATCTTCTCTGTTTTCCTTGAATACTGAGGAGCTCCAGTTTAGAAGAGGCTACATTCAGAGCATGCTCCAACCCCTGACCACCATCTCACCTATCTCCTATCTGGACTCCTGGCAGGATGCTCAGACTGCAAACACAAATATAGACCTCTGTGCCTGGCACAACAAGACATTGATCTCATGAGTCTCAACACCATTTCTTGTTCCCTCTGGGTATCTATGCTCAGGACTCCCCCACAGCCTTCTGAGTTCCATTCGCTGAGAGACTCTCAAGGGTCAAAGACCAGGGATGCTTCCCTATAGAAAGGAGGAACAGAGCATGCTGAAATGGGTCTCTGGGATCTCCTGCCCATCTTGGAATCATATTCCCTTCATATATAATCAGACACTCTGACATTATCTTAGTTTATAACTATTATAACAGGCAGGCTGGGATGTTGGTCAGAATGGAGAGACTTGGGCCCTGTGGGAATCTGGGTACAATGATCAGCAGGATCTTGAGGGAGCATCTGAGCACAGAGCTGGGCTGTCGCCTGTAGGTTCAACTTCCACAGTCTTTTGCTCTTTATCTTTTTTCTGTCTCTCTCAGAACTCCAGGCTTCGTGTCTTCCCTTTCTCCTTTTCTTACTCCTCCCTCTGTTCCCTCTGCTTTTCTTCCTTGAAAATAACTTTTAATTAATCTTGTTTTTATTTTAAAGTGATCTTTTTATTTGGAAAATACAGTAAAACACCAATAACTGAAAATTCCGTCATTCAGAGGCATCCACTATTACCACCTGCCATATTCTTCCAGTCTCTTTCCTTTTTTTCTTTTTTTTAACAGAATGATTTCAAATTTGTTTATTAATACAACAATAAACGATCCCATCTTGGTTGTCAAATATTTCAACGATAGAAATACAGACAGTAAAATTGAAGTGTTCCCTTTATACTCCTCCAACTTCAACTCCTTCTTAGAGGTAACCACTGCAATCTTTTGTGTTGTATATATTCTGGGTACTTAAGTTTTACATGTTTATGTATTAGTTGGAAATTATGTTTAGCCTCTTGAAAGAGACTGATGGAAGTAGAAACAGAAGCAGAAAAGCGTATTGTCTTCTCCTGGAAAAGCATTCTGAAGGTAGGTACCACAGCAGCTTCATGGTTGTAAGGGACCTGGACTCCTCTGAACTTTCTGCTCTTCTGTTCTTGGCTTTGGCTTCTATGACCCCATGGTCCAGAAGGTTTGTGGGGGTTCCAGCCACCATGTCCTTATTCAAGACAGAAGGAAGGGCCAGGTGTGGTGCCTCCTGCCTGTAATCCAGCACTTTGGAAGGCTGAGACAAGAGGATTGCTTGAGCCCAGGAGTTCAAGACCAGTTCAAGACAAACATAGAGAGAACCCATTTCTACCCCCACCAAAAAAAAATTAGCTGGGCATGGTGGTGTGCACCTGTAGTCCTATCTACTTGGGAGGCTGAAGCAGGAGGATTGCTTGAGCCCAGGAATTCAAGGCTGCAATGAGCCATGATTATACCACTGCCCTCCAGGTTGGGCAACAGAGTGAGACCCTATCTCAAGGAAAAAAAGAAAGGAGGGAGAAGGAAAAATGGAATGACAAAGAGAGAGTGCCTTGGCTGTCAGTTTTCCTTTTAAAGAGCCTTCCCAGAAGACTGTCCTAATAACTTCTGTTTATATATTATTGGACAGAACTTAGTCATACAACTATCCCTACCTACAAGGGAGGCTGGGATCTGTGGTCATTTAGCTAGTTATGTTGTACTTCTATTACTAAGGAAGAAAGGAAAATGACACTAGCTAAATAATTACATCTTTCTGTCACAATGTATATTTTTTATTTTTACATAAATGTGATTATATCATATTTATAGATTTTCAACTTCATTTTTTCGCCTTCAGTTTACCTTGAGAATTTTTTCAATATCACAATATATAGTTCTCTCCTAGTCTTTTAAACTGACATCTGGCATTTCATCAGTTTATATTACGATTTATTTAACTACTCCTCCACTGATAAAAATTTAAGTGCAGACTCCTTGTGCAATGATTCTGCAGAATAGATTCTTGAAAAAAGTTTGCTCAAAGAGTATGTACATTTAAATTTTGGATAGATACTGCCAAATTTTCATCCAAAAATGCTTTATAAATTTACAGATCTGCCAACCATATACAAAAGGACTTGTTTTTTTCACATTATCTCCATCACTGGATATTACTATTTTATAGTTTATTAATTTGGAGGTAAAATGTCATTGAATATTATATTAATTTCTAATTTCTATAATTATTTAAAGTTTAGGCGAATTTTACATTTATTCATAATTATTTGTATTTCTTCTTTTTGAATTTACTGTTCAGTTTTTTTGCGCATTTCTTGTTGAGTTGTTTCCTACAGATTTGTAGTAGTTCTTCATGTATACTGAGTATTGATCTTTTTTTTTTTTTTGAGATGGAGTCTTGCTCTGTCTCCCAGGCTGGAGTGCAGTGGCACAATCTCAGCTCACTGCAAGCTCCGCCTCCCGGGTTCATGCCATTCTCCTGCCTCAGCCTCCCAAGTAGCTGGGACTACAGGCGCCCACCACCACGCCTGGCTAACTTTTTGCATTTTTAGTAGAGACAGGGTTTCACAGTGTTAGCCAGGATGGTCTTGATCTCCTGACCTTGTGATCCGCCCGCTTCTGCCTTCCAAAGTGCTGGGGTTACAGGCGTGAGCACTGCGCCTGTCCGAGTATTGATCTTTTATCTGTTATATACATTACAAATATTTCTCTCATTCTGTTGGTTTTCTCTTAATATTATTTATGTGATATTTCATTATACAGAAATTTTATATGTATTGTCATATCTGTCCATCTTTTTCACATAAGCTTGTCTTTTTAATGGAGACTTTCCTGCCATGAAATATTCTTCACGGAAGTTTTTCTGCCAAGAGATTTTAAAAATATTCTTCTACTTTTTCTTCTTAAATTTTTATATTTATTTTTAAAATTCCATATGTTTCATTGGTCCATTCATATCTTCTCTCATCAATACCATAGAGTGTTAATAACTGTAATGTTGTACTTTGGTATCTTGTAGTGAAAGTCTTCATTATTGTTCTCTTTTTAAAGTTTCTTGGCTATTCTTATACATTTCCTCTTGCAAAAACTTTAGAATCATAAATCAGTAATAAAAACATTTCCCAACCAAAAAAAAGCTCATGACAGCCATTTTCACAGACAAATTCTACCAGATGTACAAAGAACTGGTACCAACCCTACTGAAACTGTTCCAAAAGATCAAGGAGGAGGGAGTCTTCCCTAACTCATTCTACAAAGCCAGTATCACCCTAACAACGCTAGGCAAGAACACAATAACAAAAAAGGAAACCACAAGCCAATATCCCTGATGAACACAGATGCAAAAATCCTCAGCAAAATACTAGCGACCTCAATTCAATAGTACATCAAAAAGATAATAAACTAAGATCAAGCAGGTTTTATTCCAGGATGCAAGGATGGTTCAACATACGCAAATCAATAAATGTGATTCACCACATAAATAGAATTAAAAACAAAAAGCATATGATCATCTCAATAGATGCAGAAAAGGCATTCAATAAAATTCTGCATCACTTCACGATAAAAATCCTCAACAAAGTAGGCATAGAGTAAATATACCTCAAAATAGTAAAAGCCACATATGATAAACCCATAGCCAATGTCATACTGAATGGGAAAAAGTTAAAAGCATTCCCCTTAAGAAGTGGAATAAGACAAAGATGCCCATTTTCACTACTCCCACTCAACACAGTACTGGAAGTCCTAGCTAGAGCAATAAGGCAAGAGAAAGAATAAAAGGCATTTGCCAGTCACAGTGGCTCAAGCCTGTAATCCCAGCACTTTCGGAGGCCCAGGCGGGTGGATCACATGAGGTCAGGAGTTTGAGACCAGCCTGGCCAACATGGTGAAACCCCTGTCTCAACTAAAAATACAAAATTAGCCGCGTGTGGTGATGCATGCCTGTAGTCCCAGCTACTCTGGAGGCAGAGCCAGGGGAATCGCTTGAACCTAGGAGGCCGAGGCTGCTGAAGTGAACCGAGATCGCACCACTGCACTCCAGCCTGGGCAAGACAGAGCAAGACTCCGTCTCAATAAAAAAAGAAAGAAAAGAGAGAGAAAGAATACTCTTTTCCTCCTGAGGGTCTTGGGAAATTCCCCTTCCCACCTCTCTGATCTTTTTACTGCCTCCATAAGTCTAAACTGATTTGATATTTAACACTACTACCAACAATATATGAGAATTTCAGTTGCTCTGCATGTTTTCCTCTGCAAGTTTTATAGTTTTAACTTTCATGTTTAGGGTTTTTTGTTTTTGTTTTAGAGATGGGATCTTGCTCTGTTGCCCAGGCTGGAGTGCAGTGACACCACTATAGCTCACTGCAGTCTCCAGTGCCTGGGTTCAAGCAATCTTCCCATTTCAGCCTTCTGAGTAGCTGGGATTGCAGGTATGAGCCACTGTACCCAGCTATGCTTAGGTTTTAAAACATATATATTTCAGGTCAATTTTTGTGTATGATGTGAAATGGGTAAAGGTTTATTTTTCCATATGGATATCCAGTTGTCCCAGTTCCATCTGTTGACAAGACTTACCTTTCCCCATTGGATTACTTTGGTGCTCTTATTTAAAATTAAGTATTAGAGCTCTCTATTTTGTTCCATTGATACATTGTTGCCCTTATAGTCCTTATAAATCTTATAGAGTCCTTGTAGCAGTACCATAATCTTAATTACTTGAGGTTAGGTAGGAAAGCCTTCCAAATTTATCTTCTGGACTGCTTTGCCTATTCTAAGTCATTTGCATTTCCAAATAACTTTTGAATTAGTTGACATATTGCTACCAAATAATCTTTGTGGGATTATAACTGAGATTAAGTTAAATTTATAGATCAGTTTGGGGAGAATTGATATGTTAATATTTTTGTGTCTTTCAATTCATGAACATCTTATATATTTCCATTTATTTAGGTCTTCTTCAATTTCATTCAGAAATGTATTATACTTTTCAGTATAGATATCTCACGTAATTTTTGTTAAATTTATTCTTATGATTATATGTATTTTAATCCTTTTGTAAGTCAACTTGTTTTTTAGACTTTATTTTCCAATTGTTTCATACAGTATATAAATATCTAATTAATTTTTGTATATTACCCTTCTGTATGTGACCTCACTAAATTCAGGTGTTAGTTCTAGTAGTTGTTTTATAGCTTCCCTGAGATTTTCTGCCTAAACAATTATGTTATGCCATCTGCAAATAGAGAAGATTGTATTTCTTTTTATTGCCTTATTGCAATGCTTAGGATCTTTGGGACCCTATTGATTAGAATTGGGTGAGTGTGCACTTATCTTGGTCAGTTTGGACTAAATATCAAATATACCATAGACTGGGTGGCTCAAATAACAAGCATTTATTTCTCACAATTCTGAAGGCAGGTAAGCCCAAGATCAGGTGCCAGCAGATCCAGTGTGTGGTGAGGGACCCACTTCCTCCCCCTCCTCCTCCTCCTCCTCTTCTTCTTCATCTTCTTCTTTCTTCTTCTTCTTCCTCCTTCTCCTCTTCTTTCTCTTCTTTCTTTTTTATTTATTACTATTATTATTATTATTATTTTGAGATGGAGTTTTGCTCTGTCGCCCAGGGCTGGAGTGCAATGGCGAGATCTTGGCTCACTGCAACCTCTGCCTCAAAGGTTCAGGCGATTCTCCTGTCTCACCTCCCAAGTAGCTGGGATTACAGGTGCCTACCACCATGCCGAGCTAATTTTTTTGTATTTTTAGTAGAGACAGGGTTTCACCATGTTGGTCAGGCTAGTCTCGAACTCCTGACCTCCGGTGATCCACCCACCTGGGCTCCCAAAGTGCTGGGATTACAGGTGTGAGCCATCGCACCCAGCCCTTCTTTTTTCTAAGACGGGGCCTCACTGTGTTTGCCCAGCTGGAGCATAGAGGCAGGATCATTGCTCACTGCAGCCTCAATCTCCCAGCCTCAGGTGAACCTCCCACCTCAGCATCCTGAGCAACTGGGACTACAGGAATGTGCCACAATGTCAGGCTAATTTTTTTTTTTTAATTTTTTGTAGAGACAAGGTTTTACTATGTAGCCCAGGCTGGTCTCAGACTGCTGGGCTCAAGCAATCCTCCTGCCTCAGCCTCCCAAAGTGCTGGGATTGCAGGCATAAGCCACTGCACCTGGCCTCTGGATATCTTCATATGTCCTTATATTCTTATGGAGGAGAAAGAAAGCAAGTTCTGTCGTGTTTTTCCTTAAAAACGCACTAATCTCATTCATGAGGGCTCTACCCTTATGATCTATTTACCTCCTGAAGGCCCCATCTCTAAATACCATCGTACTGGGCATTAGTCTTCAACATAGAATGTTGAGGATTCACATTCAGTTCATAGCCGCATCCTTGCCTTGTTTCTGACGTTAGGGGGAAAGTGTTTAATTTTCCTCACTAAGTATTATGTTAGCTCCATGATTTTCTCAGATGCCCTTTAAAGGTTAAGAAAGTTTACTTCTATTCCTAGTTTGCAGGGTGCTCCTTTATTTTGATTTTTTTTTTTTTTTTAATTGAGACAGGGTCTCGCCATTTTGCCCAGGCTGGTCTTGAACTCTTGGCCTCAAGCAATCCTTCCGCCTCAGCCACCCAAAGTGCTGGGATTACAGGCATGAGCCACTATGCCTGGCTTGAGTGTTCTTTTTAAAAATCCTGAATGGGTGCTGGATTTTGTCAAATGCTTTTTCTGCATCTACTGAAAGTGATCATATGGGTTTTTTTTTTTCCTTTCTAGTCTGTTAATCAGTGAATTACATTGACTGATTTTTGAATGCTAAACCAACCTTGTATTCTTGAGATAAATCACAATTGGTCATGATGCATTACTCTTTTTAAATATGTCATTGAATTTTATTTGCTAATGTTTCGTTATTTTTTTGGTCTATGTTCATGGGAGATGTGGCTCTGTAATTTTCTCTTTTTTTCCATAATGGGTTTGTCAGGTTTTGGTAATTGGATTGTGATGGGCTCATAAAATAATTTGGAAAGTTTTCTTACCCCCTTTGTTTTCTGTAAGAGTTGCATGAGGTTGCTCTTCTTTCTTTCTTAAAGAAAGCTAGGACTCGCTCATGAAATTATTTGGGCCTGGAACTTTCCTTGTGGAAAGGTTTTCAATAACAAATTCAATTTCTTTAATATTTATGGATATTTATATTTTCTATCTCACTTCGGGTCATTTTTGATTATTAGTCTTTCAAGGAATTCATACATTTTATTTAAATTGTTGAATTTATTGACAAAGTTATTCATAATATTATCACTTTATTTTTCAATGTTTGTGACATTTGTAATGCTAACTCCTCTTTCATTCCTGATATTTGATAATTTGTGGGGTTTTTCTTCTTTTTTCTTGATATCTGAGTAGGGGTTTATCAATTTTTAAAAATCTTTTAAGGCCAGCACGATGGCTCACACCCGTAATTCCAGCACTGCAGGAAGCCAATCAAGGGGGATAGTTTGAGCCCAGGAGTTTGAGACCAGCCTGCACAACATAAGGAGATCCCATTGCTACGAAAATTTAAAAATTAGTCAGGTGTGGTGATGTGGACTTATAGTCCTAGCTACTCAGGAGGCTGAGGCAGGAGGGTTACTTGAGCCCAGGAATTTGAGGCTGCAGTTTGTTATGATTGCACCATTGCACTCCAGCCCAAATGACAGCAAGACACTATCTCTAAAACATAAAATCGTTTAAAAGATTTAACTCTTCACTTTGTTAATTTTCTCTGTTGTTTGTCTGTTTTCTGTAGCATTGATTTCTACTTTTAGTTTTATTATTTTCTTCCTCTAATTTGGTTTACTTTTCTTGTTTGTTTGTTTGTTTGTTTTTGAGACAGAGTCTCACTCTGTCACCGAGGCTGGAGTCTGGAGTGTAGTGGTGCGATCTCAGCTCACTGCAACCTCCATCTGGGTTCAAGTGATTCTCGTGCCTCAGCCTCCCAAGTAGCTGGAATTACAGGTGCCCACCACCACGCCTGGCTAATTTTTGTATGTTTAGTAGAGATGGGGTTTCACCATGTTGGCCAGGCTGGTCTTGAACTCCTGACCTCAGGTGATCTGCCCGCCTCGGCCTCCCAAAGTGCTGGGATTACAGGCGTGAGCTACTGTGCCCAGCCTCTTAGATTTTAAGTAATTAATTTTAAATCTTTCTTTTTTTCTAATACAAACATTTAAACTTTCTTCTTTTCTAATATAAGTATTTAAACTATAATTTTCCCCCAATGACTGCTTTAGCTGCATCTCACAGATCTTTATATGTTACATTTTTATTATCATTCAATACAAAATATTACATAATTTATTTTGGGTTTTATTATTTGACTCGTGGACTATTTAGAAGTATACTGTTTGGGCCGGGTGCGGTGGCAGTGGCTCACGACTGTAATCCCAGCACTTTGGGAGGCCGAGATGGGTGGATCAACCACTTCTGAGGTCAGGAGTTCGAGATCAGCCTGGCCAACATGGTGAAACCCCATCTCTACTAAAAATACAAAAATTAGCTGGGCATGGTGGCAGGTGTCTGTAATCCCAGCTACTCAGGAGGCTGAAGCAGGAGAATCACTTGAACTTGGGAGACAGAGGTTGCAGTCAGCCAAGATCGCTCCATTGCACTCCAGCCTGGGCAACAAGAGCAAAACTCCTTCTCAAAAAAAAAAAAAAAAAAAAGAGAGAGAGAGAAAGAAGTACATTATTTAATTGCTGGATATCTTATTTTTATTGATTCTCAATAAAATTTCTATTGTGGTCAGAAAACATATTCTGTGTAACTTCACTTCTTTAAAATGCATTGAGTCTTGCTTCACGGTCTAGCATATGATATGTACTAGTGAATATGCTATGGCCGTTTGAAAAGTTCTATGTCTATTCTGCAATTGTTAGATATAGTGCATATATACTGCATTTTTATTGGTTTATTTTTGGTCTGATTGTTCTATTAAGTGCTGAAAGAGGGGTGTAAAAATCTTCAACTATGATTATGAAATTGTCTCCTTTTTCCTTTAATTTTATGAATTTTTGCTTGATGTACTTCAGACCTCTATTCTTAGGAACATACACATTTATGATTTTTACCCCCCTATAATAATGAAATGCTTCCTTTATCTCTGGAAATATTCTTTTTCTTGAAGTCTATTTGATATTAATATAACCACACCAGCTTTCTTATACTTACTTTTCACAACGTATAACTTTTTTTTTTTTGTATTTACTTTCAACCTATATTTAAAGTGGGTCTTTTGCAGATGGCATATTATGGGTTTTGTTTTTTATTCATTAGGGCAATATGACTTTTAATTATAGTGTTTAGTGCATTCACATTAATGTAAATATTGATACAGTTAGACTTGGGGATAGCATTTTATGCCTTGATTTTTTTTTCTTTTTGAGGAGTTTCCTTTAACATTTCATGCAGTACATAACCTATTTGTGATATTTTCTCCCCTTTGAAAAAAATATGAACACACCTTTATTTTGCCTTTATTATCAAAGGATATTTTCACTACATATAATATCCTAGGTTGCTAGGATTTTTTAAAGCTTTTTTTGTTTGTTTGTTTGTTTGTTTTTTGAGACAGAGTCTCCCTCTCTCACCCAGGCTGGAGTGAAGTGGTGTGATCTCGGCTCACTGAAACCTCTGCCTCCCAGGTTCAAGTGATTCTTCTGCCTCAGCCTCCCAAGTAGCTGGGATTACAGGTGCCCGCTGCCAAGCCCAGCTAATTTTTGTATTTCGAGTAGAGACTGGGTTTCACCATGTTGGCCAGGCTGGTCTCGAACTCCTAGCCTCAAGTGAACCGCCCACCTCAGCCCCCCAAAGTGTTTGGATTACAGGTGTGAGCCACTGTGCCCAGCCTAAAACATTTTTTCTTTAAGCAAATTTTTAAAGCATTTTTGACCTCCATAGTCTTTAATAAGAATTCAGTGGCCAGGTGCAGTGGCTCACAGCTGTAATCCCAGCACTTTGGGAGGTCGAGGCAGGCAGATCATGAGGTCAAGAGTCTGAGACCAGTCTGGCCAACACGGTGAAACCCCGTCTCTACTAAAAATACCAAAAAACAAACAAACAAACAAAAAACTGGCCGGGCGTGGTGGTGGGCGCCTATAATCCCAGCTACTCGGGAGGCTGAGGCAGGAGAATGGAGTGAACCCGGGAGGCGGAGCTTGCAGTGAGCCGAGATTGCACCACTGCACTCCAGCCTGGGTGACAGAGCAAGACTCCGCCTCAAAAAAAAAAAAAAAATTCAGTGGTCATTAAAATAATTGTTCCCTTATATGTAATATATTAGTTTTTCTTGCTCCTTTTAAGATTTTCTCTTTACTTTTGGTTCTCAAGAGGTTGATAATGATGTGCTTGAGAGTAGTTTATTGTATTCATTTTGCTTGGTATTTACTGAGGTCCTTGAATCTGTAAATTTGTTTTTCAAAAAAATTTGGTACACTTTAAACCATTCTTTCTTTCTTTTTTTGTTTGAGACAGGGTCTTGCTCGGTTGCCCAGGATGGAATGCAGTGGTGCAAACAAGGCTCATTACAACCTTGACCTCCTGAGCTCAAGCAATCCTCCTGCCTCAGCCTCCTGAGTAGCTGGGACCACAGGCATGCACAACCACATCCAGCTAATTTTTATTTATTGGTTGATTGATGGTGATGGGGTCTTGCCATGTTGCCCAGGCTGGTCTTGAATTCCTGGGCTCAAGTGATCCTCCTTTCTTGACCTCCCAAAGTGCTGGGCTTATTGGCATGAACCACCACACCTGGAACCATTATTTCTTCACATATGTTTTCTGCTCTCATCCTACCCCTCTCCTTCTGGTATTCCATTTACATGGATGTTAATCTTTCTGATATGATGTCTTGGGTACCTGAGGCTCTGTTCTTCAGCCTGGATAATTCCCATTGATTTATCTTCAAATTCACTGACTTTTCTCCTTTTCGCTCATCTTCAATAAGTTCCCAGTACATTTTTTACTTCAGATATTGTATTTTTCAGTTATACAACTTCTATTTCGTTCTTTTTTTCTTTTCTTTTTCTTTTTTTTTTTTTTGAGTTTTGCTCTATCACCCAGGCTGGAGTGTGGAGTGCAGTGGTGTGATCTCGGCTCACTGCAACCTCTGCCTCCCAGGTTCAAGCGATTCTCATGCTTCAGCCTCCCAAGTAGCTGTGCTACCGGTGTGCACCATCGCACTCAGCTAATTTTTGTATTTTTAGTAGAGATGGGGTTTCACCATGTTGGAAGGCTGGTCTTGAGCCCCTGGTCTCAAGTCATCCACCTGCCATGGACTCCCAAAGTGTTGGGATTAGAGGCATGAGCCACTGCACCCAGCCTATTTCCTACATTTTATTCATTATAAGTGTATTTTCCTTTATGATATGGAGCATAGTTAAAATAGCTGTCTTAAAACACTTTTCTGCTGATTCCAACATCTGGGTCATCTTAAGGGCATTCTCCATGAATTATTTTTTCTTCTAGAATGGGTCATGTTTTCTTTTTTCTTATGTACCAAGTAGCTTGGGATTATATCCTGGACTTTGTGAGTGATAAGCTGTAGAAACTTTGGATTCTAGTATGTGTCTCTTAAAAGTGCTGTTTTTGTTGTTTTGTATTTTTTTAAATAAACAATTGCCTTGGCTGAACCCAAACTGTAAATTCTGTCTCCTCTGTGGTGGGTGGCAGCTGAAATGTCAGCTCAGTTATTTTAGTCTTGGATGCATTGTTTGGAACCTGCCCAGTGGATGCTGGTTCAGGAGGCATCCAGAGACTTGGGCATAGTTTACACATAGAATTTGGGGCTCCCCTTACCTAGTTCTCTCCTTTCTGGGAGTTACTCCCTCAATTTCCAGCTACAGTGGAAACTCTGTCTTTTGATTCTTATGTGAATAAGACTGGATTTTCTTTTTTCTTTTTTTCTTTCTTTTTATTTTTTTTTGAGATGGAGTCTTACTCTGTTGCCCAGGCTGGAGTACAATGGCACGATCTCAGCTTACTGCAACCTCTGCCTCCTGGGTTCAAGCAGTTCTCCTGCCTCAGCCTTCTGAGTAGCTGGGATTACAGGCGTGTGCCACCATGCCTGGCTAAATTTTTGTATTTTTATTAGTGACAGGGTTTCACCATGTTGGCCAGGCTGGTCTCGAACTCCTAACCTCAAGTGATCTGCCCACCTTGGCCTCCCAAAGTGCTGGGATTACAGGCATGAGCCACTGTAACCGGCCAAGACTGGATTTTCTATCCAAGTTTTAGTAACTCCACAGAGGGCAGATTATGCTTTTCTTTTCTTTTGTGCAAAGAGCTGTTGAAATATGCAGATCACCCGGTGCCTCTCCCTTCTTTCAAATGTCTTTTCCCTTCAGTTTCTGCCTGCTTGTTGGTTGCTCTCTGTGGCTTTCAGATATTTGTTTACTATATTTTGCAAGAGTCTATGGTTGTCATCTGAGGCAGGATTGGTTTGATAGAGATTCAAACTACTCAGCTCTTGGCAAAAGTCGAACCTATTTTTACCTGCTTTTTATTCTCTTGGTTTTCAATCAAAGCTTGTCTTTTGTGGACCTGGTTTTTATTGATTGAGTGCTGGGCATTGTGTATGAAAAAATTATAGAAATAATTTGAAGCTGTGGATGATGTGATCTTTCTCCAGAGAGGATGTTCTTTTGCTTTTGGCAGACGGATAAGCTAGAGGCAGCTCATCTTATTCCAATTGGGGAGGAATTGAGATGATTCAAAGTTGGACTTCATCCTTGTGAGGGCTGATCTATTTCCAGGGTTCATTCAAAGGAAGCTGGGAATGTTTACCTGGTTCCCCATCTTTCACAGATCCTCAACTCCAATTTTTGTCCCCTAGCCTCTGAGACTGCTGAAATTTCTGCTCAGCTTCTTGGCCTCCAAACTGTTACTTCAATTTTTAAATTAGCAAGTCCCTTGAGTGGAAATTTGCTGCCAAATACTGGGCTCACCTATCTTATATTTTCTCCCACTCCAGATCTTGGCCCTAAACTTACACTATCTTGGTAGCTCTCCAATGCCTTCAAACGTAGTTTTTAATCCAGATTTTCTGGTTGTTTTTTCTCAGTGGGAGGGCTGATCCAAAACAAGCTATTCAGACTTTGCTGGATGTGGAATGCTACCACTCATTTCTAAATATTGCTATTTTCTCAACAGTTTCAGTTTAAAAAAATTTCTGGACTAAGAGTTAATTTTGATGTTGTTTATTTCTACTTCCATCTCATCAAACTCAGAGGAAGTGACCTATATAATTTATGATATGTGTTAAGATTTATTTTAAGGGATAATACAGTCAGCATTTTGTTTCATGGATGGTTGAAAAGAGTATCTATTTTCTGTTTCATGGGTAGAAAATTACATCTATCATCTGTCTTATAAATTAAACTTGTTTAGTGTGCCATTCAACTCCCTGTATCCTTATTTACTTATTTTCAATTTATTTATTTTTTATGTCATTTCTGAGAGAGGTGGATACTAAAACATACCATCATTTTGGGGATTTATTTATTTCTCATTTCTTTTCAATCAGTATTTGCTTTGTGTATTTTTAAGTCATGGTAAAATTACATAATTCAGTTGTTTTATTTTTCTGGTGGTTTGTCATATTTTCTCCTTTAATAAGTTTTACCCAAATTAATTTTTCTACGTTTGTACAAATACTACCTTCTGATTGTTATCATTTGTGTGGTAGAGTTTCCAAATATGGTTGCCAACAATTCTTCTTGTCCCTATAAGTGCATCTGCCTGCAGAAGTGGAGTCTAATTCCCTTGACCTGAAATCCAGGCTGGCCTCGTGACTTGCTTTGGCTTACAGAATGTAGCAGAAGTGACACGGTGCCAATTCCTTGCCTAGCCCTTAAGCAGTTCCAGGAGTTTTCAACATCGTGCTTTGGCAACACTACTGCCACGAAGTACAGACATTCACGCAAGACTGAGTGATGGGACATGGTGTGGAGAGAGCCTTCATATTGGAGCAGGTGCCAAATGTAAGTAAAGCTTCTTGGACCTTCCAGCCCAGCCACATACTGAATACAACCATGTGAGGGTCACCAGATGAGTCCACATGGAGCAGAAGGACAGCCCAGCCCAGCCCAGCCCTGACAGAAATCTTGACCCATACAGTACTGAGAAATAAGAAATCGTTACTGTTTTCCACTACTACGTGTTTGGGAGTTATTTGGTACTCAGCAATAAAGAGCTGAAACAATTTGTTTGGTATATTATCTCCCATTTATTCAAATCTTGAGACCATATTTTTATTAGGTTGTGTGTTTTCTCATTATTAAACTTTGGGAGTTCCTTCTTATCCTGGATACAAATCCTTTGTAAGATATACAAGCTGAAAATATTTTTTCTCAGTCTGTGGTTGTCTTTTCATTCTTTCAATAGTGTCTTTAGGCCAGGCATGGTGGCTCAAGCCTGTAATCCCAACACTTTGGGAGGCCAAGGTGGGTGGATTACCTGAGGTCAGGAGTTCAAGACAAGCCTGGCCAACATGTGGAAATCCTGTCTCTACTAAAACTACAAAAATTAGCCAGGCGTGGTGGCACACACCTGTAGTCCCAGCTACTAGGGAGGCTGAGGCAGGAGGGCTGCTTGAACCTGGGAGGCAGAGGTCGCAGTGAGCCGAGATCTTGCTACTGCACTCCAGCCTGGGCTACAGAGTGAGACCCTGCCTCAAAAAACAACAAACAAACAAACAAACAAACAAACCAATAGTGTCTTTAAAAAAGGAGGAGTTCTTAATTTTGGTGAAGTTCAATTTTTCGTTTTTTGTTTCTCTCATGGATCATGCTTTTGGTGTCATAGCTGAGAGAACTTTGCTCATCCAAGGTAACAAAGATTTCTGCATAGTTTTCTTCTAGAAGTTTTATAGTATTAGGTTTTACACTTACACCTATGATTCATTTTGAGTATGGTGAACAGTATGGATGGAGGTTCATTTTTTTCCATATGGATATGCAATTGTTTCAGTACTGTTTATTGAAAAGACTATCCTTTCTGAGTTTAACTGCCTTGCATATTTGTTGAAAATCAACTGACCATGTATAGGTAGGTCTATTTCAGAACTCTACTCTGTTCCATTGCTCTTTGTATCTATCATTCCTCTAACACCAACTGTTTTGACTACCGGAGTTTTATAATGAATCTTTTTTAAAAAATAATTTCAACTTTTATTTTAGATTCAGGGGTACTTGTGTTAGTTTGTTACCCGAATATATTGCATGATGCTGAGGTTTGGGATATGACTGATCCCAAGTCTTGAAACCAGGTAATATGAGTCTTTCAATTTTACTTTTTTTTCCAAAATTACTTTGGGTATCCAAGTTCTGTTGCCTTTCCACTTAACATTTTCAATCAGCTCATTCTGTTGAGATTTCAGTTAGAATAGTGTTGAGTCTATAGATCAGTTTAAGGAGAATTGACATCTTAAATATATTGAATTTTTCAATATATGAATAATGTATACCTCTCCATTTATACACGTTTTCTTTGATTTCTTTCATCAGTGTTCTGTAGTTTTCAGAACACATATCTTGCACATATTTTGTTAGATTTATACCAAAGCATTTTACGTTTGCCGATACCATTGTAATTGGTACATTTTATTTTGATTTACAATTGTTCATTGCTATTATACTGAAACACAATTGATTTTAATGTATTACATTGTATCCTGAAAACTTCATAACTTCATTCACTTTAGTTCTTGTATCTTTTGTTAGATTCTTTGAGATTTTTCTGCTAGACAATCATGTCCTCTCTGAATGGAGTTGTATTTCTTACTTTCCAAACTGTGTGTCTTTTATTTCTCTTTCTTGCCTCATTGCACCGTCTGGGACTTCACAAACAACATTGAATAGGAGCAGCAGTAGTTGACATCCTTGCCTTGTAGGGGGGCAGTGGTTGACATCCTTGCCTTGTTCTTCACCTTAGCCTGGAAGTATTCAGTCTTTCGCCATTAAATACAATGTTACTTGTAAGAGCCTTGTTGATGCCGTTTGCCAGGTTGAGGAACTTCTGTTAGTTTGCTGAGAGATTTTTTAATCCTAAATAGATGCTGAATTTTATTTTAAAACATTTATTCATATAATGAAATCATCGTGTTTTTTTCTTCCTTTGTCTTTTAATTTAGTAAATTAAATTGATTGCTTTATAAATGTTAAACTGACCTTGTGTTTCCATGAGAAATCCCACTAAGCCACACTTCTGTTTATATATTGTTGGATTTGATTTTCTAGTATTTCATGGAAGATTTTTGCAGCTATGTTCATGAACGATATTAGTTTGAAGTTTTCCTTGCTGTCTTCACAAAATGAGTTGGAAACTGGTCCCTATTCCTTTTTTTTTTTTTTAACTTTTATTTTAGGTTTAGGGGTACATGTTATATAGGTGTCACAGGGGGTTTGTTGTACAGATTATTTGTCACCCAGATACTAAGCCTAGTACCCGGTAGTTATTTTTTCTGCTCCTCTCCCTCCTCCTACCCTCCACCCTTAAGTAGACCGCAGTGTGTGTTGTTCCCTTGTGTTCATGAGTTCTCGTCATTTAGCTCCCACTTATAAGTGAGAACACGCTGTATTGGTTTTCTGTTCCTGTGTTAGTTTGCTAAGGATCATGGTCTCCAACTCCATCCATATTCCCACAAAAGACAGATCCTGTTATTTTTTAATGGCTGCATAGTATTCCATGTTGCCTATGTACCACATTTTCTTTCTCCAGTCTGTCATTGATGGGCATTTAGGTTGATTTCATGCCTTTGCTATTGTGAACGGTGTTGCAATGAACATTCATGTGCGTGTCTTTATGGTAGAATGACTTATATCTCTGGGTATATACCCAGTAATGTGATTGCTCGGTTGAATGGTAGTTCTGTTTTTAGGTCTTTGAGGAATTGCCACACTGCTTTCCACAATGGTTGAACTAATTTACACTCCCACCAACAGTGTATAAGCGTTCCCTTTTCTCCACAACCTCACCAGCATGTTATTTTTTGACTTTTTAATAATAGTCACTCTGACTGGTGTGAGATGGTGTCTCACTGTTGTTTTGATTTGCATTTCTCTAATGATCAGTGATATTTAGCTTTTTTCATATTCTTGTTGACTACATGTATGTCTTCTTTAGAAAGGTGTCTATTCATGTTCTTTGCCCACTTTTTAATGTTTTCTTTTTCTTGTAAATTTGTTTAAGTTCCTTACAGATGCTGGATATTAGAACTTTGTCAGATGCTTAGTTTGCAAATATTTTCTCCTATTCTGTACACTGTCTGTTTACTCTGTTGATAGTTTATTTTGATGTGCAGAAGCTTTTACATTTAATTGGATCCCATTTGTCAGTTTTTGCTTTTGTTGCGATTGCTTTTGGCATCTTTGTCATGAAATCTTTGTCTCTTTCTATGTCCAAGATGGTATTGCCTAGGCCCATATTCTTATATATTACGGAAAAGTTTGCATATAATTGGTGTTAGTTCTTCCTTAAATATTAGATATAATTCTCCAATAAAGCCAACTGGGCTTGAAGTTATCTTTGCTGTAAGTTTTAACATTGTAACTATGAATTCGATTTTCTTAATAGATATCGGACTAATCAGGTTATTTATTTCTTCTTTAGTGAGCTTTGATAGTTGATACCTTTCCTTTCAAGGAATTTGTCCATTTTATCTAAGTGGTTAAATTTATGAAGATATAATTTTTTGTCAAATTATCTTATTTCTTTAATGTCTGTAGCATCTAAAGTCATATCCTAGCTTTCATTTCTAATATTTGTAACCTATATTTTCTCTCCCTTTATTCTTGGCCAGGTTGATTAGAGATCTATGAATGCTGGTAATGTTTTCAATGACAAGCTAATAGTTTCATTTGATTACTTTTCTACTCTCAATTTCATTGATTTCTGCTCATATCTTTATCATTTCTTTTCTTCTATTTGATTTGTGTTTAATTTGATTGTCTTTCTGGTTTATTGACTTAGGAACTTAGATAATTGATTTGAAACTTTATTCTTTTCTGATATAAATATTTGATGCTATACATTTTCTCTAAATACTGCTTTAGCTGTATCCAATAAATTTTGATATATTGTATTTTCATTTTTATTCACTTTAAAATATTTTCTTATTGCCCTTGTGACTTATACTTTGACCCAGGGGTCATCTATAAATGTATGGTTTCATTTCCAACCATTTTCCAATTATCTTTCTGTTACTGATCTTTTCTTTTTTGTATTTTATTTTATTTTTTTGTAGCCTATTATTGATCTTCAGTTCGATTCCATTATGTATGATAACATATTTTGGGTAAATTCAATTATTTTAAATTTGTTTTTATTTTTTGGCCCAGAATATGGTCTATCTTGATTAATGTTTCATGTGCACCTGAACAGAATATATATTCTTCTGTTGCTGGGCAGGGTATTCTTTAAAATTGAATTAGGTGAAGTTTCACGACATTTTGTCTATAATTTTTCTGGTTTTTGCCTACTTATTATTTTTATTACTAGAGGAAAATGTTGAAATCTCCATGTATAATTGTGGACTTGTCCATTTCTCCTCTCAATTCTATCAAATTTTGCTTCATGTATTTTTGAACCTCTGTTGTTACGTGTTGTTATGTCTTCTTGGTGAATTGACTTCTTTACTGTTATGTAATTTCCTTCTTTATCCACAGCAATACTCCTTGTTCTGATGTCTATTGTGTCTGATATTAATATAGCCACTCTAATTTTCTTTTAATTAGTGTTTGGAAGGTCTATCTTTTCTAACTCTTATTTTTACCCTGTCTATGCTTTTATATTTAAAGTGGGTTTCTTGTAGACAGAATATAGTTGGGTCTTGCTATTTTTTTAAATCCAACCTGACAATATTTTTCTTTATTTGGTGTATTTAGACTCTGTGCCTTAATAAAATCATTGAAATGGCCAAAGTAAAATATAGCATTTTGCTTGCTGTTTTTTATTTGTTCCATCTGTTCTGTTTCTTTTTTCCCCCTTCTTTTGGGTTGATTTTTTTTATGATGCTCACTAGTGGCTTATTATTTATACAGCTTTAAAAATATGTTGGTAGTTGCCCTATGGTTTATAATACACATATATTATTGATATCAATCTACTTTCAAATAATATTATACTGTTTCATGTGTAGTGTAAGGAACATACAATGGTATACTTTTGATTTCTCTCTCCTATCCTTTGTGCTATTTTAACATACATTTTACTTTTACATATACTATAAACCCATAATACATTGAATTTTATATTTAATTTAATTTAGGCTATTTCCATCACTTCATTTCTTAGTACAGATCCAAGCTGCTATCTGGTATTGTGTTAGTCCGTTTTGCATTGCTGTAAAGGAATATCTGAGACTGGATAATGTATAAAGAAAAGAGATTTAATTGGCTCACAGTGCTGCAGGCTGTACAGGAGGCATAGTGCCAGCATCTGCTTCTGGGGAGGCCCTCGGCAAGCTTACAATCATGGCAGAAGGCAAAGAGGGAGCAGGCAAATCATGTGATGAGAGAGGGAGCAAGAGAGAGAAGAGGGAGGTGCCACTTTTCCTTTTTTTTTTTTTTTTGAGATGGAGTCTTGCTCTGTTGCCCAGACTGGAGTGCAGTGGTGCCATCTTGGCCCACTGCAACCTCCGCCTTCTGGGTTCAAGCGATTCTCCTGCCTCAGCCTCCCAAGTAGCTGGGATTACAGGTGCGTGCCACCACGCCTGACTAATTTTTTGTATTTTTTTAGTGCAGATGGGGTTTCATCATGTTAGCCAGGATGGTCTTGATCTCCTGAACTCATGATCTGCCCGCCTCCGCCTCCCAAAGTGCTGGGATTACAGGCGTAAGCCACCACACCTGGCCGAGGTGCCACATTTTTAAACAACCAGACCTCACGTGAACTGTCAGAGTGAGAACTCACTCATCACCAAGGGGATAGTGCTAAGCCATTCATTAGGAATCCTCCCCCATGATCCAAACACCTCCCAGCAGGCCCACCTCCAACACTGAGGATTACATCTCAACATGAGATCTGGACGGAAGAAACATCCAAACCGTCTCAGATATCTTACTCCTTCTACCTAAAAAAGTTCTTTTAACATGTGTTCAGTGAAGATCTGCCAGTAATAAATGTTCTCAGTCTTTGTCTAAAAAGTTCTCATTTCTCCTAAGTTTTTTGAAAGATATTCTTACTAGGTAGAAAATTTTAGATTGACAGGTATGTTATCTTTCAATACTTTAATGATGTTACTCTAAGAACTTCTGAACTTGTGTAGTTTCTGCTGAGAGATCTGCTGTAGTTCCCATCCTCGTACTTTTGAATGTAATGTGCCTTTTATTTCTGGCTGCCTGTAAGATTCAAGGTTTTCTCATAAATTTTCAGGGGTTTGAATATGATGTAATTCTCTCTTTAAAAAATTATCCTCCTTGGCATTCTCTGAGCTTCCTGGATCTGTGATTTGTTATTTGTTGTCTTTCATTAATTTTAGGGAAATTCTCAGCCATTATCTCTTTAAATATTTCTTCTGACCTGTTTCCTCTCTCTCTCTTCTACTTCTGGGATTCCAATTATAGGCATATTAGACCGTTTGACATTGTCCCACATCTGTAGGTATTAACTTAGTCCTTTTACCACTTCCTAGATGATGCAGTTTCCTGAAGTAAATAATTTAACTCCATTTACCTCCTTGTGATCTTTATGATATTGTTATCATATATTTTACTTTCATCTATGTATAAGCTTCACAACACATTTGTATCATTGTTAGAAACAGTTTAAAAATATTTGCCCTGGTATTTGTCTATTTTTCTTCATTCTTTCCTGAAGTTCTGTACATCTCTCTGGACTCAGTTTCCTAATCTGAAGAAGACTTCTTTACTCTGTGAAGCTTCCGGCAATAAATTTTTCAACCTTTGTTTATTTGAAATATTATTGTTTCACCTTCAGTATTTTTTTTCAAATTTTTGGAGAAACATTAAGAAGACATCACCTTCAGTTTTGAAGAGTATTTTGTTGTGTGTAGCATTCTAAGTTGCCAGAATTTTCCCTTCTATACTTTAACAATTTCGTTATGCTGTGTTCTGTCTTCTGTGATTTCCACTGAAAAGTTAGCTTTACATCTTACTGTCTTTGAAGATGGGTAATGTGTCTTTTTCCTCCCTGTGTCTCTTTCTATTTTAAAATAATCTCTATCTTTTGTTTTCAACAATTTATCTATAATGCCCTTTCATGTGGTTTTCCTTATTTTTAACCTCCTGGGTTTGCTGAACTTCCTGTATTTTTTGCAGTTTACTCCCATTTTGCAGTTTTGAAAAATTCTCAGTCATTATCTCTTCAAATGTTTTTCTACTCCATTTTCTTTCTTCTCTATTCCTGGAACTATAATTATACAGTGATAATAGAGGAAAGAGAGGAAGGCTTTTTTTTTTTTCACTGTGTCACCTATGTCTTCGTTCTATATTTTCCATTCATTTGCCTTCTTCCATGTTTCTGACCTATCTAAATATTTTCTTTGGACCTATTTCCCTCTTCACTAATTACCTTTTCAGCTGTATCTAAACTACTGTTAAGCTCATTTAATGAGTTTTTTAGTTTTGATATTCTTATTTTCACTTGATTATGCTTGTACATTTCAAATATCTGTTAATATTCTCCATCTTTGCATTCATTTTGTCCATCTTTTCCACAATTTTATTTAACACACTAATTGTAGTTATTTTAAAGCCCTTGTCTAGTAACTCCTTTATCTAGTTTATCTATGGCTTTGCTTCTATTGTTTTTTTCTTCTATTGATTATTTGGTCACATTTTCCTGTCACTGTACATATCTAACAATTTAAAAAATTATGCCACACATTGTGCATAAAAGAATCATAGAGGCTCCAGATTTCCCCATTCCTCTGTTAAGCAGATAGGATGGGGAAGCTGCTCACCTCAGTACAATCAGGAATCGAGGTGGATCAAGACCTAGTTGCACTTTTAGTAAGTCTCAGACTATCTCTGATTCACTCCTGTTCTTTGGGTCTGGTTCTCCTGGGCTTCTGATTGAGAGGTTGGAAGATCTCTATCTTGTCCACTCTAAATGACGGTGAGAGATTCAGATCCTCCCTTTGCAGGTTTGAGCTTAGTTCTTTAGTCTCTTGATGGGAGGGATCCCCTGTGTCGGTGGCAGTCCCCTCCCTCTGTTGGGATTCAGCACAGTGAAACCACAGGAGATTTCACTCCACTTTCCAGAAGTTTTTGGCCCAGCCACTCAGCCTCCACGCAGACCCAAAACTCAAATAGTGCTCTGCGAGGAACACCAGCCGCACATTGGGAGTTCCTTTAGTTTTCACCCATCACGTGGGCATTGTAAGAAAGCCACCAAAAGCTTTTTTGGCTTCTCTTTCCTTCAGCACAGCCTCTCAGCCTGAGTCAAGCGAGATCTGCAGTCCAAGCCTAGAAGTGGGAAACGCTACCAGAGAGGAAAACAGCTACCGTAACCCCCCAAGGGGCTCACCTTGCCTGCTGCCTAGACAGAGCAGATTTAGCAAGACAGGGGAATTGCAATAGAGAGTAATTCACGCACAGCCGGCTGTGCAGGAGATTGGATTTTTATTACTACTTAAATTAGCCTCCCTGAGCATTTGGGGAGCAGGGTTTTTAAGGACAACTTGGTGGGTGGGGGGAAGCCAGTGAGCCGGGAGTGCTGATTGGTCAGCGATGAAATCACCGGAAGTAGAAGCTGCCTTCTTGTGCTGAGTGGGTTCCTGGGTGGGGGTCAAAAGATCAGATGAGCCAGTTTATTGATCCGAATGGTGCCAGCTGATCCATCAAGTGCAGGGTCTGCAAAATATCTCAAACACTGATCTTAGGGGCAGTTTAGGGAGGGTCAGAATCTTGAAGCCTCCAGCTGCGTGACTCCTCAACCATAATTTCTAATCTTGTGGCCGATGTTAGTCCTACAAGGTCAATCTAGTCCCCAGGCAAGAAGGAGGTCTTCTTTGGGAAAGGGCTGTTTTAAACTTTAAACTTTGTTTTAAACTATAAAGTTTAAACTAAGTTTCTCCCAAAGTTAGTTCAGCCTAGGCCCAGGAATAAAAAAGGACAGCTTGGAGGTTAGAAGCAACAGGGAGTCGATTAAGTTAGATCTCTTTCACTTTCTCAGTCATAATTTTGCAAAGGCGGTCTCATCATGATCCCCAACTTACCTAGGGAGAATTCTTCCCTCTCTGGATTTTAGTTCATCTTGACCTCCTTACCATAGCTCAGTGATGCCTCTAATGACTTTGCAATTTACTTCCTTTTTACCTAATTAATGAAGTGAGAGGATTGGCCAGCCATAACCTACCATATCCTACCGAGAAACAGAAATCTCCTTCCAATAAATGTTTAAGACTATTTAAACTTGCATTTTTCTATGTATGTCTAGAGTTCCTCCGTGTTTCTGTCCTCTCCTTGAAGAAGTTAGTGACACTTTCACTTCCCATCCTTACTCCTGAATACATTCCGCATTGAAATCATGTGGGGTTTTTTTCCTACATTGCTATTGTCATCATTGCTATTGCTGCGCTAGCTGTTGCTGCTATTATGTTATGCAAATATTAGACTTAGCTACAAAGTTTTACTTTTTTTAAAATCACTGTTTCCTGTACTCTATGTCTTTTTTGGCCTTGTATTCACTTTCTTTTTCTTGAATACATTCTCGAGCAGTTCCTTTAGAGTCTGTGAGTAATAAATTTGTTTAGAGAGAATCTGTCCAAAACATCTTCATTTTCATCTCACTTTTTTTTTTTTTTTTAAATTGAGACAGTCTGGCTCTGTCGCCCAGGCTGGAGTGCAGTGGCACCATCTCAGCTCAATGCAGCCTCCGCCACCCGGGTTCAAGCGATTCTCATGCCTCAGCCTCACCAGTAGCTGGGACTACAGGTGCACGCCACCATGCCTGGCTAATTTTTTTGTATTTTTAATAGAGACAGGATTTTGCCATGTTGACGAGGCTGGTCTCGAACTCCTGACCTCGGGTGATCTGCCCGCCTCGGCCTCCCAAAATGCTGGGATTACAGGTGTAAGCCACTGTGCGGGGCCTCCTCTCACTTTTGAAGTCTAGTTAGGATAGGTATATGATCTTAGGATCAAAATCATTTCCTAGAGAATTTGAATCTCTTTTTCCATTGCCTTCCAATGTTGTTAAAGAGAAGTCACTTGCCCATCTAATTCTTATTTCTCTGAGAATAACTAATCTCGCGCTCTTTCTCTCTCAAGAATTTTCTCACTGAAATTTTCCCCATGTCTAGGAATCCCTGTACCTCTGACCCCTGCCCCCCAAAATTCTCTTACTTAGCACCTGATTGATCCTCTCAATCTACAGATTCTTGTATTTGTTCACTTTGAGGAAATGTCCTCTACTGATTGATTATCTTTTCTCCATTTTCTCCTTATGGGAACTTCTACTAAGTACTAGATAAATATTGAAACTTCTGTGTGTAGTCTCTATGCCATTTAATTGTGTGGGGTTTTTGCACTACAGTCTGAGAGAAACCCTCAGCTTATTTTAAATTAATTCATTCTTTCAAGAGCTGTTTTGAAATATGTCCACAATTCAGAAAAATATAAAGAATAAGTAATATAATAAACAGACTAGTACATATCACCCAACCACCCAACCTTGTCAGATTGTAACATTTCCCCATATTTGATTCCTATCTTTATTTTATTTTATTTTGTGTGTAGTGTGTGTGTGTGTCTGTGTGTGTGTTTTGAGACAGAGTCTCGCTCTGTCACCAGGCTGGAGTGCAGTGGTGCAATCTTGGCTCACTACAACCTCAACCTATTAGGTTAAAGTGATTCTCCTGCCTCAGCCTCCCGAGTAGCTGGGACTACAGGCACATGCCACCATGCCCGGCCAATTTTTGTATTTTTTATTAGAGACGGGGTTTCACCATGTTGGCCAGGCTGGTCTTGAACTCCTGACCTCAAGTGTTCTGCCTGCCTCAGCCTCCCAAAGTGCTGGGATTACAGGCGTGAGCCACCATGCCCGACCTGGTCTTTGTGATTTCTAATTACCTTTTTTATCATATGGTACACTTAAAATAAGTGAGTCTATCATTGTATAGGATAGGACGCACTTATTACAAATTAAGTATTATTTGTATATGATAGAATTCACTTATTTTTTAAGTGTACCATATGATGACTATGGTCATTGTGTGAAATTCTGTAACCATCAGCACAATCAAAATATAAAACAATTCTGCCACCCAAAAAAGTTTCCTCCTGCCCCTTTGCAGTTGATCCCCTGCTCCTTTCCTGGCCTTAGACAACAACTGCTTTCTGTCACTATAGTTTTGCCTTTTCTGGCATTTTCTGTAAATGGAATCAAGCAGCACAGTCTTTTATGTTTGATTTCTTTCACTTGGCATAATACTTCTGAGATTCAACCATGTTTTTGCATGTGTTATGAATGGTTCATACTTTTTATTGCTGAGTAGTATTCCCAAGCATGGATAATACGATTAATTTATCCAGGTACTAGTTGACAAACATTTGAGTCGCTTCCAGTTTGGGGCTATTCTGAATAATACAATTATGAATATCTGTTTTTTGTTTTTTGTTTTTTTTTTTGAGATGGAGTCTTACTCTATCACTCAGGCTGGAGTGCAGTGGTGTGATCTCGGCTCACTACAACCTCTGCCTCCTGGGCTCAAGCAATTCCCCTGCCTCAGCCTCCCAAGCAGCTGGGATTACAGGCTCACACCACCACACCTGGCTAATTTTTTTGTATTTTTAGTAGAGATGGGTTTTTGCCATGTTGGCCAGGCTGGTCTTAAACTCCTGACCTCAAGTGATCTGCCCGCTTTGGCCTCCCAAAGTGCTGGGATAACAGGCGTGAGCCACCATGCCTGGCCAAATATCTGCGTATTAATCTTTGTGTGGACATATATTTTAATTTCTCTTGGGTAAATACTTGGAAGTAGAATTGCTGTGTTACAGGGTAAGTTTATGTTTAACTTTATAAGATGATAGCATACTCTTTTCCAAAGTGGCTGTGCCATTTTGCATTTCCACCAGCAATCTATGAGAGTTCCAGTTGCTCCATATCCTTGCCAACACTTGGTATTGCCAGTATTTTTAAGTTTAGTGTGTAGTGGTACTTCGTTATTATTTTAATTTCATTTCTCTAAGTATCTTTTCATGTAATTATTGTCATTCATGTATCTTCTTTTGTGAAATTTCTGTTCAAATCTTTTGCCCATCTTTGTCTTACCACATTGTAAAGATTCTTTATATATTTTGGGTATGCACTCTCCA
The DNA here is from genome assembly GCF_000001405.40 of Homo sapiens. NCBI lineage: Eukaryota > Metazoa > Chordata > Mammalia > Primates > Hominidae > Homo > Homo sapiens. Next base: position 124,177,416 of record NC_000009.12, read on the forward strand.
TATATGCTTTTGTTTTTGTTTTTGAGATGCAATCTTGCTTTATCACCCAGGCTGGAGTGCAGTGGTACAATCTTCACTGCAACCTCCACCTCCCAGGTTCAAGCAATTCTCCCACTTCAGCCTCCCAAGTAGCTGAGATTACAGGAGCACATCATCGCGCCCAGCTAATTTTTGTATTTTAGTAGAGATGGGGTTTCGACACATTGGCCAGGCTGGTCTCAAACTCCTGACCTCAGGTGATCCACCCGCCTTGGCCTACCAAAGGGCTGGGATTACAGGCGTGAGCCACCACGCCCGACCTTTGCTTTTGTTTTGAGACAGGTCTTGCTATGTTGCCAGGCTGGTTTTGAATTTCTGGCCTTAAGTGATCCTCCTGCCTCAGCCTCCTGAGTAGCTGGGACTAGAGGTGCATCACTGCTCCTGGCTCCATATATGTTTTTTAATGTAAATTTAATTGAAGTATAATCATCCAAGTTATACTGACTGCATCAAAAAAGGTATATAGTGGGCTGGGCATGGTGGCTCACGCCTGTGATCCCAGCATTTTGGGAGCCCAAGGCAGACAGATCACCTGAGGTCAGGAGTTCGAGACCAGGCTGGCCAACATGGTGAAACCCCATCTCTATTAAAAATACAAAAGTCAGCCGGGTGTGGTGGCATGTGCCTGTAGTCCCAGCTACTCAGAAGGCTGAGGCAGGAGAATTGCTTGAACTCAGGAGGCAGAGGTTGCAGTGAGCCAAAAGCATGCCACTGCACTCCAGCCTGGGCAACAGAAAACAGAGCAAGACTCTGTCTCCAAAAAAAAAAAAAAAGTAAAATCTGTCATTCTGCAATTGCCTATTTTCCTCCACTAGGCATCATATTTTAAAAATGTATCCCTGTGGATACATGTTGCTCTAGGTAATTCATTTTACCTGTTGTATAGGATTCTGTAATGGCATCAAAACATGATTTATTTATCCGTTCTCTGTTGAATGATAGGTTGCTTCCAATTTTTTGCTATTTCAAACAGTTCTGCAGTGAACACTTTTATACATATTTCCGTATACACATAAGAGCTTCTCTAAGCAAACACCTAGAAGAGGCATAGGGGCTGCATATCTTTAAATTGATTCCAATTTTCTCTTTAGCTGTATTTATGCTACTATTCAGCCATCCTACTGAGTTTTAAATTTGAACAATTATTTTAAATTTCCAAGATCTTTTAGTGATTTATTTTAGTAACAGCCTGTCCTCAATTCATGAATATGTTATCTTCTCCCATCTCCCTCGGGATAGTAACTGCACACTTTAAGGTCTTCGCGGGGCGCGGTGGCCCACGCCTGTAATCCCAGCACTTTGGGAGGCTGAGGCGGGCGGATCACGAGGTCAGGAGATCGAGACCATCCTGGCTAACATGGGGAAACCCCGTCTCTACTAAAAATACAAAAAAAATTAGCCAGGTGTGGTGGCAGGTGCCTGTAGTCCCAGCTACTCGGGAGGCTGAGGCAGGAGAATGGCATGAACCCGGGAGGCGGAGCTTGTAGTGAGCCGAGATCGCGCCACTGCACTCCAGCCTGGGCAACAGAGCGAGACTCCGTCTCAAAAAAAAAAAAAAAGGTCTTCTTTGGTTTGTGTTTGCTCTTGAAGTCTTTTCCCTCGGGTCTCAGGTCTTCTCTTTGTTAAGTCTGATGCTCTCTTCCGGGGTCGACTTTGCTCAAATACTTGGGCATTCTTGGTTTTCTGCTCACCTTTGCTTTGGGAATTCTGATCTGCCTGCCTCTGAAGGACGGTGTTGACCACAAGGGTTTTCCTCTGATACTCACCATGAAGGCATGCTACTAGTGGTCTGTCACGGAAGTTGACGTTTTTCCCATTTCCTAGGGTGCGACTAGATACTCTAGGGCAGTGGTCCCCAACCCCCAGGCCAAGGGACCCGTACTGGTTTGTGGCCTGTCCTACCTGGCCCGCACAGCGGGAGGTGAGTGGCGGGCGAGCAAGCATTACCACCTGAGCTCCACCTCCTGTTAGGTCAGCGGTGGCATTAGATTCCCATAAGAGCACAAACCCTATTGTGAACTGAGCATGCAAGGATGTAGGTTGCATGCTCCTTATGAGAATCTAATGCCTGATAATCTGAGGTGGAACAGTTTCACCCCAAAACCATTCCGTCCCCCGACCCGCTCCGTGGAAAAGCTGTCTTCCATGAAACCGGTCCCTGGTGTCAAAAAGATTCGGGGTGGCTGCTTTAGGGCATGTTCTGACTCTGAGACCTAAATATTCCCTCGCACACCTCTGGCTTGTGGGCAAACTCCACTGCTGCTGGGTGTTCAGCATGAGTGATGGGTGGGGTGGGGGTGCTGGGGGCAGTTGGGCAGTGAGGGGCTGGCCAGCTTGGCTGCTCTAAACCCCTCAACTGCTAACTCTCATGACCGCCCCAGGCTGTCTCGCTGGTCTGAGTATTCCTGGGTTCTGTTGACTGAGCTTGGAGCACTCCTGGAGCCAGCCCTGACTTGCACAGTGGATCTCTCCTCCTGTGGCAGAGACACTGTGAGTCCCTCTGTCAATCCAAGCCTATCTACTTTCCATCTTTCAGGAACTCCAAAGTTACGGTCCACTGAGGATTCTCTTTCTTGTTTTCTACAACTGTTATAGATAGTATACATTTATTTGAATATATATGTATTTTTCTGACAACAGGAGATTTGGAGACAGAACTGTATGCCCATTCTGTCCCTTTTGCTCACTCTTCTGTGCTTCTTATCTTCCTTATTTTATTTATTTATTTGAGACAGTGTCTTGCACTTGTCACCCAGGCTGGAGTGCAGTGGTGCGATCTCGGCTCACTGCAACCTCCGCTTCCCGAGTTCAAGTGATTCTTCTGCCTCAGCCTCCTGAGTATCTGGGATTGCAGGCGTGTGCCACCATGCCCAGCTAAGTTTTGTATTTTTAGTAGAGACGGGGTTTCACCAGGCTGGTCTCGAATCCTGACCTTAAGCGATCCACCCGCCTCAGCCTCCCAAAATGCTTGGATTACAGGCGTGAGCCACTGTGCTCGGCCCTTATCTTCCTTAAATTCAGTCTTCATTGGATGTCTCTGACCGTGGGTCTCTCGGTTTCTCTCTTTCTGTGTGTGTCTCTCTGGGTCTCTGTCTCTGGCTGTTCTATTTCCATGTCTCTCTGTGGCTCCATCTCAGTTCTGATGATCTCTACTCACGCTTCTCTCCCTCTTCCTGGTCCTCTGAGTCCCTCTGCCTCATCAGGCTCCTCATCTCGGTGGCTGCTCCCCATCAGCGTGAGGCTCTGGTCCCCAGGGCTGGCTGGCTCTGGAGCAGTTTGCGGGTGGGGGAGCCCCAGATTGCTGCAACATGGAACAAGGATTTCCAACACATGCTCCCCCTGGCAGCCTGCCACCACAGCTTGCTGCCTGCCAACATCACACTTCAACTTAAAGAGGGAAAACTGCCAGACCAATGTTTTAGCTACAGCCCCGTGTCAGGGTTGCACGGGGAATCTCGCAGCAGCCCCTGCCAGGAACTGGAGCTGAGAGGGGATTAGGGAAGGGACTCTGGGCTGCTGGGTGGTGATGGGGGGTCCCAGATGCCTCCCTCCCTGGCCTCCCTGGTTCTAGGTACCAGAAAGTTTGCCTGGAATCCACTCTGGGCTCTGGGCTGAGCTGAGTTCCTCTGGGCTCTCCCCAGAATCGGGGCTTCCCGTATAGTCCCCTCCTGGGCAGGTATAGTCACCAGGGGTCCTGCTTCTTTCATCATTGTCTCTCCCCGCCCCCACGCCACCCACAGAGTAGCTGCCTTTTCCATCCACAGGCAGGATGGCTCTGTGCTCTGAGCCAAGCATCCCTGAGCACAGGGAATGGTCTGAAACAGAGGACACGTCAGTGGGATCACTCTGGTTTACTGGTCAAGAGTTAGGAAATGTGCCAGGCACGGTGGTTCACGCCTGTAATCCCAGCACTTTGGGAGGCCAAGGCGGGCGGATCACCTGAGGTCAGGAGTTTGAGACCAGCCTGGCCAACATGGTGAAAAACTGTCTCTACTAAAAATACAAAATTAGCCAGGCGTGGTGGCACACGCCTGTAATCCCAGCTACTTGGGAGGCTGAGGCACGAGAATTGCTTGAACCCAGGAGGCAGAGGTTGCAGTGAGCCAAGATCATGCCACTGCACTCCAGCCTGGGCAACACAGTAAGACTCTGTCTCAAAAAAAAGAAAAAAAAAAAAAGACTTAGTAAAAGAGACTGGTGTGGAAGCACACATCTTCACCGATGAGGGAATGCCCATCCCTTTCGGTGCAAAAGCTCCATATTTTTCTAGGACTTACCCCTGGCAGTATAGATATGCCCATCCTTGCCAACGTGGACATGCCCATCTACAGAAACACTCATTCTAGCAAATGCCAGGATTTCCATTTATGCGAGTGTGGAAAAGTGCCCATCTCTATCTGCGTAGAGCACACTTCCCTGCCAGTGTAGACTCACCAGTTCCTTCAGAAGAATCATTCCTGTCCCTGTGGACACTCCCAGCTCAACCACTGTAGATTCCTTTGTTCCCATCAGTATAGAAGCAGCCACACGTGTGAGGTCTATTTCTATCACTCTAGGAGTGCCCCCTTGCTAACTCCCACCAGGATTCTCTCTAGATGTCCCTTCTCCCAGGCAGTCTTCCCATCTTCTGGGGAAGATTCCTATTCCCTGCATATGCAGAGACTCATTCAGGGCAAAGGAGAAGCACTCTTATCTCTACAGTATAGAAGCGCCTGGCATGGTTGGTGCACTATTTAGTATTCCTCCTGGTGTGAATGCGCCCAGTGGTCCAGCACGAATAGAATAAGCCCATGCCAGAATGGGGGCAATGCGTCTTTTAGGAGTACAGTGGCTCCTAGAGCAGCAAACCTAAGCACATGCATATGTGTAAGCATAGAAGTAGTCATTTTAACTAGTATAGAAACACCCATACTTGGCCAGGCACAGTGGCTCACACCTGTAATCCCAGCACTTTGGGAGGCCAAGGCAGGCAGATCACCTGAGGTCAGGAGTTCAAGACCAGCCTGGCCAACATGGTGAAACCTCGTCTCTGCTAAAAATACAAAAAAATAGCTGGGTGTGGTGGAGGGCGCCAGTAATCCCAGCTACTTGGGAGGCTGAGGCAGGAGAATCACTTGAACTTGGGAGGTGGAGGTTGCAGTGAGCCGAGACCATGCCATTGCACTCCAGCCTGGGCAACAAGTGTGAAACACTGTCTGAAAAAAAAAAAAAAAAAAAAACACCACGCATCCTTAAGAACATAGAGGTTGCCAATCCCACCAGCATAGAAGTGTCCATCAATATGGAGCCATGTACTAGTGGGAGTATAGACGCTTCCAGCTCTGCCATTATAGATACACCCATCTGCTATCAGAACCCAGAAGGCCCCTTGAGACACCTGGCAGACCCAGAAGGAGCCTGTATCAATGAGGAAGGGCAGCAGGGAGGGGTGAGGCGGGGAGGAGCCACCTGATCAAACCTCCAGCCTGCAGAAGTGCTGGCTGCCAATATAAACAGATAAGCACTAATAATCACTCTTTCTTAAGAGCCCCACTTGTGCATCCCATTTTCCTGAGGACGCCACCTGCACAGCTGCTCCTAATCAAGGACCATTTAATTCGTTCCTAGATCATTGTCTGCACTAATTGTCTTAAACAAACCGAAGTTCATTTCACCTTATTCCCCAAGGGCCTGGAGGGCTTCTAATTACCTGTAGGTGGTTCTCCACGCAGCCCAGCTTCATTAAAGATCACAATATGTTCCTCTAATAAGTTTCCCATTAAAATCCAATGGGTTCCCATCAAAATGAGTTATGTCCCAGAAAAAAAATCCACTAAAATATATTTTAATTAAAGTGAATTAAATATTGCATATGTCTGTTTCTGCCAACAGGTTGCACTTGAGACTGATACTAGCAGAAAACGGAGGGGAGAGGTGGGAAAAAGAGGGAAGGAGGGGACAGGAAAGCTCAGTTGTGAGATTAAGAGCTTTGGGATCAGACGGTGGCTGTGCAATTCCTGGCAGGGTAACTTTGGGCAAGCTCTCTTTGAGCCTCAGTTTCCTCATCTCCAAAATGGCAATAATAATCCCAAGCTTGCAGTTTATTTTTGCTAAGATTAGAGACTTTATACATATATATGTATAAAGTGCTTCATACATATATATGTATAAAGTGCTTCATACATAAGTACTCAAGAGATGTTACCATTGTTAATAATATTATAACTAAATGTTGTATTAGTCAGCTGTGCTGTGTAACAAACAACATCTCCCCCACCAAATCTCAATGGCTTATAGCAACAAAACTTTATTTCTCACAAGGACTATAGGTTAGCTCCGTCCCATGTGTTTTATTGTTCTGGGACCCAGGCTGAAGGCACAGCCCCACTCCGGGACACGTCACTCTCAGGACAGAGAGCAGAAGTGCAGGAGAGCAAGCTGGACCATGCAACTGCAATTAAAGCTTGTGCTAGACATGCACAGGTCATGTCGCTCCCTTCCCAATGGTCAGAGGAACTCACTGCAAAGGTGCAGAGAGCTGTACTCCTGCCTACCAGGAGGCAGGGCAAGACTGGGGCTGGATAATCCTCTTACAAAGAAGAGAATGAATTTTATTGTCAACAATAAAACCATATACCACAACCCTATCATTAGGTATTATAACAGTGTTTCCCAAGCTTGCCTGATGATAAGGATCTCAGGGGGAGGGAGGAGGAAAAATATAGAGACTGAGTCTCACCTCAGAGCTGCTAAGTCAGGTTCCCCAGGGAAGGGTCCTAGGAATCTGTATATTTTAACAAGTATCTGATTATCTTTTTTTTTTTTTCTTGAGACAGAGTCTCTCTGCTGCCTCCCAGTTTCAAGTGATTCTCCCACCTCAGCCAAATAGCTAGGATTGCAGGAACCCACCACCTGCCCAGCTAATTTTTGTGTTTTTAGTAGAGACAGAGTTTCACCATGTTGGCCAGGCTGGTCTCAAACTCCTGACCTCAGGTGATCCACCCACCTCAGTCTCCCAAACTGCTAGGATTACAAGGTGTGAGCCACCGTGCCCTGGCAGATCATCTTTATCATTAGAAACGTTTGAAAAACATGGTTTTAGAGAATAGTGGATAGGCAAATGGGCTTTGAAATAGATGTGAAATTGCAAACTGTCTCCACCACATATTAGCTATGTAATCATGGGACAGTTTTAAAAATCTCTGTGATTCTCAGTTTCTTCATTTGTGGAATAAGATAATGCACACAAAGCACATAGCACAGTGTCTGGTACAAGGCAAGCCTTCCATAAACATGAGCTCTTTCTATTTTTTAAAAGATCTTATTTTTTAAGAGCTGCTTCAGGTTAACAGAAAAAATGAGCAGAAAGTATAAAGAGTTCCCATATGCCCTCTGCCCCCACATGGGCACAGCCTCTCCCATCAGCCACATCCCCACAAGAGTGGTCCATTTGTTACAACTGACGAACCTGTATTGAGACATCATTATCACTCAGAGTCCATAGTTTAGCTCAGGGTTCATTCTTGGGGTTGTACATTCTATGGCTCTGGACAAATGTATAATGACATTTATCCACCATTATGGTATCATACAGAGTGTTTCTACTGCCCTAAAAATCCTCTGTGCTCTACCTATCCATCCCTCCAAGAGCTCTTCCTATTTTTAAAATAACAACGATAGTAATGATGATAATGAGTATAAAGTGCGCAGCTCAATGCATTGCAATAAATTGTAAACTCTAAGAACATCATATTACATTACAATAATGATCAGAATAAAATGCATAATAGAAATAGATCATAATAGTAATATCCATGTAAGGATTAAACAGGAAGAGCTATCTGCAGCAACAAACACACACTAATTTAAGCTCTGAACACCTTAGTAATAGTCCTTGACCTTGGCTACACATTGGAATTACCTGTGGAACTTAAGAAATTCCCAGTGTCTTTGTTCCCACCCCTTGGGATTCTGAGTTAATTAGTCTGGGATATGGTCCATGCTAGTCATGTTCTCTAGGTGTTTCCTCTGTGCAGCCAAATTTGAAACCCATGGCCTTGGAGCTCACTACTCAAGGTGTGGTCCTCCCACCAGCCACAGCAGCAGCACCTGGGAGCTTGTTAGAAATGTATAGTCTCAGGCTCCTCCTTGGACCTGAGGAATTAGAATTTGCAGTTTCGCAAGACCCCTAGGTGATTTTGTGCACATTAAAATCTGAGCAATGGCCGAATGTGGTGGCTCAAGCCTGTAATCCCAGCACTTTGTGATGCCAAAGTGGGTGGATTTCTTGAGCCCGGGGCATCGTGGTGAAAGCCTGTCTCTACAAGAAAAAAAAAATAGCCAGAGGTTGGTGGTGCGCACCTGTAGTCCCAGCTACTCGGGAAGCTGAGGTGGGAGGATTGCTTGAGCCTAGGAGTTTGAGGCCAGCCTGGGCAACATAGGGAGGCCCCATATCTACAAAAATAAAAATAAAATTAGCCAGGCATGGTGGCACATGCCTGTAGTTGCAGCTACTCAGGAGGCTGAGGCAGGAGGATTGCTTGAACCCAGGAGGTCGAGGCTGCAGTGAGCTGTGATCCCGCCACTGCACTCCAGCCTGGGCAACAGAGGGATACTCTTCCAAATAATAATAATTATTATAACAACATCTTAGCAGCACTGCCCCGGGCACCTCATCACCCACCCCCAGCCCACCTCCCCCGCCCATGCCCAGTGGTTGTGTTCCTCAGCCTCAGCAGCTCTCCATGTCGAGCAGTTTTTCTTTTCTTTTCTCTTTTCTTCTTTTCTCTTTTCTTTCCTTTTCTTTTCTTTTCTCTTTTTTTTTTTTTTTTTTTTGAGACGGAGTCTTGCTCTGTTGCCCATGCTGGAGTGCAGTGGCACGATCTCAGCTCACTGCAACCTCGGCCTCCCAGGTTCAAGCAATTCTCCTGCCTCAGCCTCCCGAGTAGCTGGGATTATAGGCGCGTACCACCATGCCCAGCTAATTTCTTTGTAATTTTAGTAGAGACAAGGTTTCACCATGTTAGCCAGGATGGTCTCCATCTCCTGACCTCGTGATCCACCTGCCTCGGCCTCCCAAAGTGCTGGGATTACAGGCATCAGCTACCGTGCCCAGCGTCGAGCAATTTTTCGATCACGTTCCTCTCTTGGCTTTCAGGACACCACACCCTTCTGGTTTTATACATTTCTGGCTCCTTTGCAATTTTTTCCTTGATTCTTCTCCTCTATTGACCTGTAAATGCTTGAATGCCCAAGGTCGGTGTTGGGTCCTCTTCTTTGCTGTCATGTTCCATCCTTGGGTGTCCTCACCTGATTCCATGGTTTTAGATACCATCTATTTCAGTGTCATTTTGTGGCTCCTGAGCCATGAGTAGTGTTGGGAAAATAAGTACCTGTGTCAGGGTCGACTTCAGGGACAGGTGGCCTGTGCAGCCCCTCATTTGGTTCCATGCTCTGTGGTCACCGTCTTGAAATTTGCAAGTATTTTTGAACAAGGGGCTGTGCATTTCCATTTTGCTTGGGATTTGCATTTGCAATTTGCATAATTTGCCCTGCAAATGATGTTGCTTGTCCCGACCTCTGCTCTAACAAGACTCCCAGGAGTGGGGAGCTCCCTGAAGGAGCAAAGAAGCTTGGAGTCAAAAAAGGGCACAACATGCCCACCATGAGCTCCCCCCACCCCAACTTATTCCTCTTCCAGGCTTACCCCTTTTTGGCAAATGGCACCCCCAATATTCTGCTTTTCAAGCCAACAATCCTTGATCACTGTTTGCTCAACTCCACATGTATCCGTCAACCTCTGAAATACATTTTGACTCTGTCCCCTTCCTCTGCAGCTCAAGCCCTCCTTGTCTCTTGCTAGGGCACTTGCAACTGGTTCCCCTGCCTCCTCTTGCCTCCAGAGCAGCCAGAATGGCCCTTGGTGGGAATGGGGGAGGAGGGGGTCGGATCTCAGCATTCCTCAGTGAACACCTCCAATGGCTTCCTCCCTGCAGCCCCTGCTGACTCGTTCCTCCCTACCACTCCCTCCTCTTGCACCCCACCCTCCAACTAGAGTGAGGGTCCTGCGGTGCTTTCCTCTGGGGTCTTTGCACAGGCTGTTCCCCTGCTTGGAACACTCTCCCTTCCCCCATCCACACCCTCCATCCCCCACAGGGCTGACTTCCAAGCTTCCCACAGCCCTTCCCCTGGACAGCCTTCCCTGACACCCCTTCCCACTTGGGGCTGGTTGTACCCTGAGCTCCCCTGGGCCCTGGGGATCCCCATCCAGAACTTTTCTATTTTCATTTTCTTATTTTTGAGACAGGGTTTCACTCTGTTGCTGGAGTGCAGTGGCATGATCTCGGCTCACTGCAACCTCTGCCTCCCAGGTTCAAGTGATTCTCCTGCCTCAGCCTCCCAAGTAGCTAGGATTACAGGTGCACACCACCACGCTCCGCTAATTTTTTGTATTTTTAGTAGAGACAAGGTTTCACCATGTTGGCCAGGCTGGTCTCGAACTCCTCACCTCAAGTGATCCGCCCACCTCAGCCTCTCAAAGTGCTGGGATTACAGGTGTGAGCCACCGAGCGGGGCCCAGAACTTTTCACACGCAATGCATTTTGATTACTTGCTTTCATGCCCATAGCCTCTGCTAGACTCTAATTTCCCTGAAAGGAAGGGCCATGTCTTTCCTGTTCACTTGTATCCCTGATCCCTAGCACTGCTCCTAGGACACAGTCAGAGCTTATTCAGTCTTTGTTGAATGAGTGAGTGAACGAGTGAATCCCCCCAGCCTTTGCTGCTCCTCTAGCTCTGCTCATAGGCCAGAGTCCTGAGCAATGGGCCATTCTCTGATTCCCCAGGCTGGGGCCTCACTACAGTAGTCACCCGCCACACACCCATGGGGATAGTGCTAGGGACATAAACACAGTCCCATGAGCAGCCAAGAAACCTGCTGTCTCTTCTGGTCCCTTTGGTGAGAGCTGCCTACCTGTGCCAATCCCTCTAGTGATCCTTTGGGGCTGTGGCCTCATTCCTCAGGGCCCTCCAGGCCACCTGCCAGTGTAGCCATTGTGATCAGCTCCCCATCCCCATTGCCCTGGCTGGCTGTCCTGGAGCTGGCTGTTTTCCCAACTCTGCTTTCAGTGACAACCCATTGGTGGCTTGAAATCAGCCATCGTGTGAATATTTACACCATGGAAACTGGCAAATGCTACAAATTAGGGCCTTGCTGTTGAAGAGCTGGTCTACCAGCACTCCACTGGGTTCCACTCTGACTGCAGATCCAACACTCGTTCAGACCCCTTGGGCTTTGACAGCTCTACTCTGGACCCAGCATGACCAGGCTTCTCTCCTTCAGATAGAATCCAGTTACATTGGCCCCCAATCCCACCCACCAGACAGCAGGTAAAGGACAAGACCATGAGCCTTCCCCAGAGCCTGGTCTGCTGGAAGACTAGCAGAAGGAACAACCATAGACCTCCTCAGCCCAAGTAGCTCAGAAACCATCTTTGAGATGGGCACTTCTGGCCTCTGCCCACCTCTTAGGGCACCTCCCCAGCTCTTACTGTCAAGCTGCACCTCTGGCGTGGATGTCACCCAGGGGACCCCTTTTTCTCATGGCCTCTCCATGCTCTAGCCACATGTGCATACTACCTCTCTCTGTCCTTCTGGGCCACCCAGCCAGACTGCCTGGCACCCAGAGACCTTGCTTTCTCTTTTTACAGTATGACTATTGGCTTATTGATTATTTTACCCATTATTTTAACACAGTTGGCCCCTGAACAATGCAGGAATTAGGGACACTAATCCCCTGCGTACTTGAAAATCCATGTATACCTTTTGACTGTCCTCAAACTTAACTACTGATAGCCTACTGTTGACCAGAAGCCTTACTGATAACAGTTGATTAGCGCATATCTTTTACGTTATGTGTTATAGACCGAATTCTTACAATAAAGTAAGCTTGAGAAAAGAAAATGTTATTAGGGAAACCATAAAGCAGAGAATATATATGTACTATTCATTAAGTCGAAGTGGATCATCATAAAGGCCTTCATCCTTATCATCTTCACGCTGAGTAGGCTGGGGAGGAGGAGGAGGGGTTGGTCTTGCTGACTTGGGTGAAAGAAATGGAAAAGGTGGGGGAGGCAGAAGGGGAGGCGGGAGAGCAGGTAAACTTGGTGTAACTTTTATTTGAAAAAATTCACGTATTGGCAGGGCACAGTGGCTCATGCCTGTAATCCCAGCACTTTTGGAGGCCAAGGTAAGGGGATTGCTTGAGCCCAGGAGGTTGAGATCAGCCTGGGCAACATGGTGAAACCCCATCTCTACAAAAAATTACCAAAAAAATTAGCCAGGCATGAAGGCACACACCTGTAGTCCCAGCTACTAGGGAGGCTGAAGTGGGAGGATCACTTGAGCCTGGGAGGCAGAGGTTGCAGTGAGCTCAGATCTCGTACCACTGCACTCCAGCCTGGGTGACAGAGTGAGACTCTGTCTCAGAAAAAAAAAAAAAGGCCAGGCGCGGTGGCTCACGCCTGTAATCCCAACACTTTGGGAGGCCAAGGCAGGCAAATCACGAGGCCAGGAGATCGAGACCATCCTGGCTAGTACGGTGAAACTCCGTCTCTACTAAAAATACAAAAAATTAGCCGGGGGTGGTGATGGGCGCCTGTAGTCCCAGCTACTCGGGAGGCTGAGGCAGGAGAATGGCATGAACCCGGGAGGCGGAGCTGGCAGTGAGCCGAGATTGCACCACTGCACTCCAGCCTGGGTGACAGAGCGAGACTCCGTCTCAGAAAAAAAAAAAAAAAAGAAAGAAAAAAGAGAAAAGAAAAGAATCCACATATAAGGGGACCCACACAGCTCAAAATCCATCTTGTTCAAGGGTCAACTATAGTTGTATTCATAATTAATGTTTAATTAAAATGAATTAATACTTAATAAGTAATTGCTGAGGCCGGGCGAGGTGGCTCATACCTGTAATCCCAGCACTTTGGGAGGCCGAGGCAGGTGGATCACCTGCGGTCAGGAGTTTGAGACCAGCCTGGCCAACATGGTGAAACCCCATCTCTACTAAAAATATAAAATTAGCTGGGTGTGGTGGCACATGCCTGTAATCCCAGCTATTCAGGAGGCTGAGGCAGGAGAATCACTTGAACCAGGGAGGCAGAGGTTGCAGTGAACTGAGATCACGCCAATGTACTCCAACCTGGGCAAAAAAAAAAAAAGAGCGACACTCTGTCTCAAAAATAAATAAATAAAAATAAGTAATTATTATTGCTTGGTTATTTTTAATTATCATCCCACCCTCATAACAAAAGCAAAGTGTATCCACATACACACATACGTAAGTAAAAGGAGCTTTAAGAGCCAACCCCAGTAATTTTAAAATTCTACCCTTCTTTCCAAGTGGTCAACAGTTCTCAGCCTCGTCCTGGGAAAGGGGGCAGTTGCACACACACTGACGGCCTTTTGCTCGCACAAAGCTCCTGTGTTCTGGAATGAATAAGCTGCACAAAGAGACACTAAAGGGACCCACAGAACGCTGACGAAGGCTGTCGCCCTTGTGGGCAGTTTCATCACAAGAGGAGGCTTATGTGTGTCCAGGGGCAGAGCTAAAGCTGGAGGCTTCAAGGATTGCTCTCGGCCCCATCCCACTCCTGGCTGCGGAGCCTCAGTCGTTTGTTCATTCACTCATTCATTCTTTATCACCACAGACCCTGTCCTAGGTACAGGAGATTCGGTGGTGAACAAAACGGTCAAGGCCCCTGTACTCATGGAGATTATAGTCTGATGTTAGTGGCAGACAAAAATCAGGTCAAGAAACAAAAATGACTACAAAATATGGTAAGTTCTCTAAGGGAAATAAACATGGTGCCAAGATGTAGAAGAAAGGAGACTTGCATTAGATTGGAGGAGGAGGCCAGGTGTAGTGGCTCACGCCTGTAATCCCAGCACTTTTGGAGGCTGAGGCAGGCAGTTCACCTGAGGTCAGTTCAAGACCAGCCTGGCCAACATGGTGAAACCCCCGTCTCTACCAGAAATATAAAAAATTAGCTGGGTTTGGTGATGTGTGCCTGTAATCCCAGCTACTCAGGAAGCTGAGGCAGGAGAATCACTTGAACCCTGGAGGCAGAGGTTTTAGTGAGCCCAGATCATGCCATTGCACTCCAGCCTGGGTGACAGACCGAGACTCCATCTCAAAAAAAAAAAAATCTATCTAGATCTAGGTATAGATATAGATATTGGAGGAGGAATCAGAGCTGGCTCTCTGAATTGGACCTGAAGCATGAGAAGGAGCCAGTCTCAGGAAGAGCTGTTCAGGCAGAGGGCACAGCATGTGTCAAGGGCCTGAGGCAGCAGGAGGCAGCCAGTGGGGCTGGAAAGCAGGGATTCCCAGGAAAGTGAGTCTGGAGAGACTGGCCAGGCTGGGAAGAGCCTGTGGGCTACAGTGAGAATGTGGGTTTTGCTCTTAATGACCTGACCCATTGGCTTCCCAATGGACTATGTTGTTCCAGCAAGGAGCAGGCCTGGCATTGGGCAGGGTTGCTTTTACATTTGCTGAACACATGAGTGAGCCAGGCCCCTCTGCAGGAGCTGAGGCTAGGGACAGGATGACAGAGAGGAGGCTGAGCAGGGGCCAAGAGAAAGGGGAGAGGCCTGGACTGGGGCAGTGGCCTCGGGGGCTGCAAAGAAGGCAGATGGAGAGATGGGTGAGGACAAAACCTGTGGACTTGCGGAAGGAGGCATCAGGGAAGTAGGGAAGTGGGAGACAGAGCCAGGGTGACTCAGAGGTTTCTGGTGGGGCAGCCCTGGCAAATCTGATCACAGGGGCCACCCCTGCTATGTCTCAGGTCAAGACTGTTGGTTTTTCTTCCTTTCTTTTCTTTTTTTTTCTTTTTGAGAAGGAGTCTTGCTCTATGGCCCAGGCTGGAGAGCAGCGGCGCGATCTCGGCTCACTGCAAACTCCACCTCCCAGGTTCAAGTGATTCTCTTGCCTCAGCTTCCCAAGTAGCTGGGATTACAGGCACCGGCCGCCACACCTGGCTAATTTTTGTATTTTTTAGTACAGACAGCGTTTCACCATATTGGTCAGGCTGGTCTCGAACTCCTGATCTTAGGTGATCTACCCACCTCGGCCTCCCAAAGGGCTGGGATTACAGGTGTGAGCCACCATGGCCAGCCTGTTGGTTTTTTAAAACATAATTTTTACTGTGTATATGTGATGCTGACAACATGATGCTATAGAGAGAGAGAGTCCAGTGGTTACTGCAGCGAGGCAGATGAACATACCTATTATCTCACAGTTACTTCTTTAAAATGCATGATGAGAACAGCTAAAATCTGCTTGTTTAACGGAAATCCCCAATACAATACAATTTTATGAACTTTAGTCTTCACAGCCCATGTTAGATCCCTTGGCTCCTTCATCCTTTATACCTGCTATTTTGTATCCTTTTGACCCACATCTCCCCATTTCCTCCTCCCACCCAACCCCTGTAACCACTGCTTCATTCTCTGTGTATTGAGACAGAGAATCTTTTGAAAAAATGTTCCACATATCAGCGAGATCATGCAACATTTTTCCTCCTGTGTCTGGCTTATTTCACCTGCGTAACGTCCTGCAGGTCCCTTCGTGTTGTGGCAAATGACAGAATCTCCTTTTTTAAAGCTGAATTATATTCCATTGTACATATATATCACATTTTCTTTATCCATTCATCTATCAATGGGCATTGAGATTGTCTCCATATCTTGGCTATTGTGAATAATGTGGCAATGAACATGGGAGTGCAGACGTCTTTCCAAGGTGACTTCATCTCTGATATGGTTTGGATCTGTGTCCCCACCTAAATCTCATGTCGAACTGTAATCCCCAGTGTTGGAGGAAGGGCCTGGTGGGAGGTGATTGGATCACGGGGGCAGAGTTCTCATGAATGGCTTAGCACCCTTCGTACTGTATAGTGAGTGAGTTCTCACGAGATCTGGTTGTTTAAAAGTGTGCGGCACCTCCTCCCTCTCTCTCTTTCTCTCTTCCTCCTGCTCCTGCCATGTAAGATGCCAGCTCTGGCTTTGTCCCTCCACCATGAGTAAAAGTTCCCTAAGCCTCCCCAGGAGCAGATGCCACCATGCTTCCTGTACAGACTACAGAATTGTGATCCAATGACACCTCTTTTCCTTATAAATTACCCAGTCTCAGGTATTTCTTTATTGCAATGCAAAAATGGACTAATACAATCTCCTTTGGGTATATACCCAGAAGAGGGATTGCTTGGTCCCGTGGTAGTTCTATTTTTTATTTCTTTAGGAACCTCCACACTGTTCTCCATAGTGGCTGTGCTAATCTATATTTCCACAAACATTGTACTGGGGTTCCCTTTTTTCCACACTCTAACATTTGCTGTCACTTGTCTTTGCGATAACAGCTATCCTTACTATAGGTGCTATCTCATGGTAATTTTAATTTGCGTTTCCTTATGATAATGATTTTGAGCACCTTTTCATATACCTATTGGCCATTTTTATATCTTCTTTGGAGAAATATCTGTTCAGGTCATTTGCCCAATTTTAAAATTGGATTATTTGTTTTTCTCCTATTGAGTGGTAAGAGTTCTTTATAAGTTTTGGATGTCAATCCCTTATCACATATGTGGTTGACAATGATTTTTTCCCCATCCATTAGTTGTCTTTTCATTTTGTTGATTGCTTCCTTTGTTGTGCAGAAGTTTTTTTTAATGTAGTCTTATTTACTTATTTTTGTTCTTATAGCCTGAGATTTTTGTGTGATGTCCAAAAAATTATTGCCAAGGCCAGTGCTGAGGAACTTTTCCCCTGTGTCTAGGAGACTTTATGGTTTCAGGAAGAGTCTAGGAGAGTCTGGGAGCTTTATGGTTTTAGGTCTTACATTTAGGTCTTTGATCCATTTTGGATTGATGTTTGCATATGGTATAAGATAAGGGTCCAATTTCATTCTTTTGCATATGGAAATCCAAATTTCCATTTGGATTTCCATTTACTGAAGAGACTATCTGTTCCCCATTGTGTCCTCTTGGTGCTCTTATCAATAATTGATTGACCATATATGTTTGGATTTATTTCTGGGCTCTCTGTTTTGTTCCATCAGTCTATGTTTCTGTTTTTATGTTAGTAACATACTGTTTTAATCATTGTAACTTTGTAATATAATTTAAATCAGGCCAGGTACAGTGGCCCACACCTGTAATCCCAGCACTTTGGAAGGCCGAGGTGGGTGGATCACCTGAGGTCAGGAGTTAGAGACCAGCCTGGCCAACATGGTGAAACCTTGTCTACTAAAAATACAAAAAATTAGCTGGTCGTGGTGGTGCGCACCCGTAGTCCCAGCTACTCAGGAGGCTGAAGCAGGAGAATCTCTTGAACCTGGGAGGCAGAGGTTGCAGTGAGCCAAGATTGTGCTACTGCACTCCAGCCTGGGCAACAAACAAGAGCAAAACTCCATCTCAAAAAAAAAAAAAAAAATCAGGAAGTACGATGTCTCTTTATGTTTCTTTCTCAGTATTTCTTTGTCTATTCAGGGTTTTTTTGTGGTTCCACCTGAATTTTAAAATTGTTTCTTCTATTTCTGTGAAAATGCCATTGGAATTATGATAGACATTGCATTAAACCTGTACATTGCTTTGGGTATGGACATTTTGGATAACCTAGAGGAAACGGATAAATTCCTAGAAAAATGTAACCTACCAAGATTGAATTGGAGGAAATAGAATGCTTGAACACACTAATAACAAAGGGATTGAACAAGTGTATTAAGCCATTTTCACATTGCTGTGAAGAAATATCTGAGACTGGGTAATTTGTAAGAAAAGAGGTTCCGTTGGCTCATGGTTCTGCAGGCCATACAGGAAGCATAATATTGGCATCTGCTTCTGGGGAGGCCTCAGGAAACTTACAATTATGCGGAAGGTGAAGGGGGAGCCAGGCCTCTCACATGGTGGGAGCGGGAGCAAGAGAGAGAGGGGGAGGTGCCACAGAGTTTAAAATGATAAGATCTCAGGAGAGCTCACTCACTATGGTGAGGGCAGCACCAAGGGGATGGTACTAAGCCATTCATGAGAAATCCGCCCTCATGATCCCATCACCTCCCACCGGGCCACACCTCCAACACTGGGGATTACATTTCAATATGAGATTTGGGTGGGGACAACATCCAAACTGTATCAAAAAAGTAATTTAAAATCTTCCAACCAAGAAAAGCCTAGGACCAGATGGCTTCATAGCTGAATTCGGCCAGCCATTCGAAGAATTATTATCAGTTCTTCTTAAACTCTACCAAAAAAATAGAGCTAGAGGAAATATTTCCAAACACTTGTTATGAGGCCAGAATCACCTTAATACCTAAGCCAGACAAAGATACCACACAAAAAAATGAAGCTACAGGCCAATCTCTATAATGAACATCGATGTAAAAATCCTAATAAAATATAAGCAAGCCAAAATCAAGAACACACAAAAAAGACTACATGTCATAACCAAGTAGGGTCTATTTCTGACAGGCAAGACTGGTTTAATGTGCACAAATCAATCAATGTGGTACGTTACATTAACAGAATGAAAGATAAAAACCACACAATCATCTCAGTTGAAACAGAAAAAGCACTTGACCAAGTTCAGCATCCTTTCTGGATAAAAACTCTTAACAGTTTTGGCATAGAAAGAAAGTTTCTTGACATAATAGAGGCCATTTATGAAAAAACCACAGCTAACACCATAATTAATGGGGAACAATCAAAAACTTTCCTACTGAAATCTAGAACAAGGCAAGGATGCCCACTCTCTCCACTTCTATTCAACATGGTACTGGAAGTATGAGCAAGAGCAATCAGACAAGAAAAAGAAATAAAAGTCATCTAAATCAGAAAGGAAGAAGTAAAATGATCTCTATTTGCAGATGACATGATTCTATATACAGAAAATCCCAAAGATTCCACACAAAAAAACCCTGTTATATCTAATAAATAAATTCAGCGAAGTCATAGGATGCAAAATCAACACACAAAAGTCAATAGCAGATCTACACAAAAACAACAGCCTAGGTGAAAAACAAATCAAGAAAGCAATCTTATCTACAAAGGCATTAAAAAAATACTGAGGAATAAATTTAACCAAGGAGGTGTAATATTTGTATACTGAAAACTAGAAAACATTGATAAAGAAATTGAAGATCTAAATTAGTGGAAAGCTATTTCATGCTCATGGATGAGAAGAATTAATATTATTAATATCTGTACTCCCAAAACAATGTACAGATTGAATGCAATGAGGTCAGGGGGTTTAATTGCAAGTAAAAAAAATAAAAGAAAGAAAGCTTCTTCAAAACAGCCCAAGAAGAGAAGGGAATTTATTAAAACAGGAGGGTCCCAGAGATCCAAGGCTGGACATGGAGCAGCTTCAGGAAGGCAGGAGTAGGGACCCAGAAAGTTGTCAGGAGATCTGGAGGTAGTGTCTTAGGCTCCTTGTGACTATCTCTCTCTTTATCTCAGTCTTCCTTCTTATTTTCCTTCCTTTCTCTCTCCCTCTCCCGCTCCCCGCCTTGTCTCAGTATCTCTCCTGCATGACTGCCTCTTTCTATCTTGTCTCTGCCTGTCTCTGTCTCTCCCTCCCATAACTGCATTTCAACCTTTCCATGATTGAGTCTTCTCTCTGCCATTCTATGAGCAAGTGGCCAAACACAGCCAGTCCAGCCCAGCTTTATGCCTCCTTTCAAATAACCAGCCAGGAAGGCAACCCAGTATCCCTGATTCTCAAAGCCAAAGTCACAGGAGAAAGAAGCTGATTGGCTCAGCTCAAATCAGCCTGCACCTCTGGTCTAATCAGCTGTCGCTAGGGGAGCAGAGAGGTACAAATATGGCCCCTGAGGTTCCACCTAGGGGAGAGGAGGATACAAGAGAAGGGAGCTGGAGGGCTGGCCAGGAGCACAGATGCCCACCACACCTGCCTGCCCAGTTGGACCCTCTCAGAGACGGGTTTTGACCTGAATTGAGCTTTGGTCCTCTTGGCCCCTTGGCCACGGTCACGTAGACTGCTAGCTGAGCTCCATTCCCTTCATATCTGCACATGGTACTTCCCGTCTCTGAGTCTCTGCTTCCTCATTTGTGAAATGATAGTAACAGCCCCTCCCAGTGGGGTGGTTGCAAGACGACATGAAGTTGTGTGGGCAGAGGACCCAAGGCCTTGCTGGCCACAGTGACTATGACACATCTGAATTCCCTAAAGTCCTACAGTTCCCGTGGTCCTCGCCTACCTGCCCCACTCCTCCCTTCTTCCCCTACCTCCACCATCTTCCCCCACTGCCAGTACGGCCCCAGGATGCTTGTGGTTACAACCAGTGAGATCTACTGCCCTCTACCACCACCCACATATCGCTAATTTGAGAAACGCACACCAGGGTGTCTGGGTTTAGCTGTTGAAACCACACATTCTGACCATCTTCTCAGTCCACTGAGCCTCCGTGGTCAGCCTGGCTGAGCTCTTTGTGGACCAGACATTGTTCTGCGGTCCCCACTCTAAAATCAGGTGGGGGCAGCATTAAGGAAGCCTTGGTGCCTATAGGATATCAGACACCCCAGATGCCTCAGGGATCTCCTTGAATGCTGCGCTACACACTATGGACAGATGCAACTGTTGATGTCATTTCTTTTTTTTTTTTTTTTTTAATTTGAGACGGTGTCTCGCTGTGTCGCCCAGGCTGGAGTGCAGTGGCGTGATCTCGGCTCACTACAACCTCCACCTCCCAGGTTCAAGTGATTCTCCTGCCTCAGTCTCTCAAGTAGCTGGGACTACAGGCATGCACCACCACACCTGGCTAATTTTTGTGTTTTTGGTAGACGGGGTTTCACCATGTTGGCAAGGCTGGTCTCAAACTCCCGACCTCAAGTCACCTGCCCACCTCAGCCTCCCAAATTGCTGGGATTACAGGAATGAGACACCACACCTGGCCCGTTTCTTCTTATTTTTGTTATTTTCTTATTTATTAAGCCAGCGTTCCCCGCTGCCTACTCTCTTCTTACTGGAGGCTGACCACTGGGGACTTCTGTATCTATGGAAGATGTGGGTGTTGAACTTGGGAACCTCAGGCCATGACATAAGGCTGAACAGGCCTCACCATGTCCTTTGGGTGCAAGAAGATCACGTGGAGAGGCACATCCAGCACCCAGCCCCAAGGCCCACCTCCTTGTCCCAGAACCCTAGTCTACCACAAATCTCCCACCTTCTGCCCCAACAAGAGAGTTCGGGTTGTTCCCAAATGGAGTCTTCCATGGACCTATGAATCTGACCAGGGCACCTCAGCTGGGCTGGCCTCTGAGCATGTTTTTTGCTTTTTGTTTTCTTTTTGAGACAGAGTCTTGCTCTGTTGCCCAGGCTGGAGTGCAGTGGCATGATCTCGGCTCACTGCAACCACTGCCTCCCAGGTTCAAGCGTTTCTCCCAGGTCAGCCTCCAAGTAACTGGGATTACACTTGCCCACCACCACACCCAGCTAATTTTTGTATTTTTAGTAGAGCTGGGGTTTCACCACGTTGGCCAGGCTGGTCTTGAACTCCTGGTGACCCACCTGCCTTGGCCTCCCAAAGTACTGGGATTACAGGCATGAGCCACCGCACCCAGGCCCTGGCCCCTGAGCCTTTGCTGCACCAGCCTCTGTTCCACACAGACCTTTCCTGTGCCTTGACCCAGCGCCAGACCCTTCCTGACAGCTCCAGCCCCTAAGACCTGGGCAGCTCCTGGGTCTGTGATGGAAAGCTTTATGCTCACTCAGGAGGTCTCTACCTGGAGGTGCTTAAGCCCCAATGCAGAAGTTGATGAAGCTGCTTTCTAAGTTCAAAAACCTAGAGCTAGCTTTTCCCTTGGGTGCAGCACACACCTCGGCAGGAGGATGGGGTTGGGGGTTCAAGTCCCAGCCACCACCTCAAGTCTGGAACTCTCCTTTTTGTTCAGGCCCTATTGCTTACTCCAGAATCCATATTTTCTCATGGTACATTTCCCCTAGGAGGCCCTGCAGCCACCCACGCCACCCCACGACCCAGCTTCCATCTCGGCTACAAATAGAAAAACTCTAACTCGACTGGTAGACACTCCTGTCTCACAGAGGGGAAAACTGAAGGCCAGCAGGGCTGTTCCTGGGTCAGTTATGTCCATGGCTGTATGATAGGTTGGGGTACTGGTCCATAAATATTCACAGGCCTCCACCTGCCCTGGGTGAGTATACATCCTGAATGGTGTGCTGGGCTTGGTCATGTGACTCTCATCAGCAATTGGAATGTGAGTCAAGTTCTTATTTTTTTTTTTTTTTTTTTTTTTGCTTTTTTGAGAAAGGGACTTTGTCTGTTGCCCTGGCTGGTGTGCAGTGGGACAATGATAGTTCACTGTAGCCTCAAACTCCTAGGCTCAAGTGATCCTCCTGCCTCAGCCTCCCAAGTAGCCGGGAATACAGGTGCCCACCACCATGCCCAGCAAATTTTTAAATTTTTTGTAGAGACGGGGGTCTCACTATGTTGCCCAGGCTGGTCCCAGACTCTTGGGCTTAAGCAATACACTTGCCTAGGCCTCCCAAAGTGCTGGGATTAAAGGCATGAGCAACCATGACTGGTCATCCAAGGCCTTACATGTGCTCATGTGAGTTGACTGAGACCCTCGCACTCCTGAGACCTGCCATGAGAAGAATTCATCCCAGCTGTAGCATCCCTTCAGCCTGGTTCCCAGAATAAATACATTGGGGGAAGACCAGAGCCCAGCCTGCAGCCTGACGCAGCGGGGGCCAGCCCATTCTAGGTTAGCTAAACCACATCAACTTGCTCGCCTATGACCTGGGAGCCTGAGACAAGACTGCATCGGTCACTGAGTTTGGGGAGGGCTGTTTGCAGCATTACTGTAGCAACAGCTGACTAGTTCATGTGTTCATGGCAGGTTCACTTTGTCCTCAAGCCTGTCCCCAAAGGTCATGGATGGCTGCTGCAGGGCCGGGAGTTATGTCTTCAGTCATACAGAGAGGCAAGCGAAGGGGGCAGCTTTTCCTCTTGCCATGTATCTTTTTGTTTGTTTTATTTTTAGACTGGAGTGCTGGAGTGCAGTGGCACGATCTCAGCTCACTGCAAGCTCTGCTTCCCAGGCTCAAGCAATTCTCCTGCCTCAGCCTCCCCTGTAGCTGGGATTACAGGTGCGAGCCACTACTGCCCAGCTAATTTTTGTAGTTTTTATTAGAGACGGGGTTTCACCATGTTGGCCAGGCTCGTCTCGAACACCTGACCTCAAGTGATCCACCTGCCTCAGCCTCCCAAAGTACTGGGATTACAGGCATGAGCCACCATGCCCAGCCCTTCTCTTCCTTAAATTCAGTCCTAACTTTTCGTTTTTGATCAAAGGGAATGTTTCCCTCTCCCCAGTAGGCATCACCTCCTGTCTAAGGAGCACAGTCCTGTCACCCAGGCCCTGATCGATCACTCGCAAGAGGGATGAAATCATCCCAATAGGTTCACCTTGGTGCCCATTTCCTCCCTCCTTGTGGCCAGAAAGGGAGCCCGTGAATCACAGGGGCACCCAGTGGTCAACCCAAATCAGATTTCCGTCAGTTAGGACAGAAGTGGAGCAGGGCAATTGAGTGGGAACCCACAGGGCTGGCCACTGACTCCTGCTGCCCCAGGAAACCAGTGATCAAATGTTAGATGTGTGAAGCATATGTCAAATGCATCAGTGAAAAAACAGCACTGCGGGTCTTGTTTCCTGCAATTCCAGTAGGTCCTCCCTGCATTTACGTCTCTAAGGCAGTGGGGGACTGCCAGGTTGTCATTCACAGGCCCCTCCCCCTTTTTTTTTTTTGAGATGGAGTCTCTCTCTGTCACCCAGGCTGGAGTGCAGTAGTGTGATCTCAGCTCACTGCAACCTCCAGCTCCCAGGTTCAAGCCTCCTGCCTCAGTCTCCCGAGTAGCTGGGATTACAGGCGCACACCACCATGCCTGGGTAATTTTTGTATTATTAGTAGAGATGGGGTTTCAACATGTTGGCCATGTTGGTCTTGAACTCCTGACCTCAGGTGATCCACCTGCTTCAGCCTCCCAAAGTACTGGGATTACAGGCATGAGCCACTGTGCCCGGCCTTATGGGACCATTTTGAAAAACAACATATAAAATGGATAAAGTCAGAGATACTCTGGTTCCTAGGGGATATTGGTGGAGAGGGGAGTGGGGGAGTAGAAGCCCGATTTTCTCTGCCTTCCTCTTCACTCCCTCCTACTGAGGACCCCAAGAGACATTGTCAAAAAAACCAGGATTCTGTCAAAGTCAGTTAGGAAATTATTGGAAAACAGAAACAGAGCTCACATTTACTGAGTATCTACTACATTCTAGGCAATTGGGCATAGATTTGCTTGGAAAATATCCTTTATGCTCATTTAAGAAGAAATGAATCATTGTCTGAGGCCCTACCATAGCAGTAGAGCCAGGATTAAAAACCAGATGACTGGGTCGGGCGTGGTGGCTCACACCTGTAATCCCAGCACTTTGGGAGGCCGAGACAGGCAAATCACGAGGTCGGGAGATTGAGACCATCCTGGCTAACACGGTGAAACCCCATCTCTACTAAAAATACAAAAAGTTAGCCAGGCGAGGTGGTGAGCGCCTGTAGTCCCAGCTACTTGGGAGGCTGAGGCGTGAACCCGGGAGGTGGAGCTTGCAGTGAGCCGAGATGGTGCCACTACACTCCAGCCTGGGCGACAGAGAGAGACTCCATCTCAAAAAAAAAAAAAAAAGAAAGAAAGAAAAAGAGAAAAAGAAACCAGATGCCTGCCTCCAAAACCCATTTTTGGTCTCAGTCACAGAGCAGTGACCCTCAACCCAGCTAAGGGCTGGCCTTGGGACGGTCCCCAGGCTGGGCGTTTTGGAAACAGCGTCCATTCTGGAGCCTTGTGGTGGGTGATTTTGGAGAGGCCCGGGTTTGAGCTCCAGCAGTGAATATAAATTGCTATGCGGCCTTGGGCGAGTCTCTTCACCTCTTTCAATCTCGGTTTCCTTATCTGCAAAATGAGATGTTGGGTCCTTACATCTGTGACATCTTAGGACCTAAATTTAGCCCACTCCAGTTGGCCTGGATTGATAGCTGCTGGGTGAGCCCTCCCACAGCGAGGAGGCAGGAACAGCATTGAAGGGCCTGGGCCTCCCAGAGAGGAAGTGAAACTGGAGGCCTCTGCCTTCTTCCACCCCCTCTCCACCCTCACACACTGCCACCTTCTGAACTAATTGAAACCCAGCCAGAGTGGGCCCCCGCCAGTGACTCAGCCCCTGGCCCTATCTGATTGTCAAAGTCAATTCCTAGAAGTTGAAGAGAAGTCACTTCTCTTCTGCTGCCATTGCTACCACCTCCCACTGCAAGATGAGTTCTAATTCTGTCCTTCAACCACAGTCAGGAGGAAGGCAGTGAAGACACAAGAGGCTTTCAGGGGAAAGTCTGGGTTTGATGTGCGGAGGCTGGGCAGTGCTGGAAGGGGTGAGGGAGGAAGGGGACCGTCCTTGTCATGGTTGGAAACATGATGTGCAAAGGTGGGGAGGGGGGTGGGGGCGGGCAAGATCTCAGCTTGCCACTTATCAGCTGTGTGACCTTGGACACATTCCGTCATCTCTCTTTGCCTCAGTTGTACATCAAATAAACAGGAAAGCCCTCCTTCCCAATTTCACTTCTCAGAAGTAACTGCCGCTAGTGGTTCAGGGTTGCAGATACCAATCCAGAAGAGACAGAGAAGAAGATGGGAATTGAGATGGAAAGTAGGTACATGGGCACAGAGCGGCTGACTCTACACACAGTGGTGGGCTCATGCTGCGCTGGATGGTGGGGACAAGGGGAAGAGTGCGGGCTCTGCTCTGAAGAACTTGGCTTTGAAGAATTTTCTATCTCCTTCACTGATCTCCAAGAGAACATAAACCCAACAAGGCAGGAATTCTGCCTGTCTTCCCCAGCACGATACCCCCAGCACCTGGGCTTGTGCCTGGCACACAGGCACCTGAACAGAGGAACGTCAGGAGGCAGAGAAGCTAGAGACCTGGCTGCTGCCCCTTGACTGCAAGGTAAGCTGGCAGGTACTGGACAATAGCACCTGGTACCCAGTTTCCAAGCGCAAAATGCACATGTCTGCTGCTTCACTTCTGTCTTCCAAATCTCACTCAAAACGTCTTTTTTTTTTTTTTGAAACAGAGTCTTGCTCTGTCACCCAGGCTGGAGTGCAGTGGCACAATCTCAGCTTACAGCAACCTCTGCCTCCTGGGTTCAAAGGATTCTCCTGCCTTAGCCTCATGAGTAGCTAGGATTACAGGTGCCCGCCACCATGCCTGGCTAATTTTTGTATTTTTAGTAGAGATGGGGTTTTGCCATGTTGGCCAGGCTGGTCTCGAACACCTGACTTCAGATGATCCGCCCACCTTGGCCTCCCAAAGTGCCGGGATTACAGGCGTGAGCCACCGTGCCTGGCCTCAAAATGTCTTATGACCGACGCTACCCCAGAGCTATGCAGGGAAGGGAATCTGGGAAACATAGTTTCAGTTCAGTCAAGTTGTCACAATACAAAGCCACCTCAGTTCAGATCATCAAGACGCCTTCAGATTGTACCGTGACAGAGAGCAGGAACGTTAGTTAACATAATCTGGGGTTTAGACAGTGACTGTGGACTGATGTCTGCCCGATGTGAATACGCACTGCTTTCATCCACCTTTCCGATGTGGATAGAAAAGAATACACTCTCCAGATCAATAGCCACATACTAAGAGCCAGAGGTGATGACAATCTGTTCAATTAAGATGCCACATCTGGCACAGCAGCTGTGATTGGTCCTACCACTTAGTTATATTTGCAGTGATTTACCATCTTCTGCCATGATCCACCAGGTTTTTTGTTGTTGTTTTTTTTTTGTTTTGTTTTTGGGGTAGAGTTTTGCTCTGGTTGCCCAGGCTGGAGGGCAGTGGCGTGATCTTGGCTCACTGCAACCCCCGCCTCCTGGGTTCAAGTGATTTTCCTGCCTCAGCCTCCCGAGTAGCTGGGATTACAGCCATGCGCCACCACACCCAGCTAATTTTGTATTTTTAGTAGAAATAGGGTTTCTCCGTGTTGGTCAGGCTGGTCTTGAACTCCTGACCTCAGGTGATCCACCCGCCTCAGCCTCCCAAAGTGCTGAGATTACAGGTGTGAGCCACCATGCCCAGCTACCACCAGGTTTTTACAAAGGCCCTCTTGGTGACCTAAATGGGGGTATGATAGGAACCACCACTCCTGCATCCTTTAAGTCTTTCAGGGTGGCTCTCATCTCTGCAATTGCTTCTAATATGCGGTATCACTTCTGATTTACTATCTTAGCCAGGCTGGGGCAGTCCATTCTGACATATCCACCTCTATGAGCCCTTTTTTTTTTTTTTTTTTTACAGAGTCTCACTCTGTTATCCAGTCTGGAGTATAGAGGCACAGTCACGGTTCGCTGCAGCCTCAACCTCCTGGCCTCAAGCAATCTTCCCACCTCAGCCTCCTAAGTAGCTGGGACTACAGGTGTGTACCACCACACCTGGCTAACTTTTCTATTTTTTGAAGAGATGAGGTCTCACTGTGTTGCCCAGGCTTGTCTTGAACTGGATTCAAGCAACCCTCTCACTTCAGCCTCCCAAGGCGCTGGGATTGCAGGCATATGCCACTGTGCCTGGCCAGCTTTTTTATTCCTTCCTTGAAACTTTGCCATGGCAGTTTCGTCATCTCCATCTCATTTGCTGTAGGCTCATTTCATGTCCAAGCCCCAAGTAGCCATCCCAGCAGCATTATAAAATGGGACCAGGGCTCCGGAGTCACAGGAGAGTGTCCCATATATCCTCATATCCATATCACCTTATATCCTCTGTCCTCTAATATAGGATGATCACCCCCAGGGGTGTTCTCCTAGTTCCTACAAGTACACATGAGCCAGCTCCTGCACAATTCATCTCCTACTAAAGAAACTTTAGACCATGCCAAGACCTGACCCTAGTTATTGGTCTGAATAGCAGTTGGGAAAAATTGAGGATGTTGTAGAAGAATCCACATTATCCTGAGAAGCAAATCATCCACCTCAGGTGAGGCTTTGCATTGTCTCCCACCAAGGGGAGGCTGCTCTTCTCTAGCAAAGAGGATGGGAGATCACTTCTACCAGTCCAGACTTTCAGGGGAATCTGAGGGTCCGGTTTAACAGGAATACCCACACAAATGTTCCCCTCCTAGGTTTCAGGGTCCCAGTCTTTCCCTACTGGCTCTCTGATTTCAGCATAGAAGTCTTTCTGGAGTAGTGAATTTAGCCCCCTGTGTACTGCCACTACTCTTGCAATCAGATCTTAGGTCTGATTTTCAGCACAGTCTGCCTTCTGGCTTCAGGAGTTAATGGTCTATTTCAGCACCACCCTGTGAGCCTTCCGGCTTTCACACTGGGACATAAATTGATAGTTGGCTAATCTGAGCCTGCCATTTTCTTTGTTTAGGGCTTTAATTGCAGTTAACTTCAGCCAAACAACTCTGCAATCCTTACAGTTACCATTGCCCCCTATCTCTCAAGTGATAGAGATATACCACTGTGTTTCCTTCCACCTACAAATCTTCCCAATCCAATCAGGTGACAGCCTTAGCAAGACTGAGGCTACAGCACACCAGGTGTTACCACCACTTCACTTACCACCAGAAATGTGGTTTTTATTGCCATCTTGACTGTGAGTGATTGCGTCCAAGAAGCCTATCTTGAGAATCTACTTCCCAGGACCATTTGCAATACCAACTGTCTCA
Organism: Homo sapiens; assembly: GCF_000001405.40. NCBI lineage: Eukaryota > Metazoa > Chordata > Mammalia > Primates > Hominidae > Homo > Homo sapiens. The sequence continues at coordinate 124,206,225 of NC_000009.12, forward strand.
GGTTATGTTCCCCTAGAAGCAGATCCTGAGACAAGGATTAAGTGTAAGCAGCTAGTTTATTTTAGAGCTGATCTCAGGAAATAACAATAGGGAAATGGGGAAGCAACACAAAGAAGGAAAAGCAATAAAGTATATGTGTTAATAAGCAGGCTCCCACTATGGGCAACTAAGGCTCCATGTCACCAGGGAACTGTCAGAGTAGAACATGCCGTAGAGCTGTCCTACTCAAGGGGAAAGGAAGCTGGTATATTTGTCCTTCCACTCCTGTGCACCCTTGGCTGAATGCTATTCCTGAGGGTGTTAACAACCCCATGCTTCTGGCCTCAGCCAACCAACTCTGCAATATGGTGAAGAGGAAGCACTCAGGCAGAAAATCAATCACAGGTGCTTGTGCAGGACACCATCTGCATGTACCAGAAAATCAAGTACCCAGGGGATCTGGGTGGGGCACTGACTGCAGCAACAGGTCTATTGAGAGTACAAGATATACATGCATTGCAATTACTAAAGAATAAAAAGAGCGAAGTTACTGAAAGCTTACTATGTTTAAGCATTTTACATGCTGTTAACTCCTTTCATGTTCACAATAACCCTGTTAGTTGACTACTATTAGGATCCCCATTTTACAGGTGAGGAAAATGAGACACGGAGGTACTAAGACATGGAGATACTTGCCCAACATCCCACAGCAAGTAAATCACTATTCTTCAAGCTCCATGAGGGCTGTTGACTCTTCACCGATGTGTATTTGGTGATTTTGTTCACCAATGTATATTTAATAGACATTTAATGTATCTTTGCTACGTAAAATGTATATTTACAATGTATATTTAACAGATTAAATGAATGATGAGATTATCTCGTATGTACACAATGAGCTCCTCGAGGACTGGAACTGGATCTTTTGGTCTTGGTATTCAGAGCACCTAGCACTCAATGAGAATTTATTGAATAAATGAGTGAATGACTTAGGTAGGGGCTGAGAACTGGAAGTCTCTTCCTCTGCCACAAATAACTGTGGGAGCTTGGCTAAGTCACCTCCCTGGCTTGGCTTCAGTTCCCCACTCTAGAAACACGCCACACCACACTTGCCTCGTACCCTTGCAGACCCTTGCTCAAGTACCACCACTGCCATAATTCTTGGACTCTCATTGGCACTGCCAGTCCATTGGCCCCACCTCTTCTCACTATCCATTGGTCCCCTCCTGGCTTCCTTCCTCTACTTGAGTGATTCAATTTCACCCCATCATCTTCCCGGTGGTGTGTGAGTTTCCTACGGCAGATGTAACAAATTACCAGAAACTGCATGGCTTCAAGCAAAAGAGTCTATTCTCTCACTGTTCTGGAGGCCAGAAGTCTGAAATCAAGGCGGCAGCAGGGCCGAACTCCCTGTGAAGTCTCTAGAGGAGAACCTTCCTCATCTCTTCCAACTTCTGGCTCCAGGTGTACCTCGGCCTGGGGCTGCATAACTACAGTCTCTCCTCCATCTTTACATGATCTTTTCCTCCTCTGTGTCTTGTCTTCTTCTTTTTTTTTTTTTTTGTGGTTGTTATTTTTGTTTTGTTTTGTTTTGTTTTGTTTTGTTTAGAGGGAGTCTCTCTCTGTTGCTCAGGCTACAGTGCAGTGGTGCCATCTCGGCTTACTGCAACCTCTGCCTCCTGGGTTCAAGCAATTCTCGTGCCTCGGCCTCCTGAGTCTCTGGGATTACAAGCACCCACCACCACACCCAGCTAATTTTTTGTATTTTTTAGTAGAGTCGGGGTTTCGTCAAGTTGGCCAGGCTGGTCTTGAACACCGGACCTCAAGTGGACCCACCTGTCTTGGCCTCCCAAAGTGCTAGGATTACAGACTTGAGCCACCTCGCCCGGCTGTCTTCTATCTTTATAAGGACACTGTCATTGGATTCAGGGTCTACAGGAATAATCCAGGATGATCTCATCCTGAGATCTTTAATTACATCTCCATAATTCAATTACATCTCCAAAGACCCCCACTCCCTCTTTTTTTTTTTTTTTTTTTTTTTTTTTTTTTTTTTTTTTGAGACAGAGTCTTGCTCTGTCACCCAGGCTGGAGAGTGGTGGTGCCATCCTGGCTCACTGCAATTCCACCTCCCAGGTTCAAGTGATTCTCCTGCCTCAACCTCCCAAGTAATTGGGATTACAGGTGCACACCACCACGCCTGGCTAATTTTTTTGTGTGTATTTTTAGTAGAGACGGGGTTTTGCCATGTTGGCCAGGCTGGTCTTGAACTCCTGACCTCAAGTGATCCACCTGCCTTGGCCCCCCAAAGTGCTGGGATTACAGGTGTGAGCCACCGCGCCCGGCCCAAAGACCCTTTTTCTAAATAAAGCTACATTCACAGGTTCTGGGGGGTTTGGCTATGGACATATATCTTTGAGAGCACCATTCAATTTACTACACCCGGTGACTTCCTGACTCTATGTGCCTGTGCCACCCCACCCAAGTGAGTATCACTGGAGAAAATCACACAGCTAAGCTTCCGGGTTTCACTCTAAATTCATGACCACAGACCTCAAATGGGCACCTCAAGCTGCCCCACAGAGCCTCCTGTGTTTCTCTTTTCTGGAGTAAGCATTTCCTATCTTTTCACTTTTCAAATGTATCACCCCCTTGCCACCCCATCTCTCTCAATAGGTAACCATGCCCCAAACACCACTGATGGAACAGATGCTCAAGAGGCGTGACTGCCTTCTTGGTCTTGCCCCATCCCTGTGAACCTATCTCATCTGCCTTGGTCTTTGTGTCCTCCTTCCTGGCATCCAGAGGCCATGTCCCTTCTCTTCCCAGAGGCCAATGCCATGACTTGTGCTCTGAATCCCATTCCTTCTCGCCTTTTGTTTTTTGGTTGTTTGTTTGTTTGTTTGTTTGAGACACAGTCACTCTGTAGCCCATGCCTGTGTCATGCAGTGGTGCGATCTCGGCTTGCTGCAACCTCTGCCTCCTGGGTTCAAGCGATTCTCCTACCTCAGCCTCCCAAGTAACTGGGACTATGAGCGCATGCCACCACGTCCGGACAATTTTTGTATTTTTGGTAGAGACTGTCTCTACCAGTCTTGAACTCCTGACCACCTGATCCGCCCACCTCAGCTTCCTGAAGTGCTGGGATTACAGGAGTGAGCCGCTGCATCCACCCCGCTTCTTGCCTTTTTAAGGGCTTGAATCCTATTGTGTGTTCCTGATCAGTACCTCCCTCTCCTGTTAGCCCACAGACCTGCTCCGGGGTGTTGCATCTTGAAAACTCCTCCCACCTTGGGCCCTTCCCCTCCCTTCCTCCTCCCATTATCTTTGTAGAGCTGCCTCTGACTCCTCACCTCCCATCTTCCTTTCGTTAGCCCAACCCTATTGCCTCTATTCCTCTGAACGGAGTCCTAGGGCTCCCGGGAGGCCCTGTAGGAGTAAAGGCAGGAGGTAAGGGGCTCCAGGCCCTCCACTTCTCTCCAGCCTCAGCAGCAGAACACTCATCTGTTCAAACTAGGCTATTCCGGCCCCAGCCACCGAGACCCCCTGTTCTATCACTCCGAATGGAATCTCAGCCTCTCTTCCTTTTGAGGCTTTGTTTTGGGGATGCACTTCTTGATTCTTAGTTTGGGCCTAATTTCAGCCAGTTCAAACTGGTTTGAGCTGAATTAGGACAAATACAACCAGCCACTGCCAGCTTCAAATGGTTTGAATCAGCTAGATCAGTTGACCAGTTCACTGAGCTCAGATGGATTTCAGTGATCCATTGTGGCTAAAATCAGGCCAACCCAGAGAGTTGAGAACGGGCCCAGTTAGAGAGACCCCATGACAGGATGGAGCTGGAGTCACTTCCAAACCTGTTTGCTGGTTTCATCTAGTTTGCTCTGGTCATAATGAGCTTTTGAAGTGTCTTGGGGGTGGAGGGGGACACCATAAATTTACGCTTGGAAAAAAATTTCAAAGTGTTTGGAAACCACTGGGCGAATAATTACTAAGATGTCCAGCCCTGCTCATGGTTTTAAATGCTAAGGGAAGGCCAGTGTTGATGTCCATTTTATTTTTAGTTTTATTTTCTGAGATGGAGTCCCACTCTGTCGCCCAGGCTGGAGTGCAGTGGCGTGATCCCAGCTCACTGCAACCTCCACCTCCCAGGTTCAAGCAATTCTGCCTCAGCCTCCCGAGTAGTTGGGATTACAGGTGCCCGCCACTACACCCAGCTAATTTTTGTATTTTTAGTAGAGATGGGGTTTCACCATGTTGGCCAGGCTGGTCTCCAACTCCTGACCTCAGGTGATCTACCTGCCTTGGCCTCCCAAAGTGCTGGGATTCCAGATGTGAGCCATTGTGCCTGGCCCATTTTATTTATTTTTTATTAAGTTTTAGAGCTTTCATTTTTCATTTTTTCACTTTAATTTTTATTTTTAAACACTTTACTTTTTTTAGAGCAGTTTTTTTGTTTACAGCAAAAGAAGCAGAAAGCACAGAAAATTCCCATATACCCCACCACCTCCAACCCCATTATTTCACCTATGATGAACATCTTGAATTACTGTAGTACATCTGTTACAATTGGTGAGCAGTATTAACACATTATTATTGACTAAAGTCCATAGTTCACACTGGGATTCACTATAGAATGCACAACACAAATGTATAATGCATGATGACTCATGTATACACATTTAATGTACAATGACTAACATATAATGACAAGCACCCACCGTAACAGCATCATGCAAAATAGATTCACTGCCCCAAAATCCCCTGTATTCCACCTCGTCATCTCCCCTCCCTTCCTCCACCCCCAGCTTCTGGCAATCACCGGTCTTTTTTTTTTTCTTACTGTTTTAATAGTTTTGCCTTTTCCAGAGTGCCATATAGTTGGAATCATACAGTATGTTGCCTAATCAGACTGGCTTCTTTCACCCAGTAATATGCATTTAAAGCTCCTCCATGCTCTTTCATGACTTAATAGTTCACTTCTTTTTTTTATTGTGGTAAAATATACAAAACACAAAATTTTTCACTGAGACAGAGTCTAACTCTGTGGCCCAGGCTGGAGTGCAATGGCGTGATCTCGACTCACTGCAAAATCTGCCTACCAGGTTCAAATGATTCTCCTGCCAAGTAGCTGGGATTACAGGTGCCCACCTCCATGCCCAGCTAATTTTTGTATTTTTAATAGAGACGGGGTTTCACCATGTTAGCCAGGCTGCTCTCAAACTCCTGACCTCAAGTGATCCACTTGCCTCGGCCTCCCAAAGTGCTGGGATTACAGGCGTGAGCCACCACACCCGGCTTCATTTTAACCATTTTGAAGTGGCATGAAGTACATTCAAATTGTCGTGCCACCATCCATCACCCAAACCGAAATCCATAACCATTAAACCATAACTCCTCATTCCTACAGTCTGTTTCTTTTCATTACGGGATAATATTCCATTGTCTGGATGGGCCACAGTTTGTTTATCCACTCACCTATTGAAGGACATCTTGGTTCTTCCCACATCTTGCCAATTATAAATGAAGCTGCTATAAATATTTGTGTGCAGGTTTTTGTGTGCACATAAGTTTTCAAGTCATTTGGGTAAACACAAGGAGTGTGATTGCCGGGCCTCTGTCTGACTTTATTTCATCAACCGCATCAAGCACCTGGAGTGCGGCAGGAGCCAGGCCCAACACTCTATGTCTGTTACCTTATTTAATAACAGCCCACAATACAGCCAGGCACAGTGGCTCATGCCTGTAATCTTGGCACTTTGGGAGGCCAAGGCGGGTGGATCACATGAGGTCAGGAGTTCGAGACCGGCCTGGCCAACATAATGAAACCCTGTCTCTACTGAAAATACAAAAAAATTACCCAGGCATGGTGGTGCACACTTGTAGTCCCAGCTACACCGGAGGCTGAGGCAGGAGAATCGCTTGAACCCAGGTGACGGAGGCTGCAGTGAGCCAAGATCATGCCACTGCACTCCAGCCTGGGTGACAGAGCAAGACTCTGACTCAAACAAACAAACAAACAAACCCACAATAACCCTGAAAACAGACGCTGTTATCCCCAAATTACTGAGGAGCAAACTGAGGCTCAAGGAGGTGAAAAAAAACTTGCCCATGGTCACATATCTGTGAACTGGCATGGCCAGGATGCCAATCCAAGCTTTCAGATTTACAGAAATGTGCACGACTGAGAGTTGGGGCAGAGAGATTATTTCCGGCTTTCTTTTCTAATCATTTTTTTTGTTGCTCCTTTTCTCCCTTTGACATAACAAACCAGTTTGTTTTCCGATCTGATTGTTCTCAAAGGAATGTCCTTTCCTTCTCCGTTACTCTCGGTTTAATTGGAATAGTCCTCTGACTCAGGAATGACCTACTTTTGGCTAATAAAGAAACCTCTCCACCCCCACAAACGCTGTCCTGTGAGTCCCCTTCCTCATCCATTCGCATCCCTGGACTCACTTGGAAACAGCTCCTGGTTGTGGAGAAACAAACATCTTCAAGTGGATAAATCTCTTTATCTTGTGAGACCTTCTCCCATGTGTGTGTCCTGTGATTGTGGGGTCCCTGGGGAGACCCAGGATCAGGGCAGGCACATCGGGATGTGTTGCAGGCAGCAACCACCGTGGGTGGTTTTCTTTATGGTCCACCATGTTCGTGGGCAATAGAGCTGAAGTTCACAGGGTCACGCCACCCTGGATCCAAAGGAAAACACAACCAGAAAAGAGACGGGGCCCACCCATGCCAACAGCTCAGCCAGGCCCAGTCAGTACCCCCTAGTGGCCTCCCCTTCCTTCCCCATCCTGGCCCATTCCCTCCATCTCCAAGCCCCCTTAAGTACCAATAATGGAAGTGCTTACCAGGCCCCGCAACAATTCACCCTTATCTTTTATTTATAGCTGACAAAGCTCCAAGCAGGAAAAATATAATCACACTTTAAATAATGGAAGTTGTAGGTATTAGAGCTACACGGGCAGTTACTGGAGTTGCAGCGATGTCTCCCTGCAGACCTGACGGGGCGCATGCCGACTGCATTTTTAATTTTTAAAACATATTTCTTCCCAAATTATTCCACGTTACCGAGGAGCCACATTTATGGGGGTGATAAATTACTGTAATAAAGTGCCTCTTCCTCAAATATATAGGAGGAAGGCACGTTGAGCACAGCCCAGCACAGGCAGCCCCGAGAGAGTGGCGAGAAGTCCCACTGCCTCCCTCCTCGCTTTAATTATTTGGCTGATGTGTCCTACATTTTTAATACAGTCACAAGTTTTCTTTAAGCAAAGAATTCGAACCGGTAACTAATTTGTATTTGTGTGTGCCGGTGCCTGGGAAGACATACGTATGTGAGTGTCTGTGTGTGTACCCTTGGGCAGTGAGACATGCGTGATTGCAAACCAATGTAATGTGCGTGTGTGAGCATGTCTGCAAATATGCATGCATGTTTGCATGTGCAAGTGTAGGGAGGCAGCTTGTGGATGCCCGGATATGAGCCACACGTGTGGATGCCCAGGAGTATGAAAAGATCCCTGACTGTATGGGGCATGCACGTATGAGCACATTTACGTGGATATATGTGCATTAGCTAAACACGCATTTTTGTGTAGACCTGTGTGCACCGTACACATAGCGTGCATGGATTTGTGCGTGTCAGAGCACACTAGTGTGGACGTATGTGTTCGGGCACGTTTTTCTAGGCTGATCTGCCTTCTTGCAGACCTTTGTGTGCCTTTGAATCTTTTCTTCTGCATTGAACCACCTCCCCTTCTGTCTTCCCTCCTTCCCCAAACAGTGAAGCACTGAGGTTAAGCCAGAGGCTCTGAGGTCAGACTGACTGGGTTCAAATCTCAGCTCTGCCTCTTATGAGCTATATAATCTCAAGCAAAGCATCTGGTGCCTCAGTTTACCCATCTATAAAATGGGGTTCATATGAAGAGTAGTTACCTCATAGGGCTGCTGGGAAGATGAATGGGTTTAATACACAGAAAGTGCCGGATGTGTAGTGAGCACAAAGCACTTCCTCCTTCCTGTTGGACATAGCACACGCTTCCTTGGGAAGTTACATGCTAGAGAGAGCCAAGGGTGGGGAAGCCACGACCCTGTGAGGCAGTGGTCTAGCTCGGCACCTACCCTCCTCCTGCCCCAGCTCATCTGGTGGGAGGAGAGCCATGGGGGAGGGAGGGTGAGCACTCAGCTACGCGAGTTTGTGGATGCTCGAGGGCAAGGCTGTGCCCAGTTCATCTCTGCTCCCCTGGCCCCAGCACAGGGTCCGGCAGAGTGGGCACCATGGGCATTTGCCATCTGGACAAAAATGTGAACATGTGAATGGGAGGGGAGATGGGGTAGAAGATGGGTGTCGGTGGCTTATTTGGGAGACGGTGATCACAGGAAGTAGGAGAGAGAGAGTGGGGACAGTGGGGCAGGGAAGAGAGAAAAGCCAATAAGGGTCTTCCTGTGCAAATGAGCAGGTCCCTGGGTGGGCGCACGGGGCTCAGTTCCACTGGGGCCCCGCCAAGGGTCTTCACTGCCCGCCGCCCCTCCCTGGGGGAGGGCCTCCCCTGGGGACTTTTGCAGCCCTGACATTTCTGGGTTACCCTGTGTGAACTTGATCGCTGGGAGCTCCTGTGGTGCCGGAGAAAGCCCAGGCAGGGGACTAGGGGTGAGAACATGTAGTGGGGACAGTCCACTGCAGGGCAGGGAACTCAAAGGTGCTCCAAGGAGATATGGGCGGTACATCAACAGAAGCTGCTACAGGGCCATGTTGAACATCCAGACCCACAGACAGACCTGAGGGTGGACACATCTGCCTGTGGACGGCGGACACGTGTACTACTCCTGGCCACATGCCAGATTCACAAACTCAGGGCTCCTTTCCCTTCCCCACAAACATCCCCCAACCTCCTTGATTCTGCATGTGCTGCTCCTCCTGCCTGGAAAGGCCTTCAGCTACAACCAACCTGAAAAATTCCTTTAGGTGCCTGTTTGGGCTCCACTCAAATACCATCTTGTGCACCAAGCTTTCCAGTCAAAAGGAATCCCTTCCTCCCCCCCAGTCCCTGGGGGCTTCCCTTGAACCCCAAACATGACCCTTACTGGCAGCCATCTGGTGTTACAACAACATAGATGCTGACACATCTGTCCCCCACCAGCCATGGGCTCCTCAAGAACAAAGAGCATGTCTGTGTCACAGCTGTACCCCCAGTGCCCAACACAGAGCCCAGCGTGGATGCGGTGCCTCAGTTTCCTCACATGAATCATGGGGGGATAATGGCATCCACTTCATCCTGTCCTGGGGAGGGTCTGATGAGTGAATGTGTTTAGACTGCTATACTTGGAGCAATGCCTGGCACTAGGGAAGCATCGGACACATGTTATTCTCATCAATATGGTTCTGAATGGACTTGGAAGACCCAAGTGAAAGCAGTGCCAGCTTCTATGGGGCACCTACAACTGCCCTGTGTCACCCTGTTTTACAGATGAGGACACTGAGGCCCGGGAAGGGTCACACAGCTAGACAGGGCACAGCCAGGACCTGAGTCCAGGTCTGTGACCACAGTGCCTGTGTCCTCTCCTGCACCATGCTGCTGCAGGCCCTCTCTGTCTCTCTGTCTCTCTCTGTCTCTCTTTCTGCCTCCCTGACGTTCTCCCCACCCAGGGGTAGCTCTCCAGAGGCTGTCGCAGGTAGTGGATGAAACATGGACCTTTTTTTTTTTTTCCTTAAGACAGAGTGCCGTGGTGTGATCTCGCCTCACTGCAACCTTTGCCTCCCAGGTTCAAGCAATTCTCCTGCCTCAGTCTCCCGAGTAGCTGGGATTACAGGGGCCCGCCACCACGCCGGCTAATTTTTGTATTTTTATAAAGACGGGGTTTCACCATGTTTGCCAGGCTGGTCTCGAACTCCTGACCTCATGATTCGCCCGCCTCAGCCTCCCAAAGTGCTGGGATTCCAGAAATGAGCCACTGCGCCCAGTCGGACATTGATTTTTAACAAACGTGGGTTCAAATCCTGGTCTGCCATTCACCAGCTATGTGACCGTGTTGGGCCTGTGGCATCCGCTCCCTGAGCCTCAGTTTCTCCACCGTCTCCTGAGGACTTGAGGACACTGTCTAAAGGCAGGTTTGCCATAGCACTGTGAAAGCATCGGCTTTGGGGCTCCTCACTTGCACAGGCCCTTTTGGAATACAAATTCACTTTCATAGGTAAGTTTGAATTTGATTCTTTTGTCTTCAGGCTCCCCACTCCAGTCTACCCCAAGACTCTCTCTCAGATCCTTCTAGCTGGGATGAAAGACCAGGGGCAGGGTGGCAGAGCACCCATGTTTACCCCACTCCCATACTCTGCCCAGAGGTCGGGGCCTGTCCACCGTTGGGCCTCATGTCACAGATGGGGACATGGCCTGGCAGGGCGAAGGGACTTCAGGAGATCATACAGTAAGTTAGTGTCACAGCCGGACTTGGAGCCACATCTCCCAGCTTCAAGGCTCCCTGTTGTGCTGTGGGGAAGGGGTGCACAGGGCTGGCCCGGGGACAGGGCCTGTTCCTCACTTATGAGTGCCGTGGGCTGGGGCTCAGAGGGTGACTTGGTGCCTTGTAAGGGGGCCAGGGGCAGCTGTGGGTGGGGGTGTCCGGGGATTACTGCTAAAATAAGTAGCAGCTTCCTCTGAAACGCCTCTGTGGTCTGTGGAGGGGAAGGAAGTGGAGGACCGGAAACAGGGGAGGCAGAGAGGTGAGAGGCTGAAACTTCTGCCAGCATAGCAGAGACCAAGCTGGGCACCCCCCACCCACCCAGACACAACAGTTGGCCTCTGCCAGGCTGCAGCCTTGGGGCTGCAACCAGGAGGGCCTGGGAAGCTCAGGCCCAGCCCTAATATGGCCACCCAGAGGCTAGAGAATCCCTCTAGGTTGCTCCTGGCTGGCTGGGCTTCTTCCCTTCCTCAAGACACCAGTCACTTCATGCACCATTCTCTTTGCCTGGAATGCCCTTCTCTACATTTTCCTTTAGGGCCCAACACCAATGTCACCTCTTCTGGGAAGCCTTCCCTGACCACCCACCACACACACACACACACACACACACACACACACACACACACACAGAGAGAGAGAGAGAGAGAGAGAGAGGCAGGACAAGACAGCCACAGACCTTCATCATGAATAGTGGCATTCACTGTGACAGTGGCGTTCATCCAGTGCTTCATGTTTATGAACTGCTCTGCATGGATGATCTCATTGAATGTTTACAAAAACACAATGTGTGGTTCTATCAATAGCTTCATGTTACAGACGAGTGAACCAAGGCTCAGAGATGAGCAACTTCCCCAAGGTGGCATAGTCAGAAAATGGCTGAGTGGGGAGTGTGACCCAGGTCTGACTCCACAGCTAGGTCATTGAACCATGCACTATCCTCTGAGACTGGGATGGGATCAGTGTTGTGCAACTTGCCTGCTCCAAGGAGGCTGCATTGTGACCCTAGCAAAGCTTCATTTTCAGCCTTGCCCTTCCCAGCACCCCTGGAGTAGCTGGGAGCTATAGAGTACTCTAGGGAGAGAGGGAAACCAGCTTGTAATGAGGAAGCATTTCCATGTAAACATTTCTGGTAAACTGTGTGAAGGGATCTCAGAAGTATCTCCAAGCCCTTGATACTGTCTTGGGTTTTGTTTTCTCCTTCTAAATAAATGCTTTTGAATCTAATTTTGTATTCTGTTTCTACAGATGGGGCTTCCAAAATTGAAAAGCTTCAGACTTCACAAATCCTAGGTCCACCCTGCGGTGCCCTGTGACTTAACCACAACCACTGCACTGCCTGGGCTTCCCCAGCCCTCTCCAAGGCCCGCTTTCACTGTACCGGGGTTTTCTATTTATGGATCCGCCCTGCTACCCGCCACTCCCACAACCCCCACCCATAGATGGGCCATGAGCTCCTCATGGGCAGAGGGCGAGCCCTGGTTTCTTGGTACCCTAGGGACTGCTTGGTATATAGAAGCCCAGGACAGATTTGTTACATGAGGGAATAAAGGAGTAAATGAATGAGTGAATGAATGAATATGGGTCCCTTCAATGCCATCAGGAAGTATGAGAGATACAACTCCAGCTTTAAAACTCCAGGTCAGCTGGGTATGGTGGCTCACCCTTGTAATCCCAATACTTTTGGAGGCTGAGGTGGGCGGATCGCTTGGGCCCAGGAGTTCAAGACCAGCCTGGGCAACATGGTAAAACCCCATCTCTACAAAAATTAACTGGGCGTTGTGGCATGCACCTGTCATCCCAGCTACTCGAGAGGCTGAGGTGGGAGAATTGCTTGAGCCCCGTTAGTGGAGACTGCAGTGAACTGTGATCGCACCACTGCACTGCACTGCAGCCTAGGCGACAGAGTGAGACTCTGTCTCAAAAAAAAACTCAAGGTCCATCTCCCTGTGTGCCAACCCTGCATGGGTGTTGAGGGTGACTGACAATTTGGACAGGGTTCAGCTGAAGCCAGTCTCTAGCAAGGAGGCCCAAAGCCCCTCCGGTCACTCTGCTCCCTACAGAGGCAGCACTCTAGGCCCCAGGCCTGGACCTCAAGGCTGCAGCAGGGCCCCTGGCCGCCCCCTATAGCCTTGGAAGCCCCTGAGAAGAGGCCCTTCAGTGCAGCTGCAGCAGGTCAGACGCCTCCTCTGGAGAAGAAGGAAGTGAAAGTGCTGTGGTGGGTGAGTCATCGGAGTGTCCCTCTGGACGGATTGATGCCATGAGTGGCATAAGAGGGACAGGCTGGGAGGGAAGAGACACCAGGGTTAGGAGCCCTTTTAGTATCCTCCAGGAAGGCCCCACCTCACCTCCCAGCCCCTCCCAGACACAGGGGTCTTCAGCTTGGAGAAGAGAATGCCTTGGAGATGCCATCTTTGTCCTAGTCTCTGAAGTGGGTAGAAATTAGACAAGGTCCACAGCAGAGGGGGAAGATGGAGTCAGATGGGGAGGTCACAGAGGCTAACTGGTTGCCACCAGGGCCAGGCTCTGGTGGGCTGGCTGCTGCCTGGCAGTAGTGATGGCCAACAGCAAGTAGGGTGGTCTCCTGCCATGGGTCAGGATGTGGATTCTGGATTTGAACCTCATGTCCTCAAACCCCAGCTCTGCCCCTCATGAGCTGCAGGATCCCAGGCAAGTGGCTTCCCCTCTCCTTCCTCTGCTGTCGAGTGAGATCATAGCACTTAATGCATAGGATGAGCAGGGCATGATTAGATACATTACTGTATGTAAAGTGCATAGAAGAGTGCCCGTTCCCAGGAAACCCACAATAAACAGTAACTACTGTATCAGGCAGCATCTCATCAGGAAGCCTGAAATGCCCTAGGTTTTGAACAGAAGGGATTTAATACAGGGGCTTGTCTTCCAATGGAAGGACTGAGAAACAAAACAGGGAATGGTGCAGCCGCCCAGGGATAGGACTTTGCAGTCATATTCTACTTCCTACTGATGCTCGTCCTCAACCTAGTTGCTTTATGTCTCAGAGCTTCAGTATTTTCACATGTAAAAATGGGAATAAAAAGGACCTTTTTTAATTTATTTTTTTATTTTTTAGATGGAATCTCCCTCTGTCGCCCAGGCTGGAGTGCAGTGGCGTGATCTCGATTTGCTGCAACCTCCGCCCCCTGGGTTCAAACAATTCTCCTGCCTCAGCCTCCCTAGTAGCTGGGATTACAGGCATGTGCTACCACACCCGGCTAATTTTTGTATTTTTAGTAGAGACGAGGTTTTGCCATGTTGGCCAGGCTGGTCTCCAACTTCTGACCTCAGGTGATCCGCCCACTTTGGCCTCCCAAAGTGCTGAGATTACAGGTGTGAGCCACCGCGCCTGGCCGATATTTTTTTTTGAGACAGAATCTCACTCTGTCTTCCAGGCTGGAGTGCAGTGGCGCGATCTCGGCTCACTGCAAGCTCCGCTTCCCGGGTTCAGGCCATTTTCCTGCCTCAGCCTCCCAAGTAACTGGGACTACAGGCGCCTGCAAGCACGCCCAGCTAATTTTTTGTATTTTTAGTAGAGACGGGGTTTCACTGTGTTAGCCAGGACGGTCTCCATCTCCTGACCTCGTTATCCACCTGCCTCAGCCTCCCAAAGTGCTGGGATTACAGGCGTGAGCCACAGTGCCCGGCCGATATTTTGTTTTTAAGAATGAAATAGGATAATGTAGGTAGAGTGTTTGGTAGAGTACTGGCTCAGCGTAAGGACTCAACAATGATCCTAGCAATCGCTTATGCAACACGCTAGTTCTCATGACAGTTCTATGAAGCAAGTACTGTGATCACTATGACTCCTATTTAACAGAAGAGAAAACTGAGGCATGGAGAGATCAAGTCACGCAACTAGTAAATGGCAGAGCTGATCTGAACCAAACTGTTGGGCTCCTAAGTCCCACCCTTAACCATTACACTATGCCCCCTTCCCATTTCACCATCAACAGCTCTCTCCCCAGTCAGCCTCACTCAAGCTCAACGCCGCTCTCCTTCTCAGAATTTTACCCAGGGCCTCCAACTCAGATCAATAACCAGCATCTGCTCCCAAGGGTAACACCTGACACCTGACTTCTCACCTTTTTCCCAGGCCTGGGGCCCTGGAGTCACCAGGGTTTGAGTCCTGACTTTGCCCATTTTCCAGCCGTGGAGCTTGTAGAAGGCACTTCTCTTCCTAAAGCTTCCGTTTCCTCCACTGCAGCATGGGGAGGGAGGCTTGTCCTAAATTTGTTGGCCTGTGGTGGAGACAATTTGAAGCCACACTCACGGAGCAGGTCACACTGGAAGCGTATGTGTGTTCAGTGTGTTCCCTGGAAGCGTATGTGTGTTCAGTCCATGAAACTCTGATCAACAGTTAATCATATCCCCAGAGTCCTGGGGACACTGCCAAGTATTTCTTTGCTTTTCCCAACACGTTCTCAGCCCCTGCAGTGTGCATCGTGGGCAAGTGTGCTGGGCAGTCCTGTGTGCTTGCCCCTCTCCTGCAAACTGCTTTTCCCAGTTTCCTTTGCCAACTGGCTTCCTGTTAGGTTGGGCCAAGGGGAAGCACTGGCAGGAGATTGGAGCATGGGAGGAGGGGACAATCTGGGTATTTCTCCCTCCCTCTGCTTAGGGAGGGAGTGGGAGTGGCCTTTCCCCAGCACAGGCTGCTCTCTTCTGTGTCTTTGGCTGCTCTAGAACCACCCGGTCATCTGCAGTTCCAAGTCTCCAGGTGGCTCTGATGATTCAAGTTACTCCTGGGCAGTATCACTGCCTCTTCCTTTTGTCTCTCCACCCCTAAGTGGTAGCACCTTTTGCCATTGTGGAACAAGCACTTGCCTCACCATTTGCTGTTTGGCTTTTCAGCTCTTCCCTCTTCCAGGTAACCAATTCCCTATATTAAATTTCCTCTGTTGGAAATACCTAGAGTGGTTTCTGTTTTTCTGACTGGCCTTGAATTTTACAGCGGGCATCTTTGGCCCAAGAATTGTCTCTCTCTTCTCCACTTACAGAGTTTTTATCCTAGAGGGGCAGCATCAGACCCCTGAGGGCATGTCACAGGCGGGACTAATGGAAGAGGCTCTAGCTCCTTCTAGCTCTTTGCAGTAAACTTACTACAAGACAGCAAAGCTTTCTCATGCTACCACTGACTGTCTCTTGTGACATAGGTGGAGTAGCATTGCGCTACTCTGCTGTCTCTCTACTTCACCTTCCTGAAGACTTATTGCACAAAGGGTGGGTGGAGCTGTCGAGAACCAGGGGAGAGAAGAAAGTAGTGAAGGGGGCAAAGAAGCCCTTCCTGGCACACTAGCAAAGTGCCTAGTACAGGGGAGGCATTCAGCAGGGTATCCATTCCTTCCCCTTCAGCATCTGTTGAAAATCAGGCTGGAGCCTCAAATATTGGAACCAGCCCTAAGGGGAATGAAGGCTCGTTCTGTGTCAAGACAGCTGCCCCAGGGTTCCACTCCTTAAGGAACAAAGGAGTGGGGACAGACTCCTTTCTGTGAGTAGAGGGGTGGTACTGCCTCCCACCTAGTGTCTCTGGGATTCCTTTTGGAGGCTGCTCACAGATGTCCTCCCACCTTGGCCTCCCCACTCCCATCTGCCCTTCCAGGTTCCCCGGCAGAGGTCCCATCAGTCAGTCCCCTCCCTCCAGCCCATGGTGGTGGCTCACCAGACGGAAGACAGTGGGTCCCTCAGGCCCTTGCTGGGCCTGCCCTATCCCAGGATCTGGGTCCCTAGCTTCATCTGTCACTTCAAAGCTTCCTGTCCCTCAGCCAGGGACTGAGGTAAATTCTAGGCGTTCTGGGCTCTCACTTTCCTCATGTTTGCATGTTCTTTGTGACGCGGTATCCAAGTCGCTGCACAGGTAGGAGGAGCCTGAGGGCTCATCCAGTCCAACCTCCTCCTATGCAGTTCAGATGGGAAAACTGAGGTTCAGAATAGAGACTTGCTGGAAGCATGAAAGTAATTGACAGGTTGGTAGGGGCACAGGGGGTGAAGCGTGTGACAAGCTGGGCCAAAGCTCCAGGGACACGGGTCCTACACTGGCACTTGCGTGGACATCCATGTTACCTGCACTCATGTGTAGTAAAGAGGTCATGCGTGTTTACAAACCATAGTACCACCACAGAGACCACAGGCCCAGCAAATGGGGCTCACACAGGCATGCACACACACACACGTATCCTTGATGGTAAACATGCCCACCCACCATTGTGCACACATGCGTGTATTTACACCCACATGCACACTCATCGGCACACAATCAGAGCCACACACCTGCACGTGCCCCCACAGAATCACACGTGTGTGCAGTCTCACCTATCTGCACTCTGCCATGGGCCCCATTACATACATGCATGCAAACAGATAACACACACGCCTATCAATAGCCAGGATGACTCACACACGAGGACACACATCATACCCTCACAGACTCGTGCATGGACCACCCTGCAGTCACAAAGCAGCATCCAGCATCCGACAATCTGCTGATGTCACTCCCCTGAGAGTAACCATGGCTCCATGCATAGGCAGAGGCAACTCAGCTCACAGGTGCCGCCTGTCCACATGCAGACACAGACACACACACACATACACACACACACACTCTGACAGTTCCCCAATGGCCAGCCTCCTCCACTGACTCCCCACAGCCAGGTGCTCTGACACCCTCCTTGGTGGGACCCTCTCTCTTCAAGGCGCCCAGAGCCACCTGGCTGTCCTTGGAACTAAGTGAGCACCCTGCCCACCCCCAGCCTTGTCCCCTAAACTGGGTGGTTTAGGTCTGAGGGGTGGGGAGAAGGCTGCCCAGAGTCCAAAGTTCAGGGGCCAACATCTTGTTTGCAGGCGCTGGTGGAAATTGCACAACCTGCCAGCTGGGTGACTTGGGCTTATTGTCTCTGAGTTCCCCTTGGCTGCAGGCCCAAGCCCAGCCAGTGACCTGTTTCTCTGGAAGAGGGTGGGGAAAGTGGTTCCTCCCTCCCCTGCCTGGGGAACTGGTGGCCCTCCCTGGGCACTGGTGGCTGGTCCCCAGCTATGTGTGCAACACACCTGACACTGAGATGCACAGAACTCAGCATCCAACCTGTCCTTTCCCAGATAGGAAACTGAAGCTCAGGGAAGGAAAGGCTTGCCCAGGGTCACCCAGCAAGGAGGCCCAGGAGGACTGGAACTCAGGCTCAGTTTCCTTTCTTTTCTTTTCTTTTTTTTTGTGATGGAGTCTCACTCTGTGGCCCAGGCTCGAGTGCAGTGGCGTGATCTTAGCTCACTGCAACCTCTACCTCCTGGGTTCAAGCGATTCTCCTGCCTCAGCTTCCTGAGTAGCTGGGATTATAGGCACGTGCCACCACACCCAGCTAATTTTTTCATATTTTTAGTAGAGGCAGGGTTTCACCATGTTAGCCGGTCTGGTCTCAAACTCCTGACCTCAGGTGATCTGCCCGCCTCGGCCCCTCAAAGTGCTGGGATTACAGGTGTGAGCTACCGCGCCCAGCTCAGTTTTCTTTCAAACCCTTTATCAAAAGAAATATAATCCAAAGCCAGACAGTACTAATGCAAATGAGCAGAGCTACCGTGGGTGCAAAAGGAAGGGACCCCAGAGCCCGTGAGTAGAGACCACTTTCCCTTTCCACACCTACCGTGGCTAAGTCAGTTAGTCAAAGGGTCACTGTGCCATATCACCAGATCATTGAGCTTAACAAATCTATCCCGACTTAAAACATTTTATTTATTTATTTATTTTTGAGACAGGGCCTTGCTCTTGTCACCCAGGCTGGAATGCAGTGGTGCAATCTCAACTCACTGCAGCCTCAACTTCCCGGACTCCACCCATCCTCCTGCCTCAGTCTCCCAGGTAGCCGGGACCACAGGCATGCACCACCACACCCGGCTAATTTTTGTATGTTTTGTAGAGATGGGGTTTCGCCATGTTGCCCAGGCTGGTCTCAAACCCCTGGTCTCAAGCGATCTGCTCACCTTGGCCTCCTGAAGTGCTAGGACTACAGGCATGAGCCACCCCAGTGAGCTTTTTTTCATTTTGTTTTAATTTGTAAAAGTTCCCACTGTGTGCATGAAATGAATTAGCAAGGCCATCATGGCTACGGGGGGTCAGGATCTGGGGCCTTCAGATCCCTCTCACCTCTGGGACCTGCAGCCCAGACTGGGCTTAGATCTCTATTCTGTTCCCCTCCAGTGGCAGCATCAGGGACATGGGGTAGAGACAAACTGAACATTCCTGAAAATCCAAGAAATCTTCTAAAGCTTTAAAAACCCATCCCATGCCTGCCTGTCTTTTCCCTCTCCCCTTCGCTGCCTTTCTGTATCTCTCCCTTCTTTCCTTTCTTCCTCCTGCCTGCCTACCTTTCTCAGTGCATCCAGTCAAAATCATGAGGCTCGAGGATGACAGTCACAGTGGCCCTTGTGAGGCTGGACCTGGGCGGCAGCCTGCTGCAATCAAAGATGGGTATGCACCGGGGCAGAGCAGAGGTATAGCTTAGCATGGACAAGAGGATTCAGGTTTCTCCTTGATGAGGCAGGGAGGCACAGATGCAGAAAGGAGGAAACCAGCTGGGTGCGGTGGCTCACGCGAGTAATCTCAGCACTTTGGGAGGCGGAGGCAGGCGGACCACCTGAGGTCAGGAGTTCAAGACC
Source organism: Homo sapiens (assembly GCF_000001405.40). NCBI lineage: Eukaryota > Metazoa > Chordata > Mammalia > Primates > Hominidae > Homo > Homo sapiens. The sequence goes on from NC_000009.12 coordinate 124,225,317, forward strand.
AGCCTGGCCAACATGGTGAAACACCGTCTCTACTAAAAAATACAAAAATTAGCCAGACATGGTGGTGTGCACCTGTAGTCCCAGCTACACAGGAGGCTGAGGAAGAAGAATTGCTTGAACCCGGGAGGCAGAGGTTGCAGTGAGCCGAGATTGTGACACTGTACTCCAGCCTAGGCAACAAGAGTGAGACTCTGTCTCAAAAAAAACAAAACAACAACAACAAAAAAAAAGCCAGGTGCAATGGCTCACACCTGTAATCCAAGCACTTTGGGAAGCCGAGGCGGGCGGATCACTTGACGTCAGGAGTTCAAGACCAGCCTGTCCAGCGTGGTGAAACCTGATCTCTACTAAAAAATACAAAAATTAGCCATGCGTGGTGGCGTGTGCCTATAATCCCAGATACTCAGGAGGCTGAGGCAGGAGAATCACTTGAACCCAGGAGGCAGAGGTTACAGTAAGTCGAGATCACACCACTGCACTCCAGCCTGGGTGACAGAGTAAGAATCCGTCTCAGAAAAAAAAAAAAAGGAGGAAACTGAAGAAGCCCATAGTGTTGGGCTGGAGTTGGAGCTCTCAGTGAGAACACATGGTGAGAATCTGTGTTTATGTGGAGAGAGAGAGAATATAGACAGAAAGGTGTGTCTATATATATACATGTATATGCACCTGCATGCATATGTGTATACATATATGCATATTTGATGTGTGTGTGTGTGTGTGTATTTTCAGCTCTGTTCACCAAGAAGGTATGGGAGCAGCAATGCTCTGGTAGCAATGAACATACCCAGTGCCAAGATCTTGTTTTCAAAATGCCATTTGGAGGAAGGCTGAGTCCTGGCTGGGAGAGAGGAAGAACAAGATGAACCTGGAACACCTTGTTGTGGCAAAAAGTCACTAAGCATTCAAAGCATAGTGTGGACATGTCAAAGGGACACAGGGGCCAGCTGGATGGGGCCACACCAAATCTGGTGTAATTGAAAAATCAAAATTAATAATGATAGCAATGAATGATAACCCACTGAATAAAATAGAAACCCCTGACTCCAACTGCTATAAACAAAAAAACGAATAAGTAACCGGACAGAAGAGAAAGCTTTTCCTGACAGTAGAATGTCAAATCATACAGAAAGAAGGAAAACCACCTTTGTCAAATATGATCATAATTATTATTTCAGGTAAGAAACATCGATGGAACCAGGTTAAAACTAGGGATGTAAATGGAGTGAAGAACAGGATATTAGCTTAGCACTGGAGCCCGGGAGTTCCAGTTCAGCCTGGGCAATATAGCTTGAGCCTATCTCTAAATAAATAAATAGACAGAAAATGAACAATTCTAGGAAAAACAGAAAGCTGCACAAGAGAATAAATGCAATCACAGTACTCTACATTGCTGGGCTATCAACACTGTTCACATGGCCACAAAATAAACCCCCAATATTTATCTAACCAAAAATTATGAGATGAGATGATCATATAAGGAAGATGGTACCAGGGGAAGTAGGGGCAGCGTGGTATGGGAAGCAAATTCTAATCTTCCAAAGTAAGAAGAGAGTAGATTATACATAAAACTGAAAGTCCAGAAATAACGGTATAGACATGTGATAACAGTGGAAGCATAAAGGCAAATAAAAAAGAAACTTGTTTCTTGTTAAAAAGCAGTTACCTCTGATGGTTGGGAACTGGGAGCAAAGATGGATTAGACAGGAGACAGCTGTTTTTCATTGTTAAGTCTTGCAGAACAAAATGCATGTAAAATTTTTTGAAAGTGAAATCAAAATATAAAAATATAATTAAAAGAAATACATGTTTAGGCCAGGCACAGTGGCTCATGCCTGTAATCCCAGCACTTTGGGGGGCCGAGGTGGGTGGATCACTTGCGGTCAGGAGTTCGAGACCAGCCTGGCCAACACGGTGAAACCCCATATCTACCAAAAATACAAAAATTAGCCGTGCGTGGGGGCACACTCCTATAGTCCCAGCTACTCAGGAGGCTGAGGCAGGAGAATCACTTGAGCCCAGGAGGCAGACGTTGCAGTGAGCCGAGATCATGCCACTGCACCCCAGCCGGTGGGGCAGAACAAGACTCAGTCTCAAAAAAAAAAAGAGAAATACATTTTGAGATAAGCAGTAAATTTGGATAATTGGTTGAGTTGACCATTTAACAAAATCTTCAAAGGATCCTTCAGATGCTAAAGTTCTGATAAGACAGAAAATTACTTTTTTTCAGAGGTTTTTAAAAACAATCAGTCTAAAAGCTAAAGTTCCCATGTGATACTGTGAAAAACATATTCATAGGATATTATTTAAGAAGAATAGACTGGGTACAGTGGCTCATGCCTATAATCCCAGCACTTTGGGAGCCTGAGGTGGGCGGATCCCGAGGTCAAGAGATTGAGACTATCCTGGCTAACATGGTAAAACCCTGTCTCTACTAAAAATACAAAAATTAGCTGGATGTGGTGGCACATGCCCGTAGTTCCAGCTACTCAGGAAGCTAAGGCAGGAGAATCACTTGAACCCAGGAGGCAGAGGTTGCAGTGAGCTGAGATCGTGCCACTGCACTCCAGTCTGGTGACAGAGCGAGACTCCATCTAAAAGAAGAAGGAGGAGGAGGAGGAGGAGGAGGAGAAGGAGAAGGAGAAGAAGAAGAAGAAGAAGAAGAAGAAGAAGAAGAAGAAGAAGAAGAAGAGGAGGAGGAGCACTAGAAGAGCAAATGTATTATGAACTTTGGACAAATTAAATAGTCCTTAAAATGGAATATAGCCATTGGAAGAATGTACATTAAACATAATTTTAAAATTTTTCTTTTTTTTTTTTTTGAGACACAGTTTCACTCTTGTCACCCAGGCTGGAGTGCAATGGCGCAGTCTCGGCTCACTGCAACCTCCGCCTCCCGGGTTCAAGTGATTCTCCTGCCTCAGCCTCCTGAGTAGCTGGGATTAGAGGTGTGTGCCACCACACCCATAGAGATGGGGTTTTGTTCGCCATGTTGGCCAAGCTGATCTCGAACTCCTGACCTCAGGTGAATCACCCTCCTCGGCCTCCCAAAGTGCTGGGATTACAGGAGTGAGCCACCATGCCAGCCAAAAAGAATATTTCTTAAACAAGTTTTTGAAAAACCAGTCAATTCGGTAATATGAGGCAGTGGTCCTTCAATGAGTTTTGGAGAACTGCCTTTTGTCCAATCGGCCTTTGAAGGTGTGGCAGCTTCCCCTACACCTGAAAGAGGTCCCACCCCAGGACACAGGCCCTGGCCTTGGGCATGGCAGGCCAGTCTCCCCCAGACCCACCCACTGACAGCCTCCCAGCAGGAGGGAACTCACACTCCTCACAACAGCACTTTGTGGTGTAAATACAAAACCCCATTTTACAGATGAGAAAATGGAGGCTTGAAGAAGTGAATTGACTTGCCCAGCGCCTCATAGTCAAAAAGTAATCAAACTGGACTTGGCACACAGGTTGACAAACCCCAAGGCCAGGATTCTCTCCTTGCTCCCCCAACCCTTGGATCTCCCACCTGCTGGCGCCAGACCTAATTAGGAGCTCTGCTGGCCCCTGAGGTGGGTTGGGAGGTGGGTGTGTCATTAGATTGTGAGATTCTGGAAGCTCCCGCCATGTGTCATTATGTCTAATTACATGAGTTCAGGCTTCTGCGTGGGCTGGTGGAGCCAGAGTGTCTCCGTGCCCAGGTGGCCAGGGAATTTCTGCAGCCAAGAAGTGGATGAGAGGCCGCTGAAGGACCCCGGTAACATGTTCCCCAAATCTCCTGGAGAAAGCCGAGTTCCAGGCCCCTCCCGGAGGCTGAAGGGTGGCCCCGATGGGGAGTTGGGGTCTCTCCATGCTTCTCGGGGTGCACTTAACCAGACTCCTACCTGGGCAGGGAATAGAGTAGAAGGAAATGGCTGCATGAGGGGCACAGCCCCTAGTCCCCTCATCCCAGCCCCAGACGGACAGACTCACACATGCATATGCACACACAAAACACAGAAACATGGTGTTGGAACAAATATCTGGACTTTTTTTTTTGGTAGATGAATCTGCTCTGTCATCCAGGCTGGAGTGCAATGGCATGATCTTGGCTCACTGCAACCTCTGCCCCCTGCTGGGTTCAAGCGATTCTCCTGCCTCAGCCTCCCAAGTAGCTGGGATTAAAGGGGCCCACCACCACACCCAACTAATTTTTGTATTTTTAGTAGAGACGAGGTTTCACCATGTTGGCCAGGCTGGTCTAACTTCTGACCTCAGGTGATCCACCCACCTCGGCCTCCCAAAGTGCTGGATTACAGGCATGAGCCACCATGCCTAGCCAAATATCTGGACCTTTGAGTAAAGAGCTGCTTACACTTTCATCAGTTCCACTGGGTGTTCACTCTGGGGGAAAGGCAAGTGAGAAGGAACATGGAATAGGGACAGAACGTGGTCACTGTCCTCCCTAGGCAGACATGGGTGAGGGAGGCGATCTTTTGCACGTGCTCATTTAATAAGCAGGTATTGGCCGGTCATGGTGGCTCATGCGTGTAATCCCAGCACTTTGGGAGGCCGAGGTGGGTGGATCACAAGGTCAGGCATTCAAGACAAGCCTGGCCAAGATGGTGAAACCCCAACTCTACTAAAAATATAAAAATTAGCCACGCGTGGTGGCGGGCGCCTGTAATCCCAGCTACTCAGAAGGCTGAGGCAGAGAATTGCTTGAACCTGGGAGGTGGAGGTTGCAGTGAGCCTAGATTGGGCCACTGCACTCCAGCCTGGACAGAGCGAGACTCCATCTCAAAAAAAAAGAAAAAAAAAAAAAAAAGCAGGTGTTGAGTGACTTCTGTGTGCCAGGCATTGTTCTAGGCATTGGGGTTATAAAATAAAGTCCCTCTTCTCAAGGGGAGAGAGACAATAACCATACACTAAATATGTAATGTACCAGATGGTGACAAGCAGAGTGAGGGTGAGGGGCCACTGCTCATAGATGATTATCTGGCTGGAGAAACAGTCAAACCTTTCCCCACTGACTTCCCAAACCCAGAGGATAGATGGAGAAACGACTTGGGGAATAGAAAAAAGGACCCACCTCCCCAGGTGCCTTCTCCTCCTTCTTCTCTTCTCCCTCTCCTCTAATGTTGTTTTTCCTTTAAACGTTACTTAAAACAGACCAGGCTCAGTGGCTCACGTCTGTAATCCCAGCACTTTGGTAGGCCGAGGTAAGAGGATCACTTAAGGCCAAGAGTTTGAGACCAGCCTGGCCAACATTGCAAAACCCTATCTTTATGAAAAATACAAAAATTAGCCAGGCATGGTGGTGTGCACCTGTAATCCCAGCTATTTGGGAGGCTAAGGCACCATAATCGCTTGATCCTGGGAGGCGGAGGTTGCAGTGAGTGGTGATCAGGTCATGGCACTCCAGCCTGGGTGACAGAGAGAGATTCTGTCTTCAAAAAATATACAAATAAATTTTTTTAAACAGTTACTTAAAACATACGGGAGGTGTAGAAAATTATATGACAAATACTCATGTACCCGCTACCCCTGTTAAAAAATGAAACTTTAGGCTCGTAAAAAAATAAAAACTGGCTGGGCGCGGTGGCTCATACCACGGCACTTTGGGAGGCCGAGGTGGGCAAATCAAGAGGTCAGGAGTTCGAGACCAGCCTGACCAACATGGCAAAATCCCGTCTCTACTAAAAAGGCAAAAATTAGCTGGGTGTGGTGGCATGTGCCTGTAATCCTAGCTACTCAAGAGGCTGAGGCAGGAGAATTGCTTGAACCAGGAGGCAGAGGTTGCAGTGAGCCAAGATCACGCCACTGCACTCCAGCGTGGGCAACAGAGCGAGACTCTGTCTCAAAAAACAAACAAACAAACAAACAAACAAAAAACTTACAAATATAATCAAAGGTCCCCATGTTAGCCAGGAAAGGCTAGGTTATGCTGTAGTAACAAACAAACCCCAAATTTCAGTTGCTTTAAACAACAAAGGTCTGCTTCTATCGCATTCTCGATCCAGTGAGGGTTGACTACATTGGGCTATGTTCATTGTAGTCTCTTAGGAACCCAGTCTGAGGGATGCTCCACTATTTATGATGCTGTGATCTCAGCAAAAGGCTTCAAGATTCACCAGGTAAGGAAGGGAGCAAGAAGACTCAGGTGCTGGCTCTTAGATGTTTCCATTTGGAAGCGGCATGTGTCAGTTCTCCTCACATTTCATTGGCTAAAGCAAGTCATGTGTCCATGTCCAGCTTCGAAGGGGAAGTGAAGTATAATCCTCTCATGTGCTCAGAAGAGAACTGACATGGTGGTGAGCATTGTTAATATCTACCGCTTTTCTTATCCCATTTCCATCTACCCTTCACTCCCAGCAATAAGACCCATCTAGAAGTTGTTATGCATCCTTTTCACCTGTGGATTTTAAAAAACTTTTAGTATGCCTGTATACATCAACAAAGAATATATAGAAAGAAAGCCAGGTGCGGTGGCTCATGCCTGTAATCCCAGCACTTTGGGAGGCCGAGGCAGGCAGATCGCTTAATGTCAGGAGTTCGAGATCAGCCTGGCCCACCTGGTGAAACCCTGTCTCTACAAAAAATACAAAAATTAGCCAGGTGTGATGGCACATGCCTGTAATCCCAGCTACTGGGGAGGCTGAGGCACAAGAATTGCTTGAACCCAGGAAGCGGAGGTTGCAGTGAGCCAAGATCGTGCCAATGCATTCCAGCCTGATTGACAGATCAAGACTCAGTCTCAAAAAAAAAAAAGTATATATATATATATATATATATATATATATATATATATATATATATAGAAAGAAATCACAAAGAAAACTAGAAAATATTTTGAGCTGAATAACAATGAAAATGTAACATATCTAAGCCTATGTGATACAGATAAAGCAATACAATAAAGGGAAAGTTATAACATTAAATGGCTTTATTCAAAAGGAAGAAAGTCCCAAAATAAATACATTTGCTAAGCTTCCACCTTTAGGAACTAGATAAAGAAGAGCAAATTAAACCCAAAGCAGGTAGAAAGAAAGAAATAATAAGATAAGAGTAGAAATCAATGACTAGAAAACAGAAAAACAAGAGAGAAAATAAATGAAACCACAAGCTGCCTCTTTGAAAACATCAACAACATTGATAAACTTCATCTTCAATCAGTAGAAAAGAGAAAGTCACGGGCCAGGTGCAGTGGCTCATGCCTGTAATCCCAGCACTTTGGGAGGCCGAGGTGGGAGGATCACGAGGGGAGGAGATGGAGACCATCCTGTCTAATGTAGTGAAACCCCGTCTCTACTAAAAATACAAAAAATTAGCCAGATGTGGTGGCGTGTGCCTGAAGTCCCAGCTACTCGGGAGGCTGAGGCAGGAGAATTGCTTGAACCCAGGAGGTGGAGTTTGCAGTGAGCCGAGACAGTGCCACTGCACTCCAGCCTGGGCGACAGAGCAAGACTCCATCTCAAAGAAAAAAAAAAAGACACAAATTACCAACAAGAAAAATGAAAGCCTGGGTGCAGTGGCTCTGCCTGTAATCCTGACACTTTGGGAGGCTGAGGCAGGAGGATTGCTTAAAGCCAGGAATTCAAAACCAGCCTGGGCAACACAGCGAGACCCTGTCTCTACAAAAAGTAAAAAAATTCGCTGGGTGTGGTGGCTCATGTTTGTAGTCTTAGCTACTTGGGAGGCTGAGGTGGGAGAATCCCTTGAGTCTAGGAGGTCAAGGCTGCAGTGAGCTATGATAGCGCCATTACACTCCAGCCTGGGTGACAGAGCAAGACCTTGTCTCAAAAAAAAAAAAAAAAAAAAAAAAAAAGAAAGAAAGAGAGGGCATCCCTACACATCCTGTGACCATTAAAAAGATAATAAGGAAGTATTGTGCCCAAAGTTATGACCACAAATTTGACAACTTAGATGAAGTGGGCATATTCCTTGAAAGACACAAACTAGCAAAGTTCTCAAGAAGAAACAAAGGGAAGCGGAAAAGATAACTATTGGGTACTGGGCTTCATAGCTGGGTGATGAAATAACCTGTACAACAAACCCCCATGACACATGTTTACCTATGTAACAAACCTTCACATGTACCCCCAAACCAAAAATACAAGTTTAAAAAAAGAGGGAAAACATTACTTTTTCTCTCTTTTAGTTTGAGAAACTAGCAGTTAATTTTTTTTTTTTTTTTTTTTTTTTGAGACGGAGTCTCACTCTGTCGCCCAGGCTGGAGTACAGTGGTGCCATCTAGGCTCACTGCAAGCTCCACCTCCCAGGTTCACGCCATTCTCCTGCCTCAGCCTACCCGGCAGCTGGGACTACAGGCACCCACCACGACGCCTGGCTAATTTTTTGTATTTTCAGTAGAGACGGGGTTTCACCATGTTAGCCACGATGGTCTCAATCTCCTGACCTTGTGATCCTCCTGCCTCAGCCTCCCAAAGTGCTGGGATTACAGGCATGAGCCACCACGCCCGGCCTAAAATTTTATTATGTGAATATGTATGTTAGTGATTTCATGTTAGCATATATGTAGCAAAACCAATAAAACTGTCATCAGCATTGAAATAATAAAATGTGTTGGCTTTTTTTTTTTTTTTGAGACAGAGTCTAGCTCTGTTGCCCAGGCTGGAATGCAGTGGCACGATCTCAGCTCACTGCAACCTTTACCTCACCAGTTCAAGCCATTCTCATGCCTCAGCCTCCCGAGTACCTGGGATTACAGGTGTGTGCCACCACGCCCAGCTGATTTTTGTATTTTTAGAAGGGACAGAGTTTTGCCATATTGGGCAGCCTGGTCTTGAGCTCCTGACCTCAAGTGATCCACTCACCTCAGCCTCCCAAAGTGCTGGGATTACAGGCGTGAGCCACCACACCCGGTCTTTTTTTTTTTTTTGTAAGACAGGGTTTCATTCTGTGGCCCAGGCTGGAGTGCAGTGAAGCAATCTTGGCTCACTGCAACCTCCACTTCCTGGGTTCAAGTGATTCTCCTGGCTCAGCATCCCGAGTAGCTGGGATTACAGGTGTGTGACATCACACCTACCCAGCTAATTTTTGTATTTTTAGTAGAGATGGGGTTTTACCATGTTGGTCGGGCTGGTCTTAAACTCCTGACCTCAAGTGATCTTTCCTCCTCGGCCTCCCAAAGTGCCAGGATGACAGGCGTGAGCCACTGTGTCCAGCCATAATATGTTTGGCTTTGAGTACACTGTTTAAATAAAGCAACACCTAAGGGTGTCACTGGGAGGTCTATGAAATAGGCTGAAGTATTAAAAACCAAGCAAAAATAGTAAGAAAAGCTGAGAAAGAAACATGGAAAGGAAAAAAAAAGGAGTGAAAAAAGATTGGCAAAGTAGTGCCTCACCAAGAAAATGTCTTTCATGCTGTTTAGTGATATTCTCGGTTAAAAATTTCTAAAAGCTGTGGAAAGCAAGTCAAATTTTGTTCTAGCCTTCTGCTGTGAAAACATTAGGTAACAAATATGTGTCAAATCTATTGTTTTCCAAAATATGGTGTTCATGCTTGAAATACGCCATTGCCAAATAAAGTCTATTTTTGATATACATAAAAAAAGAAGAAACAGAAAACCCAAATAGTCCTATACATCAATTAAGGAATAGAAATTCATAGTAAAAACTTTCTCATGAAAAAATTTCCCAGCCCAGATGGCTTCACTGGTGAATTTTATTAGTTAAATTTATTTTAAAAGAAATATTAATTCTACAGAAACTCTTCCAGAACGTAGAAGGAGAGAGCAAAACTCCTAACTAATTCTATGAACTCAGAATTACCCTGATACTAAAGCATGACAAAGATACAAGAAAAGAAAGCTATAGGCCTATATCCCTAATGAATACAGATACAAAAATCTTTAACAAAACATTAGCAAATCAAATCTAGTAACGTACAGAAAGGATAATATATGAAGACCAAGTAGGGTTTATCTCAGGAATGCAAGGTTGGTCCAACATTCAAAAATAAATCAATGTAACTCAACATATCAATAGACATAAAAAGAAAAACTATATAGTCATCCTTTTTTTTTTTTTTTTTTTTTTTTGAGACAGAATCTCGCTCTGTCGCCCAGGCTGGAGTGCAGTGGCAAGAGAAAAACTATATGATCATCTTAATAGAGGCAGAAAAAACATTTGATAAAAATTTACTCATGATTTTTACAAAAGAAATTTTCAGCAAACTGGAAATAGAAGGGAAATTTCACAATCAGATAAATAACATCTACAATAAGACCTACAGCTAACGCTATACTTAATAATGAAAGATTGCTTTCCCACTAAGATTGGGAACAATGCAAAGATCTCTACTGTTGCCACTTTTATTCAACATTGTACTAGATGTCCTAGATAGTACAATACAACAAACAAGCAAATAAATAAATATGTAAATAAATGGCAGATTGGAAAGGATTAAGTGAAACTGTGTTTGTAGAGAACATGGTATCTACATAGAAAAGTATACTACAAAGCTAATAGAAATATGTGAATTTAGCAAGGTTGTAAGATATACAGCCAATATGCAAAAGTCTATTGTATTTCTACTTAACAGTAATTTTAAAATTTAACATTGAAATTAAAAATCGGCTGGGCACGGTGGCTCACGCCTGTAATCCAGCACTTTCGGAGGCTGAGGTGGTGAATTACGAGGTCAGGAGATCAAGACCATCCGGCTGAAACCGGATGTTGAAAACCCGTCTCTATTAAAAATATTTAAAAAAATTAGCCAGGTGTGGTGGCAGGCACCTGTAGTCCCAGCTACTTGGGAGGCTGAGGCAGGAGAATGGCATGAACCCGGGAAGTGGAGCTTGCAGTGAGCCAAGATTGAGCCACTGCATTCCAGCCTGGGGGCCAGAGCAAGACTGTGTCTCAAAAAAAAAAAAAAAAAGAAGAAGAAATTAAAAACCAATACCACTTACAATAGCATTAAAAACATGAAAAGTTAAGGGACAAATATCATGAAATAGGATTTGTACATTGAAAATGGAAAATCATTACCAAGAGAAATAAAAAAAATCTAAATAAAAGGAGAGATATACAATGTTCATGATGAGAAGACTCACTACTTTAACAAAATATTAACAATTCTGAAGAATTATGTTAGTACTTTCCTAATTGATATTGCAATTTCAATCAAAATCCTGGCAGGCTTTTTTTTTTTTTTTTTTTTGGTAGATATTGACAAGCTGTTTCTAAATTATATATGGAAGTGCAAAGGACCTAGAATAGCCAAAACAATTCTGAAAAAGAAGGAAGAAGTTGGAGAACTCACATTACTTTATTTCAAGACTTACTATAAAGCTACTATACGCAAGACAGCATGGTGATAGCGTAAGCTTAGACCTATGGATCAGTGGAACAGAAATGATTCCAGAAATAGACCAATATCCATTTGGTCAGTTGATTTTTGACAAAGGAACCAAGGTAATTTCAATGGAGAAAGAATAGTCTTCTCAACAAATGGTGAAGAAACAATTAGACATCCATATCCAAAAAAAAGAACCTCAACCCTTACCTCCCACACCATGAAGAACTTCAAATGGATCATAGACTTAAATAGAATATAAACCTTCAAAGAGATAATAAAGGAAAATATCTTTGTGATCTTGATAAAGATTATTTAAACAGGATGCAAATAACATAAACCATAAAAGTCAAAAATTGAAAAATTAGCCTTCAAAATTAAAAACTTTTCCTTTATGAAAGTCACTGTTGGGAAAATAAAAAGACAAACCAAAGACTGGGAGAAAATGTCTGATAAGTAACTGGTCTCCACAATTTTAAAATAACTCATAACTCAATCGTTAGAAGACAAACTAACCAACAATAAAATAGTCAAGTACTTTGAAGAGGCACTTCTTCAAAGACATATGGACGGCAAATAAGTGCATTAAAAAAATTCAACATCATTATTCATTAGGTAAATGCAAAATAAAGCCACAATGACCAAGTGCTACACACTTATAGAATGGCTAACATTTTTAATACTAACAATACAAAGTGCTGGTGAGGATGTAGAGCAGCTAGAATATATATTGCTGTCAGGGATGCAAAACTGTACAACCATACTGGGAAATAGTTTGACAGGTTTTTTATTTCGTTAATAGATGAACCTTGAAAACATTACGCTAAGTGGAAGAAGCCAGTCACAAAAGATATATTATCTGATTCCATTTTCTGAAATTTCCAGAATGGGTAAATCCAGAGAGATAGACAGTTGATTAGTGGTTGCTTGATGCTCGGTGGGGGAAGGGATGATTTCTCTTTTGGTGACGAAAACATCTTAAAATTGACTGTGGCGATGGTTGCACATATCTGTGACTATACAACAAACAAACACTGAATTGTACTTTTTAAATGGATGAAGTGGATTGTGCGCTAATTATATCTCAATAAAGCTGTTTTTTTTAAATAAAAATATTGAGCTAGGTGAATCTTCACATTTCTCCCGCTCTCCATTTCCTATCTCCATAGTTTTTCTTTTTTCCAACAAGTATTTCTTGGCTGCTCCCAAGCTATTCATGTTTCCAGTTCTCTCTCTTCCTTTTCCCCCCTCAAATGTTCCTGCATCAGCCCATAACCTGAATGGCCAAAGAAAGGATTCTCCTGGGGAGTGGTGGGTGCAAAAGAAGCTACAAGGCAAACACAGAATTCTCGTTCTCCATGGGGCAGGCCTTGGGCCCCAGGACCAGGATTAGGTAAGGCGAGTGAGGTATCCAGGACCCAAAATAAAAAGAGGTACTCACCCAGGGCATGTAAGTGAAGGTCGGCTCCTGAGAATGGATGCATCCTTACATCTTTTTTTTTTTTTTTTTGTAGTAAAACACACATAACAGAAAATTTACCAGTTCAATCATTTTTTTTGTTTTGTTGTTGTTTTTGTTTTTTGTTGTTGATGTTGTTGTTGTTGCTGTTGTTGTTTGAGACGGGTCTCGCTCTGTCGCCAGGCTGGAGTGCAATGGCGCGATCTCAGCTCACTGCAACCTCCGCCTCCAGGGTTCAAGCGATCCTCCTGCCTCAGCCTCCCGAGTAACTGGGACTCGAGTGCTCCATCATGCCCAGCTAATTTTTTGTATTTTGGATAGAGATGGGGTTTCACCATGTTGACCAGGATGATCTCAATCTCTTGACCTTGTGATCTCCCACCTTGGTCTCCCAAAGTGCTCGGATTACAGGCGTGAGCCACCGCGCTGGGCTGGTTCAATCATTTTAAAGTGTACAATCAGTGGTTTTCAGTACATTCGCAATGCGTGGAACCAGCACAACATTGTCTAATTAAAAGATATTTTCTTTTTTTCTTTTCTTTTCTTCTTGGTTTTTGTTTTGTTTTGTTTTGAGACAAGTTCTCACTCTGTCACTCAGGCTGGAGTATAGTGGTGCAATCGCGGCTCACTGCAGCCTCAACCTCCCAGGCACAGGTAATCCTCCCACCTCAGCTTCCTGAATAGCTGAAACCACAGGTGTGTGCCACCACACCCTGCTAATGTTTAAATTATCTGTAGAGACGGAGCCTCACTATGTTGCCCAGGCTGCTCTCAATCTCCTGGGCTCAACTGATGTGTCTGCCTTGGCCTCTTAAAGTGCTGGGATTACAGGCATGAGCCACTGCACCCAGCCCCAAGACATTTTCATTACCCTAAAAGAAAACCCTTTAGTCACAAGTGTGGTTCCAGGTGTGAGCTGGCTTTGTGATCTGTAGAGCTGAGGGTAGAAGCTTCCATTTGAAACGTCTGCTCAGGTGGCTGCTGGAATGTGGCTGGACTTCAGGTAGACTATACCTTAGTTGGCCCTACAGAGGCATCTAAGAAGTTGTCCAGAATTTGAAGTTCTATAAAAGGAGACCCATTTACAATACACGCAAGGGAGCTGACTATTGAAAAGAAGCCAGCAGTGAATCCTTTGGTGTGCCTTTGTGTTGAATAAATTGGAATTTTTATAGATTGGGTTTGCAGCTCAACCAAGTTCTGAAAAGTGTGAGTCCAAACCGCATAGAGGTGAAGGTGGCAGGACTCAAGTTTCTATGGTTTTAAGGGTACAGGGACTTTCTCCTGCGCAATAATCTCATCTAAGAGAAGCCCAGGGCCTCCCACGTGGGCTTGTAGAGGGCAGGCTCCAGACTACAGAGAAAAGGGGAAACTGTGTTTTCCCCGCCCACAGAGACTGAAGGTCAGACCAGATCACGTTAAAGCAAGAAGACTTGGTATTCTTCCCTGGGGAATTTGTAGGTTACCAAGATTGGCAGGGAAGGGGAGGAGGACCAGAGATGTTCTAGAGTGTCACTCGATCCCCATGTATGGAGGGAACATTAACCCTGTGTCACGCACTTGGCACTTGGTACTTATTATTCCATTTAATTTCCCCAGCAATCCCTTCACTCACAGGCAAAGCCTGCAATTACCAACAAGGTAAAGTGGCTGACCAAGGCCACAGGCAAGTCAAGCCCTGGGGCTAGGATTGGAACCCAAATCTCATGGCTCAAGTCTTGAGGCTGACTCCACCAAGCCACTGTGAAGTCCCCCTGAGAGCAACCAAGAGCCAGGCATGTGGGGGGTAACAGGGCTAGAGAGGATGTTCTCAGTGGGCAGTGCTAATGTGACCCTGTGGGAGGGACATTCCTGTCTTCTCTTTTTGGTTTGTCTTGGAAAGTCCCACATCTTTTGCAGAACTGCTTCCTGGTATCCCTATCTGGAATTTACACCAAGGACAGCCAAAGGCCAAGACTGGCTTAGAGGCCTGAGGAGTGGGGATCAGAGAAAAGGGTCAGTCCATCCTGTGCAGCCTTCCCGGCCTGGGCCCCTGTGAGTTGATGGAGGAAATCAGTGGCCATCGTTCCCCTATCCTTATCCTGAGCAGGGGTACTGGAGGCCCTGGGAAAGCCCCCTGAGCTAAGACTGATCTTCCTTGCCCAAAAATAGCTGCCTGGGATTCAAAGAGACTGCATGGGAAGAGGAGGAACTTCAGATTCACACCTGGGTTCAAATCCTGGTTCCATCCCTTACTTGCTGTGTGACCTTGGCCAATGTCCCTCACTTCTCTGCACCTTGGTTTCTCCATCTGTAAAGTGGGATCAACCATCATCCTATGGAAGGGGCCAGTCCACAGGAAACACCTCTCATCAGGGAGTGGGAGCTGTTAGGAGGTTTCTCAGCATTCCTCTAGCTTCTAGAAGCCCCCTTCCAAGGAGTAAAACCTGTGCCTAAAGTGCTAGTGCTCTGGCCTAGGCACTGGCTTGGCCCTGGGGAGCTACCATGATGGACCAGTTATGGTCCCTGCCCTTCCGGAGCACAAAGTCTAGGGAGGAGGACAGAGCCTAAGCAGGCAGAGCCACACGTGGGATAGGGCTGCAGCAAAGGGACACACAGGGGCCCCAAAAGGGAAGGAGGATCCTGCCTGGGGTCAGGGAAGACTCCACAGGGACAGAGACTGGGGGCGAGAGTTTAAATCTTTAATAACCTGTTTGTCACAGTCACTGACCAATCAGAAAGGACACTGGCTGTAAACAATCCACAGCACCCACCAGTGTCTACCAGCTGATGATGAATGCCCTGGGAAGGGGCATTGATTGGGGTGCTGGCGGATGAATAAGAGTTCTTTCGACAAGTGGGAAGAAAGGGCACCCCAGGCAAAGGGAGCACTACGTGCTCAATCCTGGTGACAGGAAAAACCACGGCTGGAGCATAAGATGTGTTGGGGGAAGGTGGGGCATGAGAGCAGAGAGGGTCTCGAATGCCACTACATTTGGGAGACACGGTTAGGACTTCTCTGATGTGGCACTCCACACTGGTGACCCAGTTGAACAGGCACTGCAGTGAGAGTTTTCAGGGTCTGGACACGCCTCCTCTCCCAGGTCCACGACATCTACATGGGGCAGAGCTCTTACTAGGGGTCCAGGCTCAGGCTCCATTCTCTTGGGAGAGGGGCTGGCAAGGTGGGTCAGGAAGAGAGGCTCAGCCAAGGGGCTCTAGAGAGCCTTTTGAGTGGGGAAACTGAGGCCAATGCTCAGATGTATGAGTGGGATCAAATCAGTGGGAGGTGGAGACACTGGTGACCTGAGCTTCCCTGAGCTTCCCTGGCTTTGAGTCCTCCCCCTAGAGTGGCACTGAGGCCTCCTGTTAGCTCAGGAAAAACTCAGGGATGTTTTAAGGGTCAAGTTCTAGCACCAGCTCTGCTGCTGATGAGCTGTGACCTTGAGCAAGGCACAGACCCCTCTGGGCATGGGGACCCTGTTGATTGCTTCCTTGGAAATGGAAGATGTCCCAGGCTGATCCTGTTCTGCCAGCCTCCCTGACCTGGCATCATGGAGAATGTGAGGGCTTCAGATTCAGGCAGAGCTGAGTTTGAATCTCTGCTTTGGAAATGGACTGGGTGTTTGACTTGGACCAAGTGCTAAGCTCTGGGCCTTTATTTCCCCATCTACAAAACAAGGAATTGATTGGTGAGATTAGCGTTGAATGGAATAAATGAAAAACTCTGGTGGGGGGGGGCAGCTGGGCACAGTGACTCGCGCCTGTAATCCCAGCACTTTGGGAGGCCGAGGTGGGTGGATCACCTGAGGTCAGGAGTCCAAGACCAGCGTGGGCAACACGGCGAAACCCCGTCTCTACTAAAAATACAAAAATTAGCTGGGCATGGTGGTGCATGTCTGTAATCTCAGCTACTCAGGAGGCTGAACCAGGAGAATCACTTGAACCCAGGAGGCGGAGGCTGCAGTGAGCCGAGATCGTGCCATTGCACTTCAGCCTGTGTGACAAGAGTGAAACGCCTCTCGAAAATAAAAAATAAAAAAAAATAAAAAAGAAAGAAAAGAAAAAGAAAAAACTCTGGGGACTGGAGACAAAATAGTAAAAGGAGGTGGTAGAGAGCCTTGCTTCCGCCCTCACCTCCTATGAGGTGCCCTCTGCTTGCAGAATCTCTCAGCAGCCGGACTTTTGCAGAAGCTGCAGGTCAGTGGTGAGTGAGGAGGAAGGCTGTATCATTGATTGTTCTCCCAGGACACTTTGAGCATGAAAGGGGGCACCGTTAGTAATAAACAGCCATAAACCTGGGCTGTCCTAAGGAAACCAGAGTTTATGATGCCCCTGGTGATGAGTGGAGATTCAGAAATTGAAATGGAGAGGCGGAAGCGGGACACGATTGAGGAGGGATGTGAGCAGGTGCCAGGAGGCGCAATCTTTGGAGAGAGGGTGTGGTGCCCAAGCAGGCTTTGGGAGGCTTTTCTGCGGGAGGTACCGATTCGCTCCCCTCTTCTGGGTCCCAGGTGAACTTCAGGAAAGAGCAGCTTTGCTTTGCAGCAGTTTGGGAGCTGGATTGGGGCTGGATACGTTTTGTAACCTTATGCCTCTGCACGCTGGTTGGCTGCTTCACTTTTTTCTTGGTTATAACTTCCTGCAGAGACTGGTCTTCGGCTGGGAGCAGGAAGGCACTCTTAGAGTTGGGTTAGGAAAGTAAAGGCGCTTTTCCGATGCCTAGAAGGCAGTAGCTGCTTAGTAAACGTTCATCCCCTGCCATCTTAACCAGCAAGCGCCTTTGCTCTGGGACCCTGGTCCACGGTTGCTTCAAGCCCCCAGAGGAACCGCTGCCTTCATACTCCTCCAGATGGTCTAAGCCCTCCTGCCTCCCACCCCTCCCACACACGAATGCAGGAAGTCCTCTGAGAGCCTGCTGGATCAGTTTCCTTTCCGCTTCCTTTCTCTTCCTCTCCGGTGAGGGCTGGGACGCAGCTGGCGGAGTTGGGGGGGGTTCTCCCCCAGACTGCTTCTCTGCACAGCCTCCTTAACGCGTCACTCACAGGGCCTGCATTCCTCCAACTTTAATGCCTCCTCTGGGAACACAGGCTTCCAGAAACCTGAGATGACCAACCAGCCGGTGCAGGCCAGAGGGAGAAGGGCCCAGACGGTGAGGGGGAGAGTGAGGGGCTTGACTTCTGCCTTTGCTGAAAAGAGAAACCGCAGGCCTCCCCCTCCCCTTTCAGCTTATGGGACTTCTAGACCAGGGAGCAAAAAGCACTGGCTCTTGCCAAACCCACTTAGGGAGATGGAAAAGGAAAGATGGCACGATAGTTTGTAAAGGTGGAAGATCTTTTGTCACATACACCAGGTACAAAGGTTTTCATACTGGGACCCTTTACTGTCCCTTTAGGCTTCTAGAACAATAGGGCAGACTACTAGCAGAACCAAAAACAGAGAGGTGAACTAGGATTAAGTAATGGCTCCCAACAACTGCCTTGCAACTCCCAAATATTTAATAAGCAGCTCTTATTTAATAATCAGCTCCTGCCAGCCAATGTACCCCAGCTCTAGCATACCACTGGTCCTATCTATCCCCCTCTCAGGCCCTGATCACCTGAGGTAGGGAGTTTGAGACCAGCCTGGCCAACATGGTGAAACCCTGTCTCTACTAAAAATACAAAATTAGCTGGGAGTGATGGCGGGCGTCTGTAATCCCAGCTACTCAGGAGGCTGAGGCAGGAGAATCCCTTGAACCCGGGAGGCGGAGGTTGCAATGAGCCAAGATCGTGCCATTGCACTCCGGCCTGGGCGACAGAGCAAGACTCCGTCTCAAAAAAAAAAAAAAAAAAAGAATCCTGGCCACACAGCCATGAAGTAGAGGTTCAAACCCAGGCTGGTTTCACAGTATCACATCACCTCCCAAGTGTATATGGCCACGTACAGTTGGAAGCATCGCCACTCCTGCACCCTTCTCCCTGGTTAACTAGTGAAATTCTTCCCTTGGGGATTTTATTCATTCCATTGATGTAAGCCCGTCCCCACTTCACTACACTCTTGCAGTCTTAAAATTATGGCTCACTAGGCCCAAAAGGATCTTTAGAAATTAATTTGTCCAATTCTTTTCCCTATGGATGGGGAAATCGAGGTTCAGAAAGAAGACAAAACTTGCTTGTATCAGCCCTAGATCTCCTGAGGCAGAGTGCTTCAGTGCAAAGGGTCTTATCAGACAGACCTGGCCTCGAGTCCTGACTCTGACATTTACTTTCTGGGCCACCTTGGCTAGCAGACATTACTTTGCTGTTGTTGTTCTTTGTGGTATTTTTCTGAGACAAGGTCTTGTTCTGTCACCGAGGCTGGAGTGCAGTGGCATGATCACAGCTCACTGCAGCCTCTACCTCCTGGGCTCAAGCAATCCTTCCACCTCAGCCTCCCGAGTAGCAGGAACTATAGGTGTGCACCCCCATGCCTGGCTGATTTTTATGTTTTTCGTAGAGATGGGGCCTCATTATGTTGCCCAGGCTGGTCTCAAACCCCTGGGCTCAAGCAATTCTCCCACCTCAGCCTCCTCCCAAAGTGCTGGGATTACAGGTGTGAGCCACCACGCCCAGTCAAAGTCACTTTTTAATTTTTATTATTTATTTATTTATTTATTTTTGATGGAGTCTCACTCTGTTGCCCAGACTGGAGGGCAGTGGCAAAACCTCGGCTCATGGCAACCTCCGCTTCCCAGGTTCAAGTTGTTCTCCTGCCTCAGCTTCGCAAGTAGCTGGGATTACAGGCACCCGCCACCGTGTCCAGCTAATTGTTGTATTTTTAATAGGGACGGGGTTTTGCCATGTTGGCCAGGCTGGTCTCAAACTCCTGGCCTCAGGCGATCCACCCGCCTCGGTCTCCCAAAGTGCTGAGATTAGAGGTGTGAGCCACCGTGCCTGGCCTATGCTACTTTTTTGAGCCTCAGTTTCCTCATCTATTAAGTGGAGATCATAATACCTTCACTGACGGGTTGTTGTAAATATTCAAAGAGGTCCCAGGTTGGGATGCAGCAGCCTCATTCCTGGCACGCAGTGAGTGCTCAGTGCAGGCAGCCTTCCTTCTCCCCAGCAAAGGAAAATGGAATCTTAAGGCTCTGAGACCAGGGTCATTCCTTTATGGAGCCTGAGAGGGGGATAGATAGGACCAGTGAGTGGTATGCTAGAACTGGTGTGCATTGGTGGGCAGGAGCTGATTACTAAATAAGAGCTGCTTATTAAATATTTGGGAGTTGTTTTTGGGAGCTTTATACCAGCCATGGTAGGAGTATTTTACACCACAGAAATCAGCAAACTCTACAAATGAAGGATTTTATTTTTTATTTTGTATTTATTTTATTTATTTATTTATCTGTTTTTAAGATGGAGTCTCTGCTGCCCAGGCTGGAGTGCAGTGGTACAATCTCAGCTTACTGCAACCTCCACCTCCCAGATTCAAGTGATTCTCCTTCCTCGGCCTCCCAAGTAGCTGGGATTACAAGCATGTGCCACCACACCCAGCTAATTTTTGTACATATATATTTTTTTCAGTGGAGATGGGGTTTCACCATATTGGCCAGGCTGGTCTTGAACTCCTGACCTCAAGTGACAGTTTTTTTTTTTTTAAATAAAGGCCTATATGGCCGAGCACGGTGGCTCACGCCTGTCATACCAACAGTTTGGGAGGCCAAGGCGGGTGGATCACTTGAGGCCAGCAGTTTGAGACCAGCCTGGCCAACATGGCGAAACCTCGTCTCTACTAAAACTACAAAAATTAGCTGAGTGTGGTGGTGCATGCCTGTAATTCCAGCCACTAGGGAGGCTGAAGCAAGAGAATCACTTGAACCCAAGAGATGGATCAGTGAGCTGAGATTGTGCCAGTGCACTGCAGCCTGGGTGATGGAGTGAGAGTATCTCAAAATAAATAAAAATAAATAAATACATAAAAGCCTATAGTGTGGAATTTTTATTTTATTTATTTATTTTTTGAGACGGAGTCTTGCTCTGTCACCCAGGCTGGGGTGCAGTGGTACGATCTCGGCTCACTGCAAGCTCCACCTCCCAGGTTCATGCCATTCTCCTGCCTCAGCCTCTGGAGTAGCTGGGACTACAGGCGCCCGCCACCATGCCCAGCTAATTTTTTGTATTTTTAGTAGAGACGGGGTTTCACCGTGTTAGCCAGGATGGTCTCGATCTCCTGACCTCGTGATCCGCCCACCTCGACCTCCCAAAATGCTGGGATTACAGGTGTAAGCCACCGTGCCTGGCCTATGATATGGAATTTTTCAGTGGTAAGAAGTGATAGAGGGGATCATTATGGTAGTCAACCAAAAAAAAAAAATTACAATGTATAAATTTGGAAAAGGAGAGGAGACTTTGTTTCTTATAAAGAGTTACAGCCTGCAAAGGGGCCATCCCACAAGCAGGGAAATGTGTCTTTGGATAAGACCAGAGACTGTTACTTCGAAGGAGGAGGGGTTGGGGTAGATGCTTGATGCTAAACAGGTTGCCTAAAAACACATATATTTAACAGGTTACAAAAGAATATTTATGAAGGTGGTCATGACACATGTGAATTGAACAAACAGGTATGTAACATAGGACCCATGTTCATTTCGGGATGGAGACTTAACAGTTAAATGTATTATAATTAGGCCCTATAAGTCAAAAGGTCTTTTCGGGACACAAGGCACACAAGTGTACCATCTCCATAAACCTACCAGGGCCCGTCTACAGTCGGTGGTCTTTTTATCAGGAGAAAGTTACTGAAGTTAGTCTCTTGTCTAGTGAAAGTTGTAGTTGTGGTTGGTGGACCAGTAAGTCAGTATTTGTGAGTTGGATGAATTGCAATTGTTTTAATATTAATGTTATTTTGAGGCCGGTGTTTGTTTAGTTGTCAGAGAAAAAGACAAAGCTTGTGGCAGTTAAAACACAGTTTATTTTTTAACTGTAGGGTATTTGACTTAACCCGAGCCTGGGATGGCCTTAAGTCTTGTTTATAATTTTTTTTTTAATAGGGTCTCACTCTTTTGCCCAGGCTGGAGTGCAGTGGCATAATCTTGGCTCACTGCAACCTCCGCCTCCTGGTTCAAGCAATTCTCCTGCCTCAGCTTCCCAAGTAGCTGGGACTACAGGCACGTGCCACCACACCCAGCTACTTTTTGTAGTTTGAGTAGAAATGGAATTTTACCATGTTGGCCAGGCTGGCCTCAAACTCCTGACCTCAAGTGATCTACCCACCTTGACCTCCCAAAGTGCTGGGATTACAGGCGTGAGCCACGATACTCGGCCTATAATTTGGTATTTTGTTGTTACTAAGAGTCTGTTTTGTCAGTCTTAATGATCTCTATTTTAACATTAATGTTGGAGGTGGGACAGGGTGGCTCACACCTGCCTGTAATCCAAGCACTTTGGGAGGCTAAGGTGGACAGATCACTTGAGGCTAGGAGTTCAAGACCAGCCTAGGCAACATGGCGAAATCCCGCCTCTACCAAAAATACAAAAATTAGCCGGATGTGGTGGCTCACACCTCTAATCTCAGCTACGTGGGAGGCTGAGGCATAAGAATCACTTGACCCTGAGGCAGAGGTTGCAGTGAGCTGAGATCACACCATTGCACTCTAGCCTGGGCAACAGATCAAGACTCTGTCTCAAAAAATAAATAAATAAATAAATAAATAAATAAGTGACTCTGGGGCTTGCTGTGCTAGCCAAATGTATCTGCATGTCTGCTATGAATTGCAGCTTTCCTACGTCCCAACTGTGTGACCTTGGGCGAGTCACTTTACCTCTCTGAACTTTTTCTGTGTGTGTGGTGGGGAAACTGAGGCAAATTCCCAGCTATCTATGTATCTATAAAGGATAACCCTGACACTCGCCTCATAGGCTTGTTGGAATAATGAAATGAGATGACGTATGGAAAATGTGAAGTGCTAGGCTCTGAGCTTGATGAACAATTGGTATTGATATTATTTCAGCCACATGCTGGTTCAGTGTCTTCCCATACAGAACTGTAACCTGGTGAGAAAGATGTTAACACCTACAGTTTCCTAATGAGGCTCCAAGGCTCTGAGAAGTAAAGTGACTTGTTCAAGGCCATAGTGCTAGAAGGTGGCAGAGCCAAGCTTTGAACCCTGGTCTGATTGGCTCCAAGGCTGGGGCTCTGCCAAGACTCCCTGGCCTCAGTCCAGTTCTGGGGGTGCTGACTGCAGAGCAGTGGTTGTGGTATTTGGCCACAGGCTGCAGGCAGAATGTATATGGCCAAATGGCCACCTATCCCAGGGGCCTGCCTGAGCAACTCGTCTCGATCCTGAAGTCTGCAGCTTTGAGCCATGCAGCTCACACATGCCTCCTTCTTTGAGGGCTCCGGAGCCCCACATTTACTGCCTTTCCTCCAGTGTGCCTCTCTAGCCACTCATCCTGTTTCAGGGGAATCACCCCAAAACAGCAAGCACAACCCCCAACCAGGTCCCTCAGAATACCATTTGAATGGTGGAAGGGGACTTTCTTTTTTTTTGAAACAGGGTCTCACTGTGTCGCCCAGGCTGGAGAGCAGAGGCGAAATCATAGCTCACCGCCACCTCAAACTCCTAAGCTCAAGTGATCCCCATACCTCAGCCTCCCGAGTAGCTGGAACCACGGGCACGTGCCACTATGCACAGCTAATTTATTTTTTTCTTTTGTTTTTCTCTCTTTTTTTTTTTTTTGTAGAGATGGGGCCTTAATATGTTGCCTAGGCTGGTCTCAAACTCCTGGCCACAAGCCACCCTCCCACCTCGGCTCCCCAGAGCAATGGGATTTCAGCCATAAGCCACCATGCCAGCCCTAATTTTCTTTCTTGATGATGGGTTAGACCCTGGCCACTTACAGTCCTGGTATGGAGGGCAGGTTTGGGGCTGAGGGGAGGGAGTAGCAGTACCCAGACCCTGGCAAGCCCCTTCTTGAAGAATCTTCTCTGATTCCCTGCCCCTGCCCTCTTCCTACCCGCTCCCATACCTGTTTTGCCAGGTTTCTCCTCTGGTTCCTTTTCCCCACTCCACCCCCCAAGACAAGCCTGGCGTGTCCTGATGCCTGGAAAAATTACACCCATTCCCAGCCAACCAGGGCCAGGGCTGAGAAACCCACAACCAAATGCCTGCCTCTTCCTTCAGAACAGTTGCTTCACATTTGGGATTTGGGGTTGATGGACAGATGATGTCATCGGCCCCAAATCCAAGGGGCCTCTTGCCTCCATCTGCTCTGAGAGCAGCCAGCCCTACTGGGCATGCAGAGGAGGCCTCGAGCTCACAAGAGAGACTCACTCCAGCCACATCAGCCAGGAGTTTCAGGAAGGGTGTCTGGGCCCCCTCACTCATCTCCAAAGCCAAGGGGTTACCTGGACACCTGGAGAAGAAATGTGGCCAGGGTGGGACCCAGTGGACTCAGTTCATTTATTCCCCTATCCCGTCATGCTTGGTAGCACAGGGAAAATAGGAACACAGATTCTGAGCCTGTCAGACATCCTGCTACAAAGTGTGCTCAAGCCAGGTGCAGTGGCTCATGCCTGTAATCCCAACACTTTGGGAGGCTGAGGTAGGTGGATTGCTTGAGCTCAGGAGTTAGAGACCAGCCTGGCAACATGGCGAAGCCTCATCTCTACAAAATATACCAAAATATACTGGGCGTGGTGCTCACATCTGTAATCGCAGACTTTGGGAGGCAGAAGCGGGTGGATCACCTGAGGTTGGGAGTTTGAGACCAGCCTGGCCAACGTAGCAAAACCTGTTTCTACTAAAAATACAAAAATTGGCTGCGTGTGGTG
This sequence comes from Homo sapiens, assembly GCF_000001405.40. NCBI lineage: Eukaryota > Metazoa > Chordata > Mammalia > Primates > Hominidae > Homo > Homo sapiens. Next base: position 124,249,837 of record NC_000009.12, read on the forward strand.
GCACACACCTGTAATCCCAGCTACTTGGGAGGCTGAGGCAGGAGGATCGCTTGAACCCGGGAGGCAGAGGTTGCAGTGAGCCAAGATCATGCCACTGCACTCCAGCCTGGACAACAGAGCAAGACTCTGTCTTAAAAAAAAAAATTAGCTGGGTGTGCTGGTACATGCCTGTAGTCCCAGCTACTTGGGAGGCTGAAGTGGGAGGATTGCTTGAGCCTGAGAGGTTGAGGCTGCAGTGAGCTATGATCACGCCACTGCACTCCAGCCTGGCAATAGAGTGAGACCCTGTCTCAAAAAACAAACAAACAAAACAAAACAACAAAGTGTGTTTGAGACAAACTGGTTAATCTCTCTGAGCATCAGTTTTCTCCTGTGCATGTTTTCTCACCTGAGACATGGATACTCACATCAGAGAGCTGGTGCTGGTGCTACCTACATGCAGGACTCAGTGCCTGAATGAGTGAGAGGCTGTTTGTTCCTGTATTTAGTCACCTGCCTGTAATTGTTTCATGTGACATGAAATTCAGGGTGGCCATATGATTTATTATCTGATCCGGGCCACTTGTGAGTGTGAAAAGGGGCACTGTTTTTTTTGTTTGTTTGTCGTTTTGGGTTTTTTTTTTTTTTTTGAGATGGAGTCTCGCTCTGTCACCCAGGCTGGAGTGCCGTGGCATGATCTCAGTTCACTGTGACCTCTGCCTCCCGGGTTCAAGCGATTCTCCTGCCTCAGCCTCCCGAGTAGCTGGGATGACAGGCACGTGCCACCACGCCCAGATAATTTTTGTATTTTTAGTAGAGACGGGGTTTCACCTTGTTGGCCAGGCTGGTCTTGAACTCCTAACCTCAGGTGATCCACCTGACTTGGCCTCCCAAAGTCCTGGGATTACAGGTGTGAGCCACCGCACCCAGCCAGGGGGTACTATTATTAATTATGCCAGGACAGTAGGCATCACCCAGGACCATCCTGCAGGCACAGGTGATTCTTTGTTGGGAGAGAGTTCCAGTTTTCCCAGAAGGATTCATTCGCTCTTGTCATCCAGGTGCGATTATTGACAGCAACCCCTTTCCCTCTGCAAGTGTCTTGCTTTGGATGATCAACTTTAGGGTCACCTTGGGTGTCTGCAAAGGCCACTGCGTTGGGGGATTCATTTTTTACATTATACAAAATGGGGGTGTCTTGTCTGCTGGGCTCTTTGCCACATACTGATGTCTGGGTGTCCCGCCAAGAACTTCCAGGAGAGTTTAAGCAGTTAAGTCACATTTTTAGGAGCAGCAAACCCTGCTGGCTGCAGAAGGAGTTGGGACCCTCTCCACCTCCTCCCCAGCCCTGCCACCACTCCCTGTGTGACCCCGGGCCACTTCCTGCCTAGCACAATGTGGGGATGGGTCTCCAAGAGTCCTGTCAACCTTGACCTTCTAAGATTTCCTGTTACCCGATGACCCTGGGGAATTTCAGTAAAAATTGGGATGCAAGAAACATCACACCATCATATGGCTCACTGGTCACACCATGAATCCTAGGTCTTTCCTGTGCCAGGCTCTGGGCAGCTGCTGGAAGCCAAGGCATATCCATCAACACTCCTGCTTCATGGGAGGAGAGAGACGAAGCCAGCAACAGATCGGCCTATTCAACTCAGCATCAGGAGAGAACAGGTGCCAGAAAGCAAGCGGGGATAGAGTCCCAGTGTACTGTGAGCTTGCAAAACACCTTCAAAGGCCAAAATCACATTCCCCCAATACCCCATTGCCATGTCTGTTGCCTCTCAGCAGCCAGAAACTCCTACTCTCTTCCTGAGGAGCACAATGATTTTGACAGTTTCTTTGGGCGACTGACATCGCACCAACTCCTTTGTGATTTTAGTATTCGTGGTCTCTGAGTCTGTATCCTCATCTGTACAATGGGCAACAATCTCTACCTCAAAGTGCAGTTGAGAGTATCAGGTAAGGGAACAGACAGGAAATGCAGTTCATATGCAGTTCATGGTGCTCCCTGCAGGCCGTAGGATTTGAGTCTGCTAGTTGAAACAGCAGATATTAGAGCGGGTGGTAGAGGGAAGTTCAGGGAGGTGCGGGGAGGTGGGAAATCAGAGAGTACATTTCTGCCTCTTGATGGCTGTGTGGCCTTGAGCAAGTCCCATCTGTAAAGTGAGGGTGGGAATGATAATCCTTGATAACTTCTTTTTTTTCCACATTCCAGAAACCACCTGGGGAGTGGGGTCTCCAACCGTGTCGGGCGAGGACTCAGAGTTGGCAGCAGTCACTGCCAAAGGCAGGAGGAGATAACCAGTTAGCAGGCCTGTCACAAGATCAGCAACGCATGAAAGACAAAATGCTTCCCTGCGGCAGGAAGAGCCGACGCTTCCCTGCGGCAGGAAGAGCCGATGACACACTGCACTTAAAGTATTCCTCCAAGCCCCACCTCATTCTTCCCAGATCCTCTAGCCTTGGAGCACAGCCTCCAACTCTTCACTGAGCATTTTCAGGAGTACAATCTCAGGCGACTACCCCAATCCTGCAAGAGAGGCTGCCTGCCCCCCTTTGACAGATGAGGAAACTGAGGCCCACAGTGGGGAAATGGATGGCAGGAACTTGAACTGCAGAGAAGAGGCAGACTGAGTTTTCAAGTCTCAAAAGAACCTATGTCTGGACTCTTAAAACAACTCTACAGATGCCTGGAGCAGAGAGTTTTAAAAATTAGCTCCAAAGCTAACCTCATATACAGGCATGGGGACCCGTGGAGAGAGTACTCTTCTCTTCCTCTCCAATGTTCCTGTCCCCAACCAGACCATAAAATCTTGAGGGCAGGGGCCATGGCTGAAACTTCTGTTCTCTCCCACAATACTTAGAACAGTACACAGAGTGTTTGCTCTATGCGGATTAAACAGAGCAGATGCTTGCTGTATGTGGAATTTTTGTGTGTGTGTGTGAGACAGACTCTCACTCTGTCGCCCAGGCTGGAGTGCAATGGTGCAGTCTCGGGCTCACTGCAACCTCTGCCTCCTGGGTTCAAGCGATTCTTCTGTCTCAGCCTCCCGAGTAGCTGCGATTACAGCTGCCCGCCACCACCCCCAGCTAATTTTTGTATTTTTAGTAGAGACAAGGTTTCACTATGTTGGCCAGGCTGGTCTTGAACTCCTGACCTCAGGTGATCCACCCACCCTGGCCTCTCAACGTGCTGGGATTACAGGCGTGAGCCACCTCGCCCAGCCTCTATGTGAATTAAATGCAAATCGTTTGGAATACTATGCAGTCATATAAAAGGAAGCAGTTTTTCTGGAGCCAACAGGAAATGGTCTCCAAGAAGTGAAGAAAACATAAGATACACAATAGTGTAGATTGTATGCTATTATATGAGCAAAAAATAAGAAGAAATACATATACATTCACATACACACGACCATATATACGTGCATACATATATACACACCCACACAAAACACACTGTCTAGGACAGCATATATTCGGCAACGTTGGCTCCCTCCAGGGATAAGAACCAGGTGGCTGGGAGGTAGGGGTAGAAAGGACACTTTTCACTTTGTCCCCTTCTGTGCCTTTTGAATTTTGAACTGTGGGCAAGTATTATCTATTCAAGCAACAAATTAAACATTTTTTAAGTTAAATAACAAAAAATGAGCCAGCTACTTTATAAAGTGAGCCATATGATGATGTGATGACTCCTACATCCCTATCCTGACCGAAATTCCCCCGGGTCATCAAGTAACAGGAAATCTTAGAAGGTCAAGGTTGACAGGACTCTTGGAGACCCATCCCCACATTGTGCTAGGCAGGAAGTGGCCCGGGGTCACACAGGGAGTGGTGGCAGGGCTGGGGAGGAGGTGGAGAGGGTCCCAACTCCTTCTGCAGCCAGCAGGGTTTGCTGCTCCTAAAAATGTGACTTAACTGCTTAAACTCTCCTGGAAGTTCTTGGTGGGACACCCAGACATCAGTATGTGGCGAAGAGCCCAGCAGACAAGACACCCCCATTTTGTATAATGTAAAAAATGAATCCCCCAACGCAGTGGCCTTTGCAGACACCCAAGGTGACCCTAAAGTTGATCATCCAAAGCAAGACACTTGCAGAGGGAAAGGGGTTGCTGTCAATAATCGCACCCGGATGACAAGAGCGAATGAATCCTTCTGGGAAAATTGGAACTCACCCCCTACAAAAAATCCCATTACCGGGAAGATGGCAAGAAGATATTTTGTAACAAAGGAACTTCAAAGGAACATGGCCTGATTCTAAGTTCTTCTTGCCTCTCCTCTCTCCCCCATTACCCCCTCCCCCAATACTAACAACAATAAAGGACTTGAGTTAACCTGGATTCAAATCCTGGCTATTTTCTGAGCCTCAGTTTCTTCATCTATAAAACATAAATCATGACCCCTATCTCAAGGGATGCTATAAGAATTAACTGTCTCTTACAGAGCCAGATGCAGAGAAGGTGCCCGGCAAGCGGTAGTTTCTCTTCCCTTCGTGCAGAGAAATAATGAAACAACACATACTGAATCCTGAAACTCTTTGGGGGTGAACGGAGACAGACTTTCTCCCAGACCAGTTGAACAACGCCTCGGTGGGCAGAAGTGTGAGGCAACGTGTGCAGGGAGACGCTCATCCTAATTCTGGGTGTCATTTTGCAAAGCACTGCTTCACGATGACTCATTTTGGGACTCCCTAAAAACTCCTTTGAGTTAAAAACAAAAGTTGAGTGGGATTCAGCTTGCATTGTACCTTATCACTCTACTGTGCCCTCGTCAGTGTATCAGAGTACTGCAGGGAATTCAAGAATCTCTGAGCAGGCTAACCCTGATATTTGCCCCATAGTGTCACCAGGAGCTGGGACCATCTGCACAGGGCCCAGGACAGAGGGAAAGAAGTGGCCATGAGGGATGGAGGAGGAGGAAGGCCAGGAAAATGGGGTGCATGGGCCTCCCCTACCCTGCTCCCATCCAAGGGGGAGGGGGACCCCCAATGCAAAAGCACTCCTGGGTCCTCCTACCTATCCCTGCTTTATTTCTCCATCAAACTTTTTTTTTTTTTTTTTGAAACAGAGTCTTGCTCTGTTGTCCAGGCTGGAATGCAGTGACATGATCTCAGTTCGCTGCAACCTCAGCCTCCTGGGGTCAAGCAATTCTCCAGCCTCAGCCTCCCGAGCAGCTGGGATTATAGGCACGTGCCACCATGCCCAGCTAATTTTTTTATTTTTAGTAGAGATGGGGTTTCGCCATGTTGGCCAGGCTGGTCTTAAAGTCCTGACCTCAGGTGATCCACCACCTCGGCCTCCCAAAGTGCTGGGATTACAGGGTGAGCCACTGCGCCTGGTCTCCACCAAACTTCTTATCTTTGAAATGCCAGACATTCACAGTGTCTTCCTCCCATCCCACTCTCCCACCTTGGCTGAAGCCCCAAGAGAGTCAGAGCTAGATTTTTGTTCACTCCTGTATCCCAGGACAAGGCTTCTTTATTCCCCTAACACTCAGCCTGCCTGCAGCCAGACCTACCTCTGTTGATTATCATTGGCTGTGTGACCTGGGACAGATTGCTTGACCTCTCTGAGCCTCGGTTTCCTAACTGGAAAATGAGGACATCACAAGTATCTGTCATACGGGTTCTGTGAAGCTGGGGAAGGGCTTTGCAAGCAGTAAAGTCTTACATAGATATTGTGTGTTGGGGGTGGGGGCAGTCCTTTCCTCCCAGTGGCCTGGTGCGGCTCTCAAAGTTTCCTTCAAAAGGGAGTTTCTGGTTCTTGCTCTGTAGCTTAACTGAATAGCTGCCAGAACATGGGACCTGCCCTCCACACAGTGGGCCCCTACTGACTTCTCCCACTCCCTCATTCAGGCCTCTGCTCAGATGTCACCTCATCAGAAAGGCCTTCTTCCAGCACCCCCTATAAAAAAGCACCCCTGGGTCCTCCTACCCTTCCGAGTTATTTCTCCACCAAACTTCTTTTTTTTTTTTTTTTGGAGACAGAGTCTCGCTCTGTCACTGAGGCTGGAGTGTAGTGGCGCGATCTCGGCTCACTGCAAACTTCGCCTCCCGGGTTCACGCCATTCTCCTGCCTCAGCCTCCCAAGTAGCTGGGACTACAGGCGCCTGCCACCATGCCCGGCTATTTTTTTGTATTTTTAGTAGAGACAGGGTTTCACCGTGTTATCCAGGATGGTCTCGATCTCCTGACCTTGTGATCCGCCTGCGTCGGCCTCCCAAAGTGCTGGGATTACAGGCGTGAGCCACCGCGCCCGGCCCAAACTTCTTATCCTTGAAATGGCAGATATTCAGTGTCTTCCTCCCACCCCATCCCTCCCCCTTGACTGAAGCCCCAAGAAAGGGCCATATTTTGTTCACTCCTTTATCCCAGTGCCTAGAAAAGTACCTGGCCCATGGAAGGTGCTCATAGATGTGTCGGGTGAACCAATGACTGAACTAATGTTTGCTGCATGAATATGGCCAGTATCACAAATCCTCTAGTAACACTGCAATACGCTGTCTCAGAACTTCGATTTCTTTCTATTATTTGTTGCAGTGTTTATTTCTTCTATTTAACTTTTCAATCTGTCTGACATTTATTGTGGTGTATATCATGGGAGGCAAGGCTGTAAACAGATCTCCAGCTAAACGGCTAAACAATTTGCAGAACAATCCATTTCCTCCCCATTGGTTTGTGATGTCTGCATTTTCATCCACAAGAGCTGGGACCAGGCCCGCTCCTGTGGGCCAGCTGCTGCCTCGTCTGCCCTCTTGTTCCAGAAGCCCAGGGCTATGCTGTTCCTGAGGCAGGGCTGCCTAGTGATTGGCCACACAGGCACTGGAATTAGACAATCTGCCGTGCACTTTCCAGCTCAACCACTTACCATCTGGGTGACTTTGAACAAAAGAATTTGCTTTTTATTGTTGTTGTCCAGGTTGGAGTGCAGTGGTGCGATCATAGCTCACTGCAGCTGCTAACTCCTATGCTCAAGAGACCCTCCCGCCTCAGCGTCCCGAGTAGCTGGGACTGCAGGCAGGCACTACCACACCCAGCTAATTCTTACATTTTTCTGTAGACATGGGGTTTTGCTATATTGCCCAGGCTGGCCTCAAACTCCCAGCCTCAAGGCATCCTCCCACCTCAGCCTCCCATAGTACTGGGATTACAGGTGTGAGCCACCGCACCCAGCCTGAAATTTCATTTCTAAGCCTCAAAGCCCATCTGTAAAATGGGCACAAGGGTAACGTTGGCACACGTGGTGGACGCTCCGTTGGTGTCATTATTACAGATCACGGCCAGTTGAAGCACTTCCACTCATTTGGCAAACAGAAGCCAGACGGGCATTCACCCTGTGCCCAGTACAGTGCTGCGCCCAAGCAGGCAGTCAGTGTCCCTGGCTCCAGCCCTCCTGGGGTGCAGCACAGTTTTGAATGTGGAGGGGAGGCAGCAGGGGTGGAAACAGCCCAGCCAGGAGCGGCCGCTCTCGGTGCGGGGAGGAGGTGAAGTGAGAACTGAGCTGCTTGGGTCTCAGGGAGGCTCTGACTTCTAGAGGGGGCGTTCAACATTCTTTAGTGGGGACTTTTACTACTTCCAGAAACCTCTGCACATTGGCTCTTGCTGGTCCCCCGGGGGCCACAGGAAGTGGGAGCTCCAGATGAAGAGTCGCTGGCACTTTGAGGGCAGGGGGCAGGGCCTTCCCCTCATCGGAATACTCTTGGAGCCTACTTCAGTGCCTGCATTCAGCTGGTGCACAATAAGTGCTTGTTACTGTGCCAATTTCAGTATGACTAGGGCTGTGGTAGGAGCAATGCTAGGCGATGGGGAATCCGAAGACGCACAGGAGTCCAAGGGTTGGCTGACTGCAGACCCTCATCATAAGTCTAGAGCCGGAGAAGATGGGGAGACGCCGGCCTGCGCCCTGTGAGTCTGGGCCTCAGTCTTCCCATCTCTGAAATGGGGAAGGGGTTCCTCGGCCGAGCGGATCGGCCGCAGAACTCGGCGGAGTCGAGGGGTCCAGGCCCAGGAAGGACGCCGCCGGGGCGCCCCCCGCCCCTCAAGCTTGCGTGGCGGCAGCGCGCACGAGCGCTGGGGGCGGCGCGGCCCCGCGGCGGGGAGGGGCGGGCGCGCGGGCGCGCGGGCCCGCGCAGGCGGTGGCGGCGGCGGCGGAACCGAGCTGACGGGCGTGCGGCCGCTGCGCCGCAAACTCGTGTGGGACGCACCGCTCCAGCCGCCCGCGGGCCAGCGCACCGGTCCCCCAGCGGCAGCCGAGCCCGCCCGCGCGCCGGTGAGTCGCCTGGGGCTGGGGCCGGGCCGGTGGGGCCCCGCGGCCCGGAGAAGGGCGGGGGCCGGGCGGCGGGGCCGTCACCCCCAGCCGGGCCGAGGGCGGGCGCGCGCCCACGGCTCCGCGGGGGAGAGCGGGAGGCGGGCGCGAGTGTGGCCGCGCGGGGCTGAGCGTGTCGGCGGCCGGGCGGGCGGGGGCGGCGTGTCCGCGTGTCCCGGGGTGTGCGCGTCCCCGGCGGGTGTGCGTGTGCACCCCGGAGCGTCTGGTGGCGTTGTTGGGGTGAGTGCGTGCGGGGACGCGGGCATGGCTCCCCGCTACCCACTTCCCGAGTGGGGACGACGGGCGGAGGAGTGTGCCGGGCGCCGCAGGGAGTACGTGCGGGTCTCAGGGAGTGTGTGTGTGCACGTGTGTGCATTCCAAAGTGATTTGTGTGCAAGCACATGCGTGAGCCTAGAAGGGCGAAAGTATGCCTGTGTGGGTGTGAGTATAACGAGTGTGCAGGGCCGTGCGAGCGTGTTTATTACTGAGGTTGAGGGGCCGGCCCCCTTTGCGCCCACCAGGCCTTTGCACAGTGATGGCCCCCGAGCCAGGGAGCCCGTGGAGAGAGAAGCGGCCTGGCATGGGCTGGGGGTCGGGGCTGGGCCTGATCCGGTGAACCAGGGGCCAGGAGGGCAGACTCAGAGCCTGGCTGGGCCTGACAGAGGCAAAGGTCTTAGAGCCAGGCTGCGGCAGGGCCACTGGCAGGACCCTCTCTGCATACACAGGCTGGGCGAGCGGAGGCTGTGGTGGGCCCCTCGGCCGGGCACCCGAGGACGTGTGTTTTCCTAAATATCCTCCAGGCTCTCCTGTCTTTGTTCTTGTCTCTCTCCAGCCAGGCCTGGGGGGCTGACCCTAGACTTGCCTGTGTATGTGGGGGCCTCTCTGCCTGCCCTGCTAAGTAGACGGATCTTTTGATTTATTTATACCTCTCCTAGGCTCCAAGTGTGAATCCCAGGACAGTAACAAATTGATCACAGCGGGCTTGGGACACCAGCTTCCGAGGTCTGTCCTTGCAGTTTTGACTGACAGGCTTTTGTGTGTGTGCGTGCTCTCTAACTGTTGAAAATCTTTGCAGCTGAAAGTCTTAATTGCTTTAAGGCAAACTTTAGAAATTCCAGAGCTCCCTAGTTGGTCTGACTTTTCCAAATTCAGCTTGCCTTTTTTGGGGGAAAATGTCGCCTTAGTTTGGTGTACAGTACGTGCAGGCAGGTCTTGGAGGCACGTTTAAAAACCCTGTCGTTAATGGAAGAAGAATTTCATTGAAAGGGACGCAGAGCCGTCTGGAAGCGCCTGCCCCGGACTCAGCGAGTTTGGACTCAGCGAGTTTGAGCTTACCGAATGAACTTTGGACGTCTTCTTTTAGCAAACAAAACCTGGAAGGAAGCAAAAAAGACCCACATTCTTTTTCTTTTTTCTCCTGAAAATGAAAAAAAGAAAACACCTTCTGGGTTTGCTGGAAATGCCCCCTCTCCTTCCCCCATCAAGGCCAAGCCCTCGCTGCGTCCCCCACCCCCAAATAAAATATGCCTGTGGGGAGCCGTGGAATGAGTCACTCCCTGGCAGAGAGCCTGACGGGCAAACATTTGGGAAGGTTCTTGCCTAACTTCCCAGAAGAAAAGGCCCAGGATTTAAAATGGTCCCTGTGGTTTGTCAGCCTCTGCTGTCCCGTCTGCTTCGGAAATGACTAAAAAGTAGTTTGTATCTCCACAAAATAAAGTCTCAGACTGAAGGCCTTAGACCCAGGTTGGTCTGGATTTAGAGCTGTTTGGGTTTCCAGAAATGGAGCGCCTGGCTTTAACTGGTGGCATTTCTGGTGGGTTTGAACAAGGGCAGAGGAGGGAAATGGGGAGGAAGTTCCCTTTTGCGGAGCAGAAGGGGCTGTGTGCTGGGAGCCGTTCTAGGGGGTGTGAATCTCCCGTTGGTCTTCTGTGACAGAAAATGCTTTTGGTTTTGTGCACAAGGAAACTGAGGCACACGGGGGTCAAGCCTGTGTCCTGGGGCAGCTGAGAGGAGGTGGGGGCAGAATCCGAAGTCACCTGCCCAGCCTCACAGCCTTTCCTCTTTCCATTGCACTTGGGATATGGTATTTGACTGGCTAAGGTGCACAGACCTAGTGCTGAGTACTTTAGCACACATCCGTTCATTTTCTGCTCATCGTAGATAGGGTTTATTATCCCCATTTCACAAATGATAAAACTGAGGTTCAGAGACATGACTTGCATAATTTCATTAAAGTAGCACCACGATAGATGGTCCCCATTTATTTTTATTTATTTATTTATTTATTTTTGAGACAGAGTCTCACTCTGTTGCCCAGGCTGGAGTACAGTGGCGCAATCTCAGCTCCCTGCACCCTCTGCCTCCTGGGTTCAAGTGAGCCTCCTGCCTCAGCCTCCTCCTGAGTAGCTGGGATTATAGGCAGGTGCCACCACGCCCAGATAATTTTTGTATTTTTAGTAGAGATGGGGTTTCACTGTGTTGGCCAGCCAGGCTGGTCTCGAACTCCTGACCTCAGGTGATCCGCCCGCCTTGGCCTCCCAAAGTGCTGGAATTACAGGCATGAGCCACCATGCCCGGCCATGTCCCCATTTACTGAGGATATACTGTGTGCTAGGTCTGGTGCTGTATTTTACCCAGTCCACTCACCAACACTAAGATGGAAGCTGTCACGATGCCCATTTACAGATGAGGAAACTGGGGCACAGAGAGATGAGAGAATGCGCCAAAGACCATGTGCTAATACGCAGCAGAGCTGGATTTGAACCCAGGCTTGTCTGAGCAGAGCCCATGGTCTCCCCACTGTACTAGGAAGGTAGCAGGCACTGTGGGCTGGATGCCTGGCCTGTGCTGAGGTTCAGTGTCGTTTTCCTGATCTTACAGAGAGGGAGGTTAAGTAACTTGGGCAGGGTCATAAACCCACAAATGGCAGAGTCGGGATTCGAACCCATGTCTCTGATTCCAGAGTTCCTCACCTTAAACCACATCTGGCTGCCTTTGTCGTGCTTTGCTCCTGTTGCATGCTGCAAAGCCAAGTAGGTTAAGACAGGCTAGGTTCCTGCAGGGCTGGGTTGCCCGAGACCTGGGAGAGGTCTTCCAGAAGGCACTGCTGGCCTTCCTCGCCCAGGGCCAGAGCTACTGGAGAGAAAGGGCTGCTGTTCACATTTTTTCTTTTCTTTAAGTGCCCCAGATACTTTTCATAAGGGAAGTGTCAAAACAATTGTCAAAAGGAGAAGAATATTTCCTTCCTCTTCTCAGGCTAGACCAAGCAAGGGAGTTGGAGGGTGGAGAGTGGAGGGACCTGGTGAATCATCCAAGATTAAATACGGGCAGGCACTGCCAGGCTTGTGTGGAGATGAGGCTGGGACACTGTTCGCAGGAAGAGTCCGGTGTTCTGGCCCCCTGATGTCACCTTCACGGGCCTGACTCACAGTCCTAAATATCTGACAGCGAGATCGCTTGTAGGTAGGCTTCTTGTCACTTGTCATTTAAGTCCCCTGCCTGCCTTTTTTCCCTGCTCATTTCCATTTCGATCACGGCTTCTACTACATGTGCTTGAAATGAATGTTGTGTGTGAGGACCTGTGTGGTTTGGGCCATGTTGTGCCCCCCTGCCAGTGTCCTTCGGTGTTGAAAGGAAAAGGTATTTCTCTCCCTTCCATGTATGTTCTGCAAATTGACGAACATTTGCAAATTGCTTTGAGATGCGTTAATTTAAGGTGTGAAATAATAGATCTTGTGCGAAGGCTCAGCCACATTTCTGGCATTGATGGATTTTTCTCCCGTCTGGCCTGTGATTTGGGGAGGTAAAAATAGTCCTTTTTTCCACATTTTTATCTTTTTTTTTTTTTGCTGACATCATTCTTAGGAAGTGGTGTGCACATGCCGTGGAACTTTACATGGAACATGGAGCTCTGGGGAGCAGGAGTGCTCTTGGAGTGAGGGGTGGTCTGCGGTGGCCCAGGCACCCCCTGGCTGTCCGTGAAATGGCTTTGAAATGAGCAGGCACTGTTGAGGGCCTCAGTGGCTTTTTGGTATTTGGCTGTCTTTTCACTTATGACTCTTGGGTAATGGCAAGATAACTTTTGGGGAAAATGTTAGTTTAAAAAGAAAAAAAATCAGGCCAGCACTTTCACTCATTCCTGTCTGAGCTGGTCCCTTCCTTTGGCCAAAGCTGAACTAAACCAATGGCCTTCTCAGACTCGACTTCCAGACAGAGGAGCCGACATTGGGGCAAATCAGTTGGTGGTGTAATTTCCTGTGATGTTAACTTTGGGAACTTGAACTTGGAGTGGGAGCTAGCATTTTGACATGTGTCCCTCTAACAGGACTTGCTTGTGTGGAAACAGACCCCCACATACATGGCTGCGCCATTGTCTCCAATTCTGGATTTTTCCACAGATGACTTCTCGGGTGATCTGGTGGTAAAGGCACAGGTCTTCTAGCCAGGCCTTCTTGGCCTCCAGCAAGGGCAGGATCACAGCACCCCACCAGACCTGACTGGCCACCACCGCTGTAGCTGTGGCTGGGCGAGTGGGGGGGCCATGGGAATTGAAAGATGGGGTGGCCGAGATCTGAAATGCATTCAGTTGCAGTGGCCTGGATCTGCACGGAGCCGTTCTTTCTTTCTCTTAGACATCTGCATGGTGGTGACCTCATAGAATTCTAAGAAAAAAGGGGCTTTATGTAGGAATTCCATAGAGTGTGAAGGAATTTGGACAGGGGAAGGGGGAGGGAAGTTGCCATTCAGAGCCTGCAGTGCCTGCATTTTCCCCGAATTGTTTAACCCTCATGCTTCAGAATTAGGCTGAGGCTTGCGGGGTGGGTCATGTTGACCTGGGTGAACAGAGATCCCTTTAAGAAGAACTTCTCCATGTTCCAGAGGCGCGTTCTTACTGCAGGTGAGTGGCAGTATGGGAATTAGTCCACAGGCCCCTTCTCGAATGCCTGCCCTCTCTTGTTCCTTGTCCTCAACGTCTTTGAAACTTGGGCTTGTTGGGAAGACACCTGCAAAAGGATGGATGCACATGACCTTCAGCTCTAATGAATCAAGCTGCTGATGAGGAATTCACTGGGCTCCCAATCCAGAGAGCTTCGCACACACCCACTGGGGTTGAGACGAGCACTGGGTTTATTTATTGTGGACTTTTGGAGTCTGAAGGACTCTTGCCACCCATCTGTTTCACGGAACAGAACCTGAGGCTCAGAGGGAGCAAGGCGCTCCCCCACAGCCGCATTGAGAGCCTGAGCCTGGGCACCCGATGGAGTGAATGAGGCTGGAGTCCCAGACCTGCCTCTCATGAGCACGTCGCCCACTGAGCCTCAGCGTCATCATCTGGAAAACAGGGATAATATTATGACCTCAGAAGCTTCGGGGGAGGAAGTAAGTGAAATAATGCATTTCAGATGCTCAGCGCCTTTTAAGTGCTTGATGCTCATTCCCCAAGATTACATGAGAGACATGGAAAATCTTTAATGACCAAGGACCCACCCAGGGTCACTCAGCCGGGACCCTTGGTCCGTGGCCCAGAGTGTCTCCAGTGCCCCTGCATTGAGGCCCTAAACAAGGCCAGAAGCAGGTGCCGGGGACCCCTCTGGATTCCACCAGAGCACCTTCCTAGGATCATGGCTCCCAAAACGGAAGGGAAGGAGACAGCGCAGTTTGCAAAGAGGCAGGATTTAAGCACCAGGGTGGCCCTGTGGCGCCTCAGGAAAATGTTTGCCTGTCAGTATCTGCTCTCGTTCCCACCTGTCCCCACAAAGCGAGGCCATAAGTCCTCGGCGTGGCATTGGAGGGTCTCTGAAGGCCCTGAGAGCTGTGTCAGCCACGGTGTGTTATGAAGCAAGGCAGATGTTTTGTTAATTATTTACACAGCGTCGGCCCCGCAGAGGACTGCGCTGACAGGAGCGGCTGTCACAGGCCTGGCCGTGGGGCAGAAGTGAGCAGCCGTCTTCCCCTGGCAGTCCTCCTGAAAAGGTCTGCATGGCAAGGCCTGAGGGAGTCCTGCACATTTTATGCCCCCGCCCCCCAAAGCCATTTGGGTTTCCCTTAAACTGGCTTGTTTTCCTGAGCCGGTGGAGAGATCCTTGTCCTCCGGAAGTGGCTATCGCTCTGGGGCGGCTTCTCTGCCAGCTCGTCACACCCTAGACCCAGCTGTAGTCTGTGTGGTGGGAGAGGGTGTCACCAGGCTCTGGAGGTCCACTCCTCTGTAGTCACCTCATGCAAGGAGGGCTTCACAGGGGCCCAGCCTCTACTCCCTCATCCGGAAAACGGGCCAGTAACACCAGGCACCAGCCCCGTGATCCTCAGGCACCCTTGGGGGTGATCTGCCTTAGAAATTCAACTTTAGGATTAGAATTCTGCTAAGAGGTACCATGTGACAAAAAAGGTAGTGTAAAAATCACAAAGACCAGGACAGGCTCATGCCTATAATCCCAGCACTTTGAGAGGCCGAGGCGGGCAGATCACTTGAGGTCAGGAGTTTGAGACCAGCCCAGCCAACATGGCAAAACCCCATCGCTACTAAAAATACGAAAAATTAGCTGGGCGTGGTGGTGGACACCTTTAATCCCAGCTACTCGGGAGCCTGAGGAGCCTGAGGCGTGAGAATCACTTGAACCTGGGAGACAGAGGCTGCAGTGAGCTGAGATTGTGCCACTGCACTCCAGCCTAGGCAACAGAGCGAGACTCTGTATCAAAAAAAAAAAAAAAAAAAAAAAAAGAGTTCTGCAAAGAATGGCACCTGGCATCAGAGCTTTCCCTGAAAGGCCACTAAGGATGAGGAACGTGAGCTCCGGGGAGGCGAAGGGGGCAAAGCCACCTGCCTGTTGCCTGTTTTACATAAGGAGGTTTTGCATAGGAGTCATTTTAAGATACATGAAGTAGCCAGAATAGATAAATCCACATAGACCTAAAGCAGATTGGTGGTTTCCAGGGCCTTTGGGGAGGGGAGACTGGGGAGCGACTGATTAAGGGACATGGGTTTTTATTGGGGTGACGCAGACGTTTTGGAACCGGATGAAGGTGGTGGTTGCACAACATTGTGATTGTAATACATCCCATCCAGCGGTTTGCTTTAAAGTGGTTAAATATATCTGAGAAAAATGTTAAACATAAAAGTTTTGGCCAGGCACGGTGGCTCACGCCTGTAATCCCAGCACTTTGGGAGGCCGAGGCAGGCGGATCACGAGCTCAGGAGTTTGAGACCAGCCTGACCAATATGGTGAAACCCCATCTCTACTAAAAATACAAAAATTAGCTGGGCGTGGTGGCGTGTGCCTGTAATCCCAGCTACTCAGGAGGCTGAGGCAGGAGAATCACTTGAACCCAGGAGGCGGAGGTTGCAGTGAGCCGAGATGGCGCCACTGCACTCCAGCTTGGGCAATAGAGTGAGACTCCGTCTCAAAAAAAAAAAGACAAGTTTGTCTTGCTTTAAAAAAAAAAATACCTCTCCTTTTACAGATGGCGACACTGAGGCCCAGAGAGACATCATGACCAGCCTCAGGTCCCACATGCAGCCTGCTGCTCTGTAGCCTAAATCAGATCACTGTCCCAGCTTTCAGGTCAAGGCTCTGGTTGTGACACCTGGGCCTGGACTGCGGGTGAAAAGTTTTGATGCAAAAACACAGACCGTCCATTGTCCTATGGGCTAAGTGGACTCCCTTCTGCTAACCAGAGATGCTTGTGCTGGCTGGTGTGTGGCACGTTATCTCATTCTTTCATGACGTATGTCCGGATGGAAGTCCTGGGTCAGGCATTGTGCTGGGAGCCCACACGAAGACCCTCTAATGGCCCCACCCATTGGCCTCTCACCACCTGGTGGGGACAGAGGCTGTCACAACCCCTTCTTAGGTGCTCTTGATCAATTTGCAGGTGGCATTTTTTGGGATGTAGTCTCTGGGGAAGTAGGAGAGCTTCCGGCAGTGAGGGGTGTTTGAACCCACCTGGAGGGAGACGTGGGGTTTGCCAGAGGGCTGAGAGGGCTGGGGTGAAGGGCAGGTAGACCCCAAGGTGGAGAGGCAGGTGGGGCCGGTGGGTGAGAGGTGGGGCTGTGGAACTTCCTCCTGCTTCTTTGGCCTTTGCTCCTGTCGGTAGATGGCCTTACCAGGCACTTACTGTGGGCCATGTTCTAATCTAACCCTTAACCTGAGGGAACTCACTTCATCCTCCCAGTGATGCCGTGATGTGGGTATCGTTCTGCCCATTTTATAGATGAGGAAACAGAGACCCAGAGAGTCCAGGATCTGTGGTGCTTGACGAGCATCAGCCTGAGTGCTGTGAGGACACCCACAGCATGGGGGTCTGAGCTGAAAATTGGAGGACAGAGGCTGCCCTCCGGAAGTGACCAGGATGTGCCCTCAGGAAGTGACCAGCTGCCCAGCTCAGGACCTGTGTGAGGGCCCCCAGGCAGCTGGAAGGAACAGTGTGCACCCAGGTACCATGCCAGGGCCCCTGAGCATCCGTCTTGTCATCGCATAGTTGTAACCTGCCTCACAGACTGAACATGCACTCTAGAAGGGGATGGGACTTGGTCTGTGGACCACAACAGTGTTCTCCATGGCCAGCATTGTGCCTGACACATAGGAGGAGCTCAATTAATATTTGTTGAGTGAATGGGAAGTTTTAAGTAGGCACGCGGCCGGATCCTTGGAGAATGTTTATATGGAGTGAACGAATCTGTTAGCAAACGTTCCTCACTCCCCTCAGTGGGCTGTGCAGGGCTGTATTGAGCTGAGCTGGCCCTTCCCTGGGAGAAGAGGTTTCTTAGAGAAATGCTCATCCTCGAATTATTCCAATGAGGAGGAACCTAAGCCCAGAAGGGCTCTACCTCCCAGAGTTACAGGCTCTCCTTCCTATGCCCCTTCCCTGCCGAGGCAGCTCCCACATGTCTGCATAGGAGGGCTTTGGGTTGGAATGGGTCAGTGCTGTGTCTTAAAGCTGCATTTTCTACCAAGCACACACTTTGTTTAGAGGGCATATCTTTTGGGGTTGCTTTGAGGAAAGGCTAACCAAGCCACCTCTGAGCACAGACATGACTTTTTGGCAAATGAGCAGGACCCCAGATTACACCCCATCTTAGAAAGTAGGAAACCCAGCATTGAAAGAGGAAAGATTCTGCAGCTGATGTGGCCTTGGCGGGCCACCAGCGTGGGTGCCCAGATGGCAGGATCACTGGGCACCACATGGCACACAGAAGAGAGCAAAGGAGAGGGAGTCCGCCCCTGGGCTTGGCAGGTCCGGTCGAGTCCGCCTGGATTCAGTTACAACAGGACCTCGAGTGGGCACGGCGTGCCGGACTGAGTCAGTGTGTGTACATTTCCTTTGTTCGTCTCCTCCGGGAATGTAGTGGCCTTTTGTGTGTGTTTTAAATGCCAGCCTCCTTACCTAACCCAAGAGGAAATGAGGACTGGGTTTTTGTCTGTGCAGACGCTGGGACAAGTGTGGGAGCCGCCTGCTCTTGGAGCCAGCCTAGTGGTGACAGCGTGGCATTTGGAAAACATTCTGTGGTTTTCTCCAAGGGGTGATGGGCACACCAGGTGCTGGGCCGCCCCTGAGCTGGCCACTGGGACCCTGAAATGAGGAAGCCCTGTGACCAGGTTTCATGATGCCATTCAGCAAGGGACGGCTGAGCACCACATGCCTTCTTGGCCCCTGGGGAAACACACAGGAATCAGATGAGGTCCCTGCCCCGTCTTCCTGGGGAAACATGCAGAGAAAATACTTGTACTCTGAGCTAACACCTTTCACTCGCACAGACCTTTATGGTGTTCTGTGTCTTCAGACATTGATCACCTGTAGGTGAGACACATCATGGCCCCACTTTCCAAACTCCCAAACGGGCTGTGATCTGTAGAAGTATTTAGTGCCATTCAGGGACAGGAGAGATGGTTTGGAAGATGCTGTCTGCTGTGCGAAGTCTCTGGATGCTCAAATGGCTTATGGGGTGGCATCTTTGAAATTACCCAGTCCTGAAAATTTCAGGACATATGGTCACTGTGATGTGCTAATGTTAGCAATTGAGATATTTAATGACCCAGAAAAACCCCTTTTCCTACCCAGTGCAGGTTACTGGAGAGCCTTTATTTCTCAGGAGGAGGGTCTTACACAGTGTAATTTGGACCAGCAGATAGGGAGTCATTATCCCTCATTCATTTATTAGCTAATTAAGTGGTTTATCTGGTCACACATTTACTCCTTCAATTGCCATTCATCCAGCACTGTTTGCTGATGTACCTGGCCTGGTGCTGGGTACTGGGGGTGGAATGAAACAGAACAAATATGACTGAGTCCCTACTGTGTGCCAGCCCATAGGGTGTGCTGTGTGCCACAGGTGAATGCATTCACTTCCCAGTGGACATTTAACAACCACCTACTGTGTGCAGACTCATGGAGATGCAGAAATGCAAATGGCACAGTCCGTAGTGGTTTGGACACTTGTGGTGTTTTGATGGGGTCTTTAGTCCTGGCTCTCTCTCTGCTTGCTGTGATATACCCAGTCAGCCACTGTTCACAGGCCACGTGGTGACGTCCCCAGAATGAACCAGAAACAATCCAGATGCCCCAGGAACCGACGTGAGAACAAGGCATCCCCTTCACACGTTGTGTCTCAGTTCAGCGTCTTGCCACCACCCAGCATTTTGAGACAGAATGTGAGATCGCGTGGTTGGCTAAATACATAAATATTTTATGTCTCGATATTCTGAAAATGAAGCCCAAATGCACAGAACTGCAGCACATCAGTGCTATAGATCATATGTTATAATAATCTGATGACATGTTGTTTAAATATTTATGGACTGATGCGACATGACAATGGGGGAGAGAGGAGGCTCGGAGCAGAGTCTCGGCAGATGCGGGAAGGAGGGAGCAGATTCCTGTGATCCCGAGAAGCGTCACAGGACACCTGGGTTTCTGATGTGATGTTTTGGGGTTTTATGACAAAAACAGTGGCTGACATTTATTGAGCGCTTGCCGAGTGCTGTACCCTTCACTGATACCATGTCATTGAATCATCACAGCATTCCCAGATGGTGGGGCTCTTATTAACCCCAAGTTACAGAGGGGAAACTGAAGCCCAGGGCAAGTCAGTGGTCCACCCCAGACCCCACAGCTAGTGAGTGGCCCAGGAGCAAATCCAGGCTGACCCCATTCTGCATTCTAGCTCTTAATTACTGTGCCGTGCTACTCTAGGGGTGACAGGTCATATCTGAAAACCCCCCACCCCTGCCTGGGTGACCCCTTGCTTGGTGCTAACTGGACTTTTTTTTTTTTTGAGATGGAGTTTCACTCTTGTCACCCAGGCTGGAGTGCAATGGCACGATCTTGGCTTACCGCAACCTCTGCCTCCCGGGTTCAAGCAATTCTCCTGCCGCAGCCTCCCGAGTAGCTGGGATTACAGGCACCCACCACCACGCCCGGCTAATTTTTTTTTGTATTTTTAGTAGAGATGGGTTTCACCATGTTGGCCAGGCTGGTCTCGAGTGATCCGCCTGCCTCGGTGGACTTTCTAAATCACAGGAAAGGAAGGTGATGTCTGTAAAATGTCGGATGGGATTGGAAGGCACAAGGAATGAATAGCTTAGGAGGGGCAGGGAGTCGTGTGGAAGGGCCACTGCAGCCCGGTGCCTGGCACA
The DNA here is from genome assembly GCF_000001405.40 of Homo sapiens. Classification (NCBI taxonomy): domain Eukaryota; kingdom Metazoa; phylum Chordata; class Mammalia; order Primates; family Hominidae; genus Homo; species Homo sapiens. The sequence continues at coordinate 124,269,752 of NC_000009.12, forward strand.
TAGTAGGTGCTCAGGAAATGTGGTTCTTGAGCCTCTGCCCTTCTCTTTGTTGTTGGTTTTGCAGAGTCATTAAGGGAGTTTACTGCAGACTGTCCCCCATATAAGTGTCCTGTGGCCCCTGAGCCTTTGCCTCAGCCTCTCTCTCTCCCTGCAGTGCCCTGGGAGGAATCAACTGACAGCCCTTTCAGTCTCCCACAGTCCAGCCAGTTAAATCAAGGTGTTCCCCTTTTATAGAGGAGTCTCCTAGAGCCAACCGCAGCATCCCTGCCTTTGGGAGCCACCTGGAATGTGCCAGCTGCAGTAGCCGTTCCTTCCACGCCCCCCCCCCATGCTGTCTGTGGGGCTTGCCACTGAGTGCTCCATCTCCCCATGTGCTCCATCCCCCGGCATCTGCTGCCATTGGTCCTGCCTGTTGCGTTACTTCTCTGTGCCCTGGAGCCCCTCAAGCACAGAGGCCTCGAAAGGTTGATCAGACATCCTCAGCACCTGGAGCGGGGCCTGGCACACAAGACGGCAATGAACGGCCAACCCTAGAAGTTCACCCCACAAGACCTGCAGGGCGGGGGCTGAGTGTCCAAGAAGCCTCTTGGGAAGGGATGGTCTTAGACCTAGTGGTGTCTTCCCATTCTGCAGAGGCCTAGGGATGTCCCCAGGTCCCCAGAGTGGGAGGGGAAGGGTCAGAAGTCCATGGAAATAAAACACAGGGCCAGCTACAAAATTTGTGGGGCCCAGTGCAAAATGAAGATGCAAGTTCCCTTGTTCAAAAAGCAGTAAAAAAAAAACACAAAAGTTTTTTCCTTTCCTTTGCAATCTCTTTCCATCTGTCATGATGTTTTTTGTTTGCTATTTAATGTCTCACTCCCTGGACACAAGATACTTTCAGGGTGAGTGCAGACCTCACAGGTGTGGGCACACCTGCCCCCGACCCTCCTGCCTGCATCCGGGCCCCTGCTGCAGGTAACGGGTGGCAGAGGTTGCTGGGTGCGGGAGCAGGCAGCTGAATACCCGTCCTGGGGAGGCAGCTGAGACTCTGTGCTGCCAGCATGTGCTCCATTATTCCACCAGACTCCACTTAACACAGATTCAAAGATGACATGAAGCATTTCAGGACAGTGAAAGCACAGCATGAAGCCCTACGCTTGGGGCTCCCTTCTTAGGGCAGGGCCAGGTCACCTGGACATGAAGCCAGCCTGATGGGAGGGGCCATAGCACCCACACACACATTTCACACAGAGCAAGGGCCTTATGTTGGTTCTCTCCACAGAGCTGGGGCCAGATCTGATTTGAAGGGAAAGTTCTGTGTTAAGCACTGTCTGCAGACTGCTGGCCCAGCAGGTTAGTCGGCCAGCCAGGGGCTCTCCCTCTTCATCCGGAGCCTCTGGTGCCAAAGACACACCATGGTCAGCCCTCCCTGACTTAATCTCTCACACCATTGCCAGAGATTGTTGCAGTAACAAACCCAACCCCTCTGACTTCCGCTCCTTGAGTGACAAGGGTCAGAAATCGAGTGGCGCGGTTGCCAACCTTCTCACTCAGGAACAACGCCAAACACGTGGTGCCCCAGAGATCAGAGAGGGTGAGGAGCTTGGATTCCACCAGCTGTCACGCTGTTCCCAGCCCCAAAATGGGGAGGCTCAGCACCCACAGGGAGTGACGTCTGGTTACTCTGAAAACATGGACAAGGAGGCTCAGGTGAGGGGTACTTACTTAGTACCCACTGTGCACCGGAGACCCGGCCAAGTACTTTCCGTGTGTTGCCTTCGTTAATCCTCGTGACAACTTTGAGCTGATCCTGTTTTTCAGATGAAGTTAACTGAGGCTCAGAGAATGAAGCTGCCAGTCCAAAGCCATAAACCACACACTTTGGAAACTGAGATTTGAACCCAGGCCCGGCTGGCCCCAGAGTTAGTGCTCTTTGCACACGAATCCCAGGCACACTGGCTGGCTGAGGTCCCTCCCTGGCTGGGCCTCTTGCCCCCACCGTCTGCTGCATCTGCATCTGCAGGACAGGGGCCAGACCTCAGCGCTGCTGCCTGTCCACTCCTGCCCCTGAGCAGTCCATCCTTGTTCTTGGCAGGGAGCAGATCTCAGGGCCACAGCTCCAGCTTTTCTCCTGCAAGGCCTGGCCAGCTCTGTGGCTGTACTTGTGCCCAGAGAGACAGGTGGCAGCGGCAGAGTTAGGCACACCTGGCCGTGAGCCACACCCACCTTGTGCTCCCCGTGTCTCCTGGGCTTGTTACCGCCCACTCAGGCCTCTGTTTTCCCATTTGTGGAGCAAGGGGTAATAGCAGATCCTGTCTCTGGGGCAGTTTTCCCAATCTATTGTGGTAAGGGTGTATAGTCCTCAGTTCCACGCCAGGCCCAGAAGAGGCCTTTGATACTCTGTGTTGATGGTAAACGACATGGTATGGGGTGAGCTCGGAGCTTGGTGGCCCCTGTGACGCTCTGGGGAGCGCTTCCCCAGGCCACAGGGCAGGCTCTCAGTCCAGAGCTGCCCTCCCTAAGGAATTCATCCCTTCCTTGTTTTCTTTGTTCATTCATTTCATCCCACAGATCCAGGCGCTCTGCTGAGATACAGTAATGAGCCCCAGGCATGAAGTCCCTGCCTGCACAGGGCTGGTGCTGTGGTTCCTAAACAAGAAACCGGTGCAGGGTTCCTGGCCAGGCAGTGCTGGGGAGAGGTAGCTGGGACAGCGTGGTGGCCCATGGCTGCCACAAAGAATGGAGTTCCTTCAATCTCTTTCTTCCATTAAAGGGCAATCCCTGGGGATTTAACATGCTGCCTTTCGTGTGAGGTCCCAGCACTCCCAGCGTCCTGGGAAGGCCTCATCGGGCTTTGCTTTGCTTCAAGGTGTCTTTGAGAAATCAGTTTTTCCAGTTGCAATGTGGGAGTTTTCCCCAGGCTCTCCTGAGACTCACAACCGCTCCCCCTAACGCTGCTGGTCATGGAGACCCACCTGGGCCAGGCCCTGGTCACATGTGATCGCATCGACCTCTCTTGGTGACCTTGAGAGTCAGGTCCTATTAATTCATTTTACAGATGAGGAAAGGGAGGCTGAGTGAGGCTGCATCATTTGCTGAGGAGCACAGTGTGCCCACTGCCAAGTCAGGATTTGAACCCACGCCCGTGGCTTCCAGACCACACTATCGGAACCACTCTGCCCTAGTGTGAATGGATGTTTTTTTAATTCTTGGCAGCAGAAAAACCAAAGATTCTGCTCAAAGCAGTAGACTCTCAGCGGCCCATGTGTCAGGGCTGTGCTGGGTGCTGCAGGAGAGCTCTGCAGAGAAGAATAGAGACAGACTGTTGGTGCTAAAATTGGCCTGAAAAATGACCATTTCCGCGTGAGCCAGGATTGCGTTGACTCCTTGCTCCAAGGCTGTGAGGTGTGTGGGGTTAGGTTCATGTGACAGATGAGGAAGTGGAGGCTCAGAGAGGCTGTGTGGCTTGCCAAGGTCACACAGCCCCGGGCGGCCTTATTCCACATCCACCTGCTCTGTCTGCCATCATCCATGGTGGTCTCCGGACTAGCTTTGGCCTCCCCAACATCCTGCATTTGGATAAACTGAGGCCTAAAGAACAATTCAGGGCTTGATCCCGAATGGGGGAGGGGACGGAACCCTTTGCATGCTTGTGGAAATGGACACTCATTCCACAGCGAAACTGCCTTCAAAATGCCACTGATTCTCAGGGCAGGAGAAGACTTAAGAAATGACAGCGGGCAGTCAGGGCACGTGTGTCTGTGACAGCAGAGGGGCCCGTATCCACCCTTCCTGGGACCGACAGCCAGGGTGATGGGGTTTTATAGCATCTGGAACAGGCAAGCCTTTTATAAGAAAATGTTTCCAAAGTTGTCCCGTCCCACCGTTGGCAAGCAGTCCTTAAACGGCAAAGAAACAGCCGTGCTCTGCATTCACGAAATGGTGAGCTGGCATTTAGGCCATTTATTTAAAGCGGGAGTTGAGGAGGCTAAAGACTTCAGTTCTGAGTGGCGGCTCGCAGCCTCACTGCAGCAGGGGAGCGTAATCTTCAGGGTTTTCTTCCCATTTACGGGTTTTTTTGTTGTTGTTGTATATTTGTAAAATGAGGCTTCTGCTGGCAAAAGCAGGTTTTAGCGAGTGCGGCGGCTCTTCCAGGACCTAATAAGGCCCCAACGGAGGGTGAATTCCAGCAACACTTTCCTTCCCCACATGGCCCCCCCATTCCGTCTTGCCTCATACACTTTGGGCACAGGGTACCATTCATCTTGCTTCCCATTAATGGAATTACCGCCATCACTTCTGTGGGATGAGATGGGCCCTTTGGAACTGTCTTGGGGACAGAGGCAGGATTGGCCGCCAGGCAGTTTTGCTTAGAGGGGAAGGGAAAGAAAGAGAGGGAGAGAAAACTCTTACAAATGGATGCTTCCTTGGGTGGTAAAGATCCTTGGCCATGGAGGACAGAGGCCGCAGGGCCCATCCAATCTGCTTCCTGCGCATGTCCCGTGTGAGCCTCGCTGTGGCAGGGCATGTGATGGCCCCAGTGGCAGATGTGAACGGGGCTTGACACCTGTGTACCACAGCCCCTTGACTTCAGAAGAAGGGAAGGAGGGACCCAGCATTTATGGGCTGCTGACAGATGCCTGGCACTGTGCTGGCCAAAATTTGGGAAGTGGTATCTCTGTCCTCATTTTTAGATGAAACAGCAGAGTCCCAGAGAGTGTAGACACTTGCTTTGAGTCACACAGCTCATGAGCAGTAGCACTGAAGTTTGAACCTCAGTCTGTCCATTTTCGTGGAGGACCAGCAGTGCCCCTCCTTGAGGCTCCAGAAGCAGCAGAGTGTGGACTCACAGTCCGGGTACCTGTCAGCAGCCTGTCCCAGCATCACCTCCCAATTCCCCAAGAAAGTGAGCAGACATCTGGAGGGTTTTTGCTTTCATGTAAGAATGCTGATCGAGGACAATGCTGAATATCATGTATTCCACCTGGACATCTGATAGAATTTCAGGGGTCTGGGATCCTGAGAATGAGGGAGGGAGGTTGGGAGCTGACCGGTCTGACGCACTGTGCTTGCCATTCTGCATGTCCATTTGTAGCAAGGCTGGCAATCATTGTCCTCTCCAGTGCCGGCTCTGATAGATTGATAGGGGCTGCCCGAGATGCCATGTTGAGAAGGCTTTGGAGACTGGCATTGATTAGCAATGTCTGCTGTGTGCACAGGAATGAAAAGATGGATGTGAAAAGGACCGACCTAACTTAGTACAATTCTTAACCTGAGCAGGGACCCCAGGGGCACGAGCTCTGCTTAGTTCTTGTGATTAGTTCATCGTGTGCCTCACCACACTTCCATCCCAGTAAACTCCAGGAGGGTGAGACTGTGCACAGCACACAGTGGGAATTCCACAGATAACAGAAGGAAGGATTGATGAAGGCTCTGCAGCCCCCAAAGAGCCAACAGTTGGAATCCTACAGTGAATGTTTTTAAAAACGTAATTTTAAACTTCTAGGGATGAGATGTAGGTGCCCACTTATTTAAACCAGGGCCATTTCATCCACGTCACTAACTTGCCGGATGTCTTTGAGTCATGGTTTCACCTGCCTGAGCCTCGGTTTCCTCATCTTCACTCCCAGCACTGTGGAGGGGTGACCTGGTTGATGACGGTCATGGAGCCCAGAACCCATGGGTAACGGGGTCAGCATTCAGAAGTGTCAGCTCCAGCTGCCTGCCCCCGCCTGCCGGGCCCTGTCCTCTGCCAGGCGGAGCTCCTGGTTCTCTGGGTCTGTAATGCTTTCCTTCTCACTTCTCAGACATCACTGCTTCTGGGGAGTCTCCTCTGACCTCAGCACACTGCTTAGAAACCCCTGCTTGGTGCCTCCATAGCCCCTTCTGCATCTTCCCCAACATGGCCCCCCACCCTGTGAGGCCCACTAATGGCCAGTCCCCTGCCCCAGGATCCCCTCCAGGGCTAGGACTGAGCCACTTTCCTCTGTGGTCCCAGTGCTCAGCCCAGGGCCTGGCCTGGCAAAGGCCTCGGTGACGGTAATGAGGGGAGGGAGCAATGCACCCTTCGTTTGTTCCTCAGGCCTGTGGCCATGGGGACAGCTGAGATGCTGAGACCACTGTGTCCAAAGCCCAGGCCTTTTCTGGGGACAGATAGGTCAGCGGGACGGATGGAACCAGCTCTGTGACTCACATACCCATTGTGCCTGCTGCGGTGATCCTTTAAACGACAGTTAGGTTTGATCCTGCGGGAGGTGGGTGTTTGGAAAGGTTTTGAGCAGGGGAGTGGCCCCCCTGAAGCAGAGTGTGGCCCGTGGAGGCTGGGGGGCTGGGAGGCGGCTGTGAACTTCAGGAGAGAGGAGGGGGAACGGGGCTGTCCTGGGGAGAGTGGGGAGAAGTGGGGAGCAGCCTGGAACAGTGCCGGGCACCTGGTGTCCACAGCCTGAGCTCCTACCTGGAGACCCCTGGATCAGGGAGTAAAGAATTCTGGGCTGCAAGTCAGAAGAAATGCTCCCCAGGGGCTTCAGTGGCTCCAGAGTCTCAGGAATCATCTCTGGATGGGTGACTGGGGCAAGGGTGGGCTGGGGCCCTGGTCTTAGTCTCCTCATCAGTCAAGGAGGGCAATGTGCTTTTTGCCCTTGACTCTCCTCTGACCCTGGCCCTTCATACCTGGATCTGGCTTGGGAGCAGGGTGAGGCCGAGGCCCACAGAAGCCATAGGGTCAGCCTAAGAGCAAGAGTGGAAAAAGAAAAATCATGAAGCAATAATGAGCCCGTGGTACATCGAAGGGGCCATTGAATCCCCGTGGACTCAGGACGACAGTGGCTGGAACAGTGGTTGTCTATGTGTGGCTGGAGTGTGTGCAGAGGGGCCAGTGCTTGAGCCTGAATCTTCACAGCCCCTCCTCCATACATGCAAATCCTAACAGTATGTTATTATTGATATGTAAATATTAGCTATTAGCTTTTTAAACAATAATTCCTCCTCCTATTGCTATTGTGGCTCGTTCATCAGAGCACCCTTCAGATCAGTAGGGGTTGGCCAGGTGGCGAAGGCCTGCAGTTAGAGCATGGGGAGACTGCGTGAGCAGGTGCAGAGGTGGGAAACAGCAGTTGCAGGAACCATAAGTGGCTCCGTGGAGCTGACGTGGTGGAGGACAGACATCACCTGGGCTTGGGCTTGATGGGTCAAGGGGTCTTAGGTGCTAAGCTCAGGAGGGATGGCAACCCAGAAACCTTGAAGGTGGATAAGGAAGGGGAGATGGGGTCTTAGGAATATGTGTCTGGTGGCGCGTGTGGAAAATGACGGTGCTAAGGCTGGGAGGACTTAGAGGCCAGTGGGGAGGCCCAGGTGCTGATGCCACTGTGGACATTCCTGAGCCTCTCAGCTACCTGAGGCCGCACTTCCACCCAAAAAGAGTCCTTGGCTGGGCCGGGTGTGGTGGCTCACACCTGTAATTCCAGCACTTTGGGAGGCCAAGGCAGGTGGATTGCTTGAGGCCAGGAGCTCGAAACCAGCCTGGCCAACATGGTGAAATCCCACCTCTACTAAAAATAACAAAAATTAACCAGGCATGGTGGCACACGCCTGTAATCCCAGCTACTTGGGAGGCTGAGGCAGGAGAATCTCTTGAACATGGGAGGCGGAGGTTGCAGTGAGCCGAGCTTGTGCCATTGCACTCCAACCTGGGCAAGAGAGTGAGGCTCCATCTCAAAAACAAAACAAAGAATCCTCAGCTCTTTCTCCCATCCCACCACCTTCTCCTACCCTTTCCTGCTGGGTGTTGGGGCAGCGGAGGGCTCTCCCCTTGGCACCCTCAGCCTCTCTCGGCTTTCCTGTGAAAAACCAGGCCGATGCCTGCCGACTTGTGAGAATAAATGATAAAATCTGTGACGCTCCCAGCACTGCCTGGGGAGAGGAAGGAAAGTGTTGTCTTCCCTAAATTCCTATTTCTGCGTGTCGTTTATTCTCTTCCCTGTCAGAGAAGTTGTTTTGCTTCCTGGGGACGAGAGAGGCCCGCGTTCACGGGAGCGCGCCCGCAGGCCCCATCCAGGCAGGTCGGCGGCCACGGAATTCATTTGTATCCCCAATTTCCAGGCTGCCTCGTGAATCTGCAAGAGCCCTGCTCCTCATGTGCTGTGGAGAGTGCATCGTGTTGTCCCTGTGACTGATTTCTGATCCTCCCTGCATTTATTTGTTTATTTGGGTCTGAGAAGTCCAAAGTGAAGCTGTGAGAAGGGGCGCCTTTGAGTTTTAATACGGGATGCACCATCATATAAGGACACTTTGGTCAACAGCAGACTGCGTATGTGACGTTGGTCCCATAAGATTATAATGCCATCTTTTGACTGTACCTTTTCCACGTGTAAACACACAAATACTGACCATTTCATTACTGTCGACTGCAGTACTCGGTACAGGACCATGCGGTACAGGTGTGTAGCCCAGGAGTGACAGGCGACACCCTATCGCCTAGGTGTGGGGGAGGCGAGACCGTCTGGGTTTGTGTAAGTCAACTCCAAGACGTTCACACAGTGACAAAATCGCCTCGTCATGCATTTCTCAGAGTGTGTCCCTGTCGCTAAGCGATGTGTGACTGTTTATATCTGTGGTACTTTGTAGGCGTTGGGGGCATGGGCTGGGTTTGTAGGTTCCCCTAGGTGAGCAGTAGTGTCCCAGGCATTGAGGAGGGCTGTTTCCAGGTCTGTCCGGGTGTCGTTTTCCGTGGAGGAGAAGTTGCTCAAGAAGATGAGCCCAGGCTAGCCCACAAGCCCTCACCCCCTCGCAGACCCAGGTGGCTGCAGGAGGATTCTAGAGGAGACTGGGTTCTGCCCGCCAACAGGGGGCTCAGCCACACCCCCCCACCCCTGGCCCACCATAGGACTTAGTGCCCACTTGGGATGCGGTCAGAATATTTTTAGGTTGAATGGGCGCATGAGGGTGGGGAGACGCATGCGTCAGATACCGGCTGGATGACTTCATGTATGTTGGTTGACACATTATACAGCTGGGGAGACTGAGACTCAGAGAGGCTGAGGGTCTTGGCTAAGATGCCCAGCAAAGAAGTCTTCATACCACATCTGACTCCCCGCTCCCTTGAGAATTCCCGTCACCTAGAGCACCCGTCCCAGCCCCTGCCGCAGTGCTGGGGAGGATCAGTGGAGACCAGGGTGGGGGGACCAAGCACGATCTCAGACCTCCTGTGTACCGGGGCACTTTGCCTACACAGTCTCATCTTCAGTAGATCTCTTTCCTGGTTTTCTGATCACAAAAGTGAGGCTTAGAGAGGTGATCAATTTGGGCGAAGTTTCCCAGCAAATAGGTGGAGTGTCCCATATTTCAATTCTGGCCTGGCCTGGAGAGGATGGGGGGCTTCAACCTGTCTTGGTGGGATAGCCTGGGCTGTGATACCGGAGGCATCACTTTCCCACCAAGAAAGAGCAGGAGGGTCTTTATGGGGGCAAACAGGGCAGGGAGCTCCCCCTCGGACCCCTGGGAAACATGGGGCTAGATTGGGCCCGACACCAGCCCAGTCCCTTTGCAGCCTACTCCAGCCTTTCTCTTCCCTTTTTTTTTTTTTTTTTTTGAGACGGAGTCTCACTCTGTCACCCAGGCTGGAGTGCAGTGGCACGATCTCGGCTCACTGCAACCTCTGCTCCCCGGGTTCAAGCGATTCTCCTGCCTCAGCCACCCGAGTAGCTGGGACTGCAGGCACACACCACAACGCCTGGCTAATTTTTGTATTTTTAGTAGAGGCAGGGGTTTCACCATGTTGGCCAGGCTGGTCTCGAACTCCTGACCTCAAGTGATTTGCCTGCCTCGGCCTCCCAAAGTGCTGGGATTACATGCGTGAGCCACGCGCCTGGCCCAGCCTTTCTCTTTCTGACTTCACTTGCCCCACCTGTGCAGTGGGAGGACAGGAGAACCCCTTTGTCTGTTGAGTGCTGATTATGTGCCAAGGAATTTGCTGCATGATCTGATCTGATGGCCCCAGTGACTCTTTGAAACCCGGCCCCTTATTGGCACCACCCAGTCACTCCCTGGCTGCGTTTCCCTCAAGGCACGTATCGCTGTCTGAAATGACCATGTCTGTTCACTCTCATGTCTGTGTCTACCTCCCAACCACGCAAAACCTGTGGGAGGGGAAGGCCTTCTCTCTCTTGTCCACTCCTGTGTCCCCAACCCCTCGGACAGCACATGGCTTCACAAGCTTCTCAAGAAATGCTTGGCAAATGATGGCAGAGTGGGTTAACCCTGGTGTTCTCAAAAAGGGAATGGAGGCCCACAGAGGGCAGGCCCATCCCTGGGTCACACTGCCAGGGCAGGATTGGAGCCCCTGCCTGTCCAGGGTCAGCTGGGGCCTCTCTCACTGACCAGCTTTGAGCCTGGAATTCCAGGTGTGCCTGGCTGTGTCCTTGCAGGTTCACACCGCCCAAAGAAACTTCCAGTCCACACTTGTGGCTTTGGATCAGCTCAGAAAAAGTGTGTCCTGTGACTGCTCGAGGAATCTGGGCATTTAGCCCAGAAAAGAGTGTGTTTCCTGGCTTCCTGAGAACTGGGGCCCACCCTGCCCCTGGTCTAGGCGTGCAGAACAGGAGGGAGGGGAGTTGAAATCGGGGCCTGGAAGGGTACGGCGTCAGACCTTATCATCTGAGTGAGGCTTGCCGCTCACGCTGAGACTGTCCCAGCCGAGCACTCCAGGAGAGGGTATCCCCACCATTGGAGCGTCCTTAGAGATGGCAGCAGCGCCTGGAGTTGCTGGAGAAGAAACATTCCTCACGCTCATGCGAATGTTTCCCTGGGCTGCTGTCCCAGCACTGGGTACCGTGGGGCAGACATGGGTGTGACGTTTTCCAAGCACGAGGTGACCAGTGTCCATTGGGTCATCAGGCCTCCAGGGCCACATGTTTGGAAAGCTATTCCTGGAGCACCAGGCATCTGGCACCTCGCTCTGTGGCTAGGCACGGGTTTATGAGGGGACCCTGCAGAGAGCTGGGGTCCTCAGCCTTGACATTTGCACATTGTGTATAATTTCACGCTTTGCTTTGCTTTTTTCTCTTCATTTTTTTCTTTTTTTGAGACAGGGTCTTGCTCTGTTGCCCAGGCTGGAGGGTAGTGTCGTGATCTCGGCTCACTGCAGCCTTGACTTCCTGGGCTCAAGGGATCCTCCCACCTCAGCCTCCCAAGCAGCTGGTGCTACAGGTGCATGCCACCACAGCTAATTTTTGTATTTTTTGTGGAGATGGGGTTTCTCCACATGTTGGCCAGGCTGGTCTCGAACTCCTGACCTCAGGTGATCCACCCACCTCAGCCTCACAAAGCGCTTTTGTTTTTCTTGAGAAAGATCAGAGCTTCCCTGCTGCATCTCCCGCTTTTCGCTTGTGTTTTCTTTTCTTCCTCACCAGCAGGCTGCCTGGTGACTGGCCTGGGGGCCTCTTCCCTCAGACCAGGAAATCACCCAGTACTCCGAGAGTGTTCACTAGAATTACCCTCATGTTCACTGGAATATACTGGTCAGATTTCTGAGAGGGAGACCCCCTTTTTGTACTCATAGGAGAATGGAGGAGGCCGGCCATGCTTCTCCTCAGCCACGATTGAAAAAGTCACCTAGCACAGTGGCCTGAGTCCACTGGTTCCCAAATCCCAGACCCAGGCCAGGCCTAGGGCCGTGTGAAGTCTTCCGCGGACCCACGGTGAAATAAGAAAAGGAAGGCCTGGCTTGGCATAGCTACTTTCCATGTCAGCTGTTTTTTCTTTTTTTTTTTTTTTTTTTTTTTTTTTTTTGGAGGCAGAATCTCACTCTGTCGCCCAGACTGGAGTGCAGTGGTGCGATCCCAGCTCACTGCAAGCTCCACCTCCAGGGTTGAAGTGATTCTCCTGCTTCAGCCTCCTGAGTAGCTGGGATTACAGGTGCCTGCCACCACACCCAGCTAATTTTGTATTTTAGTAGAGACAGGGTTTTACCATGCTAGCCAGGCTGATCTCGAACTCCCGACCTCAGGTGATCTGCCTACCTCGGCCTCCCAAAGTGCTGGGATTACAGGCGTAAGCCACCACACCCGGCCTGTCCTTTCTTTTATGAAAGATGGTGATACTAGGTGGACGTTTTATTTTAGATGCCAGAAAACTCTGGCAACCTATGTCTATCTTCAAAATGTGGGAGAGGCTGTCCAGGCCTGTGACACCTCCAGGCCCGGAAGCCATTGATGTACTTCTGTACCCCAGACACAGAAGTGGAGCCCGGGGCAGACTTTGATGCCTCAAGAACCTCTGAGTCATGGCCACACGTGAGCCCCCGGCTCTGCCCTGGTGTGCGGTGGGGCGTATTGGTTTCCTAGGGATATTATAACAAATTACTGCAAACTGGGTGCTTGAAAACAATAGAAATTCATTCTCTCTTGGAGAATCCTGGAGGCGTGATGCCTGAAATCAGGCTGGTGGTAGGCTCAGTTCCCGTGGAGGCTCTGACAAAGCACCTGCCGTGCCTTTTTCTGGCTTCTGGCAGGCGCTAGCCACCCTCCTTGTTCCTTGTTCCGTGTTCCGTGGCTCGTCTACACATCCCTCCAGTGCTCGCCTCTGTCGCCACATGGCCTTCTTCCTTGTGCGTCTGTCTCTGTGTCCATCCCTCATAGAAAGACACCCGTCATTGAATTTGGGCCACCCTAATCCCATGTGACCCCAGCTTAACTTGATTAGTATCTCCAAGTAAGGGCCTATGCCCCAGTTCCAGATAGACAAGGGTTTGGGGGGAACATTACTCTGGGGGCGTAAGGGATGAGGAGGGCAGGTCCAGGGAGCCTGCCCTCATTCCCAGGAGGAGACAGGAGACCAAGGAGCAGAGTCTGGCGGGGGAACGCTGTCACCACAGCAAGGGCCAGGCTGGGGCCACAGGGGGTGGGTCAGACACGCCCACTGAATACTCAGGGGCACGGGAGGGCCGGGATCCCCCTGACTCTCTGCATCCCAGATTCATTCCTACGCTTTCATACAGGCCCCAAAGACAAGTGCTGAGTAGATCTGGGTCTTCAGCACGATGTTTTTTAAAAACAGGCTTGCAGCGTTTGGTCCTTTGGTGGCACCAGCCAGGACCACTGAGGGCTGAGAACGTCTCAGCGCCCAGCATAGGCCGCCAGCCCTGGCTCTGCTCTTTTGGGTTAGAGAGCGGCCCCTCCCAGTAATGACAGGGCCCGCCATTCCCGGCAGCGCCCACCAGCACAGCCTCCCCCGCTTTGTGGACAAAGGGCAGCCTGTGGGGCAGGAAGGAGGGAATCCAGCCTCCCCTGTTCCCCCAGAGGCCTTTATCTATTTTGGCAAAGGCCCTGTGATCAGACGTTTCCGCCCTGACAACTCCCTGCCAAGTGATCTCAAGCAAGGGAGTCCCAGAGCCCTGCTGAGCCCCACTTCTCTCCTGTGAAGTAGGAGGCACAGTTCCAGCCCTGACCCTCTCAGGAAGGCTGGGGATGACAAGGCAAACCCTTCCCGTGCCTAGCCCAGGGCCTGGCACATAGTAGGTGCTCAGTCAATACTGAATGAGAGAGAGCATCTTGGAGCCCAGAACGTAAATTTCATGCCACTCCTGCGACGGAGCCTCAGTGGGGCCTCTTGGGAAGGAGAATCTATAGGCATTTCCTTCCCCACGTCCTAGGACACAGTTAGCTGAGACGACCGGGCAGGGGTGGGGAAGTTGAGTGCACGGGTGTAGCACTGGACGGAGGACAGAGGCTGCTAAGCTGCATCTCAGGCATTGATTGGCATTGAGGAAAACCCACCTAGACTTGGTATCGCGGGAGGGAGGGTCATGTGCAGGGAGCCCTGGAAGGGAGCCTGGAGAGCTGGGTGCCAGCCCTGGCTCTGCACCCCTTACCAGCCATGTGCAGGTCATGGCAGTGCCCTGTGGATCCTACTTCCTGAACCTCCCCTCTGCAGGCTTGATGCCACTGCTGTCATTTCGGCCTCTATCCCACAACTCGCACAGGGCTTGCCTCACCTTTAGGCCTTTGCACGTGCCATGCCCTCTGCCTGGAGTGCCCTGCCCCTATTCCTCCACTCAGAGCTGCTTCCCGTTCCGAGGAAAAATCCCATGCCCCAGGTAGACTGCACGCACATTTTCTTGTGTTTCCACACCCTGCTTTGCAGAGCAGCGGGCACCCTGGTTGTAGTTTAAGGGACGCCTGAGAGCCCCATTGAGGATGGAGATTGGTCCCCCTTGCCTGGCACACGCTTGGTGCCCAGCACTTGTGTGTCCATTGAGTGAGCAAATAATGGAATGTCTGGAGGCATGTGACGCCTCTGCTGTGTGGCTTGGTTTCCCCATCTTTAAAATACCAGATGTGGGCCAGGCGCAGTGGCTCTCGCCTATAATCCCAGCACTTTGGGAGGCTGAGGCGGGAGGATCACCTGAGGTTGGGAATTCGAGACCAGCCTGGCCAACATGTTGAAACCCTGTCTCTACTAAAAATACAAAAATTAGCCAGGTGTGGTGGTGCATGTCTGTAATCCCAGCTACTTGGGAGGCTGAGACACGATAATTGCTTGAACTAGGGAGGCGGAGGTTGCAGTGATCCAAGATGGCACCACTGCACTCCATACTGGGCGAAGACCGAGACTCCGTCTCTAAGTAAATAAATAAAATAAAATACTGGATGTGGACTGATGGAGTCCTTGGGGATCTGGTGAAACATGAGGCCTCAAGTGAACGGACTCGGGTCTTTCCTGCTCCCAGGAGTGGAATGGGAGCGTGGCAGCGACCACGCACACGTTTGTTTAATGATTATCCAATGTTGACCCAAAACTATGAGCAAAGCTCCGGGGATTTTCTGGGCGTTCAGCACAAAATTCCCAGTTAATGGGTTCCAGTGTCTTAAAAAGGCAGGACTGAGGCGGTCTCTATGGAGTTGTTCTGACTGCAGCTGGGCCCTGTCCTTCCACACCTGCCCCTGCAGGAATTCTCCGGACGCCTGTGGAGGGAAGAATGTGTGTGTCTGGGGTCCAAGACCACATGCACCGCCTGGTGGAACTTTCTCTGCTCTTGCATGTCTGGTGGGAGCTTCCCTTAATGACACAGGATCTGCCGAGATTCATCCCCAACTCCAGGCTGGCACCAGTGTTCAAGCCCCTGCCTCTGCTGTCTCCCAGGTCTTCAAATTTACACCACTCTGACTCTCAGTTTCCCTATCTGCAAAATGAAGGCAGGAATGCCCACCTCATGGGGTGAGCCAGTGGACCCAAATACGTGGTGCAGTAGGTGCCACGGAGTAGTGGCACGTGATTTTGTGGCTGTTAGTGTGAGTATTCCTTACTTTAGAGAGCAGAGGAAAACACATCAGCAGATTGTTTAAGCCAAAAAATGTCTGTTGTTTGAAGAATTTCGTTTTGGAAGGCAAGCCCAGGTTTTGGGTCAGAACCGTATTCCCTCAGGCACGGCACGGTTGAACGTCGAGGCATATTTTACAGGCTTGGTGACCGCTCAAGCCTTTGAGCCCTCCATGCGGGTGCTCTGAGGTCAGACTTTTCGGGAAGCCCTCACACAGCTGGTCTGCTTGTCGCGTTGGTAGCACCGTTTCCACAGAGCAGGCTCTGTTTGGCTATGAATAGATGTTTTTCTCACTCTTTTCTTGGATGCCTGAATGGCAGGCTCCCCTCCTGCAGTCTCAGAGGCCGACCTGCATGTAAAACTCCAAGCGGACATCAGAGTGGGTTCGTCTGTTCCTGCTTGGACTTGAGGCTCTCAGCAAGGCTCAAAGAGCTGGGTCGATGGCCACCATGACCCAGGGAGCCTCCCGAGAGTCTCCCAGGCTATAGTTTCTGAAGGCTACTGAGTGAACTGAAGAAATCAGAGTTCATGGAAGAGGCAGCAGATCCGAGCAACAGCCGAGATTGAGGAGGATGGTTCAGGATCTCCAAACACAGGCCCGCTGGCTCCACTGTGTCCAAGCCGCAGATGCAAAGCCTGTTAGGACAGAAAGGACACGAGATAGCAGCCAGGGCCGGCCGCAGGCAGGAGGGCCGGGCCACCAGCAGTTAGGAGTGTGGGTTCTGGAGCCACACAACCGGGGTTCAGATCCCAGTTTTCCCACCTCTATTGGGCAGCATACTGTAAGCCTCAGTTTTCCCCTTCTGTAAAACGGAGATAATAATTTACCTGTCTCACAAGGCTGTTATGAGGATTAAAGTAAGTTAACATCACTCAAGTGCATAGAACGATGCTGGGTACATACTAAATAAATACAGATAAACTGAGGCCCAGAGAGGGCAAGGGACTTCGCTGTGGTCACTCAGCAAGTCATTGGGGCAGCCAAGGCTGAAACTCATGACTCCTAGTCTCGTGAACGGTTCCCCCCTCCCTGCCCTCCCCCGCAGTCAGACTTTTTAAACACTGCCTTTTGCAGAGGAAATCGCGTGACCCTTCAGCCCACAAGAATTCCGACTGCACAGAATGTCTGAAACCTCTTCGGGCTGGCTGGGGGCCTTGTTGCAATTCTATTCAGCTGTTAGTTCTTTTTTTCCCCTCTCTTTCTTTTAAAGCTCTATAGGATCCTCCTTTCCCTTCTCCACAAATAGAAAAATTAACCTCTTGACAAAGGAGTTGGAAGACTTGAGTCCCTGCTGTGTGTCCCGGAACCAATCCCCCAGCCTCAGGTTCCCCGGCTGTGAAATGAGAAGGTGTCCTCTGTTGACAGGGAGGTGGCCCCACCTGCCAGTCTGTGATTGCCACAGAGACAAGCCAGCCAAGAAGTGCCACCCTGGACGAAGGTCGGGTGAGTGCTGATTAAACAAAATCTGGTGACGCATCCTTCTAAGAAGCGAGGCGAAACCCACCAGAGATGCTGCGTGCTTCTGCCCACCTCCTCGTGTCAAAGGTGATTTGAGTCATCAGCCTGGCCTGCACTTTTCTCGCTCTCCTGTTTCCTTGCAGTGCTCCTGGGCTCCTGAGCCACTCGGGGCTGAGGCCCGGGGGCCAGTTGTGTCCCATCTGCAGGCCCCAGGGCATTAGACCTGAGGGGCCTGGTCACCTTCTGATTTCTGCTGGGCGCCCCAGCCATGAGCTCCAGAGGCTGCCAGCCTAGGGTGTGAGTCTGTCTCCGAAGCTGCTGACATGAGTAGGGACTTCCCCTCTCTGAGCTTTAGTTCCTTATCTGTGAAATGGGTGCATGAGCCCTGCCTGGCAGGGTGAGATGAGGTACACAAGCCCTATCCTACTTCACTCCCCTCTTCCTTCCTGCCCGAAAGGCCCTGGCTCACCTGGGATCCAGCTGGGGCACAGCAGGTGTTGATATGTCCACCTGCTGCCCCCCGGCTGTGATATGCCCCCCTGGCTGCGGGGGACAGAGGGACAGCTGGCCACACCGGGAAGCCTGGGGACAGACCCTGGGACATCAGGGTCAGGAGCGTACAGGGTGCAGCCCTCTTGGCCTAGTGATGGGGATCCCTAGGGGAAAGACCTAGGGGCCAGGAGGTCATGGAGACAAGACTCGAACCCAGGATTGGGGCCCCCAGGTCCTCCTGTCCTTTGTGTAGGCTCACTTTCAGGTTACCCTGGCACCAGCAGGGGCCAGCCTGGTTGGGCCTGGGAATTCAGAGATGGGTGCCAAGGTGGGCCTGGAGCACGACGTAGGCAGACACGGGGCCGAGCCCCACCTTGCTACCCGCTGGTAAGGGGCCTTGGGCAAGTCGTGGCCACTCCTGAGCCCCCATCTCCTCATCTCAAAAATGAACATCATTCCCACTCTTCCCACCTTTCAAGGTTGTCATGCGGCTCCCTATGATAGTGTGGACAAAAGTCACTCTGTAGACCATCAAGAACTGACCAGGCCAGATGCGGTGGCTCATGCCTGTAATCCCAACACTTTGGGAGGCTGAGGTGGGTGGATCACCTGAGGTCAGGAGTTTGAAACTAGCCTGGCCAACATGGTGAAACCCCATCTTTACTAAAAATAGAAAGATTTGCTGGGTGTAGTGGCATGCAGGTATAACCCTGGATACTTGGGAGGGTGAGGCAGGAGAATCTCTTGAACCTGGGAGGTGGAGGTTACAGTGAGCCAAGATTGCACCATTGCACTCCAGCCTAGGTGACAGAGTGACACTGTCTCAAAAAAGAAAAAAAAACCGCCCAGAAGAAATGTGTCATTTCACCCTCTGGAACCATGAGCCCTGTGATCATGAGGCACAATCGTCATGTAAATATATAGGGTCTCTCACCAGCCACGGGCCAAGATTTATTTTATGGAGACAGTGGGGGAGGGGGCCAGCTCAGTTTCATTGTCCTGGTAACTTTGTAAAATGCTTTGCCATCACTTCCCAGCTCCTGGGAGGATGCAGCAGGAGCTGTGCAGCCTCTCTCGCCCTCCCAAAAGGCGGATCCCCAGAGGCCCTGGACACCTCCTTCCAGGTCCACAGGCCCAAAGGCCTGGTGTCCATAAGGCTGGGGTTCCCTGGAAAGTGGGTTTCTGGAAATACTTGTTGCAGGGATATCGCTGTTGCGTGAGGGCTGGTTGTTTATGATAACAGGAATCATAACAGTGGCAGTACCCACATTGATTGATTGATTGATTGAGACAGAGTCTCACTCCATCACCCAGGCTGGAGTGCAGTGGCGCGACCTCAATTCACTGCAACCTCTGCCTCCTGGGTTCAAGTGATTCTCCTGAATCAAGTGATTCAGTGCTCAGCCTCCTGAGCAGCTGGGATTACAGGTACCCGCCCCCACACCCAGCTAATTTTTTGTATTTTTAGTAAAAATGGGGTTTTGCCATGTTGGCCAGGCTGGTCTCGAACTCTTGACCTCAAGTGATCCACTCACCTCGGCCTCCCAAAGTTCTGGGATTACAGGCGTGAGCCACCCTGCTCGGCCCAGTACCCACATTTATTAAGCTCTTCTGCATACCCGGGCCCTGATAATCCTGGGCTGGTATTTTACCTGCATGTAAAGTACCTCACTTGGTCCTCACGGCAGCCCTACAAGATGGGTCCTACTGTGGCTACTAGTTTATAAAAGAGGGAACTGCAAAGGGATGACCCTGGGACTGGCCCAGGCTCACATGGGCGGATGGAGGCAGCACCGAATTTGTACTCGGGGCTCTCAGACCCCTGAGCTTGCTGCCTCTCCACCTCCCCACAGCCTGGCCTGCTCTTCTCAGATCCAGGACACTGCCTCCCTGCAGCCCCCTTCATTGCCCCACGTTGAAATTAACGGCCCCTTCTGTGATTCAGCAACGCAGTTAAGTACATTGGGGTTTTTTGGTTGGTGTTTCGTTTTTTGTTTTTTTAGAAAGAGGGTCTTGCTCTTTCACCCAGGTGGAATGCAGTGGCACAATACTAGCTCTCCACAGCCTTGAACTCCTGGGCTTAAGTGATCCTTCCATCTCAGCCTTCCAAAGTGCTAGGATTACAGGTGTGAGCCACCACGCCTGACCTAGTTAAGACTTTGATTGGACACCCCCCCCGCCCCCCCCCGCCACACACACACACACACACACACACACACACACACACACACACACACACACTCCATCTGCTCCTTCGCTGAGGGGAGGGTGCTCTGGACACACTGCTGAGGATGTCCAGGTCAGGACTCAGGCCTGCATTCCCATCCAAGCTCTGCCTCTGCAGCTAGGACTCCCTGAGTCTCAGTTTCCTCATCTGTCAAATGGATACACTGTCTGCCTTCCAGGGTTGTTTTGTGAGCACACAGGCTGGCACTATCCCTGAAGGATCTGGCCCAGCACCCGACACTGATGGGGTGCCCTGGATGCATGCCTCCATATACACACCTCCATGGCTGTGTGTTGGGGAGCCCAGGAGGCATCCAAGCCACAGCCCCACGTCACTATGGCTACTATGCATGAGGAAGGCAGTGTGCAGGGGCTGGAGGGCTCAGAAGTGATCCAGGGTCCAAGAACAAATTCCCTTAGCAATTCCAGACCGAAAAGATCTGGTTTTCTAGTGCCCAGAAATGAGCACGTGATTAAATACAGGATCCCCAGTTTAATTCCAGAGCAACCCAGTGAATCACAGATCCTTTGTCAGCCGTATAAGAAGCATCTGCACAAGAAGGGCGCTTCTAGACTGTGGAGTCCAACCCACTCATGTTGCAGGTGGGGAAACTGAGGCCCAAAGATAGCCTGTGACTTTCCCAAGACCATGCAGCCCTATGGGAGTCTGGCCTGTATGAGTCCTGGGCCACCAGACCACACACAGCACAGCTCAGAGCACAAGCCACTCCTGCGGAGCTAAAAATGGCCACATACTTCCTAAGCCCAACTCCAGGGTTCAGTGAGGATCCTGGTAAGGAGAGCGACACAGGAAGGTGCAGGGGTTGCCATGGTGTGGCCCCAGATGCTGTGATTACGCGCCAGCCCCGTCACACCGTACGGGTGGTAGGACTGGGCAAAGAAGACGCCGCCACCTGGATGCACTGAGGTGTGCACAGCCACGTGGAGATGATGCTGGGGGCTCACGGTGACTCTCAGGAGGCCCTGGCCTGGCCTATCTGGAGCCTTCTCTGTGAAATGAGGCTGGTAACGCCCACTAGCAGGGTTGTAGGGGACATGGATCTGTGGCCACCTCCTCAAGGGGTGCCACACGCACCAGGTCCTGACTGGGAGTCCGGCCCCCAGGGCCTGTGGATGGCTGGCCTGGGCCCAGCCTCCGCCCCCAAGGGTGCTGGCACCTGGCATGTGCCCGACAGTTGGGGCCGGCTGGTGGGAAGGTGTGTGTCAGGTGGCGGAGCCTCGGTGCCAGGATCTCACTCACGCGTCCTCCAGGGCCTCAGCTGCTGTATGCCTGTGTCAGTCCCAGTGGCGATGAGCTGCAGATGGGGCACAGGGGTGGTTTGCCCAGGGCAGAAGTGGCTCGTTCTGAAAAAGGAAGCAGGTGCTGGCCACGGAGAGCCCCTCTTGGGGACCAGGGGCTGGGGCTGGCCTGCAGAGCCCAGATTCCTCTCACAGACTGGGTGGCGGGGGGTCTGTCTGGCCTCTGTGCCCTTGATCCCACGGTGTCCTCTACTGGGAATCCCCCTCCCCTTTAGTCCAAACCCTGCTGGTCCTTCTGGGCCACCTCAGGTTTTCTACCTGTTGTCCAAAGCTCCCCGTGACCTGGCCCCGCCAGAAGCAGCAGCCATGGGTCCTTTTCCTGAGCAGCTTCGTGCTCTTTTTAGCTTGTGGGTAGCAGTTCCAGGGCCTGCTCCTGGGGACCTGTAAGAACAGGAACTGTGTCTGAGTCATTGCAGGGTCCCGAAGGGAAGACGAACACTCCTCATCCTCTGATCCTGGATCCGCACCCTCGTTTTGGAGAATGCAGGGCCCGAATAAAGATGCAATAACAATCAAATAACAACCCCACTGATGGGGTATCTGCCTTGTGCCCCGCCTGGCCCTAAGCTCTTTCAACTCGTGCAATGTCATGTAACCCACCAGCACCCCGGGCAGTAGATACTACCCTTGTCCCTGTTTTACCCGTGAGAATGCAGGTGCACACAACTGGGACGTGGCTAAGCCAGAACTTGAACCAGGACTGCCGCCTGCCAGGGCTCTCATCTCATGGGCAACCAAGGATTTGGGCCCAGTTTACAAAGGAGAGAATAGAAAGGGTTAAGCTTTTAAAGGAACAGCAAGGGCCGGTCACGGTGGCTCACGCCTGTAATCTTACCACTTTGGGAGGCCGAGGTCAGCAGATCACCTGAGGTTAGGAGTTCGAGACCAGCCTGACCAACATGGAGAAACCCCATCTCTACTAAAAATACAAAATTAGCCGGGCATGGTGGTGGGTGTCTGTAATCCCAACTGCTTGGGAGCCTGAGGCAGGAGAATCGCTTGAACCTCGGAGGCGGAGGTTGCGGTGAGCCAAGATCATGCTGCTGTACTCCAGCCTGGGCAACAAGAGCGAAACTCCATCTCAAATAAATAAATAAATAAACAAACAGCAAGAACAGTTATGCTTTTCAGCATTTTGCTGGGCCCCAGTGTGGATAGGTGGGGAGCGAGCACAAGGACCAAAGGAAAGGACCCTTGTCCCTCCCTGAGCCTACACTGGTCTAATCGGGTGGTGCTGCCATCAGATTCCAGTCCCTGGTAAGCAGGGGGCTCCGTGGCGGCTGTGACAAGTTCCATTCACTTTGGAGGTGGCAGCCGGAGCTATTTTTAGAGCAGCGCATGGTGGGGGAGTTTCCTTTTGGCGGTGTCTGGGGACCGGAGTCTTGGGAAGGGGAAGTCCCATGCGGAGACAGAGGCCCTTCTTCCTGCACCCACCCCAGCCCAGAGAGGCGACCCAGCTCCCTGGAGGCCCAGGCACCTCATGTCTGCCCTCAACCCAGAGTGGAGCAGACCTTCCCTGGAGCTTCTCAGGAGCCACTTCAAAAGGTACCCTGACTTTCTCTGCCTCCTGCTGTGGGAACCGCTTGCTCTTAGGGGTGTGTCCAGCGAGGGATGGGGAACCAGGCCCCAGGGACCTCCAGGGCTGGAGCTCCAGGGACCTTGACCTGGCTGCACCTCTGCCACCCACCGCTGGCTCAGCCACCTGCTGGTGGGGCTGCCCATTCAGCCAGTCCCACCAACCTGACAGGACCTTTGCCACTAGCCTGGGACAGGGGTGGCTGCTGATGGCTGCTTTCACATTGAGTAATCCCTGGGCTTGGCCAGAACTTCTGAGTTTCCAGGGAAGCAGAAAAAGCAATTCTTTCTCTAGGGTGGGTTTTGTCTGCCCCTTCCTGCCTGTGGGAAGGAGAGAAAATTAGGGGAGGCCACGGGCTTGAAAGCTTTCCCTGCATGGAGGCCACTGGATGGGATTCTAGATGCTCGCCTGGGACCCAGGGTGAGTTTTTTACAAACACCGAAGCCCTCCAGCCCCCGGGGCTGTTCCACTTGGTCCTTCTTCCACTGTCAGTCAGCAGGGTAGTAGCTGCGGTTCTGCTCTGAAATCCATCCCTTCCCTTAAGCCCCAGCCTCTCCCCAGTGGTCCCCCTGGCATGAGTTGGTCTCGGGGGGCCAGGCTTCTCCCTCCTGGCCTCAGGTGTTTCTGTACTGAGTCAGCAACCAGTTACCCAGCCTCTCCTCTGCCAACTGCTGGGGCCATGGAGAGAGTGGTTTAGTCTCTACCCTCAAGGACATTTCCATGTTCAAGGAGAAGAAGACACATGAATTAGAGACAGCACGGGGGAGCAGGCTGTGGAGCTGGGAGTGACGGGGTGAGTCCAGGAAGGCTGCCTGGAGGAGATGCCCAGGAGAGAAGTTTGCTGGGAGGCAGCTCATTTCCGGCAGGAGGAGCAGAGCCTGCCAAGGCCTCGAGGTGAGAGCAAGATCATTTCCCAGGCAGGCAGGGGTCTCTGGGATGGTGGGCCTGCTAGCGGGCCTGGGACTCCTAGAGTGAGACCGCAGCTCTCCCCAGCTGCATTGTGGTCACCAAGGATCACCTCAGGCAAATGATTAAAATGCAGACTTTGGAGAGGGTTGGATCTGAGTTCAAAAACAGGCCATGCTGCTTATCAGCTGCATGAGCTCGACAAGTCATTTAACTTCTCTGCACCTCAGTTTCTTCATCTGTAAAAGTGAAGGGCTTGCAGACCTCACAGCAGGGATGTGCTGAGCTGCTGCCTGCAGTGCCCGACACAGAGGAAGCACTCAGCAGATCTCAGCTTCATCTTCAGGGAGGCTGGGAGCGGACCCAGCCTTGACCAGGTCCCAGAGTCAAGAATCTTCTGGGCAGAAGCCAAATGCTTTGTTGCTCCTTTAACTGAGAGACAAGATGTTTACAGCTTCTGCATTTTTTTTCTTCCAGAATTGGGTTTTATTACCTGAGGAGGAAGTGAAAGGTGATTGGGATGCTCCTCGATTTTCAAAAAGGCCCTGGGAACCCTGCAGTGTGCGGCCCAGTTGGTTTTGAATCTCCAGTGACTTTTGTCTGATCTGTGACCACAGGGATGCTGAGCCCTCAGCAGAGGTTTCTTGGGGTTGCAGGAGGGTGGGAAGAGCCCCCTCCACCTACTAGTCAGAGATTCATTCTGCCAACGCCCCCTGGGTGGCCCTCTTTTCACCGGGCCTGGGTGAGGCACTGGAGGTTTACAGATGACCGCGAAGGTCAGTCCCTGCCCTTAAAGGCTGGCAGAGGAGGCAGACATGCTGACAAAGGAAGCAGTTTGTGTCCTCAACAGCCCACCTTCAGGGAGAAACCTGTGTAGATGCCACCAGATGGGAAAGGGAAGAAGGGGCCTTGGTGCCCCCTGGCTGCCCACTGTGTGCTCACAGAGTCCTCGCAGCCTCCCTGCAAGCTTGGGCTGTTCCTTTTTGTGGATGGGGACGTTTAAGGCTCAGGGAGGGGACGGGACTTCCCCAAGGTCCCACAAGAAGTGCCAAGACTATGGCTGGGCATGGTGGCTCACACCTGTAATCCCAGCACCTTGAGAGGCCAGGGTGGGAGGATCACCTGAGGTCAGTAGTTCGAGACCAGCCTGACCAACATGGCGAAACCCCGTCTCTACTAAAACTACAAAAATTAGCTGGGCGTGATGGTGTGTGCTTATAATCTCAGCTACTCGGGAGCCTGAGTAGTGTGTCAGTTCCTCCCTGCCAGCCAGTCTGCCTGGGCGTGGTAGTCCTTCCAGCCCCTGGGCTTGTGCTAAGTTTCTTTCTGTAATTGCTCCATCTGGCTGGTCTGAGAAGCAGGTTCAAATGGCAGGAGAATCACTTGAACCCAGGAGGCGGAGGTTGCAGTCAGCAGAGATCGCGCCATTGCACTCAAGCCTGGGCGACAAAGCAAGACTCCATCTCAAAAAAAAAAAAAAAGTGCCGAGATGAAGGAGGGTCGAGAGATCTGGTCCTGGCAGACAAGTGGGACTTTGCCCATTGAGAGGCACCGATGGGTCTTTAGTCCAAGGCTGGTGCATGGAATGACATGGAAGGACCAGGGTGCTGTGTTGCTGGGGAGGGGGACCGCTCATTTAATATGGCTGCACGCAAGGCCTGGGGGATGTTGGGGGCAAATGCATGAGGGCAGGCTCGTGTCAGGTGGTCAGGGAATGGCTTGCTCCGGTGTGCGGACCTTTTGCTGTGGAGTTTCAGGAGAGATTGGCAGGTTCAGGCTTGTGTGTTAGGAAAACCTTTCCATGGTGGGCTGGAGGCTGGGCTGCAGGGGAGTGTGGAGGCTGAAGGTAACTGTAGGGACCCAATGAGAAGGGACAAGGCCAGCACAGAGTGGAGGCCCTGGGGTGAGTGAAGACATTTGGAGGAAGAATGGTTGGGACTGGATGAAGACCAGGTGTGGGTCCTGGGGGAGGGCGAGGCATCCGGAGGCTACAGCAGCCCTGTTTCTGGGTGGGCACCGTGTGGCCCCCAATCAGCTGGCCTCCTGATGCTGCAGGCCCACCCTGGGGGAGGCCCCACCACCCTGAGGAAGGGGGCAGCGGGGAACCTGTCTGCATGGCCACCTTCCAGGAGTGGCTCATGGTCCTGCATCCCTGCACCTTAGAGCAGCCAGGCTTCCGCTGTCATGGAGCTGCAGAATCCGGGCAGGATGCTTGGCTTTGCAGGTGGAGAGCTGGGGCGAGCGTGAGGGAACACAGGACCCGGCCGGAAACCAGACTCCATCTGTGGCTTGTCCCCTCCAGCTTGACAGGCCCCCATGACTCTGGCCTGAGATCGGGCTGCTTCCTGTCAAGTGATGAATGGGCAACGTCTGCTTATCCTGAGACCAGACAAGAAGCGGGGCTGGGGCTGGGGAAGGGCCCAGCAGCCAGAGCCACAGCTCTGGGCCAGTATTCATTCAGTCAGTCATTTATTCACACCCTCTTCCAAGGCAGTTTGGACCAAGGCAGACTTGGTTTCGAGTGTCAGTTCTGCCTGCCGCCTGCTGTGTGACCTGGCACCCGTCACTCAACCTGTCTGAACTTTGGTTTCTCTTCTGAACAGTGTGGATCATAGCAGGGCCCGTCTAGGGGTCTGTAAGTGTGAACGAGGTATGAGCGGCACTGGGCACCTGCCTGGCGCATGTGTGGTGCATGCTCTGTTGGCGGGGGCTGTTATTCTGGTGCTCCCTGCCAGCCAGTGTGCCTGGGCGTGGCATTCCTTACAGCCCCTGGGCTTGCGCTGAGTTTCTTTCTGTAATTGCTCAGTCTGGCTGGTCTGAGAAGCAGGTTCAAATGGCAGCTCTCTCCACTGTGTGGACTCAACTTTGGCAAGCCATGTTTCTCCATGGAGCCTTAGTTTCCTCATCAACAAAACAAGGGTGATGGTACTTTGCAGGTGTCTTGGGAGATGCCGTTTCACCCGTGGATGTTGGCTGATGTTGAAGTTGGTCCGGCCTTGACCCAGCCAGTGGCCAGTGCAGTGAGCTGTCCTTGCCGGGCCTCCGATCTTCAGCTCCCTGGGGCATGTGTCGGGCAGTGGAGCCTCTGCAGGCTGGCTGAAGGCCCCAGGCAGTGGGCATCCATCCTCGGCTTCTGCCACCAGGAGCCAGCTGGACCAACAGACATCACCCCTGGTGCTGGCACTGGTGCTGCCAGTACCATTCGCTCGGGGCGGAGAGAAAGCTGTGTGTGCCTGAGTGTGAAGCCACAGGGACGGCTTCCTGCTTTAGGGAAAACAACCTGTGAAGCTGTGCCCTCGGCTGGAGGCACAGAGGAGGGGCCTTGCTCAGGGAAACTGGAGAGGGGAGTACAGTGTCTGGCCAAGGCTGACCTCCAAGGCCAGGAGTGGGTTCTCCCTGGGCTTGGCAACACCTGTCAGTCTGGGAGCCACAACTGCCTTTGCCACGTCTACCCTCTGCTTCAGTGGACAGAACGAGCCTGGTGGACATTAGATGACCCCTGATCATGCCTGTGCACGTGCACACACAGGAGCAGAAGAGGCAGGCAGGACACACACCGTTACCACCTCCAGGGTTCAGAGCAAGGAGAGGTGTAAGATCCAGTATATGAATGCACTTCCATGCATGGACCCCAGTACACATGGACCCTTGCAAGCTCATGCCCCCAAACCTGCTCCAAGCAGGGTCCTTGGACAGAGCCCTCCTGGTGTCTGAGGTCGTGCTTCACTGGCCGGGCCACGATGAGCCACCAGTCTCCATGAAGTGTGGCATTTGACAGGAGGCACAGGAATGACTTCCCCCTAGGTGAAGTTTCCAAAAATTCAGAGGCAAGGGCCCAATGACAGCCTTGGTCAGAAAGGCCACTTGGAACCTCAGAGCCAGCCCATTACAGCAGCCGATCCCTTCCAGCAGGTGCCTGGATTAAAACCAAGCGCTCATGTCTCCCTAGGGTCACAGCCCACATTAGTGAGAGCCTCATCCATGGCCGGGCAGGGTGCGGCACAGCAGCTGGCTTTGCAGAGGCAGCCACGGCTCACGTAGATGATGAAGACGTTTGCTCCAGAGCAGTCCTAAAGAGGCCATGCTGCGTAGGACATAGAGCAGCAATCTTGGGTCCAACAGCCCCAGCTGTGTCATTTACCAGCTGTGTTACCTGGGGCAGGGATGACCCTGGGCAAGTCCCTGCCTCAGGCCCCATGTCTGTCACATGGAGGTGATCACGCCTCCATTGTACAAGTGAGGGTTAGCTTCAATAGCTAAATAGCCTCATAGCTAAAGCCTCAGAGGTCCCTTCCCATGTGCCAGGCTCTGTGCTAAGGAGTTTACAGTGACCCTAAGAGGAAGATCTGACTGTTAGCCCATTTTCCAGATGAAGAAACTGAGACGCAGCATGGTTAGATGAAACCGGGCCAGGACCTGGACTCCTGCAGTCCAGCTCCCCGCCAGCCTCACTGAACCCTGAGGCTTCTCCCAATCTGGTCCCTCGGTGCCTGGGGACACACAGCACACGGCAGCCTAAAGCCAGGAACCTGAGCTGGGAAGCCTCACTGTGCAGCTATCCACAGTGTTTTGCAAATGTAGGGCCCTTGCTTGAGGCAGAAGAAAAGCCCTCTTTGAGGTGGTGTTCAGTGTGGCCTGCAGCTCTGGGTCTTGCATTCCATGGATTTTTGGCCCCTGACTTGGGCTTGGCAGCTACTACCTCATTGTTCTGCAACTTGGCAGGAGCCGCGGGATCCCGGGGACGGGCAGTCCTCAGTGTTACCCCGAGGTGCCTGCACGCATGTGCTAAGGGTCTTTTCCCTGCTCCGTGTGGCTCGTCCTTCCACGTCCCCTTTGCCTTGGCCTTTCTGCATCTGAACCCCCTAAGAAGCAGTTTCTGACAGGAATTTCCAGAGCACAGGGCTTGGGTTTCTGTTGGGGTGTGGACCAATAGAACAAAATGCCCTAAAATCCAATACCCATGGAGAGCCCCAAGAGGCAGTAGATTCCTTGGAACAAAGAGGGAGTTTAGAGTCACTGAGATCTGGATTTGAATCCTTTCTCTGCAGCTTATCAGCCTAATGGCATCGAGCCTCTTCCTCTGAGCCTCGGTTTCCCCATCTATAAAATGGGTCTACCAATAGCCCCGAGGGTGAATGGGAAAGACCTGGCCCACAGGAACCCTCATCCCTTCCTTTCTCCCTTCCTCCTTCCCCCTCGCGCCTCCCCACCTCCTTCCCCTCAGCAGGGACCCTCTCTGGCTCTCGGTGGGTAGGGGCTTGCAGAGTCCTCCGTGGCTGCTGCTTTCCTAGAACAGGGAACATCAACACCTGCCGGCTCCTCCCTGGAGGCTAACGGTGCCGCAGGTTCCATTAGGTTCTGAACAGAGCAGCTCGTAATGACTGGGGTTTGGCAGCAAAGGCACCACTGGGGTAGACAGTGGTGCTGCATCAGCTTGCTGTGGTCAGTGGGGCAGAGTCTCCGGGGGCTCCTGCCCCTGGGGACCCTGTGGAGGAAATGGGCCCTTGTGGTCCGCCAGCCCTGAGATCACCCCTGTGCATCAGCAGCACAGGCCCCATTCTCAAGTGGAGAGAGGGCCCATTCGGGGTGGAGCCAGCTGGAGAGATGATGGTGTTGCTGTGTAAGAACCTGTGGGGAGTGCAGTACCGTAGTTTTGGACAAATATGCAGTTGTTGGTTCAAATCCTGGC
The DNA here is from genome assembly GCF_000001405.40 of Homo sapiens. Lineage (NCBI taxonomy): Eukaryota > Metazoa > Chordata > Mammalia > Primates > Hominidae > Homo > Homo sapiens. Next base: position 124,298,715 of record NC_000009.12, read on the forward strand.
TCCTTTTGTCTGTGATCCTTGGGACCCGGGCAAATCTCTTAACCTCTTCGTGCCTCAGTTTTCTCATCTGTGAAATGGGACCATAATAGACCTTACCTCATGGAGTTGTTGACAAAATGAGATGGGCTAATAGAGGTGAAGAGCGTAGGGCAGGGCCCAGCATGATCAGGGCCCTGCAATTATTAGCTCTTATTCCCGGTCCCCCTTGCACTGCTCCTGGAGCCCTGCCCATGTGAGGCCACAGGTGAGCTCCTGAGAGTGTGCAGACCATGGCATCTGGCTGCAGCTGTTGGAGAATGCGGTCAGCGCCACGTGGGGAGGGCAGGAATGACATTCCCAAGCACCCGCTAGGCTCCTCCCCAGTGGGATTTGCCCAAGGTCTCAGCTGGTGAGTGACAGGGTCTAGATTCCACTGCCACAGTTTCCAGTACATGGGAGGCCCCAGGGCAGGTGGGCGGGTAAGCCGATGTGTGCATGGGTCTCGCAGGGGTGACCTGTGGGCCAAGGCTGGTGCCTTCTGAGATAAAGATGGAACCTTCTCACTGAAGACAGTTCTCCACTCTTTCCCTGGAGGTCTCCCTAAGGGCAGAGGACAGTGAGCATGTCACCCTGAGGGGTCTAGGGGTGCAGCTGGAAGCAGCTGCAGAGCCTGCAGGAGGCTCAGTTTTATCTTCAAATTCATGCGCATTTTACATTCTGCTCTCTCTCATATTCCCCCTAACAAAGATGCCTGGGGAAGGTGCTCGTGTTTATCTGTTTATCCTGGGGCTCTTTATACCCTGGGTCTTCCCCTGTGTCACCTTGGGATGTCACCTGCGCTCCAGTGCAAGAACTCGGCACAAATGGTGGAGACACCGAGGGTGCCATTTTCCCATCTGCATTTGAGGGCTTGGCAGGGAGAGCACTGAGCGCTGGGAGACCCAGGTGGGGAGATGAGGCCTGTGCTGAGGCAGAGGCAGGGGTGGGGAGGGAAGAGGCAGGTGCACCCATAATGCCCCTCCGTGTGACACTGATCTGACAGTGCTCTGTGTGCACAGACTAAAAAGACAACAAGAGACCTACTGACTGATCTGTCCACACTAGGATGAACCACATCAAATGGCCAAGTCTGTGGGTCAAAGTTGGTTGAGTTTCTGCAGCTTCCCAAGCAGGAGACTGCATGAGCCAGGCTTGGCAGGACTTGCAGCCAGCGAGGGCCCCCCTGACCCTGAGTTGGGCGTGTTCTGCAGTCCATACCATCCACTTCCCTGCAGTCTCACATCCTGTCATCTATTTTGAGAGAGCAGGTTTACCCCAGAACAGTCTGTGGAAGGTGTGGGGCAGGGAGGAGAGCTGGGCCGCCCTGAGGACACAGAGGGAGAAGGGTGCTGGGAGCCAGCCTGCAAGTTCTGGGGAGCCTCAGGGTGCCTTTGAGGGCACAACTTGGGAGGCCAAGCTCAGCGGGTGAGTTAGGGTTTGGTGGACATCCTTTGACATGTCAAAGGGTGTCACAGATATCCCTGGAGCCTGAGAGGTCTGGTCGGCCCACCACTGTGGCTGGAAACAGACTACAGTGGGGAGGAAGGAAGAGTGACTTGCACCCTGAGACACAGTGGCCGGACCTCTAGGAGCTGGCTGTGACAGCCCGGAGGGTGTTGATGCCTTTCCCACCTCCTGGAACACCCCCGTGTTAATGGGGGCGTGGGTCTACCTGGGAGGGAGTGGCAGGGCTGCTGGCCCAGCAGACCGGGGGAAGACTCTTGGTTTGGAATTTGACTGGGGCATAGGTGACCAGGTGAGACAGCAGGAGGCGGGGTCTGTCTGGAGAGAGATGACGTCTTTGGCTGGGTCCTCCAGAAGCCAAACTTGAGATGGGGATATGTAGGCATGGGATTTATGAAGTGCCCCTGGGAGAACCACTCAGGGAGGAGGGAGGGCAAGGCCAGGAATGGGCAGGAGACGGACCAGAGGTTCCTTCTCAGACAAAACCCGCTGACCGCGCCGGGGGCTCTAGGATACGAGTCACATCTTGGAGGGCCCCGACCTGAGACGGGACTGGCTTTCATTCTCGCCCCCTCAGCTGTTGAATAAGGGCCACCGCAGGGGAGGGGGCTCCATTCCTCAGGACTTCTGGCTCTCCAGGGGTACAGCTGAGCTGCTCCAGGAGCCTAGGCCAGGCCTCAAGGGGTTCTGCCTAGGATGTGGTCACATGAGAGGTGCCCCTCGGGACATCCAGGGCTTGTCTGGGAGAAGGAGCAGCAGCCAGAAACAGGGGCCCCATCACATGTGTGATCTAGTCCCTTCCATGCACACCATGTGGGAGCCCTGGCACACAGGAGGTGCTGCAGAAATGCTTGTGGGGTGAGCGCAGGTCTCTCCTTCTGGGGAGGAGGAGGGCTTTTCCCCTGGCATCAGGAAGCATCCCGGTGGCTGGGTCACACAGGTTCTATGCACATAACCTCAGACCCTGCCCCAGAAGCACTTGTCTGATGGGGGAGGCCAGAGGCTAAAATATTGGGGGAGATGCCCAGATGGCCTTGAGCTCAGGACTGGGCACACAGTGGGTGCTTAACCAGGGGCCTGTGGCTGCTGTGACTACCTATGACCAGCATCTCTGACTCTCCCAGGGCAGCCCAAGCCCTGGAGGCTGAGGGGGGCTGTTCCTTTGCACAGAGGTCTAAGTAGGACGGCAAACAGGACCTCTTGGCCCTGGCCTTCCCTGTGTCACACGTGTGGTGCGCCAGGGCCCAGCCAGGACAAGGACGTAGGTTCCTTCCCACAGCAGCTGTCTGCAGCCTGACCCAGGCCTTTCTCTTCTGAGCACCCAGGCTGCCAGCATGGGTATAGGTGGGGGTGACAATGGGGGATAGGGGTACAGAACTGCTCCCCAAGAAGCAGGGGCAGTGCTGTGGAAAGAACAAGTCTTTGGACTCCAGCAAATGTGGGGTTGAATCCGGTGTCTTCCTTCCTGGCCTTGGGGGCTGCTGATGGACGTTTCCCTGCCTGGAGCCTCTTCCAGTGGGGATAATCCTAGTGACTTAGGACAGTCTAACAGAAGGAGACTGTGTCACCCGGGGGTGTCAAGTTGTAGCCCTGCCACTTCGGAGCTGGGTGACCGTGGGCAAATTACTGAACGGCTTTGCACCTCAGCTCACGCATCTGTAAAATGGGGTGAGCGAAAGTCCCTCCTCCTTCTGAGGGTCTCAAAGAGAAAGTGAACAGGCCGCTGTTTTCTGTTGCAGTTCGTGCCCTCGTGAGGCTGGCATGCAGGATGGCAGGACAGCCCGGCCACATGCCCCATGGAGGGAGTTCCAACAACCTCTGCCACACCCTGGGGCCTGTGCATCCTCCTGACCCACAGGTAAGCCCCTTACCTTTGTCTGCAGCACACTGAAGAGTTCCCAAGGAATACGGATCCCTGAGCCTCCTTTGTCCAAACTCCTACTGGTGGAAACCCTTCAGCTCCCTGAAACAGAACCTCTTGAATGCTTCCAGTGATGGGGAGCTCGCTACCAAATCTAGTGAGCTCATCGTTGAATTCAGTAATACTCAGAGAAGCCTCCTCTGCCAAGCTCTAGGCTGGGACCCTGCACCCTGATCCTGCCCCTGGAGTGTTCCAAGTGGATGGAACAGCTTTATCTCAGGGATCAGCATGGTTGGAAGGGTACAGAGGGTGCTGTGGAGGCCCTGAGAACAGCGAGGGACTCAGAGGAATGGGCTGACTGTACTGTGGGTCAGAAAATTCTTTCTTACAGTGAGCCAACATTGCCTCCCATTTTGGTCTTAACTGTGTTTCAGCCCCCTTCAGCCTCTTCTAGAACCAGCAGAGTTTGGGAGAACACTGGCTTCTTAACGCCTGCCTCTCGCTCTCTCTAGATACCTTGGAGAGCCAGGCAGCCTTCAGCAGCTTTTCTGAAGGTGACTTGTAGGTTTCTGAACTGCCTTGTGTACCCCATGCTGCCCGGGCCTGGCACGCCCTCTCTGACCCCTCTTCCAAGTCAGTGCAAATGCTGCTCCCTCTGGGGAGACCTCCACTTCCACCCTGCTCTCTGCTCTGGGCTGCCCGCACACCTGTGTCCACACACCTGGGTGATGCCCGTGATCACATCTCACTGGGGCACTAGTTCCTGGGTCTGCCTCACTTTCTAGATGGAGAGCTCCCCTGGAGCAGGGCTTTGCTGGTGGGACAATCCCACACCGGGCACAGAGGGGCCCCGCGTGCTCGCTGAGTTAAGGAACTGTGCATGTGTGTGCTGTGTACCCACTTGGGACGGGGCTGTGTGGAAAACACTCAGGTCTGCTCTTACGGAGCACACAGCCTCATGGGAGAGAAAGATAAGGAGCTGAGCAGAAGAACCTTGCGGGCCTAGGGAGCCCAGCAAGGCACCTGATCCGGGGCCAGAGAGGCTTCCTCATGGAAGTGGCATGCAAAGGCCTGGAGGGGACAGAGAGCTTGTCTGGGCAGGTTGAGCAGAGCCAGATCCTGTAGGGTCCTGTGGCCAGCTTAGAATGATGAAAAGTTCTCTTATATGGTGTTGGCTTTTTCTCCAAAGGATGTGAGACCTAAATTCAGGGGAGGTTCAGAGATAGCCACCCTCCTGAGCCATGGAGGGCTTGATTACAGCTTCTAACTGCCTAATCCCTCTTGGAAGACTTCAGATTGGCTGATGTTTGACCTCAATGGCAAGGTTGCCATGTACAGTTGTACAGGTTATGCACTGCACAAAGCTTCTGGGCTAAGGAGGCAGGTAGGTCTGAAATCCTTCTCCTGTGCTTGCATTATCACCAAGCCATGCTCCCTGGTGGACAGCTGCATCAGCCCAAGGAGGGCGGTGATGCTGCAGATTGACACAGAGGCGACACGTTGAGCTTAGTGGACACTATGTTTGTGTGTGTATCTGGTGGGGGTGTGTGTATATGCATACACACAAGCATGCAGAGGGTCCATGGGGCATCTATGCTATTTGTACTCATGCAGGGGCCCATTTCCTAGGTAGAATTTGGGGAGGCAGATCCCAGAAAGCTGGGAAGCCCCAGGACACTGTGGGTCCAGAGTCTACCAGGACATGGTGCTGATGGCTGGGGGCAGCAGGGCCTCCTCGGGTAATGTAGCAATTTGTCATATTAAGTCATTCACTAACAATTGAATCCCCCTTGATTAATCTCCCAGAATTAGCCAGTTGCATTTTGAGCAATTAGGGTTAATTACAACCTCATTTGGCAGAGGAGAGGGCCCTGTAATTATTTCATGAGCAAGGTGAAGAGGCGGTGGGCTGCAGTGGCAGCGTTCACGACGTCTCATCGTTCATGTTGGAGAGGGTAATGACATAGTTAAGTGTAATTAGTTACGATTACTCGGAGCTGGGCTGCTCTGGGCAGCGGCTGTCGGGCAACGATGCCCCCAGTCCCACCAGCATCTGGCTGGGTTTGCAGAATGGGGGCGCAAGGCCACCCATGTGCCGTGCCGGCTCCAGGTTGGGATGGGAAAGGGGGACTTTCTCCTCGGCTCCTGAAGCCTTGGGGATTTAAACACTGTCTGGGGAGACATCCCAGCCGTGTCTCGCCTGTTTCAGGACATAGAAGCACCTGGAATTAATGGGCCAGGCATTTTCCTTGATAGCAGGAGGCACCGCTGCTTCCCTGAAACCATCCTCAGAGGAAGGAGCCAGGCTAAGAATGCTTTGATGTGGGCCAGGCTGTTTCCGCACCCAGCTCTCCGTCTCTCATTAGCCGGGTGAGACTAGGAAAGCAACCTCTCTGAGCCTCAGTTTCCTCATCTATAAAATGGGATAATAATGCCGCTTCCCTCATGAGGCGGCTGTGAAGACTAAGTGAGATAGTTACTGTAAACATCCAACACAGCACCTCACATCGTGGGTACTGAGGAAATGGTATGTCATGGATCTTATATTTTAAAAACCATTTCTGTTTTCATAGCTAAAGGCCTCCGAGCTGGATAATACCCCCAGTGTAGAAAGAAAGAAACTACAACCACCTGAACTGTGGTTTTTGTTAACCTGCTATGCCCAAGGCTAGTGGCTTGTTCATTTCAGGAAGCTTTCTAGCCTTGAGAGCCAGCAGCACATGAAAAAATATTTGCTGAAACCGGCAGAACCATATATGAAATTCATATATACTTAGGAAAGCTGAACATACTTGCTTTTATAGAGGTTTCTAATGAATGAATGAATGGAATTGAGGAAAGAAGCTTAAAATGCCTCATGCTTTTTAAATTTTACCAATGTGCTGCAGAGAGCTTTCATTGGGAATGAAGTGTAAGCCTCACCTGACACACTAAGAACCACGTGAATTTCCAAGAAGGGGAAAGGTATTCTTGCCTGAGAAAGCCCCGGCTAATGTGTCTTCCATCTGGAAAGTCTTTGCAAAGCCAGTTGGGATGTGCCAAGTTCAGTTATATTTGGGTGCTCTTCCGAGAGAACTTCGCAGGGGATTGGGTCAGCTCTTTCTAGGTGTGCATTGCACAGGCCAAAATCTTTATCAGAATCTTCCCAAAGCAGTGATGCTAGTTGGTTAAGGTTTAATGACCAAATATCAATGGCTATTAAAATTCAGTTAGTGGGCCGGGCACGGTGGCTCACACCTGTAATCCCAGCACTTCGGGAGGCCAAGGTGGATGGATCACCTGAGTCTGGAGTTCAAGACCAACCTGGGCAACATGGTGAAACCCTGTCTCTACTAAAAATATAAAAATTAGCTGGGCGTGGTGGTGTTCACCTGTAATCTCAGCTACTTGGGAGGCCAAGGCATGAGAATCGCTTCAACCTGGGAGGCAGAGGTTGCAGTGAGCCGAGATTGCACCATTGCACTCCAGCCTGGGCAACAGAGTGAGACCCCATCTCAAAAAAAAAAAAAAAAGAAAAAGAAAAGAAATTCAGTGTCTGCTAACTGCTGTCAATTCAGCAACTGTTTTTTTGGGGTTTTTTTCCTGCCATGGGAAGTGCCCAGTGCCTGCCTTTGGGGGCTCCCAGTCTGCTGAGAAGCTCTGCATGTTGCAGAGAGGTGGAAGCTCCCCGGGAGGGATGGACAGATGCTGGGAGAGCCCAGAGAATGGGGAGGCCAGTTCTGCTAGATAGATGATCAGGAATTTGGGGTGGGACAGGGAGAGGCCCCAGACCTGAAGGTGCATGGCCAATCAGGTTAGAGAAGTTGTTGAAATACCTATGCTTAGAGAAGGTAAAAGAATGTATGGTGTTTATGAAGGTCTCAAATCCATACTATCTCATTTGAAATTGAATCTGTAGCAAATGAGGAGCCCATTATGGGTTTTCAGGTGGCAAGGGGGTACTTGGGTTGGGTTCTAGATAGATCACTGGTGGCTCGTGCTCAAGGCTCAGGGAAGGTGAAAATAGGGAGGTGAGGAGGCCCCTTCTTCACCAGGTGAGATGATGCCTCATGGGGCTACAGCACTGGGGGCTGGACATGGGGAGAGAGGGTTCCAGAGACTTCCAGGGGAAAGCAGCCTCACTTGGTAGTGGAAGGGATGAGGGAGAGGGGTTGTCAGGAGTGGCAGCTGGAACTCTTTGTGGTTTCGCCCTTTATGTCTCTGCTTGTGAGTCGTCGGAGCTGGTTCCATATCATCTTTCGTATGTGTAAGCTTAGCTTTTTCCAGACTCTGTTAATGAGAATTGTCCTGGGGGAACCATAATGATTTAGATCGTTTTGGGTTTTGTTATTAGGAGTCTTCCATGCGATGGGCATTGGCTCACTGATCCCATGAGCCAGTGGCCCACGGAGTGCGGTGCAGACGTCTTAGCTGAGCCAGTAATGGTGGTGTTTGTACCAACAGCCCAGTGCCTGGGACTCATCTCACTTAGTACTCCTGCTGACTCAGAGGAGTTGCTTACTCAATGCTCTATTTTGCAGGGAAGGAAGCTGATGTCATAATCTGCCATCGCACCGTCAAGGGGCAGAGTTGGGATTGGGTCCAGGCCCATGGGACCCCACAGTGCCGCTTTGGGCAGCTAGATCTTTGAAAGGGAAGATGGGCTTTGGGTCTGAAGTTAGGCAGATCGTGAGGAGCTGAGCTGGGCTGGCCTCAGAAGAAGTCTGACAATGTGAACTCTTTGTAAATTGTGCCCTTTTGTGCAACACAGATTTAAAATATATCGCTATATACACATCTACCAAATCCATTAGAGTTTCCCTACCCACAGTGTCAGATGTCTTTAAAGGTGAAATTCGTTTATAAGAAATGTCATCCTGATGAAGTGTGCTTTTTAAAATCATAGAAACGGTTGCCTTAAAATTAATGATGCATTGCAAATATCAGGGAAAAAAGACCCATCCAGTGTAAAGATGATTAAAATTCAGGTCAGAAGTCTGACTTAGTCAGGCTAAATTTTTTAATGAGATTTCAGAAAATTAATTGGGCGAATGCATTTTTATTCTTTTAGCATGTAATTTTATGCTCCTGTTTAAAAAAAAAAAGATTCGTCTATGGCTGAGGCTGATTGTGGTTCAAACATTTTAAACTCAAATTAGCGCAGGGTGGGGGGTGTTTGTGGCCTAATTTGATCTGACTTGGAGAAGACAGCGTGGGTTTCTCAGAGCTTTCTGGGTGGGGGGTAGCTATAGTGGTCTGAGACATCCTCCCTGCCCCCCAGTCTCCCAGTCATGCCCTGCCTCTTCCTGAGAATGCCAGCGACATTTCTTGGGAGGTGGGATTGGGATGGCGGTGGCTCGGGGACCTTGGCCATCTCATTGGCTCCTGCTCACCAGTTTCCTGCTGCTCCCCAGGGCCCTTGTTCCAGCGGTTCCTCCACCCTCCTCCTCTCAAATCCCATGTGCCTGCCCCAGGCAGCCCAGGCCTTCTCCCTCGTGCCCACGGTGACAGGCAGCACAGCGAGTGGTGACACCGCAGGGTCAGCCTCCCTGTCCCCCGGCCCCTCGATCAGTCTCCTCTGCCTTTGGGGAGAGCTGAGGGCCTCCGTGCCCTGGCAGAGGAGCCTGAGGAGTCAGAGGTGGCCTCCTATGGTGTTGCCCCACAGCGCAGCCCTGGAAGGGAGGCTGAGGGCAGCTCTTGCCTAGCATGGTCCCTTGACAAATGGTCCTGGGTGACAAAGTCGCAAGGTTGTGTCTCTTACCTGCCCACAGGTGCACGTCGTCAGCCCCACCGCCTCACTGCAGCCCCCAAGGTTACCGCCAGCCGCCGAGGGGTGGGAACGGCAGGGTGATGATATCAACAGCCAAGAACCCCCTGGGCTTGTCCACTGCTCAGGCCGTCCCAGTCCCCGGGGAAGCAGGTCCACCACTAGGCCCATTCGACAGATAGCAGCACAATCACCGTCACCACGACTGGAGAATGACATGTCCCAGCACCTAGTGCCAGGCCCTCTTCCAAGGGCTTGCATTTGCTTATCCATTTAACCCCCAGCAGCCCCCTGAAGGGGGTACTGTTATGATCTCCTCAGTTTCCAAAGAGGAAACTGAGGCCCAGAAGCCTTGCCCAAGGCCCACAGCTGGGAAGTGGCAGAATTGAGGTTTGAGCCCCAGCCTCCAGGCCCCAGCATTGGAGTCTCAACATCAGAGCCAGAGCAGTGGTTACCCCTCTGCCAACTTGTGCCCTGGGGTGGGGTTGGGGGTGTTATTTTCCCCAGGAGCCACAACAGGGTTTCACACAAAGCAGGGACAGTGAGCAACAGAAACCAGTTTTCTGGGCTGGGTGAGGTAGCTCACACCTGTAATCCCAGCACTTTGGGAGGCCGAGGCAGGTGGATCACCTGAGGTCAGGTGTTCAAGACCAGCCTGGCCAACATGGTGAAACCCCATCTCTACTAAAAATACAAAAAATTTAGCCCAGTGTGGTGGCGGGCACCTGCTACTCCCCAGCTACTTGGGAGGCTGAGGCAGGAGAATCGCTTGAACCCGGGAGGCGGAGATTGCAATGAGCCGAGATCGCGCCACAGCGCTCCAGCCTGGGTGACAAGAGCAAAACTCTATCTCAAAAAAAAAAAAAAAAAAACCAGTTTTCTGAAAGGCCATCGGGGTGGTCGGTCATTAGTCAGCAGTGATCACATTTGGGGCCACCCTGGGCGCACTGTTCTGGGGCCAGCCCCACGCCCGTCTTGCAGTTTAGAGCCACACCAGACACTAATCACCAACATCATCTCCCAGAGTCCTCAGAGAAATCCTGGAGCCAGTGTTACTGTGCCTGTGTGTGGACGACCAGCCCAGGGTCACTTGGCTGCAGGGGCAAAAGTGGAACTTGCGGGGAGCTGACCCAGGAGCGGGGGAGGTCTTGGAGGTGGCGACGGAGCAGCCAGGCCTTCCAGGCCAAGGACACAGTTCACCCTTTCCCTTCTGCTGAGAGCCCCCAGGTGCACCAGGGCCAGGACTCTGCTGGCCCAGGCAGCTGCCCCCAGGAGCCTGGTGTCTCAAGGTGCCCCACACCTGAGCAGAGGCCACCCTGGGGACAGCGTCCTGTGGCAGCCCTGGGAGTGCAGTGGTGCCCCAGAGCCTGCTGGACCATGTCCCCAGCACACGTGCTCCATCTAGGAAGCTGCCCCACCAGAGGAGCTGGCCTCTAATTGGGTCGGATGGACTGTGACAAGAAATGCAAATCTGGGTCATCCATATGCGTGTGAGCAGCTGGAGCCCCAGCCACCTCCACCCACATCCACCAGGAGCTTCGGCCCCACTGTGGAGCTGCACGGTGTAGCCTCCCAGGACGGGCAGTGTTGGGAACCCCGGCCAGACTCCCACTAGTCACAGTAAGAAGCCTGGTCTTCCAGGGCAAAGACCCTCAGGGACCACTTCCTCCAAACCCTTCACTGTGCCTGGGGGAAACTGAGGCCCAAGAGGGGAGGGAGCCCACCCCCATCACCAGCAGTGCAGCTGGCTCTAGATCTGACAGGGAGTTCTAGCCTGTTTCCTGATTTGCGAGATGGGATTCATAACCCTTGCTTCATGAAGCTATTAGGAGTTTGGAGACATAGAGCTGTCTAAGCAGCTGGAAACTAGCACATAGTAGGCGTCTAACGTACAACACCTCATGGTTATTTTTATGAGTACGTGCGATTCTTCTAAGTGCTCAGAAAGCCGCCCTGGCTGTTTATGAGGGTATGTGATTTTGGCTGCATTCCTAGAGGTGACGGCGTCTGAGTCACAGAGTCCCACTGTGCGCCAGGTCGTGTCAGGCACATTCCATGTGTCATTCCACAAACATGCTCCAAGCAGTTGCTCTGGGGTCAGAGCCTCAGTGCAGAGGACGTGGAGGGGACTAGACAGGGGCCCCCTTTTGAAGAGGCCGGTGGCGGGTCCTGGGGCGGGGCCTGGGGCAGGGCTCAGGTGACTGAAAGAATGGAGGCTGGAGCAGGAAGTGGCAGGCCTGGCCGGTCAGGGGGTCTTGAGTGAAAAGCCGAGGAGGGATCTGAGCTGAGAGCCCACCCGATACGGAGCAAGAGCTTGGGCACCACAGTCCCCAGTCCTGGGGTCACACCCCAGCTCTGCTGTTCTTTGCTGCCTGATCAGAACAGGTCACTGCTACCCCTCCAAGCCTCAGATTCCTGAAATGGGGACAGCAGTGAGGCCCACTCACAGGGTTGTTCTGAGGACCCAAAGAGTGGGCGCGTGGGCGGTGTCTGCACAGAGCCCAGCATGCAGTAGACACTCAGGATGCCTGCTCTTCTTAGGTGGGTGCTCTGTGTACAGGTGTATTTACCCGACAGACATTGGCACATGGTGGATAAAATCATCATCTTCCTCCTCCAGCAGCCCTCCAGATCGGGTCCTCTGGCAGGACCCACCATGAGAGGTAATTAGGCCTCGAGGCTTCAAAGTCAAGGTTGGCCCAGCCCTCACCTTGCTGTGTGCTGTGAGGCCTGGACTCCCATCACTCACTCCCGCAGGAGGGTGTTCTGTAGAGTTCCCTCAGCCAAATCTGGAAGAGACATTTTCTTTTTTTTGAGATGGAGTCTCACCGTCACCCAGGCTGGAGTGCAGTAGCACGATCTAGGCCAACTGCAACCTCCGCCTCCCAGGTTCAAGCAATTCTCCTGCCTCGGCCTCCCAAATGGCTGGGATTTACAGGCACCCACCACCACACCCGGCTAATTTTTGTGTTTTTACAAAAATTTTTTGGCCAGGCTGGTCTCAAACTCCTGACCTTAAGTGATCGCCCGCCTCGGCCTCCCACAGTGCTGGGATTACAGGCGTGAGCCACTGCGCCTGGCCTAGAAGAGACATTTTCACTTTACTTTTTTCCCTGCTTTTCCAGTGAGTTTCTATTATTCATTAAGTCATGATTCAGGGTCCCAGAGTAGGGATCACCACATAACCAGGTTCCCCTCAGGCACTCTGGGAGAAGGACAGAGGAGAAGTTGATGGACCCAGCTTAGACCTGCCCAGGAGACGTGCCCCTGCTCCGCAGGCATCTCAGGCTGAGACGCAGCTGGTCCGGCCAGCAGTTCCTGGTGTTTCCAGGTGGGGAAGCAGCTGTCAGAAGGGCCAGTCCTGTAGTTCTCGGTTTGGTCTTGATGCCTTCCGCCAGGGTGCTGGCTCCTAAAGACGCCTCGGTACGGTGCCCGGCTCAGTGTGACCCTCACCAAAGACCCACTTCATGCTAGAAAGTTGAACTGCTTGTTCTGGCTTCACTAGGGGCGGTGGCATGGAGCTGGGTGATGTGGGCATGGCTGGCCCCTCTGGGCCTCAGTTTCCTCATCAGGCAAATGGAGACACAGCCGGGCCCATCTCACCATAGGGCAGGCCAGAGATGTGGCATCCTCTCCCCTTGTCTGTCTCCTCCTTCCCTGGCCCACTGTTGGCGCCCCCTCCTGCCTTTTCCTGAGAGCTCACTGCACAGGTGTCCTGGGGTCCTCCTGGCCACTGTGGTCTCACCTGGAGGCTCCATCCCTGGGCAGGTCCTAGCGCAGGATCATGTGTTCCAATGCTGGCCCCTGCAGAGTCTTTGTGGAGCTCTGGTTTCTTCACGACACCCTAAAAAAGGCAGTTTATCTAAAGGATGGGCTCAGGGTGTAAGGCTGCACATTTTTTTGAGAGGGGGACAGAGTCTCCATCACCCAGGCTGGAGTGCAGTGGCATGATCTCTGCTCACTGCAACCTCTGCCTCCTGGGTTCAAGCGATTCTCATGCCTCAGCCTCCTGAGTAGCTGGAATTATAGGCATGGGCCACCACACCCAGCTAATTTTTATATTTTTAGTGGAGACAGGGTTTCGCCATGTTGGCCAGGCTGGTCTCGAACTCCTGACCTCTCGAACTCCCGCCTCAGCTCCCAAAATGCTGGGATTACAGGCGTGAGCCACCACACCTGGCCAAGGCTATGAATATTAACCTTGGTTTTCTTGTCTGAGATGGGGAACGGCTGCCCCAGGAAGGGAACTTGCCATTTCTTATGATGACCTGGGGCATTTTGCATGGTGGCCACGGGCTGGGGATACATGAGCTGCACCCGGCTTACCGGACCCCAGTTTGGGCATCAAGGATTCAGGAGAGGATGAGACGGGCAACGCCCGTGGTCCCACGGAGCTAGCCCCCAGGGATGGGACTCAGAGACAGCAAACAAACAAGCAGTCAGACAATGAAGGTGGTGATGAGGGCAGTGGGGAGCATGAACAGCCTCAGTTTTTCACCTGCACTGGGGGTCCTTGAGGGGACCCAGGGGACCCTGTGCAGAAAGCCCCCTGGGGGGGTGCCTGGGAGGCTCCCAGAGCAGGGTTGGCAGCAGAGTCCCTCCTTCACCTTAGAGGGTGCTGTTGGGGTGCTGGGCCTCTAGGGGTCGTCCCCAGGCCTCTGCTGCAGCCTGGCTGCTCACGGAGGCCCTCTGTCCCCCGTTCCAGAGGCATCCCAACACGCTGTCTTTTCGCTGCTCGCTGGCGGACTTCCAGATCGAAAAGAAGATAGGCCGAGGACAGTTCAGCGAGGTGTACAAGGCCACCTGCCTGCTGGACAGGAAGACAGTGGCTCTGAAGAAGGTGCAGGTGAGCTGACAACCCGTGGGGTCAAACCTGCATCTCGGGAGGTGGTCTCTGCATCTGGACGGGGTGCCCGGGCCAGTCCCTTCTCTCCCCTCTTCTGTGAACGAGGGAAACAGCACTCAACTCACTGGGTTACAGAGAGAACCAGGTGGACTCCTATTGATGAAAGTTCACTGTGAACTGCAAAGGAAAAGAAAAACGAGCATGCATTGAGCGCCTGCTGTGTACTGGGTCATGCAAGGAGCACATGGAGCCTCTCAACAGTCCCGTGGGTGGGGATTGTCATTTCATCTCTCAGATGAGGAAAATCTCATAACCGCCAGGGCCCCAGCATGAGTCTTGGGGGAGCTGAGGTTCATACCATGTCCACCCATCCTTGCGCCTGCGGTTGCTCCACAGTTCTGGGCTTCCTGCCTTCTGCGTCCCTCCTAAATGGAGGAAGTAGGTCAAGCGGCAAAGTCAGGACAGGAGCCATGTCCATGAGAGCCGCTGGGCCCGTCTGAACACAGCTTTGCCGGAGGAAATGGCTTTAAATCCTCCAGCAAAGCTTCCCAAGCCCCTTGATTTGCTTACTTGTCCTTAAAGAACAAGATTGAGAGCCTGGGCAGAGGAGGGCCGGGAGAGAGAATGGCGTTGGGGAAATGGGGAGAGAACACCCGCAGCTTCAGGGCGCTGGAGGAGTAGCAGGGTCCTCTCTGTCCAAAAAAGGACCAGTTTCTCTCTTGATCTTGTTTTTTTTTTGAGATAGAGTCTCAGTCTATCACCCAGGCTGTAGTGCAGTGGCGTGATCAGCTCACTGCAACCTCTGCCTCCCGGGTTCAAGCGATTCTCCTGCCTAGGTCTCTTGAGTAGCTGGGACTACAGGCGTGCACCACCACACCCAGCTAATTTTTATATTTTTAGTAGAGACGGGGTTTCACCATGTTGGCCAGGCTGGTCTCGAACTCCTGACCTCAAGTGATCCACCCACCTCAGCCTCGCTGGGATTACAGGTGTGAGCCACTGTGCCTGGCCCGCCCTCTCCATCTTCTGGGGAGGGGCTCACCTGGGCTCTCTGTCTTGGTTCTTTAGTGCCACGATGGGTTTTGTGGTGGGACAGTGCTGGGGGGACCCACAGTGAGCAAGCCCTACAGGGGCTGGGAGTGCAGGGGGGGGTCACAGAGTCCCTTGGTGAGGAGGTGGGAGAGCCGGGACTGGAAAGCAGACCCCGTGGCCTCCTTTGGGTCACTGGACACAGATTGTAACCACTCTATTTCTCTTTTTCCTCCCGCCCAAGATCTTTGAGATGATGGACGCCAAGGCGAGGCAGGACTGTGTCAAGGAGATCGGCCTCTTGAAGGTGAGCACCCTGGGCCGAGCGGGAGCTTTGCCTCCTCGGGGAGGTTCTGGGGCCGCGGCTGGGCCACATCATGTCCATCACAGCCCTTGGGTGCCAGGAATCCGCAGCCCCTGCTAAGTTAACAGACGATAGCTTTCTAGGGGCAGCGGCTAGTGAGTTTTCTCCTGGCCAGGCAGGAGCGGCCCGCCTCATCGCTCTGCCCAGCCCTTGGGGTCGCTGCCTACAGCCTTTCCTCCTTGCTGCACGCCCCTCCTGCTTGTACATGGCAGTACCCGGCATAGAAGTCCTTCCCCACAGGGCAGCCCTGACCCTGCCTCGCAGTGGCCTATGGACCAGGCTTGGCTAGGGGAGGAGTTCATTGTGGGGACCACATCCAGACTGCAGCCTGTCTGGCTCTGCCTCTGTCTCTATGTCTGTCTCCCTGTTTTTCTCTTTCTCATCCTCTTTCCATCTCTCCTCTCAGCCTTTTTCTTTGGTTTTGTTGGTAGTGGTGGTGGTGGTGGTGGTGGTGGGTTTTTTTTTTATTTTAGAGGCAAACTCTGTTGCCTGGACTGTAGTGCAGTGGCATGATCATAGCTCACTGCAGCCTCAAACTCCTGGGCTCAAGCAATCCTCCCGCCTCAGTCTCCCGAGTAGCTGGGACCACAGGCGCATGCCACCACACCTGATTTTTATTTTTTATTTCTTTTGTTTTTTTTTGAGACAGAGTTTTGCTCTTGTTGCCCAGGCTGGAGTGCAGTGGCACAATCTCTGCTCACTGCAATCCCCACCTTCTCGGTTCAAGCAGTTCTCCTGTCTCAGTCTCCTGGGATTACAGGCACCCACCACCACACCCAGCTAATTTTCATATTTTTAGTAGAGACAGCGTTTCACCATGTTGACCAGCCTGGTCTCAACCTCCTGACCTCAGGTGATCCATCCACCTCAGCCTCCCAAAGTGCTGGGATTACAGGCGGGAGCCACCGCACCCGGCCCCCCATGAAACATACTGGATTTGCTCGGCAGTTTCCAGCAAAGTGGGACTGCTGGTGGCAGGGCTGCCCGCCGAAGCCACAGCTGCAGAATTTCAGATTAGCAGTTTTTTCTGCCACACGCTGCCCTGTGTTCTCAGGCCTTGGCCCTGCTCTTGGGGACTTCCAGGCTGGTGGGGAAGCAGGTAGGAAGCAGATGGTGACCTTCCAGGGTGATGCAGATTGACTGGTGGGCCAGGAGCCCCAGGGAAACCCGCTTCCTGGGCAGGCCTCACAGAGGGCAGGGCACCATCCCAGAATCTGGAAGGCCGAAGTGAGCCTTCTTCCAGGCACCGCAGCACCGTGGATTATGGGAGGTTGGGGAGACAGAAGGCTGGACATGGCAGCAGAGCCAGATACACACTCAGAACAAAAGGGGAGCCCCTGAAGTGGCTGCAAGTCGGGGGGCCATGGCTGGGTGTGAGTTGTGAGTGCCTGCTCTGGTGGCCCCCGGCCACAGTGGGTGAGGGAGTCAAGGCTGGAGGCAGGAGGTGTCCTTACCACTAACTATTATAGGTCAAAAAATATCCCTCGAAAACATTGTTTAAATGTTTAAGTAATGGTCAGCTTGCTGCCACTTACCCAGCCCTGAGGAATGTTTGTCCTGATCACCCATTGCCCCCTCCCCACCTCATGTGCCCTTCTCCCCGAGTGAAGGAACCCACAGGTGAGCATGCTGAGCACAGCCTGGTCTGGTCCCTGGTCACACAGATGTGCCACCGCAGCCCCTGCCTTGCAGGAGCCTGAGCCTGGCGTAAACCCACATGGCTGCAGAGGGGATTTGGTCCCTTCTCCAGGGCTGCCATGCAGCCAAGGGCACCAAGCCGGGGTTTCAGAGGACACACCCCTCGCTCACTAGCTGTGTGGCTGCAGGCCAGCCATGGGCCTCTCAGGACCTCAGTTTCCTCATCTGTAAAGGGGGCATGATGACAACAGGGACGCTGGAGGAGTCAGTGAGGAAGCATGTCTGACGAGCTCAGGGCAGCGCTGGTGTGTGGTACGCTCGCCGCCCAAGGCAGCCCAGTTGTCATGGTTGCCACCTCTGCCCGCCAATGCCAGCCGCCTTCCCGAACACGGGTCCCACTCCACAGGTAGCCCATGGGAAGTCAACAGGATGTGCCAGGGCACGAGGTGCTTCCTACAAAACAAAAGGAAACGTGGTTTTCGGAGGGGTGACTGTTGACATATCACATCATTCATGCAAAGAACCCAAACCCAAAACCTCTCAAGTGCGGGGGCTGGTGGGGTCGGCAGCTGCCAAGCGTGGGACAAGAAGGTGGGTCCTGTTGGAACGCAGGCGTGTGTTCATTCATTCTGTGCAATTTCTGATCACCACTGAATGCTGGACACCAGGGTGCAGCCCAGTGGAGAAGACAGATCATAGACACTCTGTGTTACATCCGGGAGGGCCTGGAGCTTGGGAGCAGAGCCCCTGATGGCAGAGATTCAAAGGACAGGGACCCTTACTCTCAGCTCTCCCTCCCTTCCCTCTGGCCACCACCACAGCCAGACAAAGCCCAACCACATTGCGTCTTTGCAGCACCTTCCCTGTCCCTGACCCAAGTGTGTCCCCTTCCAGACCCACCTGGGCCCACCAAGAGGCCACAGGCTGTGAAGTGGACTCCATGTGGACCAGGTTCTAGACTCAGCTCGGCCCCTGCTTGCTGTGGACCCGTGGCTGATCCCTTCCCCTCTCTGGACCTTGGCGATTTAGCCCAATGGACGTCTGGAGCCCCTTTCTGCCTGTGCCTGTGTAGACTGCCTGGGCATTTAAGGGAGCCCTTCCTTAACCCCCTGCCCTCAGACGTGCAGGGAAATGGGGGAGGAGTCTCCCTCCTCCCCTCCCCAGGAACCAGCGCCTCCTTGATGGGGCTTTACTTCCTACCCAACCCCTCTCATTTCTCCCTTGTTGGAGAAACTGTGTCATGCCTGGACTGCTGATGACCTGGGCAGTTTTTGGGGAGTCCTCCCTGAGAGGTTGTGAGATTTCCTGGTGACATAATGAGGTGAAGTTCAAGAGGAGGGTGAAGGAGCAGGGTGTTCCCATTTATCCTCATAGCAGCTTGCCCACGCCGTAGGTCATGTCTCAGAGATTTGAAGGCACTTTCAACTTGCCATTCACTTGCTTTGACACTTTTTTTGGTAACTGAAAAACATGTCTATGGAGCATGATGTGTGCTGAGGGCAGCGATGTGATGGCCAGTGTTCGCGCAGGACGTCCTTTTCAACACAAAATCTGGGCAAGAGGATTTTCTTTTCTTTCTTTCCTTTTTTGATAACAGGGTCTCGCTCTGTCACCCAGGCTGGAGTGCCGTGGTGCGATCTCGGCTCACTACAACCTCCGAGTAGCTGGAATAACAGGTGTGCACCACCACACCCGGCTAATTTTTGTGTTTTTGTAGAGACGGGGTTTCACCATGTTGGCCAGGCTGGTCTTGAACGCCTGACCTCAGGTGATCCACCCGCCTCGGCCTCCCAAAGTGCTGGCATTACAGACATGAGCCACCACGTCTGGCCCACCTTCTTTTTTAAATTTCCATTTTTATTTTAGATTCAGAGGGTACACATGCAGGTTTGTTACAAGAGTATATTGTGTGATGCTGAGATTTGGGCTTCTGATCCCGTCACGCAGATAGTGAACATCATACCCAATGGGAAGTTTTTCAGCCCTTGCCCCACTCCCGCCCCCTCTTGTAGAGCCCAGTGTGTCTACTGTTTCCATCTTTATGTTTGTGTGTACCCAGGATTTAGCTCCCACTTATAAAAGTGAGAACATGCAGTATAGATATGTTTCTGTGTTATTTCTCTTAGGATAATGGCCTCCTGCTGCATCCGTGTTGCTGCAAAGGACATGACTTTTATTCTTTGTTGTGGCTGCATAATATTCTATTGTATACATGTACCACATTTTCTTTATCCGGCCCACCATTTCTGCGCACCTAGATTGATTCGGTGTCTTTGCTTTTATGAATAGCGCCGTGATGGACATACAAACCCATGTGTCTTTTTGGTAGAACCATTTATATTCCTTTGGGTATATACCCAGTAATGGGATTGCTGGGTCAAATGGTAGTTCTATTTTTAGTTCTTTGAGAAATTTCCAGACTTTGTTCCACGGTGTCTGAACAAATTTACATTCCTACCAAAAGCATAGAAGTGTTCCCTTTTCTTCGCAGCCTCACCAACATCTGTTATTTTTTGACTTCGTAATAATTGCCATTCTGACTGGTGTGAAATGGTATCTCATTGTAATTTTTTTTTTTTGAGACTGGGTCACACCCTATCATCTAAGCTGGAGTGCAGTGGTGTGATCATGGCTCACTGCAGCATCAGCCTCCCAGAATCAAGTGATCTTCCCACCTTAACCTCCCAAGTAGCTTGGGCTACAGGCCTGCACCACGAAGCCCAGCTAATTTTTTTTTGTAGTGACAAGGTCTCACTCTGTTGCCCAGGCTGTTCTCAAACTCCTGGGCTCAAGCAGCCCTCCCACTTCAGCCTCATGAAGTGCTGGCATTATAGGCATGAGCCCCTGCACCCAGCCTATTGTGGTTTTGATTTACATTTCTCTGATGATTAGTGATGTTGGGCATTTTTTTCCTGTTTGTTAGTTGCTTGTATGTCTTCTTTTGAAGAATCACTGTTCATGTCCTCTTCCTACTCTTTATTTTATTTTTATTTATTTATTTTTTATTTTGAGACAGAGTCTTGCTCAGCCACCCAGGCTGGAGTGCAGTGGCATGATCTTGGCTCACTGCAACCACCGTCTCCCGGGTTCAAGCGATTCTCCCATCTCAGCCTCCTGAGTAGCTGGGATTACAGGCACCCACCATCATGCTCGGCTAATTGTTGTATTTTAGTAGAGACGGAGTTTCACCATGTTGGCCAGGCTGGTCTTGAACTCCTGACTTCAGGTGATCCACCCACCTTGGCCTCCCAAAGTGCTAGGATTACAGGCGTGAGCCACTGCGCCCAGCCTATTTACTTATTTTTTATTTTTATTTTTATTATTTTTAGAATCTCACTCTGTCACCCAAACTGGAGTGCAGTGGCACAATCTCAGCTCACTGCAACCTCCGCCTCCCAGGTTCAAGCGATTCTCCTGCCCCAACCTCTCGAGTAGCTGTGACTACAGGCACCTGCCACCATGCCTGGCTAATTTTCGTATTTTTAGTAGAAATGGGGTTTTGCCATGTTGGCCAGGCTGGTCTCGAACTCCTGATCTCAATGATCCGCCCACCTCAGCCTCCCAAAGTGCTGGGATTACAGGCGTGAGCCACCATGTCCAGCCTCCTCTGCTCACTTTTTAATGTTTTGTTTTTTTTTATTGATTTAAGTTCCTTATAGATTCTGGACATTAGTCCTTTGTCAGATGCATAGTTTATGAATGTTTTCTCCCATTCTGTCAATTGTCTGTTTACTCTGTTGATCATTTCATTTGCCATGCAGAAGCTCTTTCATTTAATTATGTCCCACTTGTCAGTTTTTGGTTTTGTTGCAATGGTTTTTAAGGACTTGGTCTTAAATTCTTTGTCAAGGCTAACGCTGAGAAAGGTATTTCCTAGGTTTTCTTCTAGGATTTTTATAGTTTGAGGTCTTACATTTAAGTCTTCAATCAATCTTGATTTAATTTTTACACATGGTGAAAAGTAGGGGTTCCGTTTCATTCTTCTGCATATAGCTAGCCAGTTAATTGAGTAGGGAGTCCTTTCCCCATTGCTTATTTTTGTCAACTTTGTTGAAGATCAGGTGGTTGTAGGTATGCTGCTTTATTTCTGAGTTCTATATTCTGTTCCATTGGTCTATGTATCTATTTTTGTACCAGTACCATGCTGTTTTGGTTACCATAGGCTTGTAGTATAGTTTGAAGTCCAGTAACGTGATGCCTCCAGGTTTGTTCTTTTTGCTTAGGATTGCTTTGTGTGCCGCCTTCTGAAGTCTAGTCACCCTGTGTAAATTACCTACATTTGTTACTGACCAAGGTTCTTCCACAGGGGAGCCTGCTGCTAAGATGGCAACAGGGCTCCCTCCCAGCCACCCCTGGGAACCAGGATTGAATGTGCTGCACCTGCGTCCTCAGCTGTGCAGGGTGCCTGGTTCCTCGCAGTGGTGTCTGGATATTCACTGAGCCACAGCGCTGCTGGCTGAGGGGCAGGCAGGGGCCAGCACACCCACCTCAGGGCCAGACCTTGGTCCAGAGCAGGGGTTTGAGGACTTGGACAGGCAGTGGGCGCCATAGCAGACAGGGATCAGTCTCTGGGGGGACCTGGTGAGAGGATGGACGCATGGGGAGGAGCTGGGGCCAGTGGCTGAGCCTGCTCTGGCCCCCAGGGCCCACACATGGGGGGCTGGCTTGGGGAATGAATGAATGAATGAATAGGGGCTTGCATGGCTCTGTAACATCTGCCCAGGCTCCCCTCATTTTAGAATCCACGGATGGGCACAGTGCATCCTTCTCCCAACGACTTCCGGGCCTTTTGGGAAATGTGCTCACTATCGGCCTCTGGTGGTTGGCTGGTGTCTGGACTAGGCTGACCACACCCACACCAGGGCAGGATATTCGAGTCCCCTCTGCTTTCCCAGATCCTGGAGTCTCTTTGATATAAACAGTCAGCTTTGTTATGAACAGATGCCAGGGGCTCCTCTTAGCCTGGAGGGCCTGACTTCCAGCCAGGGGGGCACCGTTCTGTCCAGCTCCATGCTCCACTGCAGCAAACATGCAGGCGGTGGTGCGAAGGACAGAGGCAGCGTCTCAGCATGAGCAAATCAGCCGGGCAGCTCTCATGCCTCCAGGGATTTTTTTCAACATTTCACAAGGGCCAGGCATGGTGGCATGCAGCCGTAGTCCCAACTGCTCAGGAGGGTGAGGTGGGAGGATCGCTTGAACCTAGAAGTTCAGTTTCAATCAGGGCAACATAGTGAGATCCTATCTCTACAAAAAAATATTTTAAAAAAAATGATTTTACAAGAGATAGGTCAGGAATTGAGAAAGAGTGGGAAGGATGAAGGCAGGAGATGGTCCTTCTGAGGAGCACCTGCAGGCTGGCCGTGTCTGGGCACAGGGACAGAGAGGTGGGGCCCAATGCCGCCCTCAGGGTCGGGGTGGTGAGGAGGAGGGGGAGGGTCCTTTCCACAAGTCCATGCTGAGTCTCACATAGCTCTGTGCGGCTGCCCTGTTACACATTTCAAGAGTATTGACCCATGTCGTCTTCACAACTATGCTTCAAAACATTATGCCAGTTTTACAGATGAGGAATCTGAGACTTGGGGATGCAAAGTGGCTTTCCCAGTGTCACCCAGGCCTTCCTGACTCCCCAGCACAGGCCTTTCTTTCCCTGGGACCCACTTCTCTAGCAAATGCCAGGGCCTCAGTGACCGGGTGCCAGCAGGGTGCCGGTGGCAGGCAGGCACTGGGTCTGTCCCGTCTTCACTTGGTGCCCCCTTCCCTCTTTCCCTCCTCATGCAGCAACTGAACCACCCAAATATCATCAAGTATTTGGACTCGTTTATCGAAGACAACGAGCTGAACATTGTGCTGGAGTTGGCTGACGCAGGGGACCTCTCGCAGATGATCAAGGTGAGCGCCTGGCGGGGTGGGGGTGCTGGGGGCTGCGCAGATCTGGAGCCAAAGGTGGCAGTCTTCCTTTAGCCCAGTCCCACAATGCTCTGCCTTTAGCCAGAGGCGGCCACCCGGGGACCCTGGGCGCCCCCCTGCAGATGCCCACAGGCCTCAGCTGCAGTCTGGTGAGGGCCTCTCAGGGTCCGTCCCCAGCTGCTGTTGCTGGAGGCCTCTTTCTTTCCACTGGCCTCAGGGAAGCTCAGCTCAAAAGAGCCCATATGCAAAAGCAAGGCGAAGGTGGTGCCAAGACAGGATGGTGGCTGGGAGGGGGCCAGCCATGGGCAGAAGGAACTCCTCTGGCCACCCCCAGTGCCCCAGCCTACCACAGGCACATGAGCCACTTCTCCTGCCTCACAGAAGGAGCAGGGGCAGCACCCCGTTTGGTCAGACCCCAGCTCTTGGGAAAGCATCTTGTAGATCCACTACCTCATTTTAAAGAAGGGGAAAACTGAGCCCAGAGAGGTTAAGAGACTTGCCTGAGGATACCCAGCATTGTGGGTACAGAGCCATGCCTGTGGCCCAGGTCTCTTTTCCTGGCCTGGGACCCTTTGGTGGACATGGTCCCAAGATGCTCTCCCCAGCCCTAGAGGGGGAACTTCATTTCCATGTTAGGGCTGACACCCAGGCCTGGGGTCTTCAAGAGATTGAGTGACTGTTCGAGTCACATGGGCAGGCTCAGCGCCAGGACTGGCTCATGCTCCACGCCCCTACATACATCTTCACCTGCCTCATCCCACCACCCAGGGCACAGGGCGGAGTTCACCATGAGTCTGGTGTCCAGGACCACTGCAGCTTCAGTGAAACAGCAGCACCTCCTGCCAGCCTCCACCCAGCCCAGTACGCTCATGCGTCCCTCACTGAGTCCCCGCCGTCCTCAAATAGCAAAGCTCAGAGAGGTCTAGTCTCCTGCCCAAGGCACCTCAGCCTCTAGGTGGAAGCCCCCAGGCCTGCCTGACCCCCAGGCCCAAACCTTCAGCCCCTACTCCACTGCTCCTTAGTGGAGGTCCTCACGTCCCTACTGGCTTGGACCTCTGTCCCCAGGGCCCTGCTGTGGCCCCATCACCTCTCTACCCTGGATGCAGCCTGCCTGCTCCCAAGTGAGGCTGGGCCCCGCTGGAGCCCCCACCCTGCTCACAGCCGCACTTAGAAACGGGGCCGGATGTGGGTTCTCTGTCTTTCCCATCAGGCACTGGGGATTGAGCAATTGCTCAGTGCTCTTCTGAAATTTGGGTCCTAGGAATACAGGCGTCACTGGGAAGTGGCATTACTTGAGCTGTTATCACCTGCTCTTACATTTCCGTTGACATATTAATGCCTTTGCAGGGATGTTAATCTGCACACAGATCCCTGGTGGGAACAGATGTGCTAGATCATGTCTTAGCTCTTCCTCTCCCCCGCCCCCGCTTTACTTGTTTCTCCTTCACACGGATTCCCTTGCTGAACATACAAGCATCGTGTATCCACTGTGTGCCAGCCCTCATGCCAAGAACTAGGGTTGCCGCCAGCATGGCTCCTGCCCTCAGGGATCCCAGATTCTAACAGGAAAACAGACCCTCGAATGAGTAGTTAGGAGCCAGTGTGAACAAGCCATGTGCAGGGCCTGTGGGAGTCAGAGAAGGCTTCCTGGAGGAGGTGACACTGAGCTGAGCTGTTAGGGGAGGTGGGCTGTCCAGAAGCAGAAACGGTCCCACAGGGATGGGAAAGGGAAGGGAGCTGAGATGGAGACCACCGGATCACGTAGGGCCTGTTGCTCCAGGCTCGGGGTCCAGGACCAGGCCCTAAGGTCAGAGAAGCTTCCTAAGATTCATGGCGGTGAACAAACGTGGTCAGCTCTGTGTTCTAGAAGAAAGACTGGAGGCCGGGTGGAAGGAGAGGTGAGGGCAGGGACGGAGGAGGAGCAGGAGATGAAGGAGAGGCCTCTCCCTGCTGCCACACGGGAACGCAGCCCGTGGAGAGGACGCCTCACCCTCTCAGCCCCAGTGGAGCCCAGACACTGTGGCCTCTCAGTCCACGGAGTGGGGCTGCCGTCAGACAGGCAGATGGGGGGCTGGGGCTGGGCAAATCCCTCTTCCCTGAACCTCAGTTTCCACCCTGTCCCCGGGAACCTCTTGGAGGGAGCATTGCAGGAAACCCAGGCCAGGTGCAGTCTCCCTCAGCTGAGAGAGAAGAGGAGACATGGGGGCATTCTATCCAGCATCCCTTCTCTATGCCAGGCCTGGGATGGGGTGTCTCCTTCCCTGTGCACCCCTTCCTTGGCTTCACCAGAGCCAACACTGGCTCAGGGTTCAAGTCAGTCATGAACCCAGCAGGATTGAGTCTAGGATGGGTGTGGCCTCAGTTTCTGAGCAGCCACCTGGCCCCCCACGCCTCGGGTCCTTCCTCCTCACCTGGCATGGTTCCCCCTCCCACAGTCCCCACCTCTCTCCCCCCACTGTCCCTGCCTGCTCCCGTTCCCTCCAACCCGGCTCAGGGGCCCTCACCTGCAGAGCTGGCTCGGTGCAGCCGCCAGCAGGGGAGGCCTGGCAGTGCAGAGACCCACTCGAGTAAGACACGTCCCCTGGATGGCCTCAGGCGGGTCCCTGTGCCTCAGTTGCCTCATCTGTAACATACCAGCACAATGCCTGGGGTTTGGTGGGAGCTCGGTTCCCCTGGTTCTGCCTGCTCTCAGGCCACCTCTGGGTTTCCAGAGGAACAGGGGATACCCCATGGTCGCCCCACTGGCCTCAGAGGCTGTCAGGCAGCAGGGATTGTGTCCCGAGAGCCTGCAGCCTCAAGGGCTGAGCTGCGCCATCACAGCCATGGTGCCCGAGTTATTTACGAGGAAGAGTGAAGCTAGGAGCTGCCGTAGCCCCAGAACCCACCAGAGACTCTGCGCCTCCCCGCTAAATGTCAGACAGCGCTTATAGGACATGACATTTAGAAAATCACCACTCTCGGCCACGCGCGTCCCTGCTTAAATGCTGTAATGAGGATTCACTCACATCACAGCGTGAATAACATCCCGGCCTGGCCCGCCACAGGCCTGGAGGTGGCCTGGGGGTGGGGTCTGTGCTGAGACCTGGGACGGCTCACCTGAGAGGGCCTCCCAGAATTGTACCTCAGAACAGCCTCGAGGGGATTTACGGCGAGGTCAGGGGCTCCCCACTGCGACTGTCCCACCGTGGGAAGCACCCAGACCTGGGTCCCAGCTGGGTGCTGGGTGACCTTGGGCATGTTCCTGAACCTCTGAGCTCAGTCTCCCATATCAATGGTTACTGGTGTTATTAGAAGTGGGCTAAGGGGGCCAGGCGTGGTGGCTCACGCCTGTAATCCCAGCACTTTGGGAGGCCGAGGCAGGCAGATCACCTGAGGTGAGGAGTTCGAGACCAGCCTGGCTAACGTGGTGAAACCCCATCTCTACTAAAAATACAAAAAATAGCTGGGCGTGGTGGCGCACACCTGTAATCCCAGCTACTCGGGAGACTGAGGCAGGAGAATTGCTTGAACCCAGGAGGTGGAGGTTGCAGTGAGCTGAGATCACGCCACTGCACTCCAGCCTGGGCGACAGAGGGAGACTCCATCTCAAAAAAAAAAAGAAGTGGGCTAAGGACTTGGGCTTTCTAGGTGGGAGGCCTGGGGCTGAGCTGTGTTTCTGCCTCTTTCTACGTGGCCCTCAGTTTCGTTTCCCTGTCTGTAAGATGGGCCTAGCCCTCCCTCTTAGGCCCGGCATGGTGGCCACACCCTGCAGGTGGTCTGAAAGTGCTGGCCCAGCTCCTTTCCTCCACCCATGCCCCTTTCCAGGCCAGTGTGTCCTGGTCAGTTCCCAGCTTCCCAGCACCAGAGCAGCTGCCCTGACCAGCAGGCCCACAGCGCCGCCTCTGCCTGCTTTGGGGAAAGGTGGTTGCTTTGAAGCAAAAAGCCCCTGCACAAAAAGCTGGTATGCAGGTAGCTGGTGAAGAAGTCCTGCCCCACAGGCATGGGCCTGGCACCTGAGAGCCACCCCCGTCTCTAGCTGAGCCGTGGCTGTCACATGCTCTGGGCCTGCCCTCTCCAGGACCTTCTGTTACTTACAGCTCACTCAGTGTGGCCGGGGACCTTTAGTTTTTGTTTTCTTCCTGGAGCACTAAATATGTTTTCCCAGGCAGTGAAGCAGACTGATGCCCGTTGGAACTGGGGTTCCTTTTGAGTGCGTCAAGCCCATTTCCTCAAGGTTCTCGCCGCGTTTGTTAAGAATTCCAGTGCACTGAGATCTGCTGGTTCCGAGGAGATGGGGGCAGCTGTGATTTAACCACCACGTGTGTCCTGGGTGCCACCCTCCTGGGCCAGGCTGGGGCTGGGGACAGGGAGAGTCCACACCCATTTCAGTCTTGCAAGGAGTGCCCTGTGGAGGGGGTGTCCAGGAGGTTCTGGAAAAATGCAGTTGAGGGCCACTTTCAGCATATTTGAGCTGGGTGTCCATGCAGCAAAGCCATCCGGACATGCCAGGCCTGCCTGGCCCTCACGGAGCTTGCTGGGTTGGGACAGGGTGGCTGCAGAGTGCCATTCAGGCAGAAGTAGAGGCGTGGACACAGCACTCTTGGTTCTGGGCTTATTGTTTGCTCAGTGGCTCAATCCCCCCCCCCCGCCCCTGCCAGGCACCAGTTACCCACTGGGGAAAGGACAGAGGCAGTGCCCTGTGGCCACCCACCTCCAAGCCCGCTCACCCGGGCCTATCCCTCTGCTTGTCTCCCCCACTGCAGTACTTTAAGAAGCAGAAGCGGCTCATCCCGGAGAGGACAGTATGGAAGTACTTTGTGCAGCTGTGCAGCGCCGTGGAGCACATGCATTCACGCCGGGTGATGCACCGAGGTACGTGCCACCCGCCAGGAGCCGCCCGGAGCCACCTGGAGCCCAGGAAGACACTTCCTCATGGCTCCTCCAGGGTCCTCAGGGGCAGCCCCTTGAGGAAGTTGGACCGCTCTGTATTCCCCAGGCAAGGGGGCTGCCCAGCAACCGCGCACACACACGCGCCCGGGTCAGGAACCTCCCCGAGGTGGAAAGTGACATGAGCCCCAGGGGGCAGGGGCCCCGCTTGGCACACCACTTCCAGTTCCCCACAGCAGCCTGGGAGGGAGGTCGAGGAAGCCTCGCACAGAGGGGACTTTCATGGGGGCTTTGCCGTCTCAGCGGGCTGGGCTGAGAAGGGGAGGCACCTGAGAGGGGTGTTTCCACAGTTGACATGATTCCGAGTTGTGAGAAAGGAGCCTGCTGGGTGCCCGGCAGGGCACGAGGTCCTTTACGTAGGCTGCTTCATGGACACCTCCGTTCCTTCACTCTACCTGTATCTCTTGGTGTCTGCTGTATTGGAGGCCCCGCCCTCACTGGGGGGTACGGCACTGGGTGCTCCACTGAGCACTCCGTTCATTCATTACGCAGATTTTCCCTGAGGGCCTCCTGTGTGCGAGGCACTGTTCTAGGCATGGAGGATACAGCTCTAGAGCAGGAAACAGGAGCACAGAAACCCCTGCTGTCTTAACCCTCACAGCAGCTCTGTCAAGTTGGTGGAGGGAGACCCATTTTTCATATGAAGAAACTGAGGCTCAGAAATGGTCAATTTCCCGAGGTCCCACAGCCAGAGCCAGGACAGGGCCTTGCCCTGAGGGAGCAGGACCTGGGCTAGGCCTCACCTTCCTCCCCCTTCCTCTCGTCCTGCCCCACCTACCCCAAGCCTCCTACCCCACACCAATCTCCTTCTCCTCGCCCTGCAGACATCAAGCCTGCCAACGTGTTCATCACAGCCACGGGCGTCGTGAAGCTCGGTGACCTTGGTCTGGGCCGCTTCTTCAGCTCTGAGACCACCGCAGCCCACTCCCTAGGTAAGGGGGACCTGTCTGTGCCCCAGCAGCCCCCAGCGGTCCTGGTGACCATGCAGGGAGACGCAAACATTCTCCCCACGTGTGTTTGGTCAGTTAGTGCAGGAAGATGCCTTTTTTAAGCCCCAGGGTTTTCTCATCTGTTCAGAATAGTGACCCAGAAGGGAATCAGCTGTGGCCAGAGGAGCCCAGCTGGGGCTTCCCACACCCCCTGATCACCTCCCAGCCCTTGCGGGAGAAGCTGACTGAGCCGGTTGCTTGGAGCAGGGGGCGTGTCTGTGGCACAGGGCGGTCATCTTCCCACTGCTGTGAGTGTCCCGTTCACGGGCAGCACCCTTGGTCCATCCCTCCTAGGGGGTGGACATTTGCACTGTTCCTAGTTTCTGGCTTTTAAACTGGCGGTTTTGAGGCTGTGGGGACCAGGTGCCTGCCAGGGAGGAGGTGACATTGTAGCTGGACCATAAAGGGAGACCAGATGCTGTTGGGACAGGGAAGGGGAGGGAGCAGCGTTCCAGGAAACAGTGGGTGAGCCTCGGTGTGCGGCTGAGCTTGGCTTTGCCACAGACCAGGGTCCTTGCAGGAGTGGCATGAAAAGCGGGCAGGGCCTTGAACTCTGAGCTCAGTGGGCTGGACACCACCCTATGGGTCGGGGGGTGCTGAAGGGCTGGACTCCGGAAGAGACTTGGTCAGATGTGTTTTGGGGACAGGTGAAGCAATGGCAAGCTTCAGTATCCACACACTGGGTATGTAACCAAATGTGAAACTTGGAATGCTGTACGATGGGGGATTTTTCATTTAGTGAGAACAAAGGAACCAAGAAAGCCCCCGCTTCCCCACCAGTGGAACACAGGAGCAGGGTCTCCTGTGCGTTACTACAAGGCTGTCTGGGTTTCACCACGCCCATCTGTGGGAACATTTCCCAGAGGCCCATGGAGTGGGCGAGGGCCCCTGCTTTCTCAGGGCTATTTCCTGGCTCTTTGAGGTGTGTTTGCAGTGGAAGGTGCCCCCAGGCCCACCCCCTGTGTGCTGTGCCCACCAGCATCCGCTTCCCCAGGAGGGGGCTGGGCCCCAGGAGCTGCCCGCCGCCTCCTTGAACACCGCCCCATTCCAGCTCATTTCCACCCCACTCCATGGCTCAAGCCAGGACGTCTCCTATCCCCAGACCCCCGAGTGCCTGCGGCAAGCGGGGTGTGAGAGACAGCAGCATTGTCTGGGCGGAGGCACTTTCTGGAAGTCACAGTGTCTTGTGGAAAGTGTCACTGTTCATACAGGTTCCAGAGAGACTCTCAGCGCGTCACACACACTTAGGAGAAATGTACGAGCCTAGAGACCAGCGACTCCCAGCAGCTGATGGAGCCAGCGGGGCTGGCGGGGAGGGGGTTGTTTTGAAACTCTTGTCCCCACCTGGCCAGGCCTCAGGAGCTCTTCCTTTAGCTCCAAAGGGAAGATGTGTAGGGACCCACCCCCCAGGGAGTATGGGACGTTCCACTCATGCCCTTGACAGCCCCAAGCATCCAGCCATCCTTCCCTTTAGCAGAGGAAGAATCAGAAATCCAGGCGCTCGAGAGATTTTTCCGAGGTCACATGGCAGCAGGCCTCTCCTTCAGAACCCACGCTGCTTCCAGGAAACGAGGGCCGGGGGCCTCGGCAGATACCGTTGGAGTCCCCCTTTGGGGACCCGGGCCACTGACTCTCCGTTGCTGGAAGGAAGCCTCGTCTTTCCTTGTCCCCTCAAACATTTACTTCCCTTGTGAAAAACCAAGTGTTTCGGTCAGTTTGGGACTGTTTACCTGTGTGGTTGAAGGGCTTCGAAAAGACCAGGAAATTCAAGGGAAGCTGTCAAAGAGAAGAGTTAGAACCGCTGCGTCCTGTCCCCCGTCAGTCAGCACCGAGCCTTTCTCTGTCCCACTGCAGAAAAAAGACTGTGGCGCTCCGTCAGAGAGGGTTAGGATCGCATCATTAGGAATGGGCAGAGATGCGTCTCATCCGACAGTATGATTTTATTGACTTGGACTGGTGCACTTATTATATTAATGAGAAGGAATTGGAACTTGGGAGAAGGCCGCCCTCATAAGCCGGGCTCTTCCCAAGCCCTCCGAGCGCCGACCAGGCCACATGATGGGTGGAAGGAGCCCTCCTGGGGCCTGTCCCCACTCCGGGCTCTGTGCCCGGCATCCAGGAGAGATGCCCAATGAGCTGAGGCCTGCACGGAGCTGAGCAAGTCCCTGCCAGCAGGACAAGCTCCCAGAACCAAGGGCCTGCACCCACCAGGTTCTAGAATGGTGACAGTGCCAAGCTAAAGCCCAGGACCTGTATCTCCAAGACCCAGGGGAAAGACCCCTTCCACCAAGAGGTTCTGCAAACAGCTAAGTCTTGCACACACGTTTGGTTGGGCAAGAGATTGAACTAATTACCATTGCATCGTGACTCAGGAGGGGCACAGGGGCCAGGGACACTTCACGCCCTGTGCGTGGGGATGAATTATGCATCTGCCGCATCTCATGTGCACCTACTATGTGGGGATGCTGTGGTGGCAGCCACGTTGCCCCAGCAACCACCTCATCTCCTAAGGCTGCTGACCCAAGAGCTGGGCTTATGCAAATCTGGTCTCCTCCCACTTCCCCCCTCCCTGGGCCCCCTCCCCGCCTCT
Organism: Homo sapiens; assembly: GCF_000001405.40. Lineage (NCBI taxonomy): Eukaryota > Metazoa > Chordata > Mammalia > Primates > Hominidae > Homo > Homo sapiens. Next base: position 124,330,093 of record NC_000009.12, read on the forward strand.
GTATTTGCTAACACGAGGCTGGCATGAAAGGGCATTAGTCAGTGCCATGGTCGGGCTGACAGGTGCGGTACCCAGCGGTGGCAGAGTGGCTGCCTCGGTGTCAGAAATAGGAGCCGTAATTAGAGCGCGGAACAGAATGAGCGTCAGACGAATTACCAGGCAGCAGATCATATTTGTCAGGAAGGATTGCATACATAAAAATTAAGTGACAGTACACGCCGGCGTAATGCAGGAAAAATGAAAGATTTGCCTATACACAGCTCACAAGCTACAAGCAAGTGTCTCGCTCCGAGCAACGGCAGCAGCTGCAAGACAAATCACGGGGCTGGGAGAGCGGGCGGGCAGGCCTGGCTCCTCGGCTGTAGTGACAGGACAGTCTCGGTGACAGGCAGCCACGGGTGACAGGGCAGGAAGGGCGGCTGGTCACACCCAGGCCCATGCAGGGCCCGTGCTGCCTCTTGGGGGCTGGGAGAGCAAGTCTAGTTGGGGGTGACCCCATCAGGTACTCGAGGTCACGGCCCTGCTGGGTCTCCCAGGGCTTAGCCTGGCGCTGAGGCGCAAACCCCTTCCTTCTTCTTCCTTGAGCAAACTGCCTGGCCCTGGGCTGTGTGCTGGGGATATGCGATTATGCAGCTTTCGAGGGGACAGACACAGTCCATGCCAGGTGGCATGGTGAGGGGACAGGTGGGACTGCCTCTTGGGGCCCACTGTGGGCAGGCAGGGCAGGCGTGGGGCTCTGTGATTCTATACAGAGCCCCAGGGAGCCCAGGGTGGCTCCACCCCTCCCAGAGCCGCCCTCACTTCGTTACTCTGTAGCCACTGAACTCACTGAAAAGATGAGTTAAAGACGGAGAAAAAAGAGTTCAAAAAACATTTTGTTTTTTCGTTGGCCAGGCGTGGTGGCTCCCGCCTGTGATCTCAGCACTTTGGGAAGCCGAGGCAGTCAGATCACTTGAGGTCAGGAGTTTGAGACCAGCCTGGCCAATATGGTGAAACCTCGTCGCTACTAAAAATAGCAAAAAAATTAGCCAGGCCTGGTGGTGCACGCCTGTAATCCCAGCTACTTGGGAGGCTGAGGCAGGAGAATTGCTTGAACCCGGCAGGTGAAGGTTGCAGTCAGCTGAGATGGCGCCATTGCACTTCAGCCTGGGCGAGCGACTCTGTCTCAAAAAAAAAAAAAACAAAACATTTTGCTCATTTTGCTTTTTTGTAAATCATCACAAGGCTTATTATTATCCCATTTTACAGATTAGGAAACTGAGGCCCAGGGAAGTAAGAGAGACCACATCCCTGTGGTCACCCAGTAGCCAGATACCAGAGCCCCACGGGAAATCAGCTCAAGTTGAAGAGCCCTTCTCGAGGCATCAGCCTACAGCATGGCCCAGGGAGGGTTTGGGTTGTGGGTGCCCAGGGAAGGGGTCGAGAGAGGATCCCCAGCGAGACCTCAGGTGCGAGGAACACCTAGGGCTCTGAGCGCTCCATCCCTGAGGAAAAGCCCACCTGACCTCGCCAGCAGCAGGTGTTGGTGGACGACCTGGAGCTCATCCTGGGCCCCACAGGGAAGGACAGAGCCTCCTCTCATGGTGTGTGTCAGCGCTGCCTTGCCGGGGATCACACCATGCTGTGCTGCGTCTGTGCCCAGGCCTGGCATGGGGGCCCTTGTGGAACATTTGCTGAGTGGATGGACGACCTTCATGGCCAGGCATCCCTGGGGACACCTGTCCGTGCAGGTGCGGAGGGCCATGCAGATGCATCCCAGGCCGCCTCCTGCCCCAGCCCCACCCTGCGTCCCATCCCAACAGTGCAGGATGCCTGGGAATGATCCTGTCAGTCCCTCGGGCCCAGAATCCCTGCCTCAGCAGATGGATCTCAGGCCTGAGTTTCAGCCGAGGTTCTGAGCACTAACCCCTCGGTGGCAGTCACAGGTCTGCCACCTTCCTGGCATTTTCAGGGGCACAGACTGTTAGGAAGAGATGAGCTGATGCCAAGAGGGGAGGGAAGGAGAGGGAAGGGCCTTAAGGGGCCAGCAAGTGAGGAGTCAATCTGGACCTGGGATGTAAACTCCAGCTCTTTGGTTCATTCATTCGTTCATCCATTCGACAAGGATCTGTGCTGGGCCTGGGCCGTTCCCCGGGAAGGCTGGCTTGGCCCCTGCCTTTGTGGAAGATACAGCCTGGTAGGAGAATCCATTTAGTCTTCACCATGAACCAAACACTCCTCCAACAATTGCTTCTCATTTTCCAGAGAGGGAAACCAAGTCTGCAGAGGTCAGGGGGGGACCCTCTGTTTTCCTGATGGGGAGACCGAGGCTGAGAGAGAGTTTCTGTTCTCAGCCAGGGAGTGGAGGAAGCAGGTGCAGCCCAGCCAGCTCCAGCTCCATGTCACTGCTGTCCCCACCTGCCCCTGTCTGTCCCATGGAGGATTCAGTGCCAAGGCACAGCCCCCCAGCCCAATGTCCCGCCGGCTGGACGGATGTCAGCAAGGAGACCGCATTTCTCCAGCTGCTTTCCAATCCACCATCTGGGGAAGAGGGGCAGCTTGCAGACACCAGCCTCCCCTTCCTGTGAAATCTGCCTTTTTCGTAGCTAATGAACATGTTTCAAACACCGAGAGCATTTCAAAACACGGCAAAGTTTGTTTTGACAGGACCGGCGCATCTTGGGGAAGCGGGGCCCCTTTAATCAGCCTCCCTCTTTCAGATCCCGCATTCTCCTCTGATATCTGCTGGGTTTGAAATCGGGAGTTCTAGGTAAAGATTCCGGGAAGGTCAGGGTTTGTCAGGCTCTTCTTTCATACACACAGCTCCGTCCCCCACCAAGAGGAGGGGGCGGTGGGAGTCTCAGGGAGGGGCATGGAAACCCAGGCTGCACAGGGCTCTGCCTCTGCGTCTCGGCATCGCCGGGAGATGGGCCGGGATAAGGCCCGGGCTGCACTGCACACAGAGGTCGTCCTGGGCAGGACCCCCGCTGTCTGTGGAGACCCCTCCTCCTGCCAGCTTCCCCGACGACTCCTCAGAATCCCAGCTCTCCTGGCGTCTGGGGATGCATCCTCCAGTGGCCCGCTGCAAGCTGGGGGTTTCTTTGAAATCTCTTGTTTTATCTTCAAAACTCATGCGAGTTGGGCATTGTGCTCTGTAGTGTCTGAGTGGCTATTGTCAGCGTAGACACCAGGCTTTACGTGACTTATTCCCAGACAAGTTGCCATCACAGGAAGAGGTGCTGTATCTGCTCCTGTAGCTTCCCACAGCCCTAGCTGCAGTCCAGGACACCCTGCCCCCCAGTGAGACACAGCACCCTGACTTTAAGATAGAAGGGGGAGCAGCCCCTCCCCTGGGTCAGGGGGTTGGGGAACCTGCCGGGAGGCAGGGACCTGAGGACCCTGTGCTGCCAGGCTCAGGATGGGCCAAGCCTCTCTCAGTTAAGGCTTCACTAGTTCCTTCACTTTCTTTACCTTTCCGTTGCACAGATGCTCACCGAGCGTCTGAAAGAGTGAGGTGGGTGAGTGAGGCCTTTTGGCAGCTCCTTTTAGACGGGAACTAACAGTAACATCTCTTGTAAGAGATACAGGGTCCAGGTTCCACCCCTGGAGATTGTGGCCCCCAGGTCTGGAGTTGGACTGGAGATCCAGATTTCTAACCAGCCTCTCCAGGCAATTCAGCTGCAGCATGGATCATTTCAGTCCTTTTTTTTTTTTTTTTTTTTTTGAGACTGAATTTCGCTCTGTTGCCCAAGCTGGAATGCAGTGGTGCGATCTCGGCTCACTACAACCTTCACCTCCCGGGTTCAAGAGATTCTCCTGTCTTGCCCTCCCAAGTAGCTGGGAGTACAGGCGCGTGCCACCACACCCGGCTGATTTTTTAAATTTTTAGTAGAGATGGGGTTTCACCATGTTAGCCAGGATGGTCTCGATCTCCTGACCTCGTGATCCACCCGCCTTGGCCTCCCAAAGTGCTGGGATTACAGGCGTGAGCCACCACGCCCGGCCCAAGTCCATTCTTGATAGACATGGTCTACTGGCTGTTTCTGAATACTTCCTGGGACAGGCAACTAACTCCCTGCCTCCTGATGGGCCCACTCCTGCAAGGTCCCAGCAGGGTCAAGGCTCAGTTAATCTTAGTTGGAGGTGGGCAGGTGGCTGGCTGGATGGATGGGTGATGGACAGACTGATGGATGAATGAATGGGGGTTGGATGGATGGATGGATGGACGATAGACAATTATGGATGGTTGGACAGTTGGGTGGATGATGGATGGATGGCAATTTGCAACACTAGCATCTTAGAAGAAAGCTCCAAATTGCATTTGGATGTTTGCCTTTTCTCCGTACACCAGTGGAAATGGGGTAAGCAGAGAGAGCAGTGAGGTGGCAGAGGAATGAGGTGAAGAGAGGAGGGGACGGAGGGCTGGTGCCCCCAATCTCTCTCTGCCCACGTGCCCAGGCTTTCAATATAAAGCCAGGCTGAGACAGGGATCTGTCGGCCTGCCTTGGAGCTCCAGCAGAGGGAGGAGGTGGTGACAGAACAAAGGGACAAACCTAACGTTTGGGTCCTGCTGAGCAGCCGGCTCTCCCTGGCCAGGGGAGGGGACCTTAAAGGAGCCCGCAAGGTGGCAAAGGGAACAGCACGTGCAAAGGCACAGAGGCGAGTGGAAAAGCGGGCTGGGGCTGGGGCTGGAGTAGCCGCTGTGGGAGGACCCGGGCTGAGGGCCAGGCACTCCAAGCCCTTGCTTTCCGATGGTCCTGGCCAAGGCAGCGCCAGGCCACACCCCGGCCCCAGTGTAGGTGACCTCTCCCCACAGCATCCCTCCTGTAGAGGCCCAGGCAGATCCACAGTGAGCAGAGGAGACTCAGGGTGGGAAGAGCCTGTAGGGTCAGACAGGAAGGGGCTTGGCCAGGGGTCTGAAGGGTTCAGTGTTAGCCAGACAGTGCACAGTGGTGTCTCTCACTGGGGACAGGACTCCCTGCCTGCATCTGTCCCCTGCCATCTCTGTGTGCACCCCATCAGCCCTACATCATTGTCCAACCTGTAGGCACATCCATCCATAGCACCCAGGTGCTGGAATCCACTTACATTTGTCCTGAGGTTCCCACTGTTCACCGAGAACTGTGTGTTTCATCCCATGGTTGGCTACGACAAGCCATCCATTTCACACTGGGCTGTTCCTTTACTTTTGCTCCCTCGTGACCAAAATATACAAGGTGTTGCTACTGGAAGTTGCGATTTGCTGTCCTATAAGAACCCCACACGGATTCATATGTTGACTGACAGCCCTTTCTGCTGAGTAGCGGTTAGCCCCTGGCTTCGCTCATCAAGTATGCATAGAGGATGACACCTTTCTCACAAGCAGGGCTTTAAGTGAGGGCTGCTGCGCTTGTTTGGGGATTATTGCCATGAAAAGGAGCTTGGTATCCTGATGAAGCAATAATCACATTTCAGACAGTTGAGCTCCGGGCAGCCATCAGTTAAATGAGCAGTGTGTTCAGCTGCAAGGAAGAATTGTGGGCAGTGGCACGCGCCGCCACATAGCTCACAGGCAGGCGGACTCATTCATCCAGTGAGCGGACGCCCACAAGGCACCCACTATGAGCCGTCCTGCGCAGGGTACTGGGATGCGGCAACAAACAAAGTCCTGCCCCTGGGAGTTGACAGCCCAGATCAGAGATTTCCAACACCATTACAGCCTCTCCAAAAACTGCGAGGTAGTTCTTCATCCATCTCCATTAAGATAAGAAAAACAAGGCCGGATGCAGTGGCTCAGGCCTATAATCCAAACACTTTAGGAGACCAATGTGGGAGGATCGCTTGAGGCCAGGAGTTTGAGACCAGCCTGGGCAACATAGTGAGAACCTCTCTCTACAAAGAATTTTAGGCGGGGCGTGGTGGCTCATGCCTGTAATTCCAGCAATTTGGGAGGCCAAAGCGGGCAGATACCCAAGGTCAAGAGTTTGAGACCAGCCTGGCCAACGTGGTAAAACCCATCTTTACTAAAAATACAAAAATTAGCCAGGCATGGTGGTGTGCACCTGTGGTCCCAGCTACTAGAGAGGCTGAGGCAGGAGAATCATTTGAACCCAGGAGGCAGAGGTTGCAGTGAGCCAAGATCGCGCCACTGCACTTCAGCCTGGGCAACAGAGCGAGACCCTGTCTTAAAGAAAAAAAAGAAGAAGAAAGAAAAAACAAGAATATAATCAAGTTCAAAATGTTAAACTTGTTCAGTTTTGTAAAGAACTGTCCTCAGTTTTGAGAAATGGGTTTTCTCAATCATGCCAAGCTGTCTTTTCTTTAAAAATCATAGTGACTGACACTAAATGGTAGTTGGGGGCTTTGTGTTTTTTAAATGCTTCCTTCATGAAATTAAAAGTTACCTGTGTTTTTCCCGAAATCTCCTGACCCGTGAAACCCTGAGGCCTCGGCCCGGTGCCTTCTGAGTCCAGCCCCTGAATGGTCCATTCTCCTCCCAGGGTCCTGGATCCCCTCTTCCTCATGTCACAGGCCACATCTCAGCCAGCCTTTGCCACGCTGGGACTCCAGCTCACCACAGAGACTGGTGAGGACAGCAGCAGCCTCTGTCACATGACATGGTGTCTCCAGGCCAGTGAAAATGTTCTCAGTTTAGCAACCTTAAAAATCCAGGCCAGGCTGGGTGCAGTGGCTCACACCTATAATCCCAGCACTTTGGGAGGCCGAGGCAGACGGATCACCTGAGGTCAGGAGTTCAAGACCAGCCTGGCCAACATGGTGAAACTCCGTCTCTACTAAAAATATAAAAATTAGCTGGGCATGATGGCACGTGCCTGTAATCCCAGCTACTCAGGAGGCTGAGGCATGAGATTCACTTCAACCCGGAAGGCAGAGGTGATCGCACCACTGCACTCCAGCCTGGGCGACAGAGCGAGACTCTGTCTCAAAAAAAAAAAAAAAAGAATTCCGGGCCTATGCCTCCAGAATAGCCATCCACTCAATGGGCTGATAGGAGAATGTCAGGTTACAGGACCAGATTCCTGGGCTCCACTCCAGACCTGCTAAATCAGCCCCTCTGCTGAGGTGTTCATGCCTCTGGTGATGGAGAGCTCACTGCTTCAGGAAATCCTCCCATCTTTGCACGGTTCCAGCTCATCCAATATGTGCCCTGCTGCCCAGAGATAACCCTACAGGTGCTGGGAGGTCAGGGCACAGCCCTCCACAATTTCCTCAGTGTTGGCGTTTCCTGCGGGGAGAAGAGGGACCCTGAGGACAGGCCCTGAAGCCCTCTGGCTTCCCTCTTGGCAGCAGAGCCCCATCTTCACCATTAACACCTTTTTCCTCATTCACTTTTTAACTGAGGTATAATATACATACAGTGAAGCTCCTGGAGCCCTTTCCTGGTCACCACTCCTATAGAGTAGCTTTTCCTGTTCTTGAATTTCACATAAATGAAATACAATAATGTGCTGTTTTGTGCCTGGTTTCTTTTACCCAGCATTATGTCCATGAGCTGCATTCATTTTGTCGTGTATAACTGAGATTTGTTCTTTTGCAGTGCTGTACAGTATCCCACTGTGTGAACAGACCACAGTTTATCAATTGATCCAACATTTGTTTCCAGTTTTTGCTGTTACAAACAAAGCCACTCTGCACATTCTTGATTGTGTCTTTTGATGGATGGAAGCACTCATTTGGGCATCTACCTAGGAGCGGAATTGCTGGGCTATAGTGTTGGCAGTGTTTGGCCATGGTAGAAACCAGCCGATGGTCTTCCAAAGTAGTTGTACCATTTTACCTTCTCATCAGCAAAGCATGGACATTCCAGGTGCTCCACACATCATCGACCTTGTTTTTCTTTAACTTTGGTTTTTTTGTCTTTAAACATTCAGATGGGTGCGTAATTGTACCTCATTGTGTTTTTTTGGTTTTGTTTTTTGTTTTGAGACAGAGTCTCACTCACTCTCTCACCTGGGCTGGAGTGCAGTGGCATGATCTCGGCTCACTGCAGCCTTCACCTCCTGGGTTCAAGGGTTTCTTCTGCCTCAGCCTCCTGAGTAGCTGGGATGACAGGTGTGTACCACCATGCCTGGCTAATTTTTGTGTTTTTAGTAGAGACAGGGTTTCACCATGTTGGCCATGCTGGTCTCAAACTCCTGACCTCAGGTAATTCCCACACCTCGGCCTCCCAAAGTGGTGGGTTTACAGGCGTGAGCCACCGTGCCATTCATTGTGTTTTAATTTGCCCTTCCCTGATGAGTAGTAAGAAAAGTAGCCTCACTTCATGTGCTTCTTGGCCACTGGGATATTCTCTTTTGTGAAGTGCCTGTTCAGGGCTTTTGCTCATTTGAATAAGGGGGTAGTTTGTCTCTTATGTACTGATTTGCAGAAGCTTTGAAATATGTTCTGTGAAGAGTCCGTTGTCAGGTGTATGTGTTGGGATGATTTTCTCCCAGTCTGTGACTTGCCTTTAACTCTGGTGTGGTTTGATGAACTGAAGTTCCTAGTTTTAATGCCTTACACACGTTTCCTTTTTGGTTAGTGCCTTTTCCATCCTGTTTAAGAGATTTCGGCCAACCCGAGTCTGGACCGGCTAATTGGCGGGTGGCCATGGGCAGAGCTAAGTGGTCAGTTTCTGGAACCTGAGGGTCTGGGTTTGAACTAATTCCTGCCACTCTCGTGCAAACCTCTTCACCCATCTGAGCCTCAGTTTCTCCATCTGGAAAATGGAGATACTGCCTCATAGCACTGTTGGGAACAGAAATGAGCTGACACATGGAAGATCTTGGTCAGCCTCCACAGTGATGGTTTTTTCACTGTTCAGAGCCTGATCCTGACTCTTGCAGATTCAGACAGTCCCCTTAAAGGACATGTGGTCAGTTGCTTCCCCCAGCCGGGCCGAGGAGGCATCCCCTTCCCCTGGGCAGCTGGCAGAAACACCAACCCCCAGCTCTCCAGCCCCATCCTGATTTTTTTTTTTTTTTTTTTTTTTTTTTGAGCCCGAATCTCACTCTGTTGCCCAGGCTGGAGTGCAGTGGCGCAATCTTGGCTCTCTGCAGCCTCCGCCTCCCTGGTTTAAGTGATTCTCCTGCCTCAGCCTCCTGAGTAGCTTGGATTATAGGTGTCTGCCACTATGCCCAGCTAATTTTTGCATTTTTAGTAGAGGCGGGGTTTTGCCCTGTTGTCCACCCACCTTGGCCTCCCAGAGTGTTGGGATTACAGGCGTGAGCCATGGCGCCCAGCCTCCCAGCCTGATTCTTGGTCTCGGTGGGTCCAGGGAATCTGCTTCAAGTCCCTGGCACCCCAGGTGTTTAGTGCCCTGCTAGCATGGGAACCTCTAATCTGATCCAACTGCTCATCTGACAGAGGAAGGCCCAGGCCCAGAGAGGGAGAAGGGCTGCTCAGAGACCGAGGCACAATCTCTCCCCAGCTCCCGTGTGCCCTCCCTCCAACCTCACCTCTGTGCCCTGCCCCTGCCCTACATGGAGCATAAGCAGCCCCGCCCCTTGCTGTGTTGCAGTGGGGACGCCCTACTACATGTCACCGGAGAGGATCCATGAGAACGGCTACAACTTCAAGTCCGACATCTGGTCCCTGGGCTGTCTGCTGTACGAGGTGAGTCTCTGTCCGTGGCTCAGCAGCATTTGGTGGGACATGCATGGGGGGTGCCCAGTTAGGACAGGGCTCACCCTACCAGCTCAGGGTTGGAACCCAGGAATGTCACGTCTGCCTGAGGCATCGGTACCACCAGGGCCCTGTCCTTCACCCTCCTCAGCCCCACGTGGGGCCTGGTCTGCAGGGCCAGGCTGGTGGAGGCTGTTAGAGGGTGGACAGCAGTGGGCGGGGTCCAGGAAGGGAAGACAGAGGGAGCACAGGCCAGGCATCTGATCCCCAGCTGCCCCTGCCCCCGTCGCCCTGGTAACCACATTAACACACCGGCGATTCTGTTCATCCTTTATTATGGGTCAGGCCCGGTGCAGGGCACCTGGGGTCAGGAGAGGAGTCAGACTTGCCTCATGCCCCTGAATCACTCTCCACTGACAGGTGGCCACCCCCTCCAGGCCCAGAAATGTGGGTCTCCCTAAAGACCACCACCTCTCCCCTGAGCTGTTAAATGGAGCTAGGGGATGGCCACTTCCAGACCTGGTGGCCTGCCTGGACAAAGGGACAGGAACATTTCTGAGTTTCAGTGAGCCCAGACGTGAGACAATAAGAATAAATGGAAGCCCCCCACCCATTTTGTCCAGCCACACTGGGGCCCCAGGTGATGAGAGGTGTGGGGAGCATGAGCCACTCTTGGCCATGAAGCTCTTGCAGCCACCGGCAGGAGGGAGGCCTAAGTTCTCCGGTGTCCAGGTTGGCAGCCACACAAGCTCCCCACTGTCCCTAGACCACCAAAGGCTGGGTGGCTCCGGGATTCCATCCACCTGGCTGAGCCCCTCCGCATCTATAAGATGGGAACAGGACCACCTGTCTTGCATTGTCCTCAGTCCTGATAAATGACAGACAGGAAAGGGCTCTGGAAACCCCCCCAGGCTGTTAGACACCAAGCCCGGCTTGGTTTTACAGTTGGAACCCTGACTGTTTTTCTGCTTTCCCTGGAGCTGACTTGAGCAGATGTGGGGTCTGGCTTGGAGCTGACACACTGAAAGAACTTCAGTCTCAGCTGCTGTGGCCGGTGACAGTCCACAGCAGTGATGCTCAGGACAGCGTGTCCAGGGCCTGCCTCGAGTGCTGCGCAGTTGTCCACAGAGCCTGATTGCTCTGTCCCCTTGGGACTGTCGACTCTGAGGCTGACCTCACAGCCCTTGTGCATGAACTTGAGGGCTACGCTGCCCACCGCTGGGCCACGTGGGACCCGCGGCCGCTCTCGTGGCCAGGGGGTCTTGTGGCCAGGGTCTTTTGGTGGTGAGATTTCCCCTCCCCACATTACAGATTGAGACTATGAGTTCAAAACTCTGATCTGTTTGCAGGGTTTAAACTTCACAGCATCTTTCTTTTGTTTTTTTGAGACAGAGTCTCACTCTTGTCGCCCGGGCTGGAGGGCAGTGGCGCAATCTCGGCTCACTGCGGCCTCCACCTCCCAGGTTCAAGCAATTATCCTGCCTTAGCCTCCCAAGTAGCTGGGACTACAGACGCCCGCCACCCCACCCGGCAAATTTTCGTATTTTTTGGTAGAGACGGGGTTTCACCATGTTAGCCAGGCTGGCAGCATCTTTCTTTATAAGCCAGTGACCTGCTATATTTCATTTTAACAGACTGGCTGGAGGTGTGGTCCTTGTGGAACTGGTGCTTGGGACCCCTTCTCCCGGGGCTCAGCAGATGCGGGTGACAAGAGGGTGGGACCCCTTCTCCCAGGGCTCAGCAGATGCAGGTGACAAGAGGGTGGGACCCCTTCTCCCAGGGCTCAGCAGATGCGGGTGACAAGAGGGTCTGTGGGTTAGTCTGGCCCTGACAGAGCTGGGAAGCAGGCCGGGTGCTCTTTCCAGGACTCCACAGGGCATCGGTTGCAGGAGGAGCTCTTTGAATGAGGACCTAGCTGGAGCAGCCATGGCGAGTGTGTAGTGGATGGGGAAGGGGCCTGCAGGTGAAAGGGGGACGAGCCATTTGTCCTCCCTGCCTCCCTGTCTCTCCACAGCCCAGCTCCTGGGTGGGTTGGGGCGGCGAGTGTTGAGCAGGGTGTGTGGGTGGGCTCGGGGGAGGGCAGTGGATGTAGGAGAGAATTTGGAGGGAAGTCAGTGTCTTTAGCCATAGGAGACAAGACATGTTAAGTCCAAACTCTTCTGAGACAGGAGGAAACCTGCTGGTGTAGGGCCCTGTGTGCCTGCACATTCCGAACAGCCCCGGGGAGGGTGCGTGCCTGTTATTTTGCGGAGAAGACGTTAAATCCAGGTGGGGAAAGCCCCGGGTGTGGAGAGTTGTTGAGTGGCGCAGAGCCACTGTGCTGCTGGTGTGTGTCCCCCAGGAGGAGTCGTGAGTTCCAGTCTCTCCAGGACTCCTCTAAATCCAGGCAGGTGGCCACTCTGGCCACCAAGGTCGCTGAGGCTAGCAGTAGAGTCACGCCCATGTCACCTGCTAACCCGGCTGTCCCTGGGCTCAGGGCTCCAGCGTCACCGCCCTGCCCCCACTTGCCCTAAGGTCTGAGGAGGGGATGCAAACCCACCTGTAAGTGGGCATCGTTCACCCGGTGTCAGATCCTGAGGGGAAGAGACAGGCGTTCTAGGTCTCCCAAGGCCCAGGCTAATGCCCGCAGCATAGTGGATGGTCGGGGAGCACAATTTTGAATTAGAGCACGTGTCTGTGTGTAGGCAGCTCACTTACCAACTCACTTTCATCCAAATCCCAGCTCCAGGGCCCACCCACGGAAGGATCCAGGCAAGTCAGCCCCTCCCGGGTGGGCCTCAGGTGTCCCATATGTAGAATGAGTGGCCAGCCCACCTTGTCATAGTGAGGAAGGAATGAGGCCCTAGGGGTGAGGTGCCCGAGTCAGAGAAGGCCCTCGGGCCTGTCCACCAGCTGCAGGCCAAGCACGGGCACTTCTGCCCGCCTCCGGCACGAGGCTCCTGCAGCTTGCCACATTTCCCTTTTTGCTTTGGCCAGCGGGAAGCCAAAGTGCAGCCCAGCCTCAGTCTCCGAGGAGGCTCCACTTTGTCCTCCTTTCCTCATGTGTCTTGTCCCTGGGTCAGATGGCTTTTCGTTTCTTTTTCCATTCTGCTTTGTGTTTTTGTAAGCTGCTTCCTGTCTCCCATGAACCATGGGCTCTCCACACATAAACACACACACAGCATATGAACACACACACAGGCTGGCCAGGCTGACAGAGCTGTGCCCACTTCCCTGGGGCTGGGGCCGGGAGGCCAGCAGCTGGCTCCCTCTGCCTGTGCCAGGCCCTCCACTTGAGAACCGGCCCTGTGGTTCCCAGCCCCGTTCCCTGCCTCAGTCTTTGTCTCGGCTCTGCAGAGGCAGGCACAGCCCATCCTGTGCCAGGCCTCACTGAATTCTGGCTCGGGCAGTCCTCCTCCGAGTCCTCATTTGTGGGCACCTAAATGTGCATCTCACAAGGCAGTCCCGCCTTCGTGACTCCCTGGCATTGAGGCTCGGGTTACGCCGAGCTGACTCATTTGTTGGAGTGAGTGGGGCTGTGCGGCTCGCAGCTGGGGGGGCTGGACCACAGCCGGGGGGCGGTGAGGGGACGGATCGCAGCCGGGGGGTGGTACGGGGGATGGATCGCAGCTGGGGAGGTACCGATCGCAGCGAGGGGTGGTGTGGGGGGACAGATCACAGCCAGGGGTGGATACCAGTCAGCAGTAGGAAGTGAATGAAACACAGCAGTCAAGCCCTGAGGGGATTAGCGTCCTCAGGGACATCAGGCGCTGACCTAACCCTAGCAGCCCCGGCCTCACACAGCAGCAGGCTGCTGTGGCCACCCATAGCCGGCCCATCCAAGGGTAACGGGGCAGGGGCTCTGTGCCAAGTGACCCCCTCCCCACTCCTGCAGTCCCTAAAGGGGAAGGTGAAGCAGGCGTTTCCCCAGCAGACAGGGAGGAGAGCCACATCTGAGCCCACGGCCATGTAATTGGAAAGAGGCCTCCCGCAGTCACGCCCGGAGCCTCCCGCCCCACAGCCTGTGGTGTCTTCCAGGGGCACCAGCCTGAAGAGCTGTGACAAAGCCCCCTGCCCTCTCTGGACAACAGCTGAGGATCCTGCACAGGGCACATACCCAGGTCACCTGGGCCCTGGTGACAGACACAGCCGGAGAAAACCTGCCCTTCCCCAAGCCCCAGCACAGCCCGGAAGGCTCAAAAGCCCCTGTGCTCATCCCTGTGGCTGCAGTGACAGATGCCACCACGCCGATGGCTTCAAGCAACATAAGTTTACTCTCTTAGATCTCGAGGATTCTGGAGGCCAGATGTCCAAAATCAGTCTCGCTGGGCTAAGTCAAGGTGTCAGCGGGCAGGTGCCTTCTGGACGTTCTGGGGGCGAATCTGTTTCCTTATGTTTTCCATGGAAAATGGAGAGGCCACCCGCGGTCCTCGGTCCCCGCCTTGTGTCACCACAGCCTCTGGTGTGCGTCAGCCTGGCGTCTTCCCCTCTTCTGTGCCCTTCTCTCTCGGGCTCCCTGTCATGAGGGCTCTTGTGGGTACGTTGGGGCCCACCTGGATAATGCCCCCATCTCAGGAGCCAACATTTCATCACAGCTGCAAAATCCCATTTGCCCTATAAAGTGTCATTTACAAGTCCCAAAAATTCGGTGATGGATGTCTTTGGGGCCCACCATTGAGTCCCCCATACCCTCTCTCACACTTGGGCATCAGCTATTACCGAGGACCTCCTGTGGCCACCGGAGTTGCTGGCGCTGACCCCAGCTAGTGGGAGCCACCACAAAGCCCCGCACCTGGCCCTCGGGTGGGGCCCCAGCGGAGTGTCTTGAAGAGGCTGGAATCAGGAGTGCTGGCCCGAACATGGAGTGAATCATGACTCGCAGGCCAGGCGGTGGGGAGCCCCCGGTGGGAGCTGGGAGCAACAATGCCCGAGCTTGGGATATCGGAAGGCCGGGCTCTGTTCTCGTTACCTAGATGCCCATGGAGGTGCCCAGCGGGCTGCCCGCTCTGCAGGACTGATTTTTATCTATGTGGGAGCTCAGCTGCAATTACGGAGCTAGAGGAATTGGCTCATTCAGTGCCAGTCCCAGGATCCTCATAGGGGGCCTCCTCGCAGCAGCCTTGAGGTGCCCAGCTGGGACTGAGACCCAGCGAGACAGCGGACTCAAGGGGAAGATCTGCGGAGCCTTGGCCGGGACGCCGCTTTGGAATGCTGCTTGGACGGCAGAGAGGCCTGGACGCCCCTCCGTGGTGGAGGAGCAGGGCTGCAGACCTCCTGGCCTCCAGTCACCCTTCTGTCTGGGATGTGCTCGAGAGACACTGGGTGACAAGATGGGTGTCTGAGGCCCTGACAGGCAGGAGTCAGATTCCCCTTGTCCCTCTGACATCTCAGATCACACACCAGCTTCTCTGAGCCCTCCTGGTGGGGGCCAGGGCCCACCCACCCCCTTTTCCTCGGCTATATGTCACCCTGATGACACCAGAGAGAAGGGCTTGGCATTTGAGGAGCAGCGCTGAGAGCCGTGGCCTCGGCAGTTCTAACGAGGCCCCAGACAGTGAGTCCTCTCTATTTCGACCAGTCAGAGTCTGGGTGGTCACTGGTAGAAGGAGATCTCGCCGTCCAGGGTAATCGTTGTAATCCGCGCAGCCCAGAGCTTTCTTCACAGCCCATTGCCCTGATGAGGGTGGAAGGCCCATGGCCGGCAGCAGAGTGGGGGCAGGCTGGGGCGGATGGAGGAGGCCTGTTCCTGGGGAAGGCCGAGAGGGGTCCTCTGGCATAGCTCACTGCTGACCCCATTCAAAAGGCTTTTCTGAAACGATGTGGAGAAAGTGCTGGAAAGAGCAGAGACATGATGGGAAGTGGATGCCAGCTTGGGGGCTCAATGCTCCCCTCAGCGTTCTGGGGCCTTTGGAGTTCCCAGCAGCGAGGTTTATAAAATTGAGATCAAATGGGCATGATCTGAAGTTGAAGATCGGCTGATTCCTCTCCGGGGTCAGCCACATGAAAAACCAGGGCCTGCGTTCACAGGACCAACACTCAAAATGTCCCTTCTACGCTGCACAGTAACAGTCCAGGAAAATCCACCTTAATCCTCCAGCTGCAACTCGGGGGCACCCAGATCACCCCAGGTGACCGTCCTGGAGTCTCAGCTGCTCTCTGTTATGGCAACAGATGTCCTTTGAAAATGCCCGATTAACCCTTTGCACCCGAGAGTCTCATTTTAATTCCTGGACATGCGTCACCTGGGTGGTGCATTTGGCAGGCTCCCAGCCCGCTCCTGGTCAGGTCAGCAGACCCCAAAATGGGCAGGGCCTCTGCATCCTCACACTTCCCCTGCCTGGCCAGACCCTCCCTGCAGCCCTCCTCCAAGGGTGGGTTTCAGGCTCCACATGGGTTCCCAGCCCTTCTCTGAGGGGCCCAAGCTCCCAGCCAGCCGGAAGACAGAGGTGATGCTGTCCCTAAACACCCACCTGAAGGCACTTGGCCTGGCCTGGGCTCCTGGTCCCGAGGGTGCTGAACCTGGGGCTGAGGAAAGCCCACAGTCTCCAGGCTGCACTCAGCAGCTTCCCCAAAGGCCATCTGCAAACCCAAGGATGGTGCCAGGCTCTGAAGCTCCTCCACGCCCTCCTGAAGGAGGCAGGCCCTTGGGGTCACCAGACCTGTTCATGGACGAACACAGAATGGGGCAAGACCAGGAAACCCAAGCTGACGGGCACCCTCAAACCCTGCTACCAAGGACTCCTCCCCGCTCAGCCTCTGGGGCGCGAGGACAAGCGACGGTTCCCCAGGTATCCCAGGGCCCCTCGGTAGGCGCCCAGGAGCCCTTGGCCAAGAAGCCAGAGCAGGGTGGCCCCTCCGGGGGGGAACCGGGGCCAGACAGCAGGAGGGCACTCGCCCGACGGCACTTCACTAGCCGGAGGCATTGGGCCTCGGGGGGCGGTCCGGGAGGCAGGCAGCCACAGTGAGCTGGAGTGACGAGAAGCTCTTTCCCATTATGGGTTCATAATGGGGCCAGCAGGTGCCACGCTGGGCTGCTGCGCCACCGCCTCAGGGCCACTGTGGCCCCTGCACACCCCCTTGAGGAGTCCCCTGTGAGTGCCCTGAGTGGTGGGGCAGCCTGGCAGCACCCTGACAGCTGAGAACTCACAGGAGGCCACCGCCCCACAGGCCTTTCGCTCCCCCGTGGCTGTGGCCGGCCTTCAGGGCAGAACCGGTGCCGCAGGCCTCACCTCATCAAAGGCGGTCTTGGCCCTGCTGGTGGTGCCTCCTCCGTGTGCCAGCCCAAGCCTCGCCACAGGCCTGTGGGTGGGGACATTTTACAAATGAGGAAACTGAAGTCCAGAGACACAGCGAGTGCAGAGCTGGGGTCGGGACAGAGCTAGGGCTGGCTGTGGAGCCAGGCGCTTCCCTCCCACCCTGAAGGTTCCCTCCAACATGCTGCTGCGCACCTCTATCCAGGGGCAGGAGGCTGCCTCCCTCCCTCCTGAACCCCCTGCTCCCCCTGCCCTGATACCGGCAGCTGGCTTCCACAGGCAGCAGCTCTGCGAGGGGCTGGCAAGAACAGCCACAGTGAAATGCCTCACCCTTCTCCGGCCCACCCCACCCCAAAATGTCAGTCCATAGGTAAGGAAAGCTCTCTGAACATGTGGGGCACAGAGACCTGCCCCTGCAGGCATCTTGGAAAAATCGCGTTTTATGGAAATAAGACCATGCACTCGGCAACCTGCCACATGGAGCCTGGGTCCCCCGGGCTGAGGTGGGAGCAAGGTGGGAATTAGCTTGCAGCGTCCAGCTGCCCTTCTTTATTGCCTTGAAAGTTTTGTCACCGAAACCCTCGTGCCCACTTAATCCAGTGACAGAATCAGGGTAGTGTTGCGCCTGCTCCTCTGTTGAACCCCAGCATGCTCGGTGATTCGGGGGAGAAGTCCTGCTGGACTCGCCGCGGTCGGGACCAGAGAGAACCCATGCCCCAACAATCTGGAGCAGCCTCCTCCTCTCTAGTCCTTCTGAGCCTTGAGGCCGAAAGCTTATCTTCGTTGTTCCCGTCCCTTGCAGATGGCAGCCCTCCAGAGCCCCTTCTATGGAGATAAGATGAATCTCTTCTCCCTGTGCCAGAAGATCGAGCAGTGTGACTACCCCCCACTCCCCGGGGAGCACTACTCCGAGAAGGTGAGTTTGCAGGAGCCGGAGGCCTCGCCAGCCCCAGGAGGCCACCGAGGCTTATGAGGGCCGCTCCAAAACACCACAGCTGTGGGGCTGAGGTTAGGCTCACTTTACACGGTGCAGAAAGGGAGCTTTCTGGAAAAGTGACTTGGAGAGGGGAAAGTAGGTGATTGCACTGAAGAAGGGGTTTCACCACGCAGCTCCAGTGTGGGACCCCCAGGTAGGAACCAGTGGCACGTGGCCCTTGGCACATCTCCACCTGTTCAGCTCCCAACTTGGTGCTCCAGTGGGAGGCCCTCTGCTGCAGGTCCCCAGGACAGGGTCTGTGCCGTGCCAGACATGGGAACTGATACAGGGGCAGGATGTGGCAGGCCTGGCGTCCCCATACCACCAGTGGTGGCCACTCTGCTCCCATGACAGGAAACTACGGCAGGAGGACCGGTCAGTTTCCTCCTTATATAACAGACTTAACACCCTGGGCTTCTACTGTCAACATTTTACACTGGCTGCGGGAGCCGTGGACACAGCTCCCATGGGTCTGGCATGGGGCTGTACCAGTTACTAGGAATGTGTGAATATCTTATTCCTCGGCTCCGTCACCTTGAAGATGGGACTAATAATCTCCTTGGTGGATAATGGTGAGGAAGAAAGGACAGGTTTCCTGGCACAGCAGGGTCAAAAGTGTAGATACATGTTCACACACTCTCTGCACTGTTCCTAGGTGAGTCACCTAACCTCCCTGAGTCTCAGTTTCCTCACCTATACAATGGGGATAATATTAAATCTTCCACACAGGATCAGCATAAGGATTAAGGTAAGGCACCAGGCTAACACTGCCACCACCATCCAAAGTGGCCAATGGATGGGGCCTGGCTCAGTCAGTGTTCACTAAATATCATGTGACCCTTATTTCTGTTCAAGGTCAACGCTAGTGGGTGAGTCTGGGGCCTCCGTGGGCCCACCCCATAGGACCACAGGCCGTCACCTCACGATAATAACAGCTCATGTTCAGACTTCCTGAGTTGAATCTTCCCCTCACCCATTTACCAATAAGGAACAGACAGACACAGGCAAGTTAAAAAGACCGGTGAGGCAGGATCTGAACCCACATGCGCAGCCACGGAGCCATCGTGCTTCTTGATGGCATGTCTTTGGTGGCCCATCAATTAGCTGGGGTGAGGCTCTGGAAGGAGTGCCCTTGCCCCGGCCAAACTGCACAGGGCAGGTCCTGGGTGCTGCGCTTGTGTCCAGGCCGGAGGCTCCTCGCAGGGCACCTGTGCTGAGCCTGTGCTTGCTGGCGTTGCAGACTCCAGGGCTAGAGGAGCTCGAGTGTCGGGCGCTGCACAGTGCCCTTCCTCTCCTGGCTCCCAAGTTCTGACCTGCACTTTTGGAGGAAGTATTTCTCCTCCCCAGTGGGAGGAAAAACAAGTTGCATCTCTTTACAAAGTTAATAGTTGCCATTTGCTTTTTTCCTTTCTCATCTTCTGAATTCGGACTTGTGTATGATTCAGAAGCTTGAAGCTGTGCAACTGGAGCTGGTGACAACTCTGTGCTTTGGCTGTCAGTCTAGAAATGGGAGTCGCCCTCTCTACTTCAGTGATGAGGCTGAAATGAACATTGAAGCCCCTGTCCCAAGTCAGCCCTTTCCTGGCCACGAGCCCCCACTCCCCGGAGCACTGGCTCTCGCCGGGCCCCATGCTTAGGAGTGAGAGGTGGTGCTCAGGAGCCCCCAGCACACCCTATTTTAAAGTTATATCGCTGCTTAGAAATGAAAATAAGACACTTTTATTATTTTTCTCTTGAATTCTGAAAACTTCAAACATGCACTTATTGACAACTGTGCGTTTACTTCATAAATTAGTTCGGGTCACAGACACTTCACCTGAATCTGGTTTTCTTGGGTATTTTAACCTGTCAGAGGCCAACCACAGGTACCTTCCCCCGAATATTGTAAGGTTCAGAAAACAGCTGTCTTGTCCACAGGCGACTTCAGACTCCGGGAGTGGCCTAGCAGGCTGCAGGCCCTGTGTCACCTGGGCTTCTCGGTTGTAAGGCATGCACGCAGGTGCGAGGGGATACCCTAAGGCTCTGTGGCCCAGGGAGAAAATGCCCCATCAGCTGAGAGGAGCCCTAGTCTACAGGAAGCCCAGGCCCCATCCCTCAGCCTAACGGGCCTGCGCAGCAGTAGCCCCCGGGCCTCCAGAACGTCCCGTGGGCCCTTCCCAGTCCCTGAGTGAGTGTGGCCACTGAGACCACCAGAGCCCCCTCTGGTTCAGGACCACCCAGCTTCCTGCTGCTGCTGCTGCTTCGGCTGCTGTGGCCTGCGGGGCTGACCACCCCTCCAGCAGCAGGTATTTAAATGGAAACCAATGGCTGTGAGCCCGTGATGCAGGGTAAGATGTAGGCATTTTAAGGTCATTATTTTAATTACCATTAAAATAATTGGCACTCCGGCTATCAGAAGAATGGAGGCGATCAGAGGCGCAAGGCGCCCCTCCCCCACCTCGGGGCGGGAGCAGCCTTCAGTGTCTGTATAATTAAAAGCTCCGTCTTTCATGAGCACAATAAAGGGGCCGGGGGTGGGCAGACTGCAGCCCTGCTGCATGTTAATGCGTTTATTATGATCAATAAGCCCTTGCCTTGAGTTTTGTCCTCTGGTTTGGGCATCTGCGTGACTGACAGCAGACACACACACACACACACACACACACACACAATTTGCCCAATGGTGTGGACAGCTACAAGTTCAAAATAATTTGGAGGTTAACCATTCTTAGGGTCTCAAAGCACAGCCTTTGGGACTAGACAGGCCTGGGAGGGGTACTGGCTAGCCCTTGGGAGCCATGCGGCTGCGCACCCCTTACTTGCCCCAGCTAAACACCGTTCTTCAGCTCTAACGGGGACAACGGGACCATCTAGTTGCTCTGAGGATGAAGTGCCTTCATGCAGACAGACTGTGGAGTGCGGAGCCTCAGTAAGACTGCTTTCTTGAGAATAACACACCATTCTCTCCCCTGCAGTTACGAGAACTGGTCAGCATGTGCATCTGCCCTGACCCCCACCAGAGACCTGACATCGGATACGTGCACCAGGTGGCCAAGCAGATGCACATCTGGATGTCCAGCACCTGAGCGTGGATGCACCGTGCCTTATCAAAGCCAGCACCACTTTGCCTTACTTGAGTCGTCTTCTCTTCGAGTGGCCACCTGGTAGCCTAGAACAGCTAAGACCACAGGGTTCAGCAGGTTCCCCAAAAGGCTGCCCAGCCTTACAGCAGATGCTGAAGGCAGAGCAGCTGAGGGAGGGGCGCTGGCCACATGTCACTGATGGTCAGATTCCAAAGTCCTTTCTTTATACTGTTGTGGACAATCTCAGCTGGGTCAATAAGGGCAGGTGGTTCAGCGAGCCACGGCAGCCCCCTGTATCTGGATTGTAATGTGAATCTTTAGGGTAATTCCTCCAGTGACCTGTCAAGGCTTATGCTAACAGGAGACTTGCAGGAGACCGTGTGATTTGTGTAGTGAGCCTTTGAAAATGGTTAGTACCGGGTTCAGTTTAGTTCTTAGTATCTTTTCAATCAAGCTGTGTGCTTAATTTACTCTGTTGTAAAGGGATAAAGTGGAAATCATTTTTTTCCGTGGAGTGGTGATTCTGCTAACATTTTTATCTACGTTTTATAACTTGGTGAGTGACGATGAGAGCCCTGCACCTGGCCAGAGTGTCACAGGCAAAAGGCATCGGGAAGCAGGAGCATCTTCTTGGCAGCCAGGCTGGGCCATCTTCTCCTGGACACCTGCTGTGTACCAGGAACTTCGTCACCTCCTTGAATGCTGGCGGTTCATTTCATGATCAGTGTTAAGCATTTTCCTCCATGGGAAGGAAGCATGGGATATAGAAAAGCGAAGGGCTGTCCTTTACAAATTCTGGTTCTGCAACTTCCTAGCGTGACTTTGGGCTTGGGCAAGTTTCTTAGCCGTTCTGAGCCTTCATTTCCTCATCTGTACAATGAGATTAATAGTACCTATCATCTACCTTCAGGATTGCTGACAGACAGAATTTGAAATAAAATATGCAAGTTAGCTAATACAAAAAGTAGATGATCCAAAAATGGTAGCCACTCACCCTTCACAAACTGAAGTCCATGGACCACGGAAGTCGAGAATTAATGTACACCTGTATCATGTGTAGGAAACCAGAAATGTGTTCCTTATTTCTTGTTCCCAAACAGGATTAACTGTGAAGACTAATTTATAAATGTGAACCTAAGAAAACTCCACCTCTGAAGGAAATCATTTGAATTTTGTTTTTGTACGTAAAGTTAACCTTCCAATTGTCTGAGCTGTCGTCACTGACTTCATGACAGTCTGGCCCTCCAGACAAGAGCAGCGCTGGCATCGGGCAGGTGATTCCTGACACCTGCTGCCTGCAGGCATTCACTGACCAGGCCTTTCCTGGAGGAAACACCCAGGGCCGGGCGGCTGCTGTTTCCACACGTGGACTCGGATCTGCTGTGACACCGTCAGCCCGACAGTCTCTCCATATGCAGCCTTTCCTCTGTACTTTTCTCCATGGTTGAAATAAAACAGGGTGACTGGGAGTTACTTAGAATTCATGAAGATTTTAAAATGGCTTTGGAGATTTTGCTTTTAAACCAGTAGATTCAAAACTTAAACAGCGTCTGCAGCACAATTTCTTGAGGAACCTTGAAAAACACAACTTCCCAGGCCCCATTCAGTAATCCCAGGATTTCTTTAAGCTCCCCAAATAATTTTGAAACTCATCATCAGCCGAGTTTCTGCCCTCATGAGGTAATTCCATCGTTCTCCCCAGCCTGCCCCTGGCAGCTGTAACACAGGAGCTGGCCTGAGAGCAGATTCACCCTGGAATGTTCTCTCCACAGAACAATCAAGTCCCTGTCGCCTGCCTAGTGCTTACCACTGAAGATTTTTCTGATTCCAGACCAACTTTTTGCCAACATTCTGCTTCCAGCTCTCTGAGCCCCTGCCGTGTCTCCCCAACACTGCCAGCCCCAGCACGCAATCAACCTACTTTGTGCATGCCACCCGCTTTCCACACTGTGAGAACAATCTGCCCAACTGGACCCTCTGGAGGCGCACGATCTCAGCCACTCACCAGGCCTGAGTGTTTGTGAAATGATCATGTCCTACTTATTACAAAACCGTAACCCCAAAACATTCCTTTTATTTCTGTGAAACCGGCCAAAGTGAGGTCCACCCACCTTCACACAGCTCTGGCGGTGCACCTGCTCACCTTCTCTTGGTTCTCAGAACTGAGCTGGGCTTGAGAACACAGCTTTGGCTTTGCCATTTTTTTCCTACTTGGCTGCTGAGGTGGAGGGTGTGCTGCACTTATCACCCCATTTCAAAACCAAACCAAACCTGAGGCCACCCCAAACAAATTCAGCCAGCAAAAAGGGTAGGTATCGATGGTCACCTGAAGCCTCAAGGGAGTCCACTCTGACTTCTGACAGCAGACAGAACCTATCTGTCCTCAGGAGGGGCGCATGGCTCCTACGCTCTCCTCTGAGCCTAGGCCAGTGCTCAAGGAGGATCAGCACCCTGAAGGGCCAGGCCAATGGCCTTAGCAGCCCCCTACTGCCCCCAAAAACACCACACAGTGCCCAGACCTCAGCTGCCCAATTTGGTTTTTGTTTTTTATTGAGTTGAGTTTCATTCGGCAAACACTAGCCACATGAGTGTCTTACTGGGCCTCAATGCTCACCACCTTCCAGAACCGCGGCCAGCCACCCACTGATGCCATTCAGGAAGTGTCCATTGTTTGGACTGTTTCTTCCAGCACCTCAATCTCCAGAGGAGTGATTTTCTCAGTGAGGACTGCAGTAGTCCCTTTCTCACACCTGTACCGGCCAAGCCTAGTAAGAGAAAAACAAAAGCACAGAGTTAGGATTCTCCTCAAGGTGCCAGAGGGCAGAAGACAGTGAAAATAAATATTCAGGCAACGCAGTGAGCAGGCTGGACTGGAATCTTGGCTCTCCCGATCCCAGCTCTGTGATCTTGGGGGATTCAACTTCCTCAGTTCTCAAGTGCTGCAAAATGGGGGTGCCTGGGAGGCAAAGAGTGTCATTAGTGAACACGGCACCTGGCCCTTGGTGGACACGTGACTCTCCCCCCACCCCACCATCCCCACAAGTGCTGGGAAGCACTTGGTCCCTTGACATCAATCTTCAACCTCCCTACAATACTGTTCAGGGACAGCAGGAAGCAAATCCCATCATTACACAAGAGAAGGGCATGATTGCTCTTCCGTGCAGCAACAAGAATGACTTAACTGTTACCTTAGACACTGCACAAACATCTGGAAGCATAAACAGTGTAAAAAAAATGTGCAGCCAGACTCTGGGCTTGTCATTTCAGACCACTCTCAAGTCTCAAGAAAAGTTAACTGTCCCTTTCAGGGACACAGTGGGTCCCCACTAGGACACACCCAACACCTTCTTCCTGGAGTGAATCTGGCAGAGGTTTCTTTGAGCACCAGACTGTCTAGAAGATATGTATTTGGGCTGTTAATGCTCACAGTGGGTCAGGAATTAGGATACTGTCAAATGGCAGCACACAACCAACTGTTCCTCTGCTCTAGCCCCAGCTGGGGTAATATCTCTGTCAAACTTGCTGTCCTTCAGGAACTGCCAGAAGGCTGCTGGCTGTGCCATGGCCTTGTGCTCCCGGAACACCCATCCTCTCCCCTGGACACACGGGCTAAAAGAGGGAGCAGGAAGCAGAACAAGGAGGGCAACTTCCACAGTTCTGCATCCAGGTCAGGAGCACGGTCAGCCCAGAGCGGCCTGCCTTTATGCTGCCAAGCCTCCCCCGACCCCCACCCTCTTAAAGAATCCAAGCAAAAGTACCTTTGAACAATGTGTCCCCACCCCATCAGTTTGAGGATGCCCCTCATCCCTCACACGCTGGAACCTTGGTGGCAGCGTGCAGTCTTAGAGCCAAAGTCCCACGTGGCCTCTGTGTGCCTGACTCCTCTGAACCACCCCTCAGTGTCTCCGGGAGGCTTGGACACACAAGAGCCTCCTCACCACTGTGGTGACAGTGCCCGATTTTTGCGGCATGCATTCAGAGCTTCCGCCTTACGTGCCAGTGGACTGCAAGACCGTGTGCTGGAGGGCTGCGGGCAGACAGGCAGCAGGGACTTGCCAGGCAAGGCCCACTGGCGCATGGCACGGGATGCTTCCTCAGGCCTATCGCCCTGCCCGCACCCTAGCATCCACCCTGGGAAGGGCTCCCCTAACTCAGGCAGTGCCCCCATCTTCAGTCACTGGCAAAGAAGACAACAGAGTCCAGGGAGCTTGGACACTTGCTGCCCTTGGCCCCAGGACACCGATGGGGAGCAGGCTCCCTGCAGGTTACTGCACACCCACCACACGCCCAGCAGCTTCTGGGTCGCCTTGCTGATTCTTCCCAAGCAGCCGCAAGGCGGTTTTCTTTTGTTCTTGGGTGTTTAGAGCCTCTGTTTACAAGTGGAGCAGCCCATGTCCCAGGAAGTAGGATGTGCCACTGCTGCACTCCCTGTGGATGAGGACTCCTGCGCTCAGCACAGGTTCCCTAGGCAACCACTTCTCACTGGCCCAGACGTGGCTTTCAGAGTCCTCGCCCAGGACCCTGGCCAGCCTGAATGGTGTAACCATTCCCTACCCCATCACCGCTTCACCATGGACTTGCTCAAATCACGCATCTTGCAAAATAACCAGCGAAGCAGGCTACATGGAGTACTTGGCTCCTGCCTACCTGGAGCTCGGCAAAGCCCGGTTCCCCAACACAGCTCTGGGCCTGAAAGGTGGCTTGCCTTCCTGCTAAAGGCCCGAGGGACTTCGTGGGCTCATTAGAGGTCATCTGGTTTAGCTCCATTTCCAAGACAGACTGATTTGCTGGAAGCCACCAAGCCAGCCACCAACACTCCCCAACCCCAGTGCCAGCGTTCTCTGGCCCCGTGCTGCCCCACCCCATCAGGAGCCCACTGAGCTTCCGCAAGGTTGAGTGCAGCCCACAGTGAATACCTGCTGGTTCTGAACGTTCCATTCCTTCCTTGTGAATTACTCCTGATGTGGAGTTGTGTGTGCAGTGGGAGATGGAAGCAAGCCTGCAGAAGGTGGTGCTCACTTCCTCGGGGCTACCGTGGAGCTGAGTGGGAGCCGTAGTTTATAAATGCCCTGTGCTGCACCCAGATGCTGCAGCTGGAAGCAGCACTCAGGGAGCCCATCCTGACCTGCCCGGGCTCCCAGAAGAGGTCAGGAGCCACAGGATGGTCAAGCAGCCGGACAATCACGAGACACTGCAAACGAGCTGCTCCTCTGACACATGCTAGCCACCAGGTTTGGAAACCTCCCAGTTCTGCTCAGCAAATCAACTAGAACCTTCTCCCACTGCTCTGAGTCTGCGCTGCACCACTGAGCCGAGGGGCCCACTCGGCATGTAGGCTCAGGCTCAATGGCACAACTCCCTGTAGCACAGCACACACACACTAGCTCCCAAGGCCACCTCTGGGAGGCTGTTAGCATTGCTGACTTACACCCAGTTAGGAATCTCGGGGCACTCTGAGGGAAAGTGCTGGGGCTGCCCTGAAAAATGCACCTTCTCCCAGAAATCAGGGGATTCTTTAAGACACTTGAGAAAGGACAGCAGATGATCCAAACCTCTCCGGCCCCACCTCCCAGCCTAGGGCTCTTTCCTGGGCCACCCTCCACCTCTCCCATCAAATTAAATCACTTTCCTACACCTGACAGCAGCCCACTGTCATAAAGCAAGTAACAAGCCGAAGGTCTGTGTGGGAGGTTGATTTGGGAACACTGGATGTACTTAATGTGGAAAGAACCAGGAAAACTCCATCCAGATGCCATGGAGATACCAAGGGTGGCCACGACGCCAGGGGACCCAGGAAGAACTTCGTCTCCTTCACTCACCTGGTCCCCTTCTTGTTGGGCACTGTGTATGGGCGGAGAAAATCCAGCTTGTTCTTGCTGATGACGCAGAGGTCAATGTTGCTTCCGGAGCCCAGGTCGTTGAAGATGCCAGCTGCGATGGCTTCGCTCACCAGATTCTTGGCTTCCTCCTCCTGAGAAACAGAACGGCGGCAATAATGTCCCCGGCCAAACTAGGGCCTGCTCTGACATCCGCAATGTACGTCCACTAGCAGTGCGCAAGACCTCCCGCGAGACAGGTGTTGTTTTTAATGCCCATCTCACAGATGAGGAAAAGATCTCAAAGTACCTTGATTATTTACCCAAAGTTCCCGACCCAGGCCTTTAAAACTTTTTATGCATGCACCGCCTCTTGACCACATCAGACAATCACCACAAAACGATGGGCTGACAGTTACTAGAGGGTTAGTAACTTATCTTTAAAAGGGCCAGGTAGTAAATATTTTAGGCTTTGTGGCCAAAAGTCTCTACCACACCTACTCAACTCTGTCACGCTAGCACAAAACAGCCACACACAAATACATTAAAAAATGGGTATAACTGTGTTCCAATAAAACTCTATTAGCAACAGGCAGTGGGCCAGATCTGGCCCACTGACTGCAGTTTACTAACTATCCCCTGATCAAGAATGTCCAACAATAGCTGAAAGTTACTTGAGAAAGTCAGCACTGTAGGAGGAAGAAACTAACACCAAAACACAAGCCGGTAGTTCTGGGGAAATGCTGGCAGACCAAGGGCGGGACCTCTTGCCCAGAATAATCTCTCTCTCCTACTAAGGAACCTATAGGTTCACTGAAGTAATCCATTACTTTGAATCACTCTCTCCTTTGCCCCACCTTTAAACACAAATCCCCATCCCTAATAGTTACTGGTGAACAGATGGACTCATCCCTTTCTTATCCGAGAAGCCCCATCACATGCTATGTCCTATCACATGCTATACCAGAAGCTAGGGCTGCAGAGGTGGATGACGCCCCCAGATCCCTGCCCCCTAGGGGCTTAAGAGTCTAGCAGGGGCACCTGACCCAAGTAAGTACAATGCAGGGTAAGGCTGGCTAAAGAGCACGTGAAAAGGAGCTGGGAACACAGCTGGTCAGCAGAGCTTCAGGGAGGGCTGAAGGACAGGCTGCACACGAGGCACTCAGAAAACAGCAGTGAAACAGAAGGCAGGCAGCAACGGCAGTGGTACTGGACCTGGGGAACACCAAGTTCAAGCTCTATATACAACGAGGACAAAAATGAACCAGGCTCCCTGAAAGCAGGGAATCTAACCTGTGCTACGGCGCCTTCCCAGTCCACGAGGGCGTGAGAGTACATACACATGCAAGTGCACTCCAGCGCTCACCCAAGCAACACCCTTGGAGAAACACGGACTCCAGGCCCAAATCCAGCCTGAGACCCTCAAAGGGCAGATCCGCTAACCTCAAGTTTTCAGAAGATCTGAACCCACTGGGGGCTCCTGCTCCTCTGCCTGCCCCATGCCAGACTAGGATTCCAGTGACATAAGCGCCCTCTACAGACTCAGAAGGACAGAGAAGGTTCTGCTGGAAGTGGGCTCCTCAGCAAACCAGCAGATAGGGGTTCCTTTGATATTTATACCCCAGGTTTTTTCACTCTCACGTGACATCTATGTGGGGCCAATGAAGCCAATTCTTCTTTTGTACATATGCAGTCCTGTAAGAATGCATTCAAACGGGATCCGCTAATTAGGAATTTTCTCCTGGAATTCTCAACAGTCTATGGGGCCAGAAGCTTTCCACAAACCAGTGAAGGTGGCAGCAAAGAAAGCCTCTTAGACGAGGAGCTGGCAGCAGCTGCTATCTAGATAGACAGCAAAAACCAACCACTAATTCAGCAAACACAACCTCATACCTAACCGCTTCCCTTTAAATGGCCTTCGGTGTGTGCGCACATGGGCACGTGCGGGGAGAACCATACTTATTCCCCTGTTCCCGGCCTACCACCTCTGCTCCCCCTTCTCTTCTCTACCATTTAACTGTCTCCTCTGCTTTGTTTCTTATCACTGCTGCTGGTGTCTAGAGCCAGCCAGCAGTACCTGGCAGACATCGCGACCCTGCGGGCAGCGCTTAGGACTGCACATTTACATTTCCCAAATGATCTGGGTAGATGGGGACAGGTGAAGACTTGGGGAAACGGAAATATACGAATGACATGAGACATGCATATCTAGTGTCAATCCATTCGACTGGGCACAGGACAGCAGACTGCTGACAGTGCTATGTAAGATTATGAGTGATCCTCCCTCTATTTTGCAAACAGTCTGTAAGTAACTGATAAAACTTTAAAATATGCAAATTTTAAAATTATATAGTTTGATTTACTCATCAAATTATCATGTATGCTGTTATTTAAGTATGAATAAAGGCTTTTTTAAATTGGGAAAATACATCTTTTAAATTCCTTTCCTCCCCACCAATTCTAGGGAAGATCATTCCTTAAGGAAGAAAATCTCAAGTTTCTCACTTTTTTCCCCCCAGTCCCACTCCATGTCTCATATACACATGGCTGAAGATGTTAGGAGATGGAATGAAACTTAGATTTATGGAGCACCTATATGCTCACTAAAACAATCAATCAATCAACATCTACCAGCACTCTAACGTGCCAAGCCCTGAGTTGGGCACTTTGATGATCATCATGTTCACCCCTGCCCCCAACCATCTTTTGATGTTGGTATGGTCAGAAACTCTGGCTGACGGTCAATGACTTACACAAGGTCACACAGCAGGTAAACAAAAAATAGTAAAACAGGCCCATCAGGCCCCAGAGCCACAAGGCCGCAGCACCACACCAACTCGCAAGTGACCTTCCTTGGGCCGGGGGCTCCTCAGCTAGTCCCTGACTCAAGGCTGTGTCATTCACGCCCCACCACCAAAGAGCCTTAAGACCTGGGTAAATTTAAGAGGAGGAGGATGGTGTTTGCCGGTTTCTCTCTGGGCCAACCAGCAGCTCCTCTGATGGTCACTCCCATTGGGGGTTGGAGGGCAGTGTTTCCCAAAATACCCAAGACTACCACTTCAAGGGCCTTCTTCATTCTCAACCAAGTTAGGGCAACATCTCTACAATGCAACACCAGATCAATATTAAGATCTAAGGTCTTATTTAACATATCCCTCCCTTAACACCCCAAACCCTCATAATCAAAACAGCGTGGAAATGACCAAAGGCTCTACTGTCCACCCACTACTTACACAGTTAATGTCTTTAACACACACCTATAGGGACCTACTATGTTCCAGGAACTGCTTCAATGCTGAATACTGTCTCTGACTACAGTATTTCCATACACAGAATTCTAGACACGTATGCAAATATGCTACTGGGCATATTCATACTGTGTTTTCTTTATAGTGGAATTTCACAATTAAACAACTTTTGTCTTTAACATGTGCTA
Organism: Homo sapiens; assembly: GCF_000001405.40. Classification (NCBI taxonomy): domain Eukaryota; kingdom Metazoa; phylum Chordata; class Mammalia; order Primates; family Hominidae; genus Homo; species Homo sapiens. Next base: position 124,360,197 of record NC_000009.12, read on the forward strand.
CCAAATATTTAAGAAAACTATCAAGAAAAACCACAAACTAAAGGCAAGAGGTGGGGAAAACACCACATTTGTATCTGTCTCCAGCCCACAATAAGCGCAAGAAGCACTGTCTCTTCCTTTAGGATTAGTTCTTCGTAGGGAAACTGCACCTCCCTTTTCTGGAAGATGCAGAGTGACCTAGGGCCTGGGCAGCATCTGCCCGGGGACAGCTGCTACAGAGGGGCCTTGATAAGGGCTCTGCAGAGCCCATGACCCCAGGTGGTCAGGCCCAGGTGCGATGCTCTCTCCCACAGCCAGGGAGGCATCTGCCCCCAGCCAGCTGCCTATGCATTTATGTTGCAGGTCACAAGGGAACCTCAGTGTGGCGATGGGCGAGTAGGCCTTACCCTCGTTACCAAAAAATGGCCCTCCAGGCCAACAGCAGCTTCCTTTTGCTTTCAGACGCTCAGCTAAAAGATCACCATGACCCTGACGATTAAACACCAGCTGGGGAACCCAGGTTCAAGGAGACATGGAGGCAGACAGAATGGGTTTGAATCCCCAGTCTACTACTTACTGCTGGGCAACCCTGGACAAGTCACTACACCTCTCTGAGTTTACTCTCCCGCTCTGTAATATAATGATAATAAATCCAACTTCATAAGATTACTAACAAATTAGAAATAAAGGTACAGAAAGCACCTGCTATAGTTTCTGGCACATAGCTACTGCTTAATAAATGGTAAGTTATTTAGTAAAGCAAGCCAGAGGGCTCCTAAAAACACAACTTATCTCTAAGCAGCAACTGCCTATACCAAACCCCAGGCCAGGACAAGGAGGGCCAAAGAAACCTGCTGACAAATCTTCACACAGTGCCACAGAGAAGTTCCTATAATAATTAATCCAAGCAAAAAGCATACTCCCTAAAGTTCAGAAAATATAAAAGGAACACTTCTTGCTTTATGGCTACAAAGACCAAACTAACTGGGAATATCAGTCCCCCGGGCCACCCCTGCTTCTTAAATGAGATTACAATAAGAGTGATGTACTGTACTACAAGTCAGCTGTGACAAGCAGCACTTTATAGAGCTATCTGTTTGTCTCCATCACCGCATCGCACAATGTGTCCCTGGACTCCAATGTGCAGTTCCATTTACCGCTACATGACAAATGGGCAGCACTTGTAAAAGGCACAAAGAGGTCCACGTCGGCCACGTAATGGTCACCACAGCTGTACCCGAGTGCTTGAGGGGACAAAACAGACCCCCAAGTTCATTAAACTGACCAGTAATGGATCTTTCAAAAAGTGCCTTAGGAATCATACAGAAAAGGCTGAAATAAATAACTCAGCATGGAAGGCAAATCTGAAATGGTGTTTGATAAATTATTTATAACATGGGCGATTGTCTGCATTTAATATTGGAGCTACTAGTAGCATCTTTAAAAGATGATTTATGTGTTGTAATGCTATTAAACTTTATATTGGCCCACTGCTAGCTATAAAGTCTGCTGAGATTTAGAGAATGAGTTTTAAACTGTCACTGCAACATCATAGGAGATGGAGACTGTATTAAATCTTTACTTTAAACCTGTTATCTAGAGAGTTGCATTTTGTAGACACTCACAAACTGATAGATTACCTCGGCATCCACTATAGTGCAGGTCCAAAATAGTACTGCCAAGAAACTTTTTCCGCATTATTCTTGTCTACAGCTACAATCGAATTTCTCTTCTCACTTAAGTGATTTTTAGATTGGGAATGTCACCAGAGAAAAATGTAGCTGTGCCAGCCAATGGGCACTCTGGACAGTTCAGCATCAAATTAATACTCTTTAAATACACCCTCTTCATTTGACTGTTCAGCTATGCATCTCAACACTGCTTTACTTACACTGGAGGCAGGCAAAATATTAAATATGCACTTGACTGAAAACCTAACAGACTATTTTATACATAGCTTTGGAATGTGAAAGTTCATGTATATGGCAAGTCATTTGACATAACTGATTTGTAACTAAAATTTTTAAAATAATTTAAAAAGAAATAAAATTGGTTATTTGCCGGCAAATATATTGTTTATGTAGCTGAAGAGCTGGCCTAGGGGGCAGAAAACAAAGAGATACTCAGCCTTTTTCCTGAGGAACAGGGCTCCCCCAGCTCCAAGGGTTTTCAAGGCAGCACCCAAGTGTCCCTTGCCTTCTGCGCCACCTCCATGCCAGGAGGAAGGGGTGCAGCTCTCCTGCCTTTGCTGGGGGAAGCAAGAATGCGGATGGCATCACGGCGGAATCCTCACAACTTTCATCCATTTCCCTGTGTCTTTCTGAATCTATATTTAGTTCCATTAGTTCACAACCATTTGCTCCTTCATTAACCACTAAGGATTTAACTCGTAAGAAGTGAGGCAGGGGAGGGTTGGGGAGATGCTGGCCAAAGGATACAACATCTCAGTTAGAAGGAGTAAGTTCAAGAGATATATTGTACAACATACTGGTTATAGTTAATAACAATGTATTGTATTCTTGAAAAACAGCTAAGATTTAAGTGTTCTCACCACAAAAAAAAAATTTGAGGTAATGCATGTTAATATATTAGCTTGACTTTGCCATTCCACAATGTACACAAATTTCAAAACATCATTTGCATATGGTAAGTATATACAGTTTTTATTGCCAAGCCAAATAATTAATTTTTTAAAAAGAAGGCAATCCAAATGCAGCTTGGAAAATCTTCATTATCTTTTGTCACTTTGATTTGAAATAGCAAAAAATTCCATTCCTCTGATGATCTAGAGCAGAACAGATAAAAGTCTGGGTGTGATGAGAATTTGGACTCTAAAGAGAGAGGATGAAAATTCTGAACATCAGGGGTCCGCCCTACACCTTCTCCATCTTTGTATCCCAGGGAACTAGCCTGGTGCTTGGCATGTAGGTCAACAAATGAAAAAACGAAACGTTCACTTCAAATGCATGCATGGCTCTGCCAAACTCAAAGACTCTGAAATCATGAGAGAGACCCCTACCAAATGGGGCAATTCCCAAACTGCACCAGTCCCAACTGGAGACCATTCAAAGACAAGCGCTTGAGAGGAGGAGGTCTGAACACGATGTGTTTGTTGGGGGCCTGCTGACAGGCTAAGGCTCTGACTCTGCCACTGATGTGGCCTGAAGACTCATTAATGGTTGATGGTTGAATACAATTGAAAGAGCTCAAAAAAGTGTTTGAAACGGTCTCCGCGAAAGCAGCATGCTCCCTGCACTGAGTCACAGACTTGACGTATCCCATGTATAGCCACATATTTTACGGTAGAAAACTTTTTTTTTCCGGACTGGGCTGTGTGACAAGAGCAAAGGTGTCTAGAGTTTGGAGTTTGGCCTGAGCTTTCTGGGTGAATACGCCTGCCTGTGTGAACACCTAGGAATTCAGCAGAGCCGAGCTGCAGCTGGTGCTGGGCACGCTTAGAGCCGGGAGTGAGCCAGTGACTGCATCTTTAACGCCTAGCTGGTGTTGCCATTTCTTTCCTTGATAGCTTTTTTTTTGGTACCAGGATCTGGGTGACACAAATAATAAAGGAAAAACTTGCTGTGCGTGCAGGAGTTTTAGGGGTTTTAAGTGGGAATGGGAAGGGGTGCTCATGTTCACGAAATTGCCAGCCAGGTCTGTCCTAGGTCACTGAGTGATGCCTGTCAGAACTCGCAGCCAGGAAGAGATGTCAGCGGCTGCACGGCCACAATGGGCTGGAAAAGGGTAGCCCAGAATGAGGACAGCCCTGGACAGCGGGTCACTCTCTGAGCCAAAGAGTGCCCTTCGTAAGTATGAGAATAATGCCTCTGTCCAAGGAATAAAATGAGAGAAATGACCCCAACACAGCAATTTCACAAACAGGACGGTTAGCACGTCCTAGGGTCGAAGAAAACAGGCAAGGGTATGAGAGAACTAACACCAGGCACCTGCCACACCCCCGGGTCTGAGCCAAACACTTGCGTTATTTATTGAATTCCCAACTGCTGGTACAGATGAGGAAACTGGGGCTCTCAGAAAGGTTGGCTGATGCACTCAAAGGCACAAGGCTGTGTACAAGCAGGAGAGTCGGGGATGCATGCCAGATTAGTGCCTGGCACCACCAAAGCCTGTCTTCCTATCCCACCATTAGGAAAATCTGTGGCGGGCAAGTGGTTTTGCTGGAATCCGTGACAGTGAATGGAAGGAAAAATACCTAAGCTTCCAGAGGGAAAAGAACCAAAAGAGACAAGAACATATTGCTTTCCACAAGGAGAAGAAATCAATGTTCACAGCATATGTGTATACAAATATATATTTCCAAGGCTACACTGAATCAAATGTAATCAGAGAAAAAAAAAAAAAAAAAGAAAGCCTGGGTTTAAAGAAAAGTGAGAAATATGCTCAACAATCCTCAAAACGAAAACCAGGCTGTGGCAGATACTAATAAGATCCTCATCACATTTCTCTCTCTCTGCAAAAACAACGCGGCCCGTGATAACTCTGGCAATAAACTCCTGGAGCCACGGAAAGGGCTATCACCTGAAAACACAGAGAAATGAAGTGAATCTGTTTCATGGGTCACAACAAAGCAGCAGCCAGCACTAGAATTTCTCAGGATAAGGAGAGTAAGCAATGACAGAAATCCAGTCCTGTCAGAAGCAGAGACTGAAATCAGGGTCTGAGACCAGCAGAAGAGCCGCGTTCCCACCTCCAACATCTGGATAGGACAAAACCACTGCTAGATGCTGGGCACATGTGGGAAGGCTATCACAGGCACTGTGTTATATGACATGATCCTTCTTCCACAGCCTGACAAGGCCCAGGCAGAACCAGAAGGAGATCCAAGGAAGTACAGAGTGCTCTTGTTCTAGGAAGTTTAAAGATGGCCAAAATGAGGCAAATTTCAAATGATGCAAAACTCCTGCAAAACGGCCAGGTTAGCTTAGCTCAGCAAGCATCACGAGCGGCCTGCTATGAACACACCGCACACGCTGTGCTGAACAATGGAGACAGGCCTGAACACAGAGCCTGCCCATGAGAATTGTGGAGCCCAGAAGGGGAAACAAGGAGATAATCTCATTACAATGAGGTAAGAGCTAGCTAGAGACAGGCCTGACAAAGGAGCCACAGATGGACACGGGTCTCGTGGGGTGCAGGTGATGGAGACTGGGCAGGGTCTTGTAATACAAGTGAAAGGTAGCCAAGTCAAAGGGCAGACGTGTAGGCAGGAAGAGAGCCATGAACATGGGAAGGAGAAAGGTGTGGTCGAGTAGGTAGTTCAGTGTGGCTGATTGCCAGAGAACCTCACAGGCTATACAGACAGCCCACCCTTTATGCTAAGCAGCAGGAAGACACAAAAATTTCTACCTGGAAAATGATGTACAGTCATGTACCACGTAACATTTTGGACAACAACGGACTGCATATACAACAGTGGTCCCATAAAATTATCATGAAGCTAAAAAAACTCCTCCAGGCTGGCTATAGTGGCTCACACCTGTGACCCTGTAACGCTGGGAGTCCTGAGCTCAGAAGCTCGAGACCAGCCTGGGCAACATAGTGAGACCTTGTCTCTATAAAATAAAAGAAATTAGCCAGGTGTGGTGATGTGCACCTGTAGTCTCAGCTACTTGGGAGGCTGAGGCAGGAGGATTACTTGAGCCTGGGAGGTTCAGGTTGCAGTGAGCTGTGATCGTGCCACCGCACTCCAGCCTGAGAGACAGAGCAAAACCTTGTCTCAAAAAACGAGAGAGAAAGGAGAGAAAGAGAGAGAGATTACTATCACTTTCTACCTTCCAGTGAGGTAAGATGTGGACGCAAAAGACGGTGATACTGATGGCCCTGGCCCTGCAAAGGTCTACACCAATGTGTGTGTGTTTGTGCCTTAGTTTTTAACAAAACATCTAAAAGGTAAAAAAATTAAAAAAAAATTTTTTTAATAGAGAAAAGCTTATAGGCCAGGCATGATGGTGCATGCCTGTAATCCCAGCACTTTGGGAGGCCAAAGCAGGAGCATCACCTGAGGTCAAGAGTTTGAGACCAGCCTGGCCAACATGGTGAAACCCCATCTCTACTAAAAATACAAAAATTAGCTGGGCGTGGTGATGCGAGCCTGCTGTCCCAGCTGCTGAGGCAGGAGAATCGCTTGAACCTGGAGGTGGAGGTTGCAATGAGCTGAGATCATGTCCTGCACTCCAACCTGGGCAAGACTCTGTCTCAAAAAACAAAGTCTATAACAAAAGAGCTTATAGACTAAGGATATAAAGAAAAATATTTTGTACAGCTGTACAATGTGCTTGTGTTTTAAGTTAAGCGTTATAAGGGTCCAAAAGTTTTTAAAATTTACAAACAAGTAAAAAGGTTACGGTAATTACCGAAATTTTTCTGTGTGTAAATTTAGTGTAGCCTAAGTGTCCAGTGTTGATAAAGTCTACAGTAGTGTACAGTAACACCCTAGGCCTTCACCTTCACTCACCACCCACTCACTGACTCACCCAGAGCAATTTCTAGTTTTGCAAGATCCATTCATGGTAAGTGCCCTAGACAGATACACCATTTTTTATCTCATACTATACATTTACAGTACCTTTTCTCCATTTATATGTTTAGATACACAAATACTTACTGCTGTGTTACAGCTGCTGACAGTATTCAGCGCAGTTAACATGCTGTACAGGCTTGCAGCCCAGGAGCAACAGGTTGCACCATAGTGTATAGGTGTGCAGAAGGCCAGACCATCTAGGTTTGTGTAAGTACATCCTATGACATTCACGTGATGACAAAATCACCTAAGGATGCATTTCTCAGAATGTGTCCCTGTCGTTAAGCAACACATAACTATAGTTCGACTTGTGCTTTTTGAAACTACGACAGGGAAGCCGTGGGGGAGGAAATGCCAAAGGCAGGAGACCAGAGAGGAGTTGATGATAATATTCTCAATGAGAGATGGTGGCGGGGCAGCAGGGCCAGGGAGGAGGATCAGCAGCAGAGCAGATGTGGGTGAGGAGGAAGCAGCAGCCAGGTGAAAGTGCAGGATGGAAAGATGTGGAGGGTGCCACCTGGACTTCTAGCCTCAGTCATAGGTGCTGACCACCCCTCTGAACAAACACAGCCTTTACACAAAGGCCTTTCATAACTTCTTGGCAATTATTTTTCTGGTGGTTGATGAGAAGACAATGGCTGACTTCTCATCAACCCACCCAAATAGAAATGATTCTATTTCCCCCCACTGCACCAGGAGGAGCTAACGCAGATACTTCTCCATGAGACCTCCAGGCATACACAGCATTCGGATAAACTCTCTGTTACTTAGGTGGGAGGAGGGGGTCTCAAAAAGGCATAAGGAAGCTTCAGGGCTCTGGAACTGATGAATATAGTCACTATATTGACTGTGGTCATGGGGGGCGGGGGAGGCAATGCTTGACAGAGGCAAAGAATTTGACAGAATAAAGATATGAATCTAGTCCTGTTACTTACCAGCGGTGTGACCTCAGTGATAAAAGTCACTCCACATTTTTAAGTTCCAATTTCCCCATCTGCAAAGGAGGACCTAAAACCCCCAAGCACCAGGATGGTCATGAGGATGATACGAAGTGTCATGCACAGGAGATGCTGGGCCACGGTGCCTGCAGTGCAGGAAATCCACAATGAATGCTAACTTCACCTGATCCTACCCATCTCCAACACTCACAAACACGATTACCAAGGCAAAAGGCTTCAGGGCTACCAATGTGATAGGCAACTGATACGAACTTAGTACTTCTTTTTCTCAACCCCCATTTAAAAGCAAATCAATTATGACAGCGGCCATCATACTGCAAATGAAATTCAACATATTGCCATAAAATCTTTGTTCATATGCACATCTTCCATGTAGAATTACCGCCATTTCGGTGAGAAGTGTAAGTACCACATTTTCATTTATTCTCTTTCACCAAAAATTATATTCTAAAAAGACACAGAAAAAGAAGGCAGACTTACTGTGTGCAGGCTCTGTGCCAAGTACCCAATTCCACACATTTACCCAAACAACGCTTTAAGGTGATTTGGTTTTTTCCACCCAAGAAAACAAAACCTCCAGTCTCCAAAAATACAAATGATACCATCAAGTCTTTAAGTAAATTTAATTTATAAATCACTTGCGGGTTTCTCTTTTTAAAGTACTTTACCTCTAAAATTATTTCACAGTTGCAAATATATTGCTTAAATTATGCTACCCTAACATTCCAACACTCATCTGGCTTGTTACATTTGGTAAAATTAAACACATCCTGATGAATTCCTCTACTACAGAATCTAGTCATCGAATCCCACGGCAAAGAGCTATCAAATTCACTGCATCAAAACTACATCCAAACATTGACATTTCCCTAAAATACATGTAATAAAACCTCTCAGCAAACAGAATCAGTCAAATTATTTTCGGCCACCCCGTATGTCAATCAAAAAGATATCATTTAATTTTCCCATCTGGCCATTTGTTGATTGTAAATCTTAACTGAAACTGACCAAGAAATCAAAAGCAATTTAATTTTCTTTGAAAGTTTCAGGACAAGAGGTAGTCAGAGACTCAGAGAGTAAACTCTTGTTATACCTGATAAGCATTTTACAAACACTGTCCTCGTAATGATCCCTTCAAGTACCAACTTCAGGCCATTTCATGAGAGTGAGTTTTACATCTTACAAACTGGGGCTACAGGGGTTACACAAGAGGCAAAAATCAATCTTCCAACCCAGGCCTCTTCAGAGCCCACGTGTGCACACTCCACCCAGCCCATTCTTACCGCTCTATCCCCTAATTCCATTCAGCTGAGTTAAAAGCCAGTGTATTTGTCAAGGAACCAAAGTTAATGAGTCTTTATGTCTTTTTAATATTCTGTTATCACCAAGGTTCTGATTCTAGAAAAACTACATTCTAACATGACAGGGTGACAATGACGGCGAGAATGACCACATTCTACAGATAAAATATTCACTGCAAATATTTTTAAAAATCTGTACCACTAGGTGGAATTTTAAAATATCTATTTAGTACAACTTCCTATCATTTCTTGGTTTCTGCACAATTTCAGGGTGAGGGGAGGGTAGTATAAATTACCTAACAGACACCCACAAGTAACATTATCTGTTAAGGTTAAAACTTTAACTACCTTCCTGAGGTATGCTGCTGGGGTCTCATTACAGCAGGTAATCTCACATTCCGCCATGCACAACACACTAAGTACCAGCATCTCCCAATTACACTGCAACATAAATCTCAAAGGACATCTGAAAAGTCTACACAGCTCCTGCACCCACTGCTGCAACACAAGCACCTCTAATGGAACGTGGCAGCTTTCTAAACTAAATATTCACATGCAGGGACAGGGATGCTAAGCTCCGGCCTTATCTCACATTGAAGAGCGGATGCTAATTAAAAGGCCACACTGACTCGGGAAATGACCGCCCAGACAACTTTAGACACTGTCTGCCATTTCCCTTCCCAGCTGTCCCAACTTCCAGGACTGCACGACTGAGAGGCAGAGCAGGGGCCCCCGTGCCTCTGGACTTAACATTCCTGTCCGGAATGGTCTCCTTCTCTTCTGCCTCCCTGTCCCACCTTTCCTCACACCCCAAGACCAAAAACAATTCATGTGAGGAGTCACATGCAATTTGAGGTGGCTTTATAGTCTCCCAGATAGAGTCCATCGGCTCCTCTTCCGCCGTACCCCTACTGCCCACTGTATGGGTACCGTTCTCGACTTTTCATGACATAGTCCCTGCTTGTGGGCCTGTGCACCCCTCTCTAGGTTGTAAAGTCACTAAGAAAGGGACCATGTCTTAAAACCAGGCACAGGCCTGATCAACAAAACTCAAGGTGAATGGCATGCAAGCCCACCCTTCACATGTCTGAAGGACCACCGTCTATCAACAGTTTACAGAGGGCTTAATGGCAACTCCAGTGGCAACACAGATCTCTTCTGGTGGCGCAGATGCCAAGAAACTTCCCCTATTACACTCTGCCTTTGCCAGTTTTGATGTGCCTTAGGAGTTTTTGAGAAAGAGCACCTTTTTTTTTTTTTTTTAAAGCTTTCACAATAGCAGAAGGTATCCAGGGTATATTTGTTCCGACCATAATCATTTGGCTATTTTTAGAACTGTTTTTACTTCAGCTAGCAAAACCTACACTTGATATAGGCTGTCATGGAAAAAAAAAAAACCTGTCATAAAGGTAGTAATGGCTTTGAAATATCTCATCCAAGCCAACTTTATTCTCATCCCTCTTAAGAATCGCCAGTCCCTTCAAATATTGGCAGTTCCGTTTATTCAGATCTTCCGATATATAAAATTTGCTGACTTTCCCCCCTTGAGTTGATATAGATACATAAAAACTGCAAAGCTTTTTTTTTCTTGGCTAGAAACAAAACTTCTCTGCCTGCCTGTGTAAAATACAGGGGCATTTTTAAATTACCATATGCTTTAGATCACAAGGTAAAAACAGTACAGTAGCAATTTAAAACCTTCCAGCCTGTGAAAGCTGACAATTAACTCAGTGAAATACGGTCCAAGCCCTCACGCCCCCCAATTCTTGTAGGCAGTGGTCTCAATTAACACCTAAATGCCCTGCATTAGAAGGTTTACCATTTTATAGTTTAGGTTAATTTACATATATCATGCAAACCTACACAGGTACTACATTTAAATATTTGGCCCCAAATATTATTTTAAACTTAATTTTCCACAGAGCTAATAAAAAGAAGAAAAATCTTTGCTAAAATTCTTCATCATGCTTCCGTGTATATTAGCAAATGTGCAGTGTGTGACTGTCTTGCACACCCATGAACCCACCACCCCCCTTTCTGATATCGCACACCACACAAGTACAATAAACCATGTGAATATTTCATACCGCTGTGAAATATGCTGGATTATCAATTCAACATCTGCTGTCTTTAGGGTCCGGGAGTCCCGCAGAGACACTTTCAATTTGTAATTGAGTTCTATGCTGAATTAATCAGCAGTTTATCTTTTTTACTAAAATAATGTCTTCACCACTAAACCAGATTTACATTAACAATTTATGCCAAATTACCTGCCAAGGCAAAACTTATAAGATTCTAAGCTACAAACCAGTAACACTCGGTCCTATATTTCATTTCTTGTATTTCTTTAACCCATATACAAGAAAGTGGAAATCCATTGTTCCAAGAGCTTGCGAAACTCTAACCACAGACGACCTCTTGGATTTCTAACAGAGCCTCACTTTTGATGGTGAAATTCGTGCTGGTTTCCTCCTCTCCCCCTGAAAGCCACTGTTCAATAAGTGGTTATGATTCCAAATTTTTACCAAATAGAATTCTAAAATGAAATAAAGTCAGTGAATAACAAAAGAGTATCTTTTATTTCTTTTCCCAATGAAAATCTTCCCATTCTAAATCTTGGCTTGGCTCAAGTAACCGAAAAAAGACAACCTAGATAAAGGAAGGATTTTTAGTGCTTATTATGTACCTGAGACCCAAGTTAGCAAAGGCAATTCAATTTGAAGAGAGCGGTGAAGTCCCATTTTCTCTTTGATATCACGACACAGAACATTTCATTAGCAATATCTTCCTTTCAATTCCACCTATACAGTTAAAAGTCTCCAAACACTTACGAATTCAACACTATCTCTGAATCTAGCTCTCACCTCTCTCTCTGATTCGTCTCTGGTCACAAGACCAGAAGTTTTTTGCTTGCTGGACTTTTGCCACAGGTGCCAGCAGACAACATACTTCGTGAAATATTTCTCCTATATGGTGTATGTCCCCCTACATTTCAGTTCTAGGAAATATGTAAAGCAAAAACATTGCTTTTTACAAAAACACTGCTTTTGTTCTAGGAAATATGTAAAGCAAAAACATTGCATATTACAAATGGAACACCTGCTCCAAAGAAATGCATCATAAATAATTACCTATCAACTACAATAGAATACCTATCCCTTCTTTTCTATCTACTTTGCCAATAGCTGCACAAGGAATTCCCACCACCATACACAACAGCCTCTCTCAGTACTGCCTCTGCATTACAGCACCAAGCCTAACAGCTGGTAATCACTTGGAACCTGATGACATTCTGCTGATGACATACTGGTTATATGAGAATATGAAATTGGGTGTTTACACAGCAGGGCAGAAGACATGACAGAATTTTCAGAAATATTTTTGGGAGAAAAATCAACAAAGTCAATAACAAAGCCAATATACCATTTGTTGATATCCTTTCATTACTCCTCTAAGAACTGGAAATAGAGACCTTCAAAATGTATATAGTCACTTTCCTAAGATTTGTTGATTCTTGAATTCCAGAGACCTGGCCCCAAGAAGGATCCATTCCAAGCTTACGGAGATTTTTGGTAAACTATGCCTTTCCTTCTCTGTTTCCTTCCATCTAACCCCCTTTTATTTCCTGAAATTAAATGGGAGTAAGTCACACTTTCTAAAATTTCCTTCAACCCTTCCCCAAAATATGCCACTTTCAACTTTGACTTTTAATAAAGGCAGAATGCAATGGCAAGGGTAGAAATGAGGACCAGCCACCACCATTAACTGGGGTTCTAAAGATAGAGAGATGAGGAAGACACAGACTTGAACAGAAGAATACACATTCAGTGGCCACTTCTAAGTCCAGGAAGACTAACGAATCCTAGAGAATCAAGAAAGAAAGAAGCAATTACTTCTAAAATTCCAAACCCTGTATGGTAGGAAGCAAAGTCCTGCTCTTGAATCAGGTGAAAGACCGCATAAAATTTATATCTGCTCTGTAAGATGCCACAAAATTCAAAAAGCAAGAAGACTGAAGAGGGCAGCCTTAACTCAAGAAGTCCCTTCCTACCTCTCCAAAGCTGGCCACCAGTGGTCTCCAATGCACAGAGCAAGCTCACTTCTTAAAAGGGGGACAACTCAAAATATCTGGTGCTGGTGGGAACCTTTCACCTTCAACAGAGTTTCTCATCATCATCTATTCTAAAGACATAATGGGTGATTTTCCGAATCACCCACTGAACCATAAATGCCAACTTCAGTAACTGTTCACTTCTAAAATTAACTGGTTAATAGCACTATTAGAAATCACTACTTAGAATAATTCCATACAGGACCCCAGGGATTGTATGTTAGGGTTCAGACATCTCTAAAACCTAACGTTTTATGCTAAATAAAGCCAGAGAGAAAATTATTGGGGAAAACTGATACATCTTTTGATCCAATAATAAAGACAATTTATTATGTCTAATGCTTCAGGTCTTAAGGAAAGCCAATAAGCAGGAATTACGACCAAAAGCAAATGACAGAAATAGCCTCAGGGGGAGCCTCTGAAAAGGCCCTTTCAATATTTAAACAAATGTACAATCATCAACCCAATTACGGCACAAATCCAGTGTATAAAGGAAGCACGTCAAATGTTTCAATTGTCCCATCTAAACGTTTCCATAGTTGCACTAGTTCTTAACAAAAAATCCATCAAAACCACAATAAGATACCAAGTCACACACACCCACCAGGATGACTACAATCCAAAGGATGATAAGTCTTGGTGACAATCAAGGATAGAGGATATATGGAAGGATATATGGAAAGGAGGACATATAGAAATCGAAACCTTCACACACTGCTAGTGGCACAGACGCTTTGGAAAACTCTGGTAGTTCCACAAAAGGTTAAACATAGAGTAACTATATGACCTGGCAATCTTGCTCCTAGAATTTCTCTTCCCAAGAGAAATCATAACATATGTCCATACAAAAACTTGTACACCAATGCTCACAGCAGCATTATAAATATAGTCAAATAGTGAAAACAATCCAAATGTCCAACTAATGAATAAGTAAAATGTGGTATGTCCATACAACAGAATACTATTTGACCATCAAAAAGAAATAAAATACTGATATATGCTACAACACGGGTGAAATATTACACAAAGTGAAAGAAGCTAGGCACAAAAGACCACATATTATATGATTACATTTACATGAAATGTCCAGAATAGGCAAGTGTACAGAGATAGTGGATTAGTTATTGCCCAGGGCTGGGAAGGTTGGGGGAAAATGGGGAGTGATGGCCAATAAGAATGGAGTTATTATTTTTTTAAGGTGCTGGAAATGTCCTAAGATTGACTGTGGTAATAGCTGTACATCTCTGTGAATACACTAAAAACCACTGAACTACACAGTTAGAACAGGTGAACTGCATAGGTGTGAATTATCAATGAAGCTGTTATTACATAGTAATAGAACTAGGTATCCCACACTTTTAGAACAGTAGACCTAAAAAAGTAGTCAAAACATCTGATTAGTTACAAGTCAATCAATAAACTCACACTTTAATATTAATTTTTTTTAAAGCTAAGACACCAGTACCATGGCTTGTGCCTGTAATTTCAGCTACTGAGGAGGCTGAGACAGTCAGATCACTGGAGGCCAGGAGTTCAAGACTAGCCTGGACAGCATAGTGAGACCGCTTATCTAAAAATTTTTTTTTAATTAGCTGAGCACGGTAGCACCCTCCTGTATTCCAGCTACTTGGGAGGCTCAGGCAGGAGGATCCCTTGAACCCAGGCATTCAAGGCTACAGTGAGTTTTAAGTGTGCCACTGCACTCCAGTCTTAGCAACACAGCAAGATCCCATCTCTAAAAAATATAAATAAATAAATAAAAGCTAGGGATTGGCCAGGCACGGTGGCTCATGCCCGTAATCCCAGCACTTTAGGAGGCTGAGGCGGCAGATCACCTGAAGTCAGGAGTTCGAGACCAGCCTGGCCAATATGGCGAAACACCATCTCTACTAAAAATACAAAAATCAGCCGGGCATGGTGGCGCACACCTGTAATCCCAGCTACTTAGGAGGCTGAGCCAGGAGAATCACTTGAACCCAGGAAGTGGAGGTTGTAGGCCAACAGAGTGAGACTCCATCTCAAAAGAAAAAAAAAAAGCTATGGATCACAATAAACAAAAATACCAGCATAAATCCTTATCCTTTTTTTCTTTCTGAGACAGGGTCTCACTCTGTCGCCCCAGGCTGAAGTGCAATGGCACAACTCACTGCAGCCTTGACTGCCCTGGCTCAAGCGATCCTCTCTCGCCTCAGCCTCCTGAGTAGCTGAGACTACAGGGATGTACCACCATACCCGGCTAATTTTTTCTGTTTTTTTTGTAGAGACAGGGTTTCGTCATGTTGCCCAGGCTGGTCTCAAACTCCTGAACTCAACCGATCCGCCCGTCTTGGCCTCCCAGCATGCTGGGATTACAGGCATGAGCCACGGCGCCTGGCCTAGCATAAATCCTTAAAAGCATTTAATGAGAAAATAATTTGGGGTCTAAATACACATTTTTCCCCCCAGACAAACGAGATACCGAAACAGATGTAACAACCAAATATAACCTTAAAACCTAAAAATCTGGAGAAGTGAGTCAAGTTCAGCTCATTAAGCTGACACCTATTAAAGCGCCATAAGAAAAACAGCCTGAAACACCATCAAAACAGATAAGAAAATCATTGTTTATAATAGTTATCGAAGGTCGAGGTTTTTTTGGTTTAATTTTGCATTTACTTAAAACTCTGTGTTTGATGCCAACAGGGTTCAAGTTGCACAGGAAGGTGCTTCGGCTAAACACGGATAGTCTTCCTTGATCTCCACTGTCTGCTGTGTGGGTTCCGCCAGCAAACCTCCCAGCGAGTGGTCACCTTCCTATGGAGTCATTAAACCTCTGAATGTCAGCTGGTGGGATTAGCCAGCAGCTTCCACACCTGAGCCCCCGTGGCAGGGACAGAGGCATTTGGATCAAGATCACTAATGAATACAGAATTCATATGCCGCTTGTCAGGGCTCCTGAGCTCAGAGTCGCACAGATGCAACCTAAATAAGACGGAGGACAGAACAATCGTTGACAAAGATTAAAAAGTTTTGGCAGTTGGGAAAAAAAGAGCACCTCATTATTCAAATATGATAGTCTTGCTTATTTTTTTTATTTTTGTTCAAGTTATTCATGATTCACCTCAAATGGACAAATGCCATTCACCAATATTTAAAGACTTCTTGGTCTCATTACTAAATCTGAAGAGGGCTGTGCTGTCTGTACATCAGCTATATGGAGAAAACAGCTCTCCTGTAAAACAGCTCTCTTGTAAATAATATTTGAAAATTTTAAGGGAATATAACAATCACAAGCTATTTAGGGTGGAGGGCAGTTTAAAAATGAAAAAAAAAATCTAGAATTAAAAGAAAAAAATGACCTTCCACAGCCAAGTGATTTTATTACATTTACTAACATCTCTATCTCTGACTTCCTTAAACTTTTCTGTTCCTGGGTTCCCTCCAATCACAGAGCTGCCAAAGAGCTTTACACACCTTGTCTGACACTTGCTTGGCTTTCTGCCGTCTTCACAAGACCTCATCAGAGAAAAGAAACAGCCCAAGCAGCCCACACCTCTGCTCACCTGGAATAAGATGTCTTTCCCAGTCTTGTTAAAGAATTACAGGAATAAGAAAGTGTTAAAGAATTAAAGGAATAAGATGTCTTTCCCTCCCTGTTGTGAAAGAATGACAAAGAGGCAGATATAGCCCAGTGGCTGAACCCATCGGAGGGCTCTAACGTCAGGCTGACCAGGGTTCAGACTCTGAGTCTTCCACTGAGTGTGTGACCTCTGGCCAGTTATTTGACCTCCCTACGGCCCAATTTTCTTCTCTACAAAATGGAGACAACAAAGTACTGACCTCAAGGAATTGCTGAAAAGTAAATGAAATAATATACCACTGTCTATGACCACCACATATGCCTGTCTCCAATATTACGCTTTCAGATAAGAAGGCCTGTATCTATCTATATCATGCTATAAATTCACCAAGCCTGATGCCAGCACAAATAATCACATTACTCGTTGCTATGCGATGTTTGTATCCTACTATTGAATAACTAAAAAAATAAAACCAGCTGCCATATTTTAGAGCCAATTTTGTGTGAGCCACCATCTAAGGTGTTTTTACAGGCCGCATCTAACGCTCACAGCAACGTGCAGGCAGGTCTCTGTTCCGATCGCACAGACAAGGATGCCCCTCTTCCCAGAGTCCTGCTGTAAGGACAGAGGAAACAGACCTGCAGCGCAATCCTCTAGCTCCCAAGCCCCATGCCCCTTTCCATGCAACCATATTGAACTCATACTATGTTCTCTTTTGGGACCATTCTATATGCCAAATAGCACAATTTTTTAATCAAAATAATGCAGATCTCTCACACTACTGTCCATCTGCAAAGCACAAATGAACCTGCAACTCAGTGTCTTCCTAATACTGGACTTACAAAAAAAACACACACACAGTTACTTCTAAGATTTGCTGTCAGAAAACCATATTGGTATCAACTCTCATTATTTAAAGTGGATCTATAGCTGCCTGCAATGACAGATTAATTCTGTTTCCTCAGTAGCTAGGTGTTTGGCATCACGCTTGTGAGGTAACCACAAGCCTTTAGGGCGATAGCTGCTCACATCTTTAGCAATCTATAAGGGCTTCTCTAGAGGCCAACACTTGCCGAGTGATGAGATATGACTCCATAAATCAGACGGCTGAAGTGGCGCTTGTATACGTCACCACCTATCTTCATAGCTTCTCTCTGAAGGGTATAGGGTAGGAGCTCATCCCTCGGTATTGCAACCAGAGAAAGGACCATCACAGTTGGCATTGACTAAGCATGTGCTACTTAAAACTGAAGACACACTAAGACTAGGGGAAAAAAAAGATCCTGCTGGTGTTAGCACGCCTCAGGCAGTGGTAGAAGCTTCAGCAACTCATCTTCAAAAGGCAGAGAGCCAGAGCTCTAGAAACCTGCAAAAATTGGCTAAGCCTGCAGTCTTCATTTCTTTAAGTTGAGCATCTTCAAAGTCTAGAATTCTAACTGTAGGGCACAGCAGCTGCCACTGCAGATCTGATCCTCTCAGCTTTTGGCAGCTCTCAACTTGAGATTCTAGCAAAAGAATTTTTCAAGTTGCTATTATTGCCTGTCATGGATTTATAAATATTGTGCACTATCTGCTGTGGCATGGCTCTCATGGGACGCCAGAGCATGCCAAATGCATAACAGAATGAAAAACAGTTTCTATTCTTCAAATAAATGCTAATTTTTTTTAACTGTGCTCACACGATGTGTTTGGTGACCAACTTCAATAGTACAGAATATGTATCAGAGAGGGGGGAAAAAAGCTGATTGTCTTTTCCAGCAGCATTCAGCTGCTACTTTCATTAAGCTTGTTTAATTAGATTCCAGATGCTAATTTGCAAGTCGATACCAGAGGGTGCAGGACAGTTTGCCTTTGAATCATCTCCCTGTGATGTGAGGGTCCTGCGCACACCACTACCCTTCAGCAGCCCTCGCAAGAT
The DNA here is from genome assembly GCF_000001405.40 of Homo sapiens. Taxonomy (NCBI): domain Eukaryota; kingdom Metazoa; phylum Chordata; class Mammalia; order Primates; family Hominidae; genus Homo; species Homo sapiens. Next base: position 124,378,566 of record NC_000009.12, read on the forward strand.
ATTCTGACAATTAGTGCAAAGAGGGGGCAGTATTGATCTTGACAGACTAAATATTAATCTTCTACCCATTTTAATGAATTGTAATCTCCAAGAGTTTAAATTTCTCACTAGGCCAAATGAAAACATCCCTTCTTACAAAGAAATAGAATAGAAGGAAAACTAACCTACATTATCGGATTCATTTAATTCTCTCTCCCCCTTAAATAAAACCCATGTTTCATTTTAGCAATTTTAGCAATTTTCAAGATACATATCTGCCAAGCTAATGCCATATTTCCAGGTATCATGATCAAACTCCTTATTTTTAACTGGAAAATGGACTGAAAATGCCCCAGCATGGTTATCACTAGTTTTCCTGTCCAGCTAAGCTAGCCTGTGGGTAAGAACCAGGACCAGGAGCTGAATTCTTATACCAGCCTTAACAATAGAGAAGAAAAAATCTGGGGGAATGCTCTGAGCAATTCATCATCACCAAAAAAACCTCTCATATAACTGACCCCTTGTCATCAGGTCAACTTACACATTTCAAAATCCCCTATTCTGGTAATACATTGGTACAGTGTCTGAATAAGCACCTTCACTGATAAAAATAAAGCACGAGATTTATCACCAGTAAGTAATACAATTTTTATACCTTCATTTCCATCACAGCTAAGTAGTGTGAACACTAAAGGTGAAATTATCAAACTGTTTCAAAGGAAGGTTACTCTCAGAATCACTAAGTAAAGTTGTGTTTAACACCTTTTTATCCACCCATTCAACACACACTGGCTGAATACCTACTATGCCCCAGTCACCATGCTAGGGCAAGGGAATAGAAACGACCAGGTGTACGCACAGTCCCTGCCCGAGAAGAATTCAGGCTCACAGCAAGGGAACAAACAAAAAAATGAAAATTAGAAGACCACTCAAGGTAGCGTTTAGGCCAAAACTGGGTGAGACTTTTTGAAGATTTTTAATGTGCCCTAAACTCACTTGGTTAGTTGAAACTCAGGAACTGAGGACTTTTACTTGAGGCAAGTCATAGCTCAGATAACTTAAAACAGCAGAAGCCCATCTTGGGCGTTTACGAATCCCAGCTGGGTTTCACTCTTCTGCTTTTTCGGCCTATAATTTCCCAATGAGCATTTGCCCTTTGCCCCATCTTCATTTTCCCTGTGTCCTTAATGGGGTGTTTGGTTTGCTGACTCTGTGCCCCAATACTGCACGCTGTTTGAGAAGTGTACTGGTTATCGTCCTCTGTTACCTTGAAAAGATGTTCAGCACTTTCTAGATAAAAAGAAAAGGTCCCTTCCATTTCCCAGGTGGTTTTGATAACTCAGACTAAGCTCAGGGTTATCCTACTGTCTCAAGGCAACAGACACATACTGAACCTCAGGAGCTAAGAACAGAGATGACTTCATGGCCCCTGCCCTCAAGGAGCTCCCTCTCTCACTGGCATGGAGGAGATGCCTCTGAAAACAGCCAGAAAACAACAGGACAGGTGTGTACAGTGCAGCACAGGGACACAAATAAATGAAGCAGCAACAGGGTACTGCTGGTGGGCACCAGTGGTAAGGAGTCCACGGCGAGCCAGTGCACGCTATATTCAAAGAACAGTGAGCAGACAAGAATGGCCAAAGGGAACTATGTTCCCCCAAAGTTTAATCCCTGGACTTACATGTGATGGTGATATATGAACCATTTTTATTTCTATCAATAGTATGTACCCACTTTCATGTGTCTTGAAAAATATAGGCTGGCCATGGTGGCTCATCTGAGCCCAGGAGTTTGAGACCATCCTGGGCAACATAGTGAGACCTCATCTCTACTAAAATTCAAAAAAATCTGCCAAGCGTGGTGGTACACAACTATAGTCCCAGCTACTTGGGAGGCAGAGGCGAGAAGATCACTTGAGCCTGGGAAGTCGAGGCTGCAGTGAGCCCTGGTCATGCCACTGCACTCCAGCCTGGGCAACAGAGCAAGATCCTGTCTTAAAAAGAGAAAAAGAAAAGAAAAATAGAACCAGTACATCAAACCCAGGATTTCAGATATAAACTGTATTTTAAAAATAAATTTAAGTTAAAAAGGTGAATCAAAGTGGTTGCTGGAAACATGGAGAATGGAACTGCCTGGAAAGGAGCCCTCGGGGGTAAAGGAAACGTTCTCTATCTTCATTTGAGTGCCAAAACCCATTGAACTCTACACTCAAGATCTGTGCACTTTATTATATGTAAATTATACCTTAATTTGAGTTAATTTAAATTTTCAAAAAAATTAATAGAGCAGGTGGCACCTGGATATGGCAGAAACCTTAAATGTAGTGTGTAAATGACAAGTTCAAAACGCAGTGATAGGCTGGCCCTGCCCAATAGATGTTCTGGTAGTTATGGTTTAAAAAATAGAATTAGATGATATTTTATTAATATTTTTATTTAGCCAATATACTTGAAACAGTACCATTTAACATATAATCAGTATAAAATTTATTGAGGTGTTTTAAAAGCTTCTTGTATTAAGTCTCTGAAACCTGGTGTGCGTTTTCCACTTACAGACCCTCTCAACTGACATTTCAAACGCTCGATAACCACGTAAGGTTAGCGCTGGACAGTGCAGCTAGAGATGACGGGAACACAAGACAGGTTTTTAAGGAGGGAGGAACTTGTATTCCATAAATACTATAGTCCAAAGGCCCAGCACTATCCAAAGTACAGGTTTGGAGATCAGGAAACAGAAAGACTTTGGGCTTCCTCTAATTTGTTATTTGTTTTAACGATAAAGCCAAGAGTTTATTTCATAAGTCTGGCCTAAAAATTACTGTTGGTTGAACAATTTGTTATTACAACAGCCTAAAACTGCCACTTTGCAAAGCAATTCTCTGTGAGTGAGTGGCAGTTACTGTCCTGGCAACCCATTCGAGGTGTGAAAGGCAGCAGTGCTATTCTCCTGGCTTTCTGTCTGAGACACATCTTTCCACACTGAAAGGAAACAGCAGGCTTAGTCACCCAATTCTGTGGTCTCTAATTAGGCAAGAAAAGTTATCCAGGGCTTTTTGACACAGAAAGAAAGTCTCCCTGGAAAGAAGGAAAATTAAAAGTTTGGAAATTTTAAACCAAACTGCCTTTGTTGTTATGAGTTCTATACAGACGCAGAACCAGAAATGACAGACACTTTGGCTGAATCTAAAATGGTGGCCTCTCAACTCTGCTAGGCAGTCTCAGCCTTCATTTAATATTCACCAAAAGCAAACAGTGTGGTTAGCACAGTTAGTGGCTTGGTCTTCACAATAAATGTTTCCTACTATTAACATCTCTTTAGATTTTTAAACAATTAATCTGCTGACAGCTGTTATTCTATTATGTGCCTTCTGTTTACTTTTAAACTCAACCACTAAAGAAGAAGGTACCACCTTCACCTTAATAAAGTGATTTTCAGCCGGGCATGGTGGCTCACACCTGTAATCCCAGCCTTTGGGAGGCCAAGGTAGGCAGACTGCTTGAGCTCAGGAGTTCCAGACCCACCTGGGCAGCATGGTGAAACCCAGTCTCTACAAGAATTGCTTGAACCCAGGAGGCAGAGGTTGCAGTGAGCCGAGATCATGCCACCGCACTCCAGCCTGGATGACAGAGTGAGACTCTGTCTCTCTCTCTTTTCTCTTTTTTTTTTTTTTTTTTTTTTTTTGAGACAAAGTCTGGCTCTGTCACCCAGGCTGGAATGCAGTGGTATGATCTCGGCTCACTGCAACCTCTGCCTCCCAGGTTCAAGTGATTCTCCTTCCTCAGCCTCCCGAGTAGCTGGGATTACAGGCGCCCGGTACCACGTCCGGCTAATTTTTTGTATTTTTAGTAGAGACAGGTTTCACCATGTTGGTCAGGCTGGTCTCGAACTCCTGACCTCAAGTGATCCACCCGCCTCAGCCTCCCAAAGTGTTGGGATTATAGGCATGAGCCGCTGCGCCCAGTCGAGACTCTGTCTCTAAAATAAATAAAGTGATTTTCACTGATTGTCAGTGTGCATGTGGTTTCAATAACAAGTGAATAAAGACCAGTAACCTAAAATTGTCCATTTAAATAATCAATGTGAAATAAGAATATGGCCAATCTGTTTCAAGGTCTCACAGCTAATGCTCCCAAGTTATGGACACAACTGATCTAAGAAACATTCTTCAGATTGATAATATCAATTTTATCGAAAGGATGCTGACATTCCCCTTTACTTCCCAAAATCACATCAAATATTGAATTCACAGCCTTTGAACCATTTCAAATCCAAACTCTAAATAAGGTAAAATTACTTTGGTGGAGTGTTAAAGTCACTTCTAATGTACCTCATACTCTCAACTTTTCCTACAATTCTCATTTTTCTTTAACATACGGAAGTCCCAATCAACTGGAGATAGACAAAGCTTTCAGGAAGATTTGAAAAGATTAATGTGTTTTAAAGAAGGGTTTGGCATTACTGAGGTGATTTTCTAAACAAAACTCAAGAGTACGCCTCCTTGTACCTCTGTGAGTTCTAATGGATGCGTAGAACCTTAGGAACTCCTCTCCTATAGTTAGAAAACTGGGGAACTTTTTTTCTTTTCTTTTTCAAGTGACCTACTATTAATATATCCTATTTTTTCTCTGTATTTAAGAAGGCCAAATAGAAAATAATGCTGATATGGGAGTAACTGTTCACATTGAGAAATGAGAACAGAATCCCAATCTCATTTATTGTCTATACTTGGACCTGTTTACTATTCTTAATTGGAACAAGACATTATCATTTTTAGTGTAAAACACCTAAATTCTATACACTATGTTTTAATTCCTGCAGCTATCCGAGAAGCGAAGAAATCTTGCCAAGTGACCAAGTCACTTATGTGAGCTATCCCCATGTACCGAGGGTAGGTATCGCAGTTTCCAGCAGAAAACCCCTATCTGTCCTGGCTGATCAGTATCTTTAATCCTACTTTCTCTGGCTTTGACAGCACTTGGTCCAAACCTAAAGGGCAGAGAGAGCTTCAGAGTTCCAATGACACTTGGTGCTCCAATGACAATGAGATGACGGAAGAACAAAATATTTTTAATAAGCAATCTTTTCCAAAGATGACTGGACATAAGGCACTGTCAAAAAGCAATTCCCAGAGACACCCTCTGGTCCCTAAACAATACTGCGAAGTCAGAAATGGCAAAAACCTACATACTAAGAAATAGGGTAAACCACTCATAAACTACCTATTAATTGTTGAAAAGAAGTTGATACTCCCCATCAAAAAATTAACAACCATCAAAAAAGCTTATGTGCCGAATGCTGGTTTAGCGGCCAGATGTAGTGCCGTGGAGGAGTAACGTGGTACCATGATGGATCCAGGCATATTCAACATTCCTGCGACAGTGACCATGGAAGAGCTGTGCATTTGTCCTGAAGATGTAGGGGGTGGCGGGGTGGAGACAATCTATCATTAAAGTAGACTTAAGTGGAGTATCATTCAGAAGATACCACCTTCCCCCACCACCAAAGAAAACACAATAAAAGAATCTCTCATACATGTATCTGAGACACTAGATCATTACGCTCTGAGATGAATCCCCCACATGTGTGGTCTTGTCCCCATCTTCTGCCAGATGCAGAATCATCTACAGGGATTTTTAAAACTGCCTCCATTTTCAGGTCACGTCTCTGTAACATGCAAAGACATACACAGTTTTTCTGTTCTTAGTAAGAACAGAAAAACCTGTCATTTTGAGATATCGTGACACAGAAAGCTTGGTGCGCAAGAAAACATTCCACGTTACCACCGCATTTACAGTCAAGAAGATTCCTAGACAGCCCAAAGCCCAGAGCAAAAAGCTGGATAGCGCTGGTGCCTCAAGCCCAAGGAAGGGCACAGCTGGGCCACTACAAAAGGAAGCTGGTCTCTTCGGCAAACAGACCATCTGTGCCAAAGAACATTCCAACTAACAACAGTGCTGTACAAGCTCGGGAGGAATCAGCAATCAATTTGTAAATGTTCAAGATAAAACCAGAAAAATCTTTGAAAAAGAATAAAACTGCAGGGACTTACATACCTCCATGTCTGGCCTAAACTTATCTTCAAATACAGCCATTGCTGCCAAGGAGCCAGAACCTGCAAGAAAAAGGTGCACTTTTAGTGTATTTTATGATATCCCAGCTTATCCATCTCAAGTTTACCTAGGGGCAAGAAAAACAGCAAAACATGCCCAGTGTCTCATTCAAGTACAGTGTAAATATTAATTCTACAGGGCCACATAAACCAGGTAAAAACAGTGCTCTTCAAAAGCCTGGAGTCACACTTACCACTATCTAAGGTAAATCTGCAACTGGTCCTACTTCCACCACTGACAGGTATAATTGTAAATTATTCACAATAAAATGCTGAAGCATGAAAATGAGGTTATGGAGAATTTGGATTTTGTTCAAACAGTGACTGCCACATAATTTCCCGTGTTCTATGCTGTGAGTCTAGTGCTCCATATTGTGCCTTGGCAGGCTGCTGGGTATAGCGCTAAATACCAAGCCAGTTCCAAAGAAAAGATTGTTTTAATGAGCTGGCCCTGGTAGAGTCACCTTGACACGCAGGGAAGAAACTACCGCACCAGCAATGGTAATAGGACTGCGAGCAGCAGCCACCAGGTTATTCCAGCTACAACTGTAAAACACTTTATTATGTGGCATTTATTTGGAGCTATTATTTTTAGTTTGTACTTTGAAGAGTAACAGCTGAATAGACAAAATGACAGACAAAGAAACAAAAATTTATTATCACAATAGCAAATGGCTGAAAGGTTATGCTGCATAGGTATTAACGGATAGCAAATTTATCCCTACAAAAGTAGGACGTAAAGCCATTACAAATAAGCGTGGGCTCCCTTTGAATGGATGCAAAAGGCAGCTAAGCACTCCTTGAAAATTTAAATTTGCTTTGTTCAAAAACCAGAGAATCTTTAGAAAATCATCATCTTGTCTTTACAGGTCCTGGCAATATTTCAGGATACTCCACTTTTGGAGAGAGGATAGAGTTGCCCACAATTTTTTACTCCAATTAGAAGATTTTTTTGGCATTTATTACTTTTTAACTTGTTTTGCATAACACTATCTATTTAGCTGGGTCACAGAGAAAACCATATTTTCTATTTAAAATGATTTGTGTACATCGCTTGACCACCTCAATGGTTTAGCAAAGGAAAAAGGCAGCGATTAAACAGTTTCAAATGAGGTGTCCTGCTGATTTTATCAAGTCTGCTGAATGTATAATGAAAAAGGAGAAGCTGACAGCAACGCCGCATTGAGAAAATACAGACTACCTTATCTGAACCATTTAAGGAGGTCCAATTATAGATCAAATTTAAAGGGTAGAAACAGCAGATTTACAGACACAAATCAATGAACATGGTAATCCCGATGAATATGACAGATACTCCTGTTAGGGAATATTGCTGCGGTTGAGGATCATTACCTTCACAGTACCGGATACATCACATCTAAAGCCATAGGAAGCGTCAAGTGTAAACCAGCATTACAAGCAATGACTATTCATTTAGGCTTTGGGAGCAAAAGGCAACCCGATTTTCCCCTCCTCACAATTTTTTTCTCCTTAAAAAAAAAAAAAAAACTAAAATGGTGATCTAAAGGGACATTAAAAGCCCTCTGAAAAGGAGATAGAAATTAAACAGATATAAAACTAGTAAACTCAGATAAAACTAGCACATATGTGAGAGCAAATTCAGCAAAACAAACCTCTGAATTTCAAAGTAAACATGTCCTTGAAGATGTGGAAACAGGGTCAAACTCCACCAATGTTCTGTGAGTCACATATTTACTCTGAGATTCAGGGGTCAAGGGGGAAAGTTAACCTAAGTTGCTGTTTTCAGGCCCAGGTGAGAACCAGTCTCAGACTTACTAGTAAAAGCAAGCTGGTTTTGTGTGGAAAGCGAAAGACAGCTGCCATGAACGAACGAGGCAACTGCAAATGAAGAATCTCAGGAAAAAATACTCCCAGATATAGACCAATCCTGCACAGCACTGATGAGCAGACTGGTCTCTTCCAACAAAGTCCAAGAATATCTCCACGAAGAACACAAGGGTAATCAACCAGAGGCCAGAAATAAACATTTAAAAAAGGACAGGGAGAAGACAGGTATTTAGCTAGGAGCTAACAACTTGTGGAAAACTGTAATGAATTGTTAAAAAAGAAAAACAAGCTTACCTTAAAGGCATTTTTCCTTAAAAATCACTAGCTGTTTTTTCCTCCGGGGCCATTCCTTTCCTTGGCAGTTGCACAGTAAATTTTTTTTTTTTTGCTCTATTCTTTTTCCTAGGCACATATATTTCCTTCTGCTCAGCTTCACTCAATAATTTAAGAAATGAAAAATATTTCCCTCCCCAAATAATTATTTCTTTAAAACCTTTTTCCTGGCCGGGCGCGGTGGCTCACGCCTGTAATCCCAGAACTTTGGGAGGCCGAGGTGGGCGGATCACAAGGTGAGGAGATTGAGACCATCCTGGCTAGCACAGTGAAACCCTGTCTCTACTAAAAATACAAAACATTAGCCGAGCATGGTGGTGGGCGCCTGTAGTCCCAGCTACGCAGGAGGCTGAGGCAGGAGAATGGCATGAACCCGGGAGGCAGAGTTTGCAGTGAGCCCAGATCGCGCAACTGCACTCCAGCCTGGGCGACAGAGCAAGACTCTGTCTCAAACAAAAAAACAAACAAACAAAAAACCTTTTTCCTGCCTAGAAACAATATTACAGACAAAATTTCTATAAGTGGAAATAACACACTAAACCCACAGACTCTTGGAACAAAAGAGTTTCTCCAATGTGGGGAGGCTCTCTACATTATCAGACAGGCATATAAGACAAGTAAACATAGGACTTGGGGCTTTTACTACACTGTATTTCTGGCTTCCCCTTTTTATACCTCAAAAAATACATACATACACACACACACACTCTCTCTCTCGAGAAATTTTCTGAAAAGCAGGAGCTTCCCAACCTGATTCTGCTTCCCATGAAATCAAAGACAAGAGGGCCCCAAAATAAACTTGAAAAGAAAGGGAAATTCAACATTAAAAATAATTTCTAAATCACTTGCAAATTAGCTCCTGCTCCCAGCTTTTCAGGAAAGGAGGACTTTGGCGCCCCCTTTTCAGAAATACACAGAAGTGTTTGGAGATAGAAAACCTGTCAACAGGTTTGTAGATACCTCTGAATGTGTGTCTGCCATTTAGAAAACTGGGGTGAGAATTTCAAATACAGCTGCAATTGCCTGAAGTGACAAGAGAACATAATTTCAAGGCAATGCAGTGGGGGACACAAGGAACAAGAAGTTGGCCATTTAAAAAAAAAAAAAAAGATGGTAAACTCAGGCCAGTATTCTTTAAAGATAATTTCATTCAAGTTTCCTAGATACTGGTCCAACATCCAAAACTACATACAATAAATCACCAGTCAAATGCCATTCTACTACAGCCACCATGTGACCTGTAAAACATTAATATATTACATCCTCTTTTCCCTATAAACCACTAATAATGCCCTGAGACATTCTGTTATTTCAGCATCAACTACCTAAGCTGGCACTCTCTTCATACACAAAACCAAGGCGAAAATCTTTTGAAGGATCATTTGCTCTGATTTTTTATTCCAAAAGCAGAGACATCTTAGACATCAGAACTGTCTGGTTTCCCATTAAAGAACAGATACACAGAAAAGCCAGGGGACAGCGTGGCCAGGACTGGGCCTCTGCTGTACACTCGAGTATGCCAGTGAAGGAAAGGCAGGTCAGAGAGGACGTGCCCTCCACAAATGCAGGCTATGCTCCATGAGCAAGGGTGAGGCCTCAGAGAACTTACTCCAGTCAGGAGGAGAAGGAAGCCAAAGAGAAGAACAAGGGCCTTCTGCTAAGCACCCGCCAGGTGCCATGCGGCCTATTTTAGGTCATTTCATCATCCTCATAGCAACCCACTAATGTGAGAAAGCTCCTTGTCTAGGACTACAGGAAACAAGCACAGGGGTGGGATTCCTGTCTCAGCTGTTGACCCTATGTCGCGCTCTCATACAAAAAGTCCTATATGCTACAATACAGTTGAGAGAGGACACGCAAGACCTTCCATGACCAGGTTTCTACCTCCTTCGGCTCCCTCCCATCCCCCATACACACCCCTGATACTCCACCAACACCACGCTGCCCATGATTTCCTAAATGCCCGTGCCAGTTCAAGCCTATCTCACAGAGCACATGGCAGTCCACAGAACTCCCAGTCACCCTTCAAACTCCAGCTGAGAGATCACTTCTTCCTAGAACCCTTCCTTGGTCACTCCCCTCCACAGGGTTTATCACTCTCATCTCTGCAACTTGTCCATCCTTTCATATCTGCAGCCTCCATCCCCAACAGTCTCTGACACATGGCAGCATTAGGAGAGACGCTTATTGAATGAAGCTGCACTAAAAGTGAGGCCAACTACCCAAATGAGGGAGCCAAAAAAAACTCTAAGCTGCCCCTGAAGGTGTGAGGATAGCAGTAAATGCCTGGATAAGGTGTAAAGCAATATTTATCGCCTAGTTTACCATACTAGGCTGAATATAAGACAAACTCAAGTGTAGAGCCAGTTCAATTTTCAAAAAGGAAAAAGGGCCTTAAAAACCACAAAACCAAGTCCTGTTATATGTCCTAGTCCAGTCCAAACCACTGTGATATCACAGGAGTGAATGGCCTTTCCTGGATTTCTGCACTATATTAATACTACTGACGCTCTCGGTCTCATCAGTAGTTTCCATGAAGCTGCTCCTTAGCAACCTTCCCCAAGCCTGCCTTTCAGCACACCCACGGTTACTGAGTACCCAGTACTGCTTCCAGAACAAAGCTCTTTAAAACAGAAAAACAAGGTGCAATTCAGTGACCAGCACTTAGGTGAATGTAAGTGAGGACACTATGATGGCTACCTAGTCCCCTCAGACTGACCTCCTGCATCCACTGCCCTCCCCCAAGCCCACCTACACACCCTGTTCAACACCCGCCACCCCAACCCACCAAGAAGCCGGGCTGTGGAGAGACAGGGAGGCAGGGAGGACAAATGTCTCTTTCCCTTTCACCTGCAGGGCACTCCCCCATCCACTGCAGACACTCCACAGCTGCTCCAGCTAGGTCCTCATTCAAAGCTCCTCCTGCAACCAATGCCCTGTGGAGTCCTGGAAAGAGCACCTGGCCTGCTTCCCAGCTCTGTCAGGGCCGGACTCACCCACAGACCCTCTTGTCACCCACATCTGCTGCGCCCCAGGAGAAGGAGTCCCAAGCACCAGTTCCACAAGGACCACACCTCCAGCCAGTCTGTTACAATGAAACATCTTATAATAGCAGGCCCACTAGCTTATAAACAAAATTACTAGCTCCTTTAAGAATGTAAAATAAAAGCCCTGAAACTCCGAAAAATACATGCAACATGCAGAACATTAATAACTAAAAAGAGCTCACAGATAACTACATCAAGACTCCAAGAGAGAAGACAGTAGTTTACGAAAGAGAAAAGGTAGAGGCCTATATACATTAAGCAACACTGATCAAGTTCACTAGCAATCAAAGAAATATGAATTGAAGTAAAATAACTACCTTTTGCCTTTTTAATTAGCAAAGATTAAAAAGAATAATAGTGCTGACAAAGGTGTGATCAAATGGGTACTTTGACACACTTGGAGAAGCAGAAATGGATAGAACTCTTCTAATGGGCAATGTAGAAACATCGATTGGAAATCATACAGCTATACATACCCACCAAACCAGCAAATCTCTTAGGGACTTATTCTAAAGAAACACATGGACAAGTACCCAAGTCACGTATCTTAAAAGATCATTGTTTAGATTAAAGGGGAAAAAAAAAATACCTGGAAGTAAATGTAAAGGTTCAACAATCAGGAGCCAGGGAAAATAAACAATAAAATACTATACACACAGACATTAAACATGACAAAGTAGAAGTACATTTTTTTGGCAATGGGAAGAGATCCATGCTATAGTATTTAGTGGGGGAAAAACATGTTCTAAAGCAAAATTAACAGACATGCTTATGCACTATATATTATACAAACCTGGAAGCATATAAATCAAAATATTAAGCTTATTTCTGGGTGGTGCTATTTTCTTTTTACTTGTATTTTTAAATTTTTCTTCAAAGTGCAGGCATTAATAGCAATTTTTTAAGGTATAAAAAATTGAAGAAAATCCAACATTGTGAGGGGATGGAAAAAACAAGCAAAAGACCAAGACTTTGCTAGCTGTCACAGTCTCCGTGTAACAGCAGCAGCAGGCAGCTTATTCCTTACATTTGTATACAAGGGCCTAAAGGTCAATCCATGCATGAGTCAACAGACCCAAAGAACAACAGCAATCAATCATCACAAACAAATACACCATGTCTCTCCTGCCTAACGTCCTTAGGAGGGCTTCCTTAGGACCGTCTTAGAGGTACAATCATCTTAATAATGAAGTCCTCTGAGCGTTTCAGCATGGGGCTAGACCCCACTTATCCAGAAGTGTACTCTTGGCAAACACAGCACTGAACAAACTACAACAGATGCACACGGTACTTAAGAACTTTCACAGCACAGTCACATCAGTTTTGTTTGCTCTTCAGGCATGGCAAGTAGTAGTAGTCCCATTTTACAAAAGGAGAATAAAGCTCAAAGATAAGGAACGTGCCCAGATCACACAGCCAGTGATAAGCAAATCTGGGATTCTGAAGCCAGATCTTTCTGAATTTAAAGTGTGCGATGTTCTTTCCATTCCACCACGTTTGCCTCTTAAATAGCAAAGCCAAATGCTTGAAATCAAGATTAGCAAGTAAGCCTGGGAGATGGAGCTATCTTTTCTTAGCTCCCCACCCCAAAAAAGCATGCTTTCAAACTTGCTTCTTCTTTAGATTTCAGCTCGATTACCACACACATCTGGATATAGTTAATTTGTGTTGTTTTGCTTGGAAATTCAAATGAGACTGGAATTTAGTTAAATGTTTTAAATGATTAAACATATGCCATTCACTGTTTAGCAATGCCACTCAAGTATCTGTTATAACAGCATTTATTTTAAAATAGTCTCATTCAAAAAAAAAAAAAAACCTAAAATTAGTCTCCATTTTCTAAAACCTCTGAAGGTGTTTCGATCTTAGCTTACCAGGATTAGTAACTCACTTTGAAACTAACTTTTTCTGAGCGAACAATCCAATTCAGGATGAAATCTGAAATTTTACAATCTAGATATTGCTTTTACTTGTTCTGTACATTTAAATGTGTTATTTTTCTATGTCAGAGTTCACTAAAATACTCAACAAACTTAGCAATTCTATAATCTATGTTATTAGATATGCTAAAGAAACAGTAAAAGACTGAAATAATTTCCTAAAACCTGCTGCTTCTAAGTCAAAAGCTAGGAAGGACCTGAAAGGTAGAAATTTGCTTTTTCTAATAAGGTGCTCACTAACTCTCAAACTGGGGAAGGGGAAAACATTCATTGACGGTCTTAGGTCCTGGACCCTGAACTCAAGTACTGGGAGTATTTGGCCCTTTTACAGACAAGGAAATTGAGACTCAACTGGTTCCAAATAGTTTGCCCATGGCAAGAGTCAATGAGAAGCGGAGCCAAGCTTTAAACCTAGGTCCTATTCTGAAGCATGGGTTCTCAAGCTCATGCACCCTTCAGAAGGGCAACTTCCCACTCTTTCTTCAAACAACCCATTCCCAGGTGCCCACGCAGGAGCAGCAGGCTCTGGGAACACCAAGAGGCACAAGAGGTGGCCCGGCTCTGGCGCTCCCTAGCTGGGCATATCACTCCGAGCTCTGCAAAGCTGCCAAAGTTGCTCCAGGAGGCACAAGCAACTGCATCAAGCACAGCGTGAATGATGCAACCGGAAACCGAGGGGCACAGCAGCCCTACTGAACTAGGTTCCTTCCCCGCACAAGAGGGCAGGGGACAGGAGGTGCCTTCCTCAAAGGGTGGCTCTGAGGGTTACACAAGATGGCACGTGTAAAGCAAAATGCTGGGGACACTAAAAGTTCAAGAAAAGCTGGCTGATGAAATTCCTCTCCGACAAGCTCCTGGTCCTCCAGGCAGCTATTTTATACAATCACTCTCAGCAAGTCCCAGGGTTGGCAGCTTTCATGGAAATAGAGGTCTTCAGAATTTCTTTCTCAAAGTCATGAAGTTATGAGAGGCAGCAGGAAATGGATTTCTACTGCTTTTCCCCAAATCAATTTAACCAGATCGTCTCAGGAAAAAAAGCTGCTCCTTCTGCTAAAGAGCGGTCCATTTTAAGCAGCCAAGGACCTGTTTGCCACCATGGCCTGCCAAGGTGTAAGATGTATGCGGCGATAACAGAGTCACACACAGGACTTTCTAATCCATCAGTGTCAGCTCTCCCTGACAGAGCGCTTACTCACACTTGCTCATTGTTAGTCAACTGGCCACTCATCCTGGGTAAAATTTGGTGCTTTCCACAGACCCACAGACTGGGATCATTTTTCACTCCATTCCTGCCTCCAAGGCCTCATCTCCTAGTACTGGTGCTTGCTCTGGAGGCCAACAATGCCAATGTGTGCAGAGCTGATTGATGAATATAAAATAAGGCGGGCACCAGGGGACCATATCCAGCCACTAGAGAGCAGTGGAGCACCTCTCACTGCTCGGTAAAACAGACGCAGGCTTTAAATGGTTTAATTGTATGCATGCATTTCATTATAAGTCCTGGCCAAAAGCTTCCCGGCGAGGCAAGCCAAGCAATCAGACAATCTTGCATCGCTTGCTGAAATCCAGATTTGTCCTTTGTCAGCATAAACAGTTTAATTTGATGTTTTCACTCCTGAGTAAGCACTGAGTATTACATTTAAACCCCTCATGAGGGAGAAGAATGCTTCCTTTTCATCAGCAAATGTACCTCAATGTCAAAGTCTACCTTTTATTCCCAATGAATTTAAAAAAGTATTCCATTTAATTTGCTAAAAATATTTGTAAGGCATCCAACAATTTCACTCAAAAGCTAATTCCTCAAAAAACGGAGTTCCTTTTCTAAATGTAATATAGTCAAAGAGGAGTTACATTTTACCCTAATAATTTAAAACACCACTTGAAGGGAAAAGGGATTTTTCTTATAATTGCAACTGCAACATCTCATTGACCTGACAGGTTATAAACACTTATTCTTCAGAAAAGACTAACAATCACGGCATCAGGGCCTAAAATGTGAGAGGTTTTATTTCATTAATGCATTTTAATGAAATGTCACAAGATATGGAGAGAGAACATTTTTTCCTTAAAACATAGGTGTCACCTACCCCTGTTTAGAGGACAAAATGGAGGACGAAAATGACCCTAAAATGCACCTATCTTAATCAGTCCCCTGCACCACGAGGCCACACCGGGAAACCGAAGCTGAGTGCAAGGCATACACCCTGCCCTGCTGCCGCAGGAACGCAGGGCAGTGGGAGCTGGCAAGTCTCTTAAAGGTCCCCTTTACTCAGGTCCATATTTCAAAATAACTTCCCAAACTTCAGGGCATTCCACTTTAATTGATGGACTAGACAGTATTATTTTCATTGTATGGATGGAAGAAGCTAAAGTTCACAGAAAGGAAGGAGGCTACCCAAAGTCATGCAGCCAGGAATGGCAGCATGGGTACATGAACTCAGATCTGGTTAACAGCAAATCCCTCATTCTGTGAACTACACAGTGAAAAGCCTTCTGATGGCTAAGATGACTTTCCACGTAGTCTGACCAATGAGGAAGTAAAAGGCATCAAGCACTAGGTCATAAGCATATAAAGGCACTTTCCTTTAGCAGGGGCGACTCTGGTCCAATTCTGAAACAAGAGCAGATAAAGATGAGCTGGTTAACCTCACTCTCTCTCAGTGGGGTTTAAAGCAAAGAACTTTAAACTGAGCATTTCCTTTAACTGTTCTGAAAAGTGCTCTGGCAAGGGCTTTTACTTGGTTGTAGGCTGAGGACAATTCAAATCAGGAGACTTTGTGGTAAAATGTCAGAGCAGGGAAAAAAGGAGGAAGAGCACCCATACATTAATTCAATACCTCACCATTTTGTCTATAAAAGGTGTTTAATATTTTTTTACACAGAATCAAGAACAAAATCCAATCTAATTAGAATAAATTAAGAACTGGCAAGGGCTGACTATATTACATTTCCTGTAACAATATGAATTTTAGAAGTAAGTATTTTCTCATTTCCTGATATCACGGCACCATCTATTGGCTTAGTACCACCTTTGCAGCAACCAAGAAACAAGATGCATTCATTCAACTTTCACGGGCTTTTGGTTCCCAGCTGTTTTATTCCTGGCACTCCACCGCAACATAATTTTAAGATATAAAATCCATTCACTGCACATTTTAAATCTTCTAAAATGCATCTTATATTAATCAAAGCAGGAAAAAGTGCCAGAGAAATCTTGACACAGAGAGCTACACACAGAAAAATGTATTGACACTAAAACTATCAAAATACTATGCACCAAACATCTACTACATGCTACATACAAAAGACTTTTATGTTTGGTATCTCACTTCATGCTCACACATGAAGTAAGCATTACAGAAGAAATCAATGTTCACAGTCAAACAGCTAAATGAATGTTAGACTTAAGATATGAACCCAGGCTAAGCATAGTGGCTCATGCCTATAATCCCAGCACTCTGGGAAGCCAAGGCAGGAGGATCACTTAAGACCAGAAGTTCCAGACCAGCCCGAAAAACACAGTGAGACCCCGTCTCTACCAAAAAAAGAAAGAAATTAAAAAAAAAAAAATCAGTAGTGGTGTGCCCATAGTCCCAACTACTTGGGAGGCAGAGGTAGGAGGATCACTTGAGCTCAGGAGTTTGAGGGTACAATGAGCTATAATCACACCACTGCATTTCAGCCTGGCGACAGAGCAAGACCCCGCCCCTAAAAAATAAAAACAAATAAGTTAATTATTATTTTTTAAAAAGATCTGAACCCTATTTGACTTCAAAAACCAGTTTTCATGCAGCCACACTGCCTCAAAAAATGGCCAAAAGCAACATATCCACATAAAAAGCACACAGTGATGTACAGAGCGTGCACACATAAAACGCGACGCTTCAGCACCCCAATAACCCTGTGACCTTCCCAAGTCAAAAAAAGTAGCTTCATTTTAGAAATAGGGGTTATGAGGTTCCAGAGGTTAGGTGACTAGGCTCTCTGGTCAAGCAGAGCTGGGACCAAAGCAAGGGCTTCCACCTCTTTTTCTAGAATCCTAAGTGATACTTCATTCAGGGGTTTTCAGAAAAGGCAGTCACTGGCTGTGTGGACAAAGCTCCTGCTGGAATAGGGTCTCCTACACCAGCACAGCTCCTCCCTTGCCCAGCCCCTGGCCCACGGAGAGCAGGGACACAGGGGCAATCCAGTTCCTATGGAGACACATGCTTCTAAAGCCTCTTATACACAGTCAACCACATGGCTGACCCCAGAGCAGGCAGAAGAATTTCCAGCAACACACGGCTATGAAGTCCATATATACGTGCCCTCTGAGGTTTTTATGAAGTAAACATGCTGCTAAATTTGCACCCAATTTAACAGTTGAAAATGAATATAGACGAAACATTTGCCATCTTAAAGTGCACTAATTTGATCCTGTGCAGGACAACTTTCAAAATCAAGTCATGTGGAGGTATCAAAATATCTATACAAAGGTTGTACTTGAGTATAAAAATACAGAAAAGGTTGTACTTTAGCATAAAAATACAGAAAAGGTTGTACTTTAGTGTAAAAATACAGAAAAGGCTGTACTTTAGCGTAACGATGGCAAATCTGAACTCCCTATCCATGTTCCTAAGTTCTCACTTAATTGTAAGATTCTTCTGCCCACAAGGTGAGACATCCAGCATGCTTACTACTCTGTCCCACATCTTTCTCACTGCTCAGAGGCCCTGTAAACTGGGACTTAGTAGGTGCATTCCAGTAATTAGGAAACTGTATAACCAGTTTATCTGGAGAGAGAATTCTACCTGGATGGCCCTGGCAGTGACCCCAAGTCTTTCCTAATGGTGCATAGCAATGTTTATTCCTTAAGTCAGTATTCCTAAATTGTCCAAGGACCTCATTTTCAGGAATGTCATGCTTGAAATTTTATTCATGTTAATTCTCTATGTGGATAAGCAGGCAAAAACAAAAATTTTATATACCTTGCCAATGCTGCTACAAGGAACACTGCCAAGCTAATAGCAAAAGATGGTCCCCAAGCTTCTTCTGACACTACTTCAGCTTGCCTAATAAAGAAAAGCTGGCAAGTTCAAAGAATAAGCTAATTAATCTGAGAATTAAAAGAACCCACATTATGTCTATAAAAACATAACTAAAATGCTTTCCCTTTCCTAATAAAGTCAAAAAATCTTGCCTAGCTTTTAACAATCAAATGAATCGATCACCAGTAGCCTCTTCCAAATTACTCTCTTAAAAAAGAAGTAAATGAAACCGACGGGATCCTTTTTCTTTTTGGAGAATAAGCCACATGCCATGTACCAACAGGAAAAAGTCAGAAACTGAGGTTCCCATTCTCACTCACATACTTCCTTACTTGTGGTTCAAGTAACCTCTCTGAGCCTCAGTTTCCTCATCTTTAAGACAGGGATGATGGCACCCACCTCACAGTGGTGCAAAGATTGTATCAGTAAAGCATCCCACAACAGGTGTAGGTGCTACAGCTGGATGAACGCTGCTCTCATTGTAGTCAATGTGATGTTCACAAAGAAGGTTTTAGGGCAGAAACTGTCCAGGGGCCACACCACCAGGAGTCTGATATATTAGTCTCCCAAATAAACTCTCAGGAAGGCCAGTCCTCAGAGAGTCCTGCTCCTGGACCCAGCGCTCAATGCAGATCAGCTGTGCCTCAAGTTAAAGATGCGCAAGACAAGACAGGTGTCTTCTATTCAATGTAAATTAAGAGCAGCCTTCAGGCGCCTGGCTAGTAGCCAATACAGGCCCATGGGTAGACAAAATTTAGACACCCTTGTCTTCTGGTTAATTTATAGCTTCCAGCTCTTACTGTCAAATCACTCAGAAAAAAGAAAAAAAAAGATTAATTACAAAGTTTTGCTTTTATTCTTCATAATAAAAAACTCACAATCTAACTAAAACATGAGAATTCAGATGAAATATTCATTTTCTCACTTAAGCTACAATTACAGAAAGCCTTGATTCCACAGTGAATGCTAATGTTCCATGGAGGCATTTCATTTAGGAGGACCTTCTATTTTATCTGGAGTGTGAGGTTTGGTTTGTAGCTCACTCAAAATAATAAGCATGAGTTAAAACAAAATCCAGCCAGGCACAGTGGCTCATGCCTGTAATCCCAGCACTTTGGGAGGCCGAGGCGGGTGGATCACTTGAGATCAGGAGTTCAAGACCAGCCTGGCCAACACGGTGAAACCCCGTCTCTACTAAAAATACAAAAATTAGCAGGGCGTGGCTAATTATAGGCACACGCCTGTAATCCCAGCTACTTGGGAGGCGGAGGCAGGATCACTTGAACCCAGGAGGTGGAGGCTGCAGTGAGCCAAAATCGAGCCACTTAACTCCAGCCTGGGCAACAGAGTGAGACTCCATCTCAAAAAAAAAAAAACCACCAAATTTTAGCAATTCTGAGTTCTCTCTCAATACCCAACTCCTCACTCCCTCGAAAGGAAAGGGTAAAGAAGGCAGGGAGGGGAGGGGTGAAAGAAGGTTAGGGAAAGAAAAAAGAGACAAAACAACAAAAATCAAACTCAGATTAGGAAGAAAGCCAGCCCTGCACAGCTACGACCACGGAACAATGGCTGAAAGAAACTAAGAGAGCCACAGAGACAAAGCCCAGGCGAGTACAAAACCGTGATCTTACATTCTCTGTAAAGAGCTCCTCTTCACAATGGACTTGGATTGGAAAGAAACAAAAAGTAAAAATCACGTTGTTTTTGGGTAGTAAAATTGTGGAGATATATATGCATATATATAGTTTAATTTCCTTTGCTGCAATAAGGCTGTTTCAGTAAATACTGTTTTCAACATGCAGGACAGAGAACCTATGCAGAGAACAGTCAAAAATACAAAATCCAGTAAGTGCCCTTCGGGAATCTGTATAAATATTTTTAGTATTCAGAAGCAAGGCTTAATAGCTAAGTGAAATCACATCTGTAGGATGATAAAATCACAGCAGCTGTGTTGTACTGGGGCTTGCCAGAGATGGAAGACAAGGGTTCAAATCCCAGCTTTGTCACTTATGGGGCTGAGTGACACTAGGTAAGTTGCTAAATCTCTCTAACTTTCAGGTTTCTCGTCAGTAAAATAGCAATAATAGCATCCCTTACACTGAATTTTAACTGAAAATAATGTGCCAGCACCCAGCAGACTCTGGCACAGAGACATTCCCATAAATATGCTTTAAATTCAAAATAATACTAAGCTTTAACCAAAAAAAAAAAAAAAAAAGTAAAAGGACCTGTCACATTTACAACACTTTACAGCTAAACTGGGACCACACAAATGGAACACAATCTAAACCAACTGCATTCCAGGGGTGCTGCAAACTGCTAGTTCACAAACAATGAACAGCGGCTAAGGTTTCTAACACTAAGTTTCAGACATTCTTTAGCACAAACAAGTTGGAGAATCAGAAAATTAATTCACCATCAAATATTCACTGAGTTGCACAGGGCTCCGTGAGACCCTGAGAGTGAGGCACAGAAGCTGCTCTCAGAGGTCTAGAATTGTGCAGGGGCAGGAGGGACAATGCCTAGGGGAAGCAAAGTGGGGCCAAGGCGGGAGTCCTGGGATCCTGCTTCACTCCTGGCAGGGACTTGCTAACTCCGCCAGGGGCAGCCAGGAGGGAATGGCTTCTGGGCCACACTCAGGATGAGGAGGAGGAACACTCCAGGCAGAAAATGTGTTTCTGAAAGGAGGCAGCAACAGCTGTTAGGCTCTCTTCAGAGGAGGGCGAGGGGGCTGCTGCCACTGAAGCCCAGGGCACAAGGGAAGGAAGAACAGGAAATGAGATGAGAAAAAGGGCCTAGAGCCCAACTGAAAAGGGAGATGGCCCCAAATGAAGGCGTGACTGCAACACTGCAGCCAAGAGCCGCAAGGAGCTGGCGCTGAGGAACGCCAGGAGAGAATGACGACAGAAACCCAGGATGTGGCCCAGGGGTTAGCTGCTGTCTGAGAGGTCTCTGTAATGACAGTGGCCATCCCTACCGCCACCACCACTGGATTCGTCCTCACCCTCAACATTTCTGGCCAGGATGCAAGCTCCCTCCCTGCCCCAGGCCTCTCACGCCACTGCTCCCCACAGCTGTCAGCTGCTCCTTCTAACAAGCGAACCTAATCCTCTCATTCCCTGGCTTGAAAGAGCAGGAGACCTCCAGGACAAAATCAAAACAGCTCTGCCTGCAGCGTCTGGACCCCCGAGGCCTGCTTTCCAGCCTTGCCTCTGCTCCAAACTCCCAACATCCATCCCTCTTCCACCCTCCCCATCTTTGCTTCTGCTGCACCCCCTGCATGGGTCCCTTGCCCCACCCCCACTCACTGCTCCTGCCGCACCCATGCAGCAAACTCTGGCCTTTCAGTGCTTAACCACACGGAGCCCTTGTGCACCACAGGCCTGAGGTCTATCCCTCGGGGGTAAGGGGTGCATTGCAAATTCCTACTCATCCCTCAGGCGTTTAAGTGTTCTTTCTTCCCACTTTCACCCATCAGACTGGCAAAAATACTCAGCATCCGTGAGGTGGTGGGAGACAAGCGTCCTTGTATTCTCTAGTGGGAGTATAAACTCGTGCCAGCTTTTTGGACAGCAATTTGGCAATAGCTCTCAAAAGGTAAAATGCACTGTCCCTTTTCTGGGCTGCCCAGCAGCTGTATTTCCTGCCTCTGTCCGGAGAATTCCACTGCCATCTGAGCTGAGGCTGAGCTTCACCAATCAGAAGCACCCACCTTCCCCATGAGGAACTCTCTGGTGGTGGAAGGGATGGCAGGAAGGCTCAGTTCTGTGGCAGCCAGGGTCCGGCACCAGCTGTGCCCGCAGCATAGACTGAGACACTGTTCTTGGCCCCAAACCCAGTTCTTGCCCTCCCAACTACATTGTGAGCCACCTGCTATACTTTTCTCAAAAATCCCTCTCTTCCTTAAATCATCCAGTGACTCAACTGCTTGCAACAGAGAATTCTGGCCGAAACGTGTACACCTTAATCCAGAAATTCCACTGCTAAGAATTTATCTAAATGAAGTACGTATTTATACAAGTAGACCAAGACACATTTGTTACCAAAATATGAAAAACAAGATGTTCATCAGAAGAAGAATGGGTCAGCAAGCATGGTGTAGCCACATAATACAATTCTGTACAGCTTGCTATTATTACAGAAATTCTATAGGCCCACGTAAGCTGATATAAACACTTCTTCAAAACGAGTTAATAGTAAGGGAAGAATATTATGTATAGCATGAGCTCATTTGTGTGTTTTTTTTAAAGGGGTAACTAGATGACAGAGAAGGAGATACGTGAAAGTTTATCATAACACATTTTCTGGAAAAAAATACAAACAATTCTTAACAGTGGTTACTCTGGAGGGATGTGAAGGAGACTTTTCTTATAGTTCTTTGTCCCACTTGAATGTTCTGTCATGTTCATAAATTATGTTCAGTAGAAAATGCTTGAATGTCACTTGCTCAGAAAGGACTACACAAACACCCACCAGCCACACACTCCTTCCTATTATCCTCTCTAATGACTGTTCTTTTCCTCTGGGGCACTTATCACAATGCATTCTTCTAGGTTCATGTGAATTTACCTGTCTAATACCTGTCTCCCTCACAAGACTATAGGCTCTGAGGCAGACGCTGTGTTAACCACTAATCTTCCCAGCTCCTAGCAAAGTGCTCCGCACTAGTGATGCTTAATACACATCAGACAAATGAATGAAGAGATCCAATCCTCCTTCTAAGACTCGGCTCAAGTGAAGTTCTTCCTGAATTATCCCAGCTTGGAAGTGACCTTTTCTCCCTTGGGTCCCCTCCTGCCCTCGTCAGTAGGTACATCTGTCTCCCCCATTAGACTGAGTATCTGAGGACAAAGACCCTGATATTCACTTCTATCTGTGCTGCCTGCTATAGTGCCTTTACACAGAAGGCACTCACTAAAGAGCTGATGAGGCCGGGTGCAGTGGCTCACACCTGTAATCCTAGCACTTTGGGAGGCAGAGGCCGGCAGATCACGAGGTCAGGAGTTCCGTATCAGCCTGGCCAACACAGTGAAATCCCCTCTCTACTAAAAATACAAAAATTAGCTGAGCATGGTGGTGCATGCCTATAGTCCCAGCTACTCGGGAGGCTGAGGCAGGAGAATCACTTGAACCCGGGAAGCAGGGGTTGCAGCGAGCAGAGATCATGCCACTGCACACCAGACCGGGTGACAGTGCGAGACTCAGTCTCAAAAAAAAAAAAAAGCTGATAAATGAGTGGAGGAACAAACAAGACCTCAAAGTAACAATTTACTTGGGTATTAAAATCAGATGTTACTGATGTCTCATTCTCCTTAATCTGGCATTTTAGGGCAGCAAAACCAGTCTGTGTGGAGTCAGTGGTTTCTAAATAGAATTATTCTATAAACTCAAGAGCTGTGGACCCATCACCCGGAACTCAAATGAGACTTGGACAGACAGGAGGTCACTCTTGGCCAGGAAAAAGCACAAAGTTGGGCGGCAGAAGTAAAATGGGCAGACACAAAGCTGTTTACCTACTCACTTTCAACAACTTTTCCTAATTCAGCTTTATGCTCATGACACAAATTACCACAGTTCACTGGCAAGAGAAACCAATTTTCCCATTTTACAAATGAAGCTGCTTTGTATCAATGTCAAACTTCTTAAATTTGATGACTTTATCAAGGTGACAGAAGAGAACATCTTGAAGGATTCAGAGGTGAAAGGCTGTGGTGCCTGCTATTTACCCTCAAATGGTTCCCCACGCACACGAAACAATGATAGGAATAACAATGTGTGTGTGAGAGGCAGAACACATGTGTCAAAATGCTAACAACTGACACATCTGAGTAAAGGACAGATCAGTGTTTGTTGAACGTTACTGTTACTTTTCTGCAAGTCTGAAATTTAAGTAAAAAAAAGAAAAAATAAAAACTACTTAATAGAAAAGGTTATTCCACCTTTACCACCATTTAAAGGTATCAGATGGGGAGAAATAAAAGCAATACTTTGATGGAGATACCTAATACCTTTGAATAAAGCAATTCAGAACAATTCTAAAATTACCATAAGTATCTTCATTTTAGAATAACTGCAAAGATTCATCCGTATGGTATCTGGGGATAAATCATTCTCCCCAACAAACAGTGAACATCTGTTATATAAAAACCTTGTAAGAGGCTAGATAACAACACAATGGCATAGCAAAGTCTCAAACTGGCAATTTCCAAACTACTCAAGGCAGCAGTTTTCCTAGATGTGGAGCCAAGACACCAAGACAGAAAATATTAAGAGGTAAATGACAGCTGGAAAAACACCAGCTACACGATACACACAACCTGTTCGAATTTCTGGACCTATGCAATTTGACCCAGAAGCAATAATGTAAATGTTAGAACTTGAAAATCCCAATTCTTCTAAATATAATTTTATCACTATTTTTTGCAGTCATTAAAAAAAAAAAAATTATCAGCCACCTGTAATCCCAGCACTTTGGGAGGCTGGAGCAGGCAGATCACCTGAGCCCAGGAGTTCGAGACCAACCTGGGCAACATGGCAAAATCCCATCTCTACAAAAAATACAAAAATTAGATGGGTGTGGCAGAATATGGCTGTAGTCACAGCTACTCAGGAGGCTGCGGTGGGTGGATCACCTGAGCCCGGGGAAGTCGAGGTGGCAGTGAGCTGTGATTGCACCACTGTACTCCAGCCTGTGCAGCAGAGTGAGAGCCTGTCAAAAAATCTCCTAATCTAGCAGCTAGAGCTAAAACATAAATGCAAAAAGCTGGTTAGCAAATGAGGAAGAGAGGGGGCAAAAAAATAACTACTATTTACAGGCCAGGCATTGGAGCACATGCTTTATATACGTTATTTCCAACCATTACAACTTGGTGTGGTAGGTATTACCAATACCACTTCACAGGTAAGGAAATTGAGGTTCAGATAGAAATCAAATACCCCAATCCCTCAGAGATTAAGTAGTAAAGAAGGACCACAATCACTCCTCTAGGTCAAAATGTACCTGCCAAGTTTCAATGTAAGGCTTCTACTCTAGAATTCTACTCAAATCTCACCTTCTTCATAAGACCTGTCCTGACATTTTTTTTTTTTTTTTTTTTAAACAGACAGGGTCTCACTCTGTTGCCCAAGATGTAGTACAATGGCTTGATCACAGCTCATTGCAACCTCAAACTCCTGGGCTCATACAATGCTTCTGCCTCAGGCTCCCAAGCAACTGGGACTACAGGCACACACCACCACACTCAGCTTATATATATATGTGGCACAGACCGGGTCTTGCTATGTTGCCTAGGCTGGTCTTAAACTCCTGGCCTCAAGCAACCCTCCCACCTCAGGCTCCTAAAGCACTAGATTACAGGCATGAGCCACCGTGCCTGGCCCTGATCTTTCTATTTAACACTGCCATCTGCCTCCACCCCAGCCCCTGCCCACAACTCCCAAGTCCCCTTATCATGTGTGAATTTAATTTTTTGTTTTATGATCATTGCAAATTCATATGCAGATGTAAAAAATAGAGCATTTCCATATGAAGTTGACTCAGTTTCTCTCAAAGATAGTATCTTGTGTAACTATAGTACAATATCATCTGTATTACTTTTTTTCTTAGTATCACTTTCTAATACAGGCTGAGTAGCCCTTATCCAAAATGCCAGGGACCAGAAGTGTTTCAGATTTCAGGTTTTGGAATATCTACATTATAACTCACCCAATTCAGCATCCCTAATCCAAAAATCCAGAATCAAAAATGCTCCAATGAGGCTGGGCAGAGTGGCTCATGCCTATAATCCATCCAAGCATTTTGGGAGGCCGAGGTGGGCAGATTACTTGAAGTCAGGAGTTTGACACCAGCCTGGCCAACATGGTGAAACCCCATCTCTACTAAAACTACAAAAAATTAGCCGGGCATGGTGGCGTGTGCCTATCACTCCAGCTACTTGGGAGGCTGAGGCAGAAGAATCACTTGAACCCGGGAGACAGAGGTTGCAGTGAGCCGAGATCATGCCACTGCACTCCAGCCTGGGCAACAGAGCAAAACTCCATCTCAAAAAAGAAAAAAATAATAAAAATAAAAATGTTACAATGAGTATCATGTTAGCACTCAAAAACTTTAGGATTTTGGAGCTTTTCAGATTTCAGACTATAAAAATATATTCATAATACACAGGTTGTATAACCTGTGTATATTTATATATATTTATAATACCTGTGTATTAATTTAGAATACCTGTGTATTATAAATATACTTCTCACAGTTGTTTATTGTCTATTTACCCTCACTAAAATACAAAATCCTCGAGAGCAGGAATCACTATCAGAATTGTGTTGACTGCTATATAGCAAGCACCTAGAACACGGCCTAATCTATAGTAGGAACTCAGTATATATTTGCTGAATGAATCAAAGCATTGTATTGCACCTCCTCTTCTAAGAGAAAACAGACCAGCTCTTCAAGAGACCATCGTGGTAAGTAAGAGTACTCTTAAACATCAGGAAAACGTTACACTCACCCATGGTGACATAAGGCAACTTATCAGTTGATCCATGAGGATAGATGCTGTAGAGGTGAGGTCCAGTAACATCTACTCCCCCTAAAACTAGGGCTGCACCAATGTAACCTTGATACCTGGTGATCAGAGTATGCATAAGAAAAAAAACATGAGTCCACAAAGCATCACTGTAACTTAGCCAAAAGTTGCATGAGAAGTCAGGTAACAAAAAGTTTTCCTTAAGACTGTTTCATTAAGGGGTTATTGTTTTGATGGGAACAAAAAAGGGAAGGGAACATTAGATGAACATCTACTGTCAGCCAGTATAAACTATAAATTATGTGAGGCACTCCACACACCTGATTTCAGCTCAGCCTCACAGCCCCCATTATTATTATTTTTTTGAGACAGGGTCTCACTCTGTCACCCAGGCTGCAGTACAGTGGTATTATCACGGCTCACTGCAGCCTCAACCTCCCCAGGCTCAAGCAATCCTCCCACCTCAGCCTCCTAAGTAGCTGGGACTACAGGTGTGCACCACCACACCTGGCTAATTTTTGTATTTTTTTTTGGAGAGATGGCGTCTCGCCAAATTGCCCAGGCTGGTCTCAAACTCCTGGACTCAAGCAATCCTCCCACCTTGGCCTCCCAAAGTGCTGGGATTACAGGTGTGAGCCACCACACCCAGCCCACAGTCCCCTTTAAAAGACAACATTATCATTCCCATTTTAGAAAAGAAAAAACCAACCCAGAGACATTAAGAACTTGCCCGGTCTCAGAACCAAATTGGACTGACTCCAAAGATTATCAGCACTTTTCCCATCACACCTCTCTGTGATCAGCACATAAGCTACCTCCACAGTTAACAATGAGGAGGTGCTAAGCTCAGCTGTTCCACTGTTCAAATTATCAACCTGGCCACAAAGGCCAGGCATGGTGGCTCACACCTATAATCCCAGCACTTTAGGAGGCTGAGGTGGGCAAATCACTTGAGTCCAGGAGTTCAAGACCAGCCTGGGCAATATGGCGAGACCCTGTCTACAAAAAATACAAAAAATTAGCAAGGCATGGTGGCATGTACCTGTAGTCCCAGATACTTGGGAGGCTAAGGTGAGAGGATCCCTTGAGCCTGGGAGGCAGAGGTTGCAGTGAGCCATGTACACGCCACTGCACTCCAGCCAGGACAGAGCAAGAGTTGTCTCAAAAAAAAAAAAAAAAAAAAAAAGTATCAACCTCACCACAGCCCAAACAGAAAAATGGCTCATGTCGAAACACCTCTGCCTTTGAATTAACCCATATTATAATTACATATATGAACTCGTATCAAAAAAAAAGTATTTCATCATTCAGGAAAGTGAATATTAAAATAACTCCATGATAGCCTAAGAAACCACTGCTACTACACATAGGATAAACTTACACTTCCTCAGGAACATCACAGGAATATATTTTCCACCCACACCATCTCCACTTAATTGTGCACATATTTGTTCCTTTGGACCCTTTTTTTCCATTTCTATAGATTCCTTTCCCTGTATTTGGTACAGCTTTTTAACATTAGGAGGCCAATGTTACTCCTAACGTGGGAGGCTGAGGCATGAGAATCGCTTGAACCTGGGTGGCCGAGGTTGCACTGAGCCGAGGTCGCATCACTGCACTCCAGCCTGGGCAACAGAGTGACACTTAGTCTCAAAAAATAAAAAATAAAAAAAATCAAAAGAAGAATTAGATCTACATTTGTCAACATAAATTGCTCTCAATTTATCTAGCTGTGCTAGATAAACATGCTGGATTTAAAGTTCTCCACTGTGAGCCTTTAGCTCTTTGGGAAGGAAAACAAAACTGACACATACTGAATTTGCCAAACGATGTAATCATTAAAATACAAATAAATTAACATGAGAACCAAAGTCATAACTTTAGACTGTCTGAGACATGGCCACACATCCAGAAGTGCTCTAAGTAAACAGAACAGTGGTCCAATACTTGCCCTGTTCCTTGATTACCAAATTGTTATTTCATTTGTAAGTAAAAACTTCAAAAACTTCCTAGGAAAAGATTTTAGCAGTAGCCTAAAAAGAGAATAGAGCCCCAGACAAGGGAAGAAACTGGTCCAAGGCCCCACGTGTGAGCTAGCAGCAGGGTCAGACTAGGGCCAAGGGCTCCAGGAAGAGAAGCCACAATCGCCAGTCCCACCACCCCCAACTAGTCCAGTGCCTATTCCACTATGCCAACTGTCTACTGAACAGGGTGTTTAAATAAAGTTAATAATAATCAGCTACTTGCCTTCTAAGCTAAAATATCAACTGTTAGATGCCTTTAAAATAATCAAGATGTTTTGGCAAATTATTGAAGTCATTAAAATTTTAATAATTTATTGATCCACAAATTCTACTACCAGGACTCTATTCTAAGGATATAAACAGACAAATGTACAGAAATGAATGCACAAGGATGTTTACAACAGCATTGTTTATGATGATTAAAAAAGTGGAAACAGCCAGGGAGAAATGGCTAAACTGATCCAACTGTACAACAGAACATCACCCAATCATTAAAAATCATGCTAAGCCGAGTGTGGTGGCTCACACCTGTAATCCCAAAACCTAGGGAGGTCATGGTAGGAGGATTACTTGAGGCCAGGAGTTTGAGACCAGCCTAAGCAACATAGTGAGACATCGTCTACAAAAAGTTTAAAAAAACAAACACAACAAAAAATTAGACAAACATGGTGGCGTGGGCCTTTAGTCCCAGCTACTCAGGAGGCTGAGGCGAGCAGATGACTTGAGCCTAGAATTTTAAGGCTCAAGTCATCCACCATGCACTGCCTTTAAGTGAGCCATGATCATGCCACTGCACTCCAGCCTGGGCAACAGAAAGAGACCCTATCTAAACTAAAATAAAATTTAACAACCATGCTGCATTTTCTCCTGCGCTACTGACGGTAGTACAACGTTTGTCAAGGGAGAGCTTTGACAACATCTTTCAAAATGTTAAATGTGCAAAACTAAATAAATGTGCATTTATTCTAGAATACAGGCTAAGGAATTAAATCACATGAGTACCCAAGGCTTCTATGTTCCAAAGGTTCGTAGAATACCTAATAATACCTTAAATACCTTAAAATGGGCAATATCATTAATGTTTAAAAATTGGTTAAGTTGTAACATAGCCACAAAACGGATACTATGACACCACCAAAAATTATGATAATGATTAATGGTTCTTAAGCTTTTATGGGTCAGAGAGCCCTCTTAAAAATTGATTAAAATTGTGGAAATTTTCCCCCATAAGAGTACACACAAACATTTTTTCTGATTTCAGGAGAGTTACAAGTATTCAGAACTTCTCTATGGGCTCAAGAGAAAAACTCATCTACTGACAGGAACAATATTTGTAACATACCATTATGTAAACAAGGGAAATTACAAAACAACACATACAAGGATATATATCTAGAACAAAAGGTATGAAAAAACAGATCTTCAAAAATTTACAGTGTATGTGTCTAAGTGGCAGAACATCAGGTGGCATTTACTTCCTTCTATCCAGGTTTCTAGTGTCTACGTTTTTTACAATTATATTATTTTTATAATTTTAAAAAGTTATTTTCATTTTGAAATGCCCTAGTATAGAACCCATTCAAGATGCACTGTTAGGTGAGAAGACTAGGCTATACTACAGTCAGTACAACTATAATCCCATTTTCTAAATATTACTGAACTTATTTTTAAAACCTTGAAGGGTGTGTAACAATCTCTTAGCACTAACTGCTCGTGGGTGGCAGGAATCCAGGTAGTTTTTTACATTCTTTTTGTTCATATCTTCCAGCTTTGTTTTGTTTTTACCATGAACATGTACTAGCAATATAAAAGGAAGAGAGGAAGGGAAGAACTTAAGAGACAGAAGACTGGAATAACATACACCAAACCAAGAGTGATGCTCCCTGAATGGCAAAGTTTTCATTTTGTTCTTTGGGCTTTTCAGTATTTTCTAAATTTCCTACAATAAATGTACATTATGTTTATAAGAAAAAAAGTTACAATATAAGAGTCTCTA
This sequence comes from Homo sapiens, assembly GCF_000001405.40. Lineage (NCBI taxonomy): Eukaryota > Metazoa > Chordata > Mammalia > Primates > Hominidae > Homo > Homo sapiens. The sequence goes on from NC_000009.12 coordinate 124,409,355, forward strand.
CGTATTCAAGTAATAGTTTCTAGAACACACAACAGCATTTCACTAACATTTTTATGAAACTCAACAAGGAGGTTCCATGCTCACAGAACAAGCATTACTTACATCAACTACATATAGCCAGGATAGGTGTGAGATAAAGGCAGTGCTTAAGTAAGGGAAAAGACATCACTTCTGCTTATCAAACCTTATTTTCTCACTGACTCACATACAAGGAAATGGGCTGTTCAGAAAAAAAAAGTACAGCAGTACCAAGAACACCTTGTACTCTTTTTCAGACTGAATTTTACGGGGCTCTAACTACGCAGTAGGCTCTGTAGTATGCAAGGTCAGAGCCTAGCTTCTTTATTCCTGTCCTCCTCAAAAGTCAGATAGACAGAAACTATTATCCTCATTTTATTGAGAAAGAATCACCCAAATTTATACGACAGTCAGTGCTGTAGGTGGGAGATGAACCAAAGTTCTAAAATCAAATCCTAAACTCTTTCCTTATACCACTCTCATTTTATGTAACTCACCAAAAATGTTAAGAGGACATAAAAGACTATAATTATGCTGGTTTATATTTTTAAATGGTCCTCAAATTTTGATAAAATTTAACTTTTACAAAGTATCTTGAACTAAAAAATGACAAAACACTGAAAAAAGAGAATTTAGAATTTTTTTTTTTTTTTTGAGACGGAGTCTCGCACTTTCACCCAGGCTGGAGTACAGTGGCACAATCTCGGCTCACTGCCAAGCTCCACCTCCCGGGTTCATGCCATTCTCCTGTAGCTAGGACTACAGGCGCCCGCCACCACGCCCGGCTAATTTTTTGTAATTTTAGTAGAGATGGGGTTTCACCATGTTAGCCAGGATGGTCTCAATCTCCTGACCTTGTGATCTGCCTGCCTCGGCCCCCCAAAGTGCTGAGATTACAGGCATGAGCCACCGCGCCCAGCCGAGATGTTAGGATTCTTAAAACATTCTGAAGTGATTAACAGAAACATTTGCTAGATTTTTTTGCTAATTGTTTTAAATGACATTACAAAGAATCTTGAAACATCTTATTTGCAGCAATTTTACAAGCTTAAAAATTGCCTTTATTACATAGACACATCGTGTAGAAAAAAAGTTTTCAAAAAAGCCTTATATATAATGTACCAAGCAAGCCACCAGAGGGAGCTTTATATTTAAAATTAAAATCCACAAATCTTTTCAGAAATCTGATCAATAGGTGTGCTTTAACAAGTTCTACTCACTGTACTGGGAGAATTTGGTTGGCAATAATTCTCCTGGATTAGAATAATGATACGTACACAAACATAAAGCAGCAATTGGATAGACAAGGCTTCCTATCCATATGACTCTAGGCTTTGGTCTCATTTGTAAAATGGGAACTATACTACTGGCCTTGCTACAACCTCATATACACTACTGAAAACCCACAGGCCATGCTAGACACATAGATGAGGACCCGCAAATTATCAGGAAGGCCAGGGCCCTGAAGGGAACAGTGAAGTGAGCCAGGCAGAGAAAGTGACAGAGCACCCACTCCCACTTCTAAGGCAACAACCACCAATGAGTTCCCGAAGATTACGGCCACATGTTTCCAATGTTTTCAAAAGACAGAAATCTAGACTTTTTTTTTTTCTTTTTTTTTGAGACGGAGTCTTCTTCTGTCACCCAGGCTAGAGTGCAGTGGCGTGATCTTGGCTCACGGCAACCTCCACCTTCCAGGTTCAAGCGATTCTCCTGTCTCAGCCTCCCAAGTAGCTGGGATTACAGGCAAGCGCCACCATGCCCGGCTATTTTTGTACTTTTAGTAGAGATGTTTCACCATGTTGGCCAGGCTGGTCTCGAACTCCTTACCTCAGGTGATCCGCCAACCTTGGCCTCCCAAAGTGCTGGGATTACAGGCGTGTGCCACCGTGCCAAGCCAAAATCTAGACTTTTAATTCAAATCTCCCCATTTACAATTGTTAGCCACTATTTAAAAAGAAAAAAAGGCCATATGACCCAAACAAATTTCCCTACAAGCTGATGGCCTATGAGCCACCAGTTTAAAATCTTTACTGTCTATCCGTGCTCCCCTTTAATTCTCACAACCACCCCACTAGGGGCAGGTATTATGATATCCATTCTACACAGAAGGAAAAAGGCAAAGAATTTGTTAAAGGTAAGGCAAGTCCCAAAAGGAGAAGCCAGTATTCCAACCCAAGACTAAATGCCCAGGCTACTTCTCCTAAAATCACTGCCTCTCTTATGAGAAGCAAATGAGAAAACACACTTTGAAAACTGCCAAGACCCATACAAACATAAAGTAATGACGCAATTATTAAAGGAGAAAGAGAAACAAAACTACTAATATGAGCTGTGAGTCAGCAGAGAATGAAGGTCAGGTCAGGCAAGCTACTGCACCTCTTTAAACCTCAATTTCTTCACTTACAAATAGGAGACGCTAATAGTCCCTATCTCAGAGTTAAAAGGATGAAATCGTGCATAAAGCGCTTTAGCATAGGTCCTGGAACAGAGTAAGAGGTAGATAAAGGTTGGTTAATATTAATATTATCATACCCACTGACAGCCAATTATAAATATCACTTTTCATTCACTGTTATTTTGCCCCTAAAGGGAGGGGGTGGGGGGAAGGAGAGACAATCATTTGGGTTTGTGTTTATGGGGAGGAGAGAGTAGTTTCACAAGACAACTTGATAGTTCCTCCAGCTATAACTTTCTTACCGTGAACAAAAAAGTTTCTCTTATCCAGTAATATCCCTATGCTCCAGGAAATGACTCAACTGGTGACATGTGATTTACTCATGAAAAAAATCAGGCCCCAGAAATTCAAATGCACCATCAAAAACCATTTAAAATGGCTCTTTAATATAACAACTGATTTCCGGAACAAAATGTGTATTTCTGAATGTGTTTTTGCTACTTTCCAGGCTTCTCTTGGCTGAAAAAAATCTAAGATATGAGAAGAAGATACTAGTAGGAATCCCCATTCTGGAAACTTACCTGAAAAGCATCTGCTTCAGCATCCGATTGGCTGTCACAACTCTGGGAAGACGGCCAGTGGAGAGGGAGTGGAGCTCCAGGTTGGAAGAAATGAGCTGGGTTGTCATGTCTGTGTCTGCAGCTGTCCCAGCACCACAACAACTGAAAAATCCAATTAGAAACTTAGCTGAAATCCAATTACCAGAGGGCTCAATTAGAAGTAATGGGTTCTTGGATAACTTCCATGAAGTTCAGGTACAGAGAGATGTTTTTGAGTATATCTATGCTGTAACTTCTCTGTTTAGTCAACCTTAAATAAACAGAAAATTGAGAATATGCATCTAGTTATATGCAAATACATTATCTATGGCCCAATGGAACACATGAAATTATTGGTTTCTGTGATAACAGTGTGTGCATTCCATTAATGCTACAAATATATCCAAGTTGTACAGAAGTGCCAGGTGTGTTAACTCTTGCAATTCAACATCTACCAAGTATTTACTATCAGATACCAGTAATTACACTAAGCACTGGGAATAAAGAAAATATGAGAGGCCTTGTGCTCAAAGTTGAGTGTAAGATACACAAGAAGACAAAAATTATAACACATAATTTAATACACAGTAATAGCATAGGTACAAAATCCTACGGGAAACCGGAGGAGAAGGTAATTGATTCTGATCATTAAGAAAAGGTTTCAGGCTGGGCATGATGGCTCATGCCTGTAATCCCAGCACTATGTGAGACCCAGGCGGGAGGATCACTTGAGGCCAGAAGATCAAGATCAGCCAGGGCAACATAGTGTGACCGCATCTCTCCCAAAAAAAAAAAAAAAAAAAAAAGAACGAAAAAAATGTTTAAAAAAAGGAAAAGGTTATATATGAGCTGGAATAAAAACACTCTACAAGCAGAGAAGGCAGAGTTTCTAAATAGAATCTCACATAAGCAACGGTAGAATAGCTTGGAGATGAGGGAAATAGGGACAGTTCAGACGTAACTGGAGCACAGGGTGATGGCAACTGAAAAAGACGCTTGAAGGGTAGGCTTTCTATGAGACTGTGCAAGGCCACAGAATTTTGATTTTTATCCTAAAAGCCATGTGGAAATGTGACAAGTCTCTTGAAAAGCTTTTTAAGAAAGGGATGCCATCAGATCTATGTTTTACAAAATCCAGTATGGCAGAAGAGTGAACAATAGGATGCCTAAGAGAGGCCAATTAAATGGTAACTGCAATAGTCCAGCTAAGAAAAAAGAACCTCTATGGTTCAAGTTAATGTTTGAAAAAAAGAAAAAGAAAAAAGAACCCAAACTAGAGCCTTAGCAAAGGAAAGGATAGGAGGGAATGGATTCAAGAGGCACAGAGAGGGCAAAACTGGCCACCAATTCAATTGGAGACTGAAGCAAAGAGAGGACTTGAAGTTACTGGCTTAGGTAACAGGTGGCTGGAAATGCCATTTAAGGGAGACAGAAAATACAGGTTGAAAAACAGGTTTTAGTAAGGAGCACAGGAAGGTCAATTTTTAGCCCTGACATGTTTGAAAATATAAGAGTTATTCAAACGAATCAATACTTACTAAATATTAGGAGATATGAAGTGTATTTTTGAACAGTTCTTGTCAGCAACAACCATCCCTTCAGTTGCTCTTGTATCTGCTCCAAGAACTATGCCATCCTATTAAAAAAAAAAGTTTTTAAACAATTTTACAAATATAAGCCAACCGCAACTCTCTATTCTACTTTAGGGAATACTATGTTGGCCATACCACATGCTCCCCTAATCTCAAAACGCCAGCCAAAACTCATAGCAAAAATATTGTGCTACACTTTCAGGATTTAAGAAAAGGTTTCTTAGTAAATGCTACTAATTGAATCCTGAGTAGGTAAGAATTATTCCCATTTTCAAGTGAGGCTCAGGTGTCGGGTAAATTCCTTGTAAATCAGAGCTAATCTGGAAAAAACCTGGATTAAGACTCAGGAATCTTTCCATTAAATTAGCCATCACTATCAATTTCCTTTTAAAACATGTTGCTTTTCTTTAAAACATGTTGCACAGGTAATCATTATCCCTTTTGACGTTTCCAACAATTTAAGGCAGGAGTTATCTCCATTTGATGCATCTGAAGGTGTCCCTGTGAGAAGGAAAGTGAGCTGCCAGAAGTTGGAATCAGCACTATAGAGTTCAAAGGTGAGACAGACCTGTCTGACCCCAAATCTCGTGATCTCCCATCACATACTTCAGCTTCCTAAACTAGTAATTAAGAAGCTAACTGACCTGTTTAAAAAAAAAAAAAAGAAAGAAAGAAAAAACCTCAGCAAAGTGAGGAAAGAACATAAACTGTTAAGAAGCACACAAAACCTGACAAAAGCAGTCGCTCCTGAAAGACGGTCTCCTGATGTATTCTATAGCATTTGCCTTTCCAGACCGAGCCGGGAGAGACACCGGAAGCCAAGTGTTCTGATTCCTGTTGCCGGTTCAGTCACTGCTGCTCTTAGCCTAACCCGGCTTACCTTATAGACCACCCCAGCGATGGTCGTGCCAGTTTTCCGGACCTTTGGAAGCTTGTATCCCCTCTTTGCAAAATCGGCTTCCAAGACGGCATTCCTAAGAGCAAATGAGAGAATCAAGTGTTGAAGGGCAGGACCACATCGCACAGCACTGGCATGAAAAGTGCCTAACAGAGAACTCAGGAAAGCTGCTACTTGTTTTCACGCCCATCTGTTTAATGAATCCTCCCACCATCAGCACTGTTCTCCCGTTTTCCAACGAAGACAGTCTTACAAAGGGGCCGTGACGTGCCTTAGGAGACGGAGATAAACGGTGGCCGAGTGCGCTGGGAAGGTGGGAGAGCAGACCCGGCTTCAGGAGAAACCCACGCCCAGGCCCTGATTCCCCTGAGTCACACTAGCCGCGGGCCACAGGCCCCGCCATGAATTCTTCCCTCAGAATTCTCGTATCACACCTTGGCCCAGCTCCCACCCGAGCACCGCACTCTTCTCCCTCCCTGAACCAAGCCCCAAGCAAGGCGGCACCTGCGGCAGTTATCAAAAGAGAAGCCTCCAACTGGTGGAGCATACACCGACACAGCCGCCATCTTCCCAAGAAAGCAGTTCCGGGTCGGAGGCGGGTGCAAACAAAAAGAGCCGAGCACTTCCGGCGTCGCTGGCAACGGGGGCTGAAGGGGCGGGGCAAACGCCGCACTAGAACGATTGATCTTAGAGATTCTGGTTCCTAGAGAGGCCAGAGATGTTTGAAGTATATCGCCCCAAGTGGCACGGAGGAGAAAGTGACACCCGGAACCGGGAAAGGACTTGTCCAAGGTGAACGCACCAGCGACCAGGTCTCCTGCCGCTCAGACTGGACTTGTTTCTACCGTTAATTTGGTTCTGCGGTGCTTCAGAGACAGACAGACCCAAGTCCCAGGCACAGCCCCACCACCCCCTTGCGTTAAGCAAGTCTCTTCAACTCTCTGAATCTGTTTCCTCCGCTATCAGATGGAGATTACAACCTAGCTCAAAAGGCTGCTGTAGAATGGCCATTAAGTCTGTGAAAAGAGGCTCAACATGATTAGTCATAGGGTGAATGCAAAGCACGACCACAGTGAGATCCCACTTCGCACCCGCTAGGATGGCCATAAACAAAAAGACAGAAAAGCGCAAGGGTTGCGAGAGTGTGGAGAAATTGGAACCCGAATACACGGCTGGTGAGAATGCAAAACGGTGCGGCTGCTCCGGAAAACAATTTGGCAGTTCCCCAAAAAGTATTATCCTCTTAGATACGCACCCGAGAGGGTTGAAGACATGTATTCACAAAAACTTCTACAAAGGTGAGGTAGAAGGCAGGCCTCCATTCAGAGATGGGGCTGAGATACCTGACCAAATTGAGGACTAGCTAAAACAGGGCCTGGACGGAAGCTGTCTTCCCTAAGACTCGCTCACCAGCCAGCCAAGTCAGTTTACCGTTGCCATGGCAACACTCGTGAGTTACCGCCCCTTTCCATGGCAGTGGCACCATAAACCAAAAGTTACTACCCCTTCCCTAGAAATGCCTGCATAAACCACCCCTTAATCTGCATGTAATTAAAAGTGTGTATAAATATGACAGCAAAACTGCCCTGACACTCTGCCTAAGAGGGTAACCCTGCTCTGCAGGAGCAGTCATGGAGCTGTAACGCCGCCACTTCAATAAAGCCGTTTTCTTCTGCCTCTAACTTGCCCTTGAATTCTTTCTTGGGCAAAGCCAAGAACCCTTGTGGGCTCAGCCGCACTTTGGGGCTTACCTGCCCTGCGTCAAAAGGGGTCTCATTGGCTGGGCGCGGTGTCTCACGCCTGTAATCCCAGCACTTTGGGAGGCCGAGGTGGGCGGATCATGAGGTCAGGAGATTGAGACCATCCTGGCTAACACGGTGAAACTCCGTCTTTACTAAAAATACAAAAACTTAGCCAGACGTGGTGGTGGGCACCTGTAGTCCCAGCTAGTCAGGAGGCCGAGGCAGGAGAATAGCTCGAACCAGGGAGGCAGAAGTTGCAGTGAGCTGAGATCACGCCACTGCACTCCAGCCTGGGCAACAGAGCAGAGACTCCGTCTCAAAAAAAAAAGCGAGGGGGGGGTCTCATTATTCACAATAGCCAAATAATGGAAACAAATGTCCATCCACTGATGAATGGATAAACAAAATATGGTAAATTCATTTAATGGAATATTATTAGACCATAAAGAAGTCTGAAGCACAGATACATGTTACAACAGGGATGGACCTTAAAAATATACTGAGGGAAAGAAGCCAGGCACAAAAGGCCACATAGTGTATCATTCCATGTATGTGAAGTGTTCTTAATAGGCAAATCCACAGACAGAAAGTAGATGTTTGGTTGCTAAGGGTTAGGGGAGGAGGAGAGAATGGATAGGACTGTTTAGTGGGCGCAGAGTTTTTGGAAAATGATGAAAATATTCTGGAATTACATAGTGGTATTGGTTGCACGATATTATGAATACACTAAAAACCACTGAGTTGCACACTTTAAAATGGTTAAAATGGTGACTTCTACGTTAGGTGAATTTTATTTTATTTTATTTTATTTTATTTATTTATTTATTTTTTTGAGACTCGGTCTCCCTCTATCACCCAGGCTGGAGTGCAGTGGCATGATCTCAGCTCACTGCAACCTCCACCTCCTGGGTTCAAGTGATTCTCATGCCTCAGCCTCCCAAGTAGCTGGGATTACAGGCATATGCCACCACGCCTGACTAATTTTTGTATTTTTAGTAGAGACAGGGTTTCACCATGTTGGCCAGGCTGGTCTCGAACTCCAGACCTCAAGTGATCTGCCCACCTCAGCCTCCCAAAGTGCTGGGATTACAGGCATGAGCCACAATGCCTTGCCAGTGAATTTCATTTTAATAAGGCTATTGTGAGTATTAAACATTGTACATGAAGACCATCTATCTTAGCATGTAGAAGCTTCTTATAAATAGTTATTATTAATAATACATTCATTTCATCCTGTCAACAAACCTAAGAGATAATTATGTAATTCAACTCATTTTACTGAGGGAATTGAAGGCTCCTTTTACAGCCTGAATGACTGTGGAATGAATTAATTTATTCACTCAACAAATATTTATTGAGCTCCCATTATGCGTCAGACATGGTTCTAGGTGCAAATGAATGAATGAAGCACCTAGAACCAGTGTCTATCACAACTGTGTGTTTAATAAACATTTGTCAAAGGTTGAATTCCCTTTCGTTACCTCTGAGTTTTCCGTTGAAATTAGGGAAATAAATTCATATTCTGCAGTTCTAGCCCCTAGTAACTCAGTAGCTGACCTTACTTGGAAGTATTCCAAATGAATTGAATTTGATTTGATATTACAGAGGTAATCAAGTTAAAAATGAGGTCACTAGGCCCTAATCCAACAGGACTGGCGTCCTTATAAAAATTGGAAATTTGGGTCGGGCATGGTGTCTCACACCTGTAATCCCAACACTTTGGGAGGCCAAGGCAGGTGGATCACTTGAGATCAGGCGTTCAAGACCAGCCTAGCCAACATGGTGAAACCACGTCTCTACTAAAAATACAAAAATTAGCTGGGCATTGTGGTGGGCGCCTGTAATCCCAGCTACTCAAGAGGCTGAGGCAGGGGAATCACTCGAACCTGGGAGGAGGAGGTTGCAGTGAGCCAAAATCATGCCACTGCACTCCAACCTGGGCAACAGAGAAAGACTCTGTCTAAAAAAAAAAAAAAAAATTGGCAATTTGGAGACAGACATGCACACAGGGAGAACCCCATATGAAGATGAAGGTAGACACTGGAGTGATGATCCTATGGGCCAAGGAATGCCAAAAGTTGCCATCAAACCACCAGAAGCTAGGCGCCAGGTCTGGAACAGTCTGCCTCACGGCTCTCAGAAGAAGCAACTTTGCAGACACCTTGCTTTGGACTTGCACCCTCCAGAATGGTGAGACAATAAATTTCTGGTGTTTCAGCCACCCAGATTGTGGTACTTTGTTATAACAGAGCTAGGAAACTCAGACACCTCCTGAGCTCACAGTCCAGGGGAGGAGAGGAAGTCTCAGAAAAGAAAGACTCCCAGCGCTGTGTGCCAACTGCCAGGCGGGGGAAGCATGGGAATGCGAGTGGGGGGCACACACTCTAGGGAAGCCTAGAGGCTCAGACGGTGTGGAGCCCATCGGGACGACAAGGCAAGAGGGTCAGGCACGTGGGCGAAGGCTTGAGATGTGCCAAAAACAAAACCAAACCGAAAACCCTGGACATGGTTTTTAGGAAACAGTCGTGAGGCTTCTGCAGTGGTACCTGCAGCCTCCGGGGGGTGGTGGTGGGTGCCTGAGTCCCGCCGTAGGGTCTCAGTGGGAGCTAGGAAGCCAGGGCCCAGCCAGGCGTGGTGGCTCATGCCTGTAATCCCAGCACTTTGGGAGGCCCAGGCAGGCAGATCACTCGAGGTCAGGTGTTCAAGACTAGCGTGGCCAGCATGGTGAAACCCCGTCTCTACTAAAAATACAAAAGTTAGCTGGGTGTGGTGGCGCCCGCTTGTAATCTCAGCTACTTGGGAGGCTGAGGTGGGAGGATTGCTTGAACCTGGGAGGCGGAGGTTGCAGTGAGCTGAGATCACACCACTGCACTCCAGCCTGGGCAACAAAGCCAGAGTCTGTTTCAAAAAAAAAAAAAAAGAGAAGCCAGGGCCCCGGGCACAGCACAGAGAGCTAGGAAAGCCGTTGTAGAAATGATCTGTGACCTCGATTTGCTTGAGGGAACTTTCTCTTCCTACCTGGGTTTCTTTGGTATCTTTGATTTTTCACACCCAGACTGGGCTGAGGAGGGGACATTGTTTCCTCTTACAGCCTCTGGAGGTGGCCCCGCAGAGGCACTCAGAGCCCAGCAGAGGGCGACCAAGAGCCTCCAGGCGGCCTGGACATAAAGCAAGGGAGTCAGCCGGGCGGGGATGGGGGCAGCCGGGCAGGGATGGGGGCAGCCTCTGCACCTCCAGGCATGTGGAGGGCAACCCTAGATCCCTAGCACTCAGAGATCCCCACTCGGCCTCCCTGCCCAGCATGGCTGCTGCCCCCTGGGACTGCAGCCCAGCCCAGCTGGCCCTCCCCTGGGCCTGGACACAGTCCCACTTCATCCCTGGCAGTGCTACCAACCCCAACTCACCAGTGAAGCCACCACTTCTGCTGTGGATTTGGCTGGGTGACCTCAGGAGAGCCATCAGGCTCTCTGTGCCTCAGTTCCCAAATAACACAGTAACAACCAACAGTCCCTGAGAGCACTCAACATCCTGGGCTTGGACCCAGCCATTCTGTGTGCAGGATCTCATGATCACCCTGGACACCTAGAATGTGCCAGGCAGTAGGAAAGCACAATCAAGAGACAGACACAGAGCCTGTCCTCAGGGAGCTGGCAGTCCCCAGGGACCAGGCATCATGGCCCCACTTTATAGATGAGGCAACCAAGGCCCGGAGAGGTGAAGTCACTAGCTCAAGGTCATACCGCTGATATGACTTGAGAGTCAAACCACACCCCTCCCAGCCACAGACCACACACAGCACCACTTCCCCCACCCCTGACAATAAGGGCCCAACTGGAACCCGAGTTCCAACCGGAACCCAAGTTCCCTCGTATTCTGCCAGCACACAGGTGGGGTTTCCTCCTCCAGGACTCAGGCCAGCTCAGCTACTTGCCAGCTGCAGGACCTTAGGCTGGTGTCTTGACCTCTCCGAAGTTCAGTTTCCTCATCTGTAAAATGACAGACTGTTGCAGTGCTTATCCTGCCCCACACGCATCGAATAAGAACACGCATCGTAAACTATACAACACTTCATGTATTCATTATTTATTAAACCCTTCCTTGGTGCCAAGCTTGGTGCCAACCCTGTGCTAGATGACAGCCTTGGGGGCATTGGTCTGGCGTCTAGGCCTCCAGTTCACTGTGCTAAGTGCCCTAAAGGACACGAGCCAGAGCACAGCCAGGGAAAGAGCTTCCAAGTCTGCCTGAGGCTGCAGGTGGGCACCCAGAGGACAAGAGTTAGCATCAAGACCAGGGGACGAGGGTGCATCTCATGCTGCCGAGAGCTCAGCTGTGCGTGGCCCTGGCATCACCCTGGATTTTCCAAGAGCCCAATAAGCAGCACCCCCCACCCCACCCACCCTGCAGGCTGCCCAGGAACCCAGCATGGGACAGGCCCTCAAAGGCCCACCTGCATCCTCTGTCACGGTAAACACATCTGAGGGTGCACCCTTCAAGGAGACTTGGCCATCTTCCTCTTGCAGGGAAAGCAGCCCATGATGCTCCTGGTTGCTATGGCAACTGGGCCCTTGTTTTTCCTTCTTCATAAATAAGCTATAAATAGACAGGGCAGACCTGGGCGCCTTCCTTTGCATAAATTACAGCAGCTGCTCCAGGCTCCAGGGCCCCTGGCACAGCACCCAGGTGCCAAGCCTCGCTGCATGGGCCACAGAAACACAGCTCCCATGGGAGGGGCGCAGCACGGCACAGGGCAGCATCTCAAAGTGTGGATTCCTACCACCCATCCAGACTCTATTGGGGTGCTGAGCAGATTTTGGGGCCCACCTGAGACCTCCAGAATCCCCACCACTGTGAGCAAGGCCTGGGACGGCTGGGCCCTGAGTTTGCCAACTCCAGCTGCTGGAGAGCAGGAGGGGGCATCCCTCCCTTCTTCGTATCCAGGGGCTGTTCAAGTCACAGTGAAATCATGAGAATACTCCGCACTTCCTCAGTGGGTTCCAACAACCAAACACTCTCCCCACCTGGTTTAATCATCATGTTTAACATCTATTTACTGAATCCTTTCTCTATGCCAGGTGCTACGGTAATCACCTTCCATGCCACAACCCAATTCATTCATCAAAACACCATCTGAGGTTTCCAGCTTACAGGTAGGGGACTCTCCACTTGGAGACAGGAGTTGTAACACAAGGTCACGCAGTTGGTCAGCAAGAGAACTGGAATTTGAACCCAAGCCTGTCCTGGTTAAAGCTCATGTTCTTAATCCCAGCCTCTCCTTTTAGCATACCTGATTCTCTTAATAATTTCCGAGGGAGGGAACAGCAGGTGGGATCCTTTAAGGGGGAAGGAACAGAAAAAGGAGCTGAGACTCAGAAGGACCAGGGCCCGACCCACAGCTTCACAGGGAGGACAGTCAAGGCTGAGACTTGGGTCTGTGGAAGGCAGGCTGCAGAGAGTGGAATTACTTTCCCTAAAGAGGGGAAGATTCGGGGAGACACAATTGCCTGGAGGGCCTGGGCAGACTTCTTGGAGGAAGTGAAGCTGTAACAGAGTCTTGGAGAATGGCAGTGGAGAGAAGGAAAAAAGCATTCGAGACAGAGAGAGCAGATAAAGCATTCAAGAAAAAAGCATTCAAGACAGAGAGAGCAGATAAAGCATTCAAGAAAAAAGCATTCAAGACAGAGAGATAAAGGCTCGGAGGTGTGGTAGCGCCATCCGGCTGGCAGGATAGCAGGCAGATCAGTCCGGTTATGGGCCAGGGGCAATGTGGCCAGCTGGCCAGGCCCCAGTTAAGAAGGGCCTTGTAGAGGCCAGGCGTGGTGGCTCATGCCTGTAATCCCAGCACTTTGGGAAGCTGAGGCGGGCAGATCACCTGAGGTCAGGAGTTCAAGACCAGCCTGGCTAACATGGTGAAACCCTGTCTCTACGAAAAATACCAAAAAAATTAGCCGGGCTTGGTGGTGCACATCTGTAATCTCAGCTACTTGGGAGGCTCAGGCATGAGAATCACTTGAACCCAGGAAGTGGAGGTTGCAGTGAGCCAAGATTTCACCACTGCACTCCAGTCTGGGCGACCGAGTGACACTGTCTCAAAACAAAAAGAAGAAAATCCTTGCAGGCTGGCTCAGAAGCCTGGGCCTATCGCAAGGACATTGGGAAGCCATCAGTTTTTTTTTTTTTTTTGAGATGGAGTCTTGCTCTGTCACCCAGGCTGAAGTGCAGTAGTGGGATCTCTGCTCACTGCAGCCTCCGCCTCCAGGGTTCAAGCAACCCTCCTGCCTCAGCCTCCCAAGTAGCCAGGATTATAGGTGTGCACCACCACACCCAGCTGATTTTTGTATTTTTATAGAGATGGGGTTTCACCATGTTGGCCAGGCTGGCCTTGAACTCCTGACCTCAAGCGATCCACCCACCTTGGCCTCCCAAAGTGCTGGGATTAGAGGCGTGAGCCACCACCCCAGCCTCCATGGAATGCTTTTGAGCAGAGAATCAACATGACCTCTAGAGAAAACGGGTTTCCTGCTTGACGTGGGGGTTTGAACAGGGCTCATCACCCGGGACAAGGTATTCTGAAGGCTGCTGAACCACGGGTGCTTTCTCCATCAAATCTTGCAGGATCCATCTCTGAATGTGTCTCCCGGACCCAGACACATCCAGCCCCATTATCTTCTCCATGCTTCAGACCTGCCTCGCCCTAGGTAAATGCTGCTCCATTCATTCACTCATTCATTCACTCCTTCAGATGTTCCTTACATAAACTCCAATCCTGTGTCTGGTACCATGCGACGCACAAGAAAACAAAGACTCTGCCCTCAAGAGAAATGGATACAGAAATAAATAAGCAAGTAAAAGGATCAGAAGGTTCTGATAGAGACTGTGTGGATTACAGAGATTCCAAGGAGAGAAAAAGTCAACTCCCCCAGGGGAGGAACAGCAGCAGCAAATGCTCTGAGGAAAACAGGAGACTGTAAACAGGACGCAGAAGAGGAGCAGGGGTTGGCTAGCTGGGGTTGCAGCGAGAAGAGAGTGGGCAATTCCAGAAGGAGGGGACAGTGTGAGCAGATCCGTGGAGGCGGGAAACAGCTGGGCTTGTTGGAGAACAGAAGATGAGAGGAGTAAGAGGGCGTGGGCAGCTGGAAACCGGGCATCCCAGAGTAGGAGGCAGGGGACAGAGGCTGACACATCACAGTGTGTGAAAACCACTCCGGCAGCCCGTGGGAGGACGGATGGACAGGGAGAGAATGAAAGTGGGAGAGCAGGGGCGGTGGGGGTGCTCCGGCCACAGATCAGGGAGGAGAGGAAGGTAGCCTGAAGTAGGGTGGTGACAGTGAGAACAGCGAGAGGGAACAGTCACTGGAGATATGACAGAGGCCAGATAGACAGCACATGGTTGAAGTTTGGATGTTGAGGAGAGGTAAAAGGAGGAGTCGACGTTGTTCTCCGGGTTATCTGACTTTGGTAGCAGGAAGGTCCACGTGGGTGCCTTGGGGACACGTTGCATTGGAGGTCCCCGTGGGTCCCTGGAGCTCGAGAGAAGGGTCTGGGCTGGGGAGAGAGTTGCAGGAGTTCTCCAACAGCAGCGAGAAGGCTGTGGAAGTCCCAAATGTGAAGACAACACAGGAGAGTGGGCAAGGGAGAGAAGAGAGCTAGGGATGGTCCCATGTGTCAGGCAAGCAAAGACCGAGTGGGCAAAGAGTGGAGTGAAGGGGAACTAGAGGGGAGTGACATCACAGCCGCCAAGATCAGAGTGCCCGGAGATGCAGGGAGAGCACCTGAGTCCAGCACCACAGACTCCAGCAAGCAAGAGGAGGACAGAACTGTGTCCATGGGGCCATCAGGTCTGACAAAGACCTTTTCTGTAATGATAATACTCAGTGTTAGGGATGATCTGGTGAGATGAGCACCTTTAAGGGTTGCTAGTGGGAAGGCAAAATGGTATAATAGGAGCTTCTGGAAAGCTCTTTGCCAGAATAGTTCACGATCCTTGAAAAAGTCCAGAACATTTGACCCCAACATTCCCCTTCTAGGGATCTATCTTCAGTCAAAGATTGGTGTATAAAGACGTTCATCATAGAGGTCAGGTGTGGTGGCTCATGCCTGTAATCCCAGCACTTTGGGAAGCCGAGGCGGGAGGATCACTTGAGGCCTGGAGTTTGAGATCAGCCTGGGCAACATGGTGAGACCTCATCTGTACAAAAAATAGAAAAATTGGCCAGGCAAAGTGGCACGCACCTGCAGTCCCAGCTGCTCAAGAGGTTGAGGTGGGAGGATCACTTGAGCCCAGGAACTCGAGGCTGCAGTGAGCTGTGATTGTGTTCACCGCACTCCAACCTAGGCGACATAGTGCAACCCCATCTGTTAAAAAAAAAAAAAAAAAAAGGTTCATTGTAGCATTATTCATAGTGGATTATATATTGAATAATGAAGTATATATTGGATACTGAAATGGATTAAATGTTATAATATGTAGCAATATTATAATGAAAATCTAGAAATCACTTTAATGTCAAACAATGGGAGAATAGTTAACTAGTTTATATGAAATTTATGAGGCCAAGAAAAATTATCTTCAATGCATGTTTAAGGACAGAAGAAAGAATGAGAAAATGGACACAATGTGTATGGTTTTATGTGTGGGGGTATACATTCTTTTTTTAAAAAAATCCTATTATTAATAGTGGTAATTCCTTGCTGGTGGGATTTCAGCAAGGATTTTTTTTTCAAATTTTCAAGTTCTCTACATATTTATTACTTTTTTCCTCCAAATTATCATTGTGAAGTTTTTCAGAGCTTCAGAAAGCTACAAGGATGGTTCAATAAACACACAGAGACTCTTTATCCCAGATTTACCATTTTCTCTTCTCTCTCTCGCTCTGAACCATTTGAAAGTTACACAACACAGCTGGGCGTGGTGGCCCACGCGTGTAATCCCAGCACTTTGGGAGGCCGAGGCGGGTGAATCACCTGAGGTCAGGAGTTGGAGACCAGCCTGGCCAACATGGTGAAACACCATCTCTACTAAAAGTACAGAAAATTAGCCAGGCATGGTGGCGGACTCCTGTAATCCCAGCTACTCAGGAGGCTGAGACAGGAGAATCACTTGAACCCAGGAGGCAGAGGTTGCAGTAAGCTGAGATCACACCACTGTACTCCAGCCTGGGCAATAAGGGCGAAACTCTGCCTCAAAAAAATAAATTTTTATATATATACATATATATATACGTATATACACACATATGCGTGTATGTATATACGTATATATGTATATATGTGTGTATATACGTATATATGTATACGTGTGTGTATATACGTATATATGTATACATGTGTATATACGTATATATGTATACATGTGTGTATATACGTATATATGTATACATGTGTGTATATACGTATATATGTGTATATGTGTGTATATACGTATATATGTGTATATGTGTGTATATACGTATATATGTGTATATGTGTGTATATATGTATATATGTATATGTGTATATGTATGTATGTATATACACACATATATGTATATATTTTTTAAAAGAAAAAGAAAATTACCCAACACTCCACCCCTAAATACTTAACCGTGAATCTCCAAAAACAAGTTCATTCTCCTATACAACCACAGTGCCATTCTAGGAATTCACTATTATTTAATTTCAATCCACATTCAAATTTCCCCTATTGTCCCGGGAATAACTTTCATAACTTTTGTGATCCAGCATTCAACCAGAGACCCCACACTGAATTCAGTCGCCATCACTCTTCAGCCTCCTTCAACCTGGAACAATCCTCCAGGCTTTTTTTTTTTTTTTGTCTTTCATGAAGAGGTCAGGCCAGTTGTTCTGAAGAATGCTCCTCAGTGAGGACTTGCCTGGAGACTCTGGTGAGCGTTTTTGCAGGAGCACCTTGTGATGACACCCGTCCTTCTCAGGGCATCACGGGAAGGGCGCGTGATGTTGACTTCCCCCGATATTTGTGGTGTTAAGTCTCATCGTTATTAGTAAAGGTAGTGCCTGTCAGATTTCTCCATTTATAAAGGTAACTTTTTCCCCTTGTAATTAAAAAGTAACATGTGGGTGATTCTTGGAGGCTGTATGGATATCTCATTCCCAATGGTCTTTTGCCCAGTGGTGTTAAACAGCCACTAACAATTCTTGCCTGAATCCATTATGATCATGTGTTTGTGAGAGGCCATTCTCTGTGTCTATCCCTGCCCTTAGCCAGAACCCTTCTGTCCCCTCTGGGTTGTTTGTTTGTTTGTTTGGAGACAGGACTGTGGTCTGTCACCCAACCTGGAGTGCAGTGGTACCATCATGGTTCATTGCAGCTTCTGCCTCCTGGGCTCAAGCGATTATCCCACCTCAGCCTCCCAAGTAGTTGGGACTACAGACATGCGCCACCATGCCTGGCTAATTTTTTAATGTTTTGTAGAGTCAGGGATCTCACTATGTTGCCCAAGGTGGTCTAAAATTCCTGGCCTCAAGTGATCCTCCTGAGGATTTGGGAGGTGCTTTGGGATCGTAGGCGTGAGCCACCATGCTTGGCCTCCTTGTTTTTTTGAATTCTAGGTTTCTTTTTTCTATGTGTTATAATCTAGTCTTATTTTAATCATTTAAAAATCATTTATTATCTCCAATTCTCCCATTTATTATCTCTAATTCTTATTTTAAATCATTTTTATCTCCAGTTCTCCCAAATGTGGCCGGTAGGAGTGCCTTCAGAGCAGCTCCCTGCCAGCTTCAGTTCTTTGCTTTCTGGCCCAGTGAGATGGCCTGAGTGGAGGAATCACATGAGCCACAGAAATGACGCCTCAACTCCAGATCCACTGGGAAGCTGGAAGGAAGTCTGCAGGCACCAAGGGAAGCAGCAGGGCTGTGTGGACATTGGTAGTGCCTTCTCTCAGAAGCTCCGCAGCCAGGACTTTAATGAATGGCCCTACTCCAGGGTCAGGGCCAGAGCCAGAGCCAGCTTAGACACAGGCCACCAGCCTGCCTGGGCATCTTGGTTTTACATCTCATCTATTTACTTCTTGCACGTGGAAAGAGATTAATTATGGTACAAAGATGAAGAAAAACTGTATTCTTTTGCAACTTCCATGAGGAAGGAAAAAAAGTAGGGAATCATGCCAAGATTTTAGGAGGCCAAGGTATATGTGTGCCTACGAGAGTGAGTGTGTGTGTGTGTGTGTGTGTGTGTGTGTCTCCCAGGTTCTCCAGGCTTTCGGATCCCCTTTCTTCTTCTCTATCTTAACTTTTAAGAAATTGGCATATAGCGTGCATGCAGTAAAATGCACAGATTTTAAGGATACAGTTAGATGAGTGTCGACAAATGTGTGATCAGCACCCTGACCAAGATTTAGAACGTTTCACCACCATCAGAAAGTTTCCTCATGCTCCTTCCAGTCAATCCCCCAACCCTCCATAAAGGGAACCACTTTCCCATATAAAAAATTCTAGGCCGGACATGAATCCCAGCACACCTGTAATCCCAGCACTCTGGGAGGCTGAGGTGAGTAGATCCCTTGAGCCCAGGGGTTCAAGACCAGCCTGGGCAACATGGCAAAACCCCCCATCTCTACAAAAAGAATACAAAAATTAGCCAGGCGTCGTAGCGCTTACCTGTGGTCCCGACTACTTGAGAGGCTGAGGTGGGAGGATCCCTTGAGACCAGGAGACAGAGGTCACAGTGAGCCATGATCACGCCACTGCACTCCAGCCTGGATGACAGAGCTAGAAACCTACCTCAAAAAAAAAAAAAAAAAAATCTAGAACTTCACACAAAAGGAATCTTACAATGGGCACACCTCCTTTATTTTAACTACCAAATAAAATGGTGGTGGGAAGGCTAGCAGTGTCACCACTGCTCCAAAATATTTCTGAGGCCTTCTTGGGGAGAAGCAAAGAGGTACTGATGTCCCACTGTAGCTTCTGGCTCCAAATCTCTGCTCCCAGGCTGGTGGCTGACGAGGAGACACAGATGAGTCTCCTTCCCCTACTCAGGAAAAATCATTTTCCATGGCCTAGAAACTATGGCCTCAAAACTCCACTGGACTTGGCAGCCTATCTACCCAGAAGTGAGGCTCGGCCACTCTGACAGCCCTTCTGCACCCTTGACTGTGGGGACCCCTGGGGGACTGTGATCCTGTCCGTCTGCCAGCAGGAGCAGCGAGCAGCACCAGCGGCCACCCGACGTCCTGTATCTCCGCTGTCAATCTGCCCGCTGCCCTGGGTTGTTTACTGGAAGCTGGCCTCCCTGCACAGGTTCAAAGCCCTGGCCCTGGGCACGTCTGCGGCAGGAAGCAGGCCGGGCAGTAATTGGCGGTGCGGCCATGCTAAGTGGCCAGCACCGACCCGGTATCCTCCCCCAGCAGTCGCCTTTGAGTGGCTCCATGCTGACCTTCCAGGCCTGCGGGGACTTCCTGCCGAACGCCGAGCCAGCTCCAGGAACAAATTACTTATTCCCCAAGAAATCTATTAAAAGGTGACAGCAGTCGGGAGACAGGTGGCCAGGAGGCCTCCAGCACCGGAAGCCAAATGTCTTCCGTTCCCAAGGGCCACCAGCCAACTCCCCCTGAACTTGCTGGCTCAGAGGGAACTGAGCTAGAACTCTAACTTTTGGGGCCAAGGAAAAATGACTCAGAGCTGGAGAGAGGCTGCCATACCTGCAGCCCAATGTGGCTTCTCGACAGGGGAAGCGGCAGGAGGCAGAGTCACCCAGACTCGGTTCTATCTGCCATTCCTATTCTATGTGGCCTTGGGCGAGCCACCTGGCCTCTCTGAGCCCTCCATGCCTATCAAGGCCATAAGAAGCCCCACCCATTGGGTTGGCACAAAGCAGATGTACGCAAAGTGCCAGGCACATAATGGATGCTCTGTGGGTGTTGCTGGATCAGAGCCGACTGGGTTTCATTTTCCAGCGGAGAGAGAAGTGAGCCCAGAGTGACCTGCGTGTGCCCACGGGCAGAGGGAGGCAGAGATCAAGCCTCAGGATTGCATGGAGTGGGGCTGGCACTGGAGGAGCTGGGGGAGGGCACAAGGCACAGCAGCATCTGGTCTCCCCCTGGCGAGGAGCTGTTACCATCTCCAGCCAGGCCCTGGCTGATCAATGAGCCACTAGGTGAATGCATGAACAAATAAATAAATAAACTGTCCAGGCATGGTGGTTCATGCCTGTAACCCCAGCACTTTGGGAGGCCGAGGTGGGTGGATCATTTGAGTTCAGCAGTTTGAGACCAGCCTGACTGACATGGTGAAACCCTGTCTCTAGTAGAAAATACAAAAATTAGCTGGGCATGGTGGCATGCTCCTGTAATCTCAGCTACTTGGGAGGCTGAGGCAGGAGAATAGCTTTAATCTGGAAGGGGGAGGTTGCAGTGAACTGAGATAGCACCACTGCACTCCAGCCTGGGTGACAGAATGAGACTTCATCTCAAATAATAATAATAATAATAATTTTTATTATTGAATAAATGAATGAATGAATGCCCAGCTCATTGGTAGATGTGGCAGGCTGTGTAATGGCCCTCCCAAAGATGTCAATGTCCTGATCCCCAGAACCTATGAACATGTTACCTTACATGATAAAAGGGATTTTGCAAGTATGATTAAGTTAAGGATCTATAAATGGGGCGGTTATGCTGGAGTATCCAGGTGAGCATAATATCCTCACAAGGGTCTTACAAGAGGGAGGCAGGAGGCTCAGAGTTGAGGCCTCAGATGTGAACTGAGGGAGAGGCATCTGCAATAGACACAGGTGACATCAAGGCCCGGGCTTCACAGTTGTGTAACTGATGTTCTCTGGACCTGGTTGGCTCTAAACTCCAAAGTACTCTTTTTATCATATGATGGAGTGCTGCTGGGTCCACCTGACCTTATAACTTGGGGAATCAGAAAATACCAGCTCATGATGGACAGCTGAAATCTCATAGTCATTTGATATCTCCTGGTTAGGTGCTTGCTTGGTCTCTGCTAGAGTCCAGAAGGATGCCAGGAGCTGATTTTCTAAGGGTGAGCATTTCTCTACATCAGAAGTCATGAACTTGCCTCTAACCCTAGGGGTCTGTGCTACGAATCTTCTGTTAGGGTGTGGCAGACACACAACCTTGTCTACATGGATACTTCTTTTGCACCGTTGGGTTTGTGATTGGGTAAGGCCCAAGCAGCAAGGTACTTACACCACTGACTAGATCTCTCGTGCTCTGATCCCCACTTGAAACTGATCATTTTGACTGGGTACAGTGGCTTATGCCTGTAATCCTAGAGGTTTGGGAGGCCAAGGCAGGAGGATCACTTGAGGCCAGGAGTTTGAGACCCGCCTGGGCAACATAGTGAGACTCCATCTCTACAAAAATAAATTTTTTTAATTAGCCAAGCTGGGTGCGGTGGCTCACACCTGTAATCCCAGCACTTTGGGAGGCCAAGGTGGGTGGATTGCTTCAGGTCAGGAGTTCAAGACCAGCCTGGCCAACATGGTGAAACCTCATCTCTACTAAAAATGCAAAAATTAGGTAGGCGTGGTGGCAGGAGCCTGTAGTTCCAGCTACTCAGGAGGCTGAGGCAGGATAATCACTTGAACCTGGGAGATGGAGGTTGCAGTGAGCCGAGATCGCACCACTGCACTCCAGCCCAGGCAACAGAGCGAGACTCCATCTCAAAAAAAAAAATTCTATCAATATGAAGGCCAGGTGCAGTGGCTCACTCCTGTAATCCTAACACTTTGGGAGGCCGAGGCAGGCAGATTGCCTGAGCTCAGGAGTTCGAGACCAGCTTGGCCAACATGGTGAAACCCTGTCTCTACTAAAAATACAAAAAATTATCTGGGCATGGTGGTACATGCCTGTAATCCCAGCTACTTGGGAGGCTGAGGCACAAGAATCACTTGAACCCAGGAGGCAGAGGTTGCAGAGAGCCAAGATCAGGCCACTGCATTGCAGCCTGGGTACCAGAGCAAGACTCTGTCTCAAAAAAAAAAAAAAAAAAGTTCTATCAATATGCAGGTTCCTGAATCTCTGTAGGGTTTTTCTCTCACCCTCTAACAGAGATATGTCTGACTAGGGCCCCCAGAGAACAATCCACTCTCTGCCCACGGGGTCAAATGGACATAGTGTCATCAATGGAGTGGATGAATGGGATGTTTGGCAGAATGCCAAGCCCGTATGAACTTTGCGACACAGAACAGGAGAACTGACATAGCCCTGGAGTGAGACAATAAATGTGCTTTACTGCCCTTCTCTCATAAATGCAAACTACTTTTTTTTTTTTTTTTTTTTAGATGGAGTCTCACTCTGTCGCCCAGGCTGGAGTGCAGTGGCACATTCTTGGCTCACTGCAACCTCTGCCTCCTGGGTTCAAGTGATTCTCCTGCCCCAGCCTCCCAAGTAGCTGGGGCTACAGACACACACCACCACGCCCAGCTAATTTTTTGTATTTTTAGTAGAGATGGGGTTTCACCATGTTGGCCAGGCTGGTCTCAAACTCCTGACCTCAGGTGATCTGCCCGCCTAGGCATCCCAAAGTGCTGGGATTACAGATGTGAGCCACCGCACCCGGCCTGCAAACTACTTTTGATCCTTCTGACTGATAGGAACTCAAAAGAATGCATTTGCCAAACCAAGAGCCCCATGCCAAGTGACTGAGGCTGTGTTGATCTATTCTATATTGGGACTACACGTTGGCTAAGTTTATGGCCATTCACCATCATCCACCATGATCCATGTGGCTTTTGCAGAGACAGGGGTAAATCAAAGAGTGCAGTGCTGGGGTCTCAGGTAGTGAATCCACTCTAACAAGCCCGACTCCCTGGGCCATCTGACCTATTCTTCAATACTCTGCTAAAGCAGCACCAGCATCTCCAGCTCAACTCCTGTAGGTCATTGTCATGTCCAAGCTTCCAGGAGCCACCCCAACAACATATCAGGGCTTCCTCAAGGTGTCTGGGCCAGTACACTAAATCCTGAGTCATAGGTAAGGACACCCAGACCAATGAACTCACCCCTCTCCTACCTTGTGTTACAGACCCCAGTACAATGACCTCAAGATCCACCTCTAGGTGTTCTTAAAACTCCTGTTGATCTGTATTAGCCAGATCCTGCAATTCTCTCCAAAGTAAACTACCCTTTCTGGAAAGTATGTCTTCACTTAGGCTGTGCTACGATTTACTTTTAGCTATTAGTCTGGAGGCAATAAAGGGAGGTGTGATTGATGGAATAATGGCCCCCAAAGACACCCAGGTCTTAATCCCTGGAACTGGTGAACGTTACCTTCTACAGCAAAAGGAACTTTACTAATGTGATTAGGTTAAAGATGTTGAGATGCAGAGATTGTTCTGGCTTACCTGAGTCACTCCTAAATATCATCACACGTGTCCTTATAAGAGGGAGGCAGAGGGAAACTTGACTGCAGAAGAGGAGAAGGAGATGCAATGACAGACATGGCTTTGAGGATGGAAGAAGGAGGCCAGGCGCGGTGGCTCACACCTGTAATCCCAGCACTTTGGGAGGCTGAGGCAGGTGGATCACTTGAGGCCAGGAGTTCAAGACCAGCCTGGCCATCATGGCAAAACCCCATCTCTACTAATAATACAAAAATTAGACAGGTAAGGTGGCCCACACCTGTAGTCCCAGCTACTCGGGAGGCTGAGGGAGGAGAATCCCTTGAACCCGGGAGGCAGAGGTTGCAGTGAGCCAAGATCGCACCACTGCACTCCAGCCTGGGGGACAGAGTGAGACTCTGTCTCAAAAAAAAAAAAAAAAAAAGAGAGAGAGATGGAGGAAGGGGCACAAACCAAGGCATCCCAGCAACCACCAGAAGCTGAGAGAGGCAAGGGAACAGATCCTCTGCCCCAAGCCTCCAGGAGAAGCCAGCTGCACCAGCGCCTCGGCTTAGCCCAGAGAGACGGGTTTTGGACTGTGGACCTACTGAACTGGAAGAGAGAAATTTGCGTTGTTTTAAGGCACTGAGTTCATGGTGATTTGTTACAGCAGCCGTAAGAAACTCGTCCAAGAGGAAAGTGTGGCTATGGCTCTTGAGAAGGACGAGCGTGTTGCAAAGTCTCTTCCCCAGAAAGGTCTTTGCAAGCTCTCCAGGGAGAAAATTATAAAAGCCTGATGTGCTTTGCAAGAGGGAAAGAACCACTTTTGCTGACCCAGAAGGTTCAAGGGGAAACCTTTGGATTAGGTTTTCAGGTGCATCCATCCAAACGGCTCCATCCTTGGCCTCGAGATCCCACTCCTCCCCTATCAGGACCCTGACTTTAGCATAGGACACAAGCCTAACCACTCAATCTCCACAGAAGCTGTACTGTCCTTCCAATCAAATCCAGGGCCTGATTTTTAGTGCCTAAAGAAATTAAGTTCCTTGGCCGGGCGCAGTGGCTCAGGCCTGTAATCCCTGCACTTTGGGAGGCCAAGGCAGGCAGATCACGAGGTCAGGAGTTCAAGACCAGCCTGGCCAACATAGTGAAACCCCATCTCTACTAAAACTATAAAAAATTAGCTGGGTGTGGTGGTGGGCGCCTGTAATCCCAGCTACTCATGAGGTGGAGGCAGGAGAATCGTTTGAACCCAGGAGGCAGAGGTTGCAGTGAGCCGAGATCGCGCCATTGTACTCCAGCCCAGGCAACACTGCGAGACTCCATCTCAAAAGAAAGAGAGAGAGAGAGAGAGAAAGAAAGAAAGAAAGAAAGAAAGAAAGAAAGAAAGAAAGAAAGAAAGAAAGAAAGAAAGAAAGAAGGAAAGAAAGAAATTAGGTTCCCTTTAAACACTGGTCTTTCACAGAATGCCCTGAGCTATCTGGTCTAGGCCAGTCATTCTCTTTCTTCAAGGTGTCCAAGGCAATGGACAAGAGCCAGCCAACCCCATAACGTGTATAATTGTCAATGCTGCCATATTGCTGAAGTGCTAGAGCTAGTGCATAACCCAGTGTGTTCCTGTCCACCTATTCCTCATCCCATTCCACCATGTGTCCGATTGTGATGCTTTAGCATGCCGGACATGATCGCTGCCCCTCTTACCTGTTGCCATGGGCTTTTGTTGCCATTTGATGAGTGATGAGTGATCCAATTTCAGAATCTCATTCTCAGGGTTTGTTTTCTAGTGAACCATTTCCTGTACAAACTGTCATAGTTCTTTGCAGAAAAATTATTTTGAAAAGAATAAACTTGTAAAAAGCAGGAGAACAGAAGTAAGACTATCTGGAAGAGAACAATCACTCTAATTAATTAAATTCTTGATATATTTCTCATTTCTAGAATAATAAACTGACATTGAATTGATACATGAAAAGCTGGTGAAAGATTCAAAACAATAAAGGTTTAGCAAAAAAATAAAGGGATGGAACAAGTTGAAAAAATACGAAAATAAACAACATAACTATATACATATATATATATATATATTTTTTTTTTTCTTTGAGACAGGATCTTGCTCTTTTGCCCAGGCTGGAGTGCAGTGGTGTGATCATGGCTCACTGCAGCCTCACCTCGGGGGCTCAAGTAATCCTCCTACCTCAGCCACCCAAGTAGCCAGACTACAGGCTCACACCACCACACCCAGCTAATTTTTCTATTTTTTGTAGAGATGAGGTTTTGCATGTTGCCCAGGCTGGTCTCAAACTCCTGAGCTCAAGCAATCCTCCCGCCTCAGCCTACCAAAGTGCTGGGATCACAGGCATGAGCCACTGCACCTGGCCGCCAAAATATTTCTTATTGAAGTAGTCATTAGTCTGTTCACCAAATATTTCTAGACCTATCTTCAGAGGACATGGTAGGTTAAACTTCCTGGATCCCTTTAGACTGGGTGGTACTCAAGAATAGGGAACAAGCTGGGCACAGTGGCTCACACCTGCAATGCCAGCACTTTGAGAGGTCAAGGCAGGAGGATGGTTTGAGCCCAGGAGTTTGAAACCAGCCTGGGCAACACGGTGAGACTCCATCTCTACAAATAAGAAAAAAAAGTTTAAAAAATTAGCCAGGTGGGCCAGGCACGGTGGTTCACGCCTGTAATCCCAGCACTTTGGGAGGCCAAGGTGGGCGGATCACGAGGTCAGGAGATCGAGACCATCCTGGCTAACATAGTGAAACCCCGTCTCTACTAAAAATACAAAAAATTAGTTGGACGTGGTGGCGGGCGCCTGTAGTCCCAGCTACTCGGGAGGCTGAGGCAGGAGAATGGCATGAACCCGGGAGGCGGAGCTTGCAGTGAGCCGAGATCACGCCACTGCACTCTAGCCTGGGTGACAGAGCAAGACTCCGTCTCAAAAAAAAAAAAAAAATTAGCCAGGTGGGCCGGGCGTGGAGGCGCACACCTGTAATTTCAGCACTTTGGGAGGCCAAGGTGGGCAGATCACCTGAGGTCAGGAGTTCGAGACCAGCCTGGCCAACATGGTGAAACCCTGACTTTACTAAAATACAAAAATTAGCCGGGCATGGTGGCACATGCCTGTAATCCCAGCTACTCATGAGGCTGAGGCAAGAGAATTGCTTGAACCTGGAAGGTGGAGGTTGCAGTGAGCTGAGACTGTGCCACTGCACTCCAGCCTGGGTGACAGAGCGAGACTCTGTCTCCAAAAAAAAAATTAGCCAGGTGTGGTAGCACTTGCCTATAGTCCCAGCTACTCAGGAGACTGAGGTAGGAAGGTCACTTAAGCCCAGGAGTTTGAGGCTGCAGTGAGCCATGACTGCACCACTGCATTCCAGCCTGGGTGACAGACCAGTCTCACACACACACACACAAAATATGTGTCACTTCAGGGCTGGTGCATTTAAATGCCAGGGTGGGTTCCTCTGGAGCTTTTTTTTTTTTTTTTCCCCAGCCTCAGTGACTCCTGACACTCTGGATGATTTCTGCTGTATCAGCCTGAGTCCCTTGATTAGGGCCCTTTTGCCACAAGAATAGAACTTCCCCATGATGGATGTAGCATGAACAAAACAAAGCCACAAAACTACTATTTTAAGGCACTGAGATTTTAGAATTGCTACTGCAGCATGTCCTAGCATGTCCTGACTGATACAGGAACCACATGAAGATTCATGAGGAAATATGCTTTCTGAATGTAAAATATTTTTATGAGAAAATTAAATCACACTAGACCCTTAGCTTACAACAAATCAAACATTCCTTAAGATGCTACTACAGAGACAAAATCAAAATCAGTCGACTAAAATCTTCAACAGCCATCCTATTCACTTCAAATTTCTTTCCTTTTTTTTTTTTTTTTTTTTGTTTTTGAGACAGGGTCTCACTCTGGTACCCAGGCTACAGTGCAGTGGTGCAATCTTGGCTCACTGCAGACTCGACCTCCTTGGCTCAAACAATCCTCCCACCTCAGCCTCCCGAGTAGCTGGGATGACAGGTGCATCCCACCACACTGGCTAATTTTTGTAATTTTTTTTTGTAGAGACAGGGTTTCACCATGTTGTCCAGGCTGGGTTCAAGTGATCTGGCCACCTCAGTCTCCCAAAGAGTGAGTCAATCTGTTTGACCCGGGCATTCGGTTCCCTTATTGGAGGAGCCTGGGTTATATCCCCACCTGTGGCAGTCAGAATTCTGAAGATGCCCCCTTCAATCCTGCAGGATTTCCATTGTTGGTTATTCAACCAAACACTAACCTAGGTGCTGCCATGAAAACAAATACAAAACAAATATGCCACTCCAGGAGGATAGAGCGGGGTCGGCCCCTCCCAGCACCACAGGAACTGATCATGGAAGAGGAGGCTCCACAAAGAAAACCAGTTGCTGGCTGTGCATGGTGGCTCATGCCTGCAATCCCAGCACTTTGGGAGGGCAAGGCCAGGAGTTCAATACCAAGTCTAGGCAACATAGCAAGACCCCATATATATCCATATATATGTGTATGTATATATTAGCCAGGCATGGAGGTGCATGCCTGTAGTCCTAGCAACTCAAGAGGCTGAGTTGAGGCCCTGCGCGATGGCTCGTGCCTGTAATCCCAGCACTTTGGGAGGCCAAGGCGGGCGGATCACGAGGTCAGGCATTCTAGGTCATCCTGGCCAACATAGTGAAATCCCGTCTCTACCAAAAATACAAAAATTAGCTGGGCATGGTGGCGCGTGCCTGTAATCCCAGCTACTCGGGCGGCTAAGGCAGGAGAATCACTTGAATCAGGGAGTCGGAGGTTGCAGTGAGCCGAGATGGCCCCACTGCACTCCAGCCTGGACGACAGAGCAAACTCCATCTCAAAAAAAAAAAAAAAAATGAGGCTGAGGTGAGAGGATGGCTTGAGAACAAGAGTTCAAGGACTGCACCCTACTCTCCAGCCTGGGCAACGAAGACCATGTCTCTTAAAAAAAAAAAAGAAAAAGGAAAAAGAAAGAAAGAGAGAAAGAAAACCAGGTGCTGTTTCCAGAAGGAGCAGGAAAGCACTGGGCAGGGTTGACAGTGTCGAAGCTGAAAATGCATTCCCCATGGCCCAGCACCCCGACACAGCCAGGCTCTCACCCAAGCATCGGACCCATTCAAGGAGGGGCCTTGGCCCCCTTTGTTTGTGCCCAGGGCCATGCCCCTACAAGGCGCCAGTTGTTTCCTGTGCTCCAGGAATCCCTCCAGCTCTCCCCCAACTCTTCTCGCCATCTTCGGCTTCTTCAGTTTTCACCCCACTACTCAGGTGTCCAGAAAATTCCCTACACCTGGCCAGCTCCCGGGGCCTGACAGGGTGCAGGTTCCGTGTAAACTTTCAGCAATCATGGAGCAGAATCCCTGGAAGTGGCGGCAGGAGGAGAAGCAGGTCAGCCAAGCTGTTCCGGGCAGGGTCCCCTGACGTCACACATCCCATCCTTGACACAGTTCCGTCAGCAGCCAATAGGAACCCCATTTCTCAGAAGAAAAAAATCAAGGCATGAGGGAGATAAATCCTTCCCCAAGGTCAGCACATTCATTCTTCCCCTTCCAAGCGACGGAAACCCAATTCAACCTGGCGTAAGAAAAAGCGGAGGCCAGTCGCGGTGGCTCACGCCTGTAATCCCAGCACTTTGGGAGGCCAAGGCGGGTGGATCACCTGAGGTCAGGAGTTTCAGACCAGCGTGGCCAACATGGTGAAACCCCGTTTCTACTAAAACTAAAAAAAAAATTAGCTGGGCGTGGTGGCACGCGCCTGTAATCCCACCTACTCGGGAGGCTGAAGCAGGAGAATCGCTTGAACCTGGAAGGCGGATGTTGCAGTGAGCTGAGTTCGTGCCATTGCACCCCAGCCTGGACAACAAGGACAAAACTCCGTCGGAAAGGAAAGGAAAGGGGAAAGGGGAAATGGCGGAGAGGGGAGTGTGGATTCAGGCTACCTGGAGGTCAGCGGCTGACTTCAGGCCCCCATCGGTTCAGGCACTGGGGAAGTCTTCGTTCCCCTTCTGCCTCCCTCTTTGCCTCTGTGTTTTCCTCTCTGTCTCTGTCTCCCACCTCCTCCTCCTCTCAGGATTTATTCCCTCCCATTGCAGATGGATACAACAGGAAACGCAGCCTGTGGCAAAGACAGAAACCTGGTTCTCTTTGGGGCAACAAAATGCCCAGATGATAAATGACATTTCTCAAATTCCTTTGCAACCAGTGATACATAAGCACAAGTATTCTGTAGTACATCTGGGAAGGTTGCCTGAAGGGAGCTGATACCGCTGGAAGAAGAAACTCTTAGGCCCTTACCTACCTTTCCTCCTTCCTGTTGCCTAAAACATAAGTGCAATGGCTGGAGCTTTGGCAGCTATTTTGGGCCATGAGGTGAGATGGAATGTCTCAGTGAGTCACATGAGACCTGGACTGGCCACCATCAGGCTTCTTTTACATTAAAAATAATAATACATCTTTACCTGTTTAAGCCACTTTTATTTGGAGCTTTCTGTTGTGTGCAGTTAAACTTAACCCCATGACATGGGGCCACCAGCAGCTCCAGCTTCACCTTCCCAACTCAGAAACCCCAGGGTCAGGACCACTGCTCTTCTCACTTCACACCAAAGTGTCAGGCAAGGCGAAGCGCTGAACTGCACGGCTGGGCCGTGACTGGAGGAACAGCCGAAACATGGCTCAGGCGCATTCCCGGGGCATTTTATGTTACTTGTTGGTTTGCTTTTGAGGAGAGGCAGCTGGAGTGGAAACCCATGAATGGTGGGAGAAGATAACTCCCCAAGAGAAGCAGGTGGGATGGACATAAGAAATGATGGGTGCCTACGGCAGCCAGCATGTGGTGAACCCATTTGTGGGGCTCACAGGCCGGGAGCTCTGCCCTGCTCGGCAGTGTCTCGGTCTTACTGGAGGGCTTCCCTGGCCATCCTGTCAGGTGCCCCCATAGGTGCATCTCACCTCTCCCAGGGAGGTCCATCGGGAGGCCTCCATGTAGGGGGTCAAGAAGACAAAGGTGTGGAGGGCTCCAAGGTCAACTCTAGGGAGCACATCTCAAGCCAGCACTGTCAACTGCTTGCAGGAGGCCAAACAGACCTGGGGTCAAAGCCCACCTCAGCCACTTCAGCTGTGTGGCCTTGGATGAGCTGCTTCACCTCTCTGAGCCAGCACGCCAGTTTCCTCATTTCTTCCTCTGGGTCTGTCTGTACTCTCTCCCAGCTCTCCACACACCTGGAATTCCCTCTTCTTCCTCTCCTGTCATCTACCCTCCCCAAGAGGCCTACCTCCACAGCTCCAACCACACCCAGCCTGGGACCTAGCCTAGCGAGCCACTGAGCCCTAGGATGTGTCAACACTCCCCTTGATTCCGGGGCACTTCACATGGTCTAGGAAACAATTACACTTTCAGATTTTCCAAACGAGGCCAGG
The DNA here is from genome assembly GCF_000001405.40 of Homo sapiens. Taxonomy (NCBI): domain Eukaryota; kingdom Metazoa; phylum Chordata; class Mammalia; order Primates; family Hominidae; genus Homo; species Homo sapiens. The sequence goes on from NC_000009.12 coordinate 124,440,367, forward strand.
TGCAGTGACTCACGCCTGTACTCCCAGCACTTTGGAAGGCTGAGGTGGGCAGATCACTTGAGGTCAGGCGTTCAAGACCAGCCTGGCCAACATGGTGAAACCCCGTCTCTACTTAAAAAAAAAAAATTAGTCAGGCGTGGTGGCAGGCACCTGTAATCCCAGCTACTCAGGAGGCTGAGGCAAGAGAATCACTTGAACCTGAGAGGCAGAAGTTGCAGTGAGCCAAGATCATGCCACTGCACTCCAGCCTGAGCACAGAGCAAGACTCTGTCTAAAAAAAAAAAAAAGGAAAAAGAAAGTAGAGGTCAGTGTGCTTGTTGGAAGAGAAAGAAGGGTAGACAAGGAAGGGAGGAAGCCCCCAGCTTCCTTGCTAAAACACATAGATGGACAAAATCCTGCTGGAGCCCAGAGGGAACCACTCCCACTGCCAGGAGGGGCTGGGGAAGCCACCAGAGAGACCAAGCTGAGGCTTGAGGTACAACTAGGAACTCTCTAGAATTTCTGGACCTCCACTGGGTGGAGAAACAGGGGAAAGACAGTTCAGGCGGAAGGTGTGAGGCATGGGCGGGAGAAAACACGGCATGCCTAGGCTTTCGTGGAGGACTGGTGCAGCCCGAGAGGAGGCTGTTTGGAGAACTGAGGGGACAGGGAAAGGGGTGAGGACTTGGAAAGGACTTCACGAGCCGGGCCAAGGCCTCGGGACTTTCTCCCATTGATTTCAGGGAACACCCAGTAGGTGCTCACTAAGCCTTGGTTGAAGGAATGACTTGATTGATTGTTGAACCCGACTCGGAGGAGGGGACCCCAAGTCCCACCACTGAGGGGTAGGAGCTCTGGGACCCCATCCCCAGCCCAGGCCCCCAAGCAGCTGCTCCTCCCCCTCCCACAGACTCCAGCCTGGATGTTTTTCTCTGCGCTTGATGAAGTTAAAATAAGCCCTCTCTGGGGTGAATCGCAGGCGTTCAAATTGGATTGGCACAAGGACGTCGAGCAGTTGGTGGCAGGAGCCAGGGGACCGGAGAGCAGGTTTTCGCTGGAGGGGACATGAGCTTTATTTCCCTCTTGGTTGCTGATGAGGAAGCAGCTGTCCTTGCCTGATTATTTTTACCTCGAGTCACAGCCGCTGCCACCGAGCCCCACCTGCGCCCGCCTGCCTGCCAGGGCCAGGTGAGGAGCCCACCGCCCTGGCCCGGCTCTGCTGCAAGCTGCGAGCTCCACCTACCGCCACCTCCACTCAGGACCCAGCAGCAGCCCCGGCCTCAGGCCCAGACCCTTCCACACCACAAAGTGCTCACTGTCCAGAAGAGAGAGACCCAGAGCAGCCTTAAGAATATTTGAGACAAAAAAAAAAAAAAAGGAAAGAAAAAAATGACCAATTCCGCTCTTCTAACACAATAACTAATTCCTTCTTTTATTTTAGTTCAGACTTCTAGTTTGAAAAATTAAATGTAAATATCCCTTTACCGTTAACCAAGAACTCCAACTCTGTCATGTTGTTCTACTCTTGAAAAGCCCAAGAGGTGAGTGTCATTAGCTTCATTTTAAAGTTGAGGAACTGATGGAAGGCCGAGGTGGGCAGATCACTTGAGGTCAGGAGTTCGAGACCAGGCTGGCCAACATGACAAAACCCTGGCTCTAGTAAAGATACGAAAATTAGCCAGGCACAGTAGCGTGTGCCTGTAATCCCTAGCTACTTGGGAGGCTGAGGCAGGAGAATCACTTAAGCCTGAGAGGCGGAGGTTGCAGTGAACCAAGATCGCACGATTGCACTCCAGCCTAGGCAACAGAGTGAGACTCTGTCTCAAAAAATAAAATAAAAATAAACTTGAGGGAACAGAGACTCACAGGGGAAGTGACTTGGCTTAAATCACACAATAAGAGAGTGGGAGAAAAGAAATCTGAACCCCAGTTTGTCTGACTCCAAATCTTGTGCACCATTCACTGTATTTTTAAGTCTTTGTCCATGTATCAGTTAGGAATGCTGTCAGCTTCAAGTAACAACAACAGTGCATTAAATAAATGGGGGCTTCTTTTCCTCACATACCAAAAAAAATGTTGGTAGGTGGTCTCCAGATTGGGGAGCAGCTCAGTGATGTCACAGACTCAGGGTCTTTCAATCATGCTGCTCCACTATCCTTTTTGACATACTAACTGCCTCATGGACACAGAAAAGCTACTGCAGCTCCAGCCATCTCACATGCATTCAAGGCAGAAGGAAGAGGGAAAGGGGATAGTGAAAGCTATGACACACTCTCTCTCTCTCTCTGTTTCTTTTTTTTTTTTCTGAGACAGAGTCTTGCTGTGTCATCCAGGCTGGAGTGCAGTAGCACCATCACAGCTTACTGCAGCCTCCACCTCCTAGGCTCAAGGAATCCTCCCACCTCAACCTCCCAAGTAACTGGAACTACAGGCATGTGCCACCATACCTTGCAAATTTTTTTTATTTTTTTGTAAAGATGGGGTCTTGCTATGTTGCTCAGGCTGGTCTCAAACTCCTGGGCTCAAGCAACCCTCCTGCCTTGGCCTCCCAAAGTGCTGAGACTACAGGGTTACAGGCATGAGCCGCTGTGCCCAGCCAACAACCCCTTTTCACAGGAAAGCAAAATAGTTCCCTAAATTCCCCCAGGAGACTTTGGTTTACATCTCAGTGGTAACATGACTACCCACAACTGCAAGGGAGGCTGAGAAAGCAAGCGTTTCTGGACAAAGAAGAAGGGCGGTGAGGACAAATGCTGGGCAGTCACCAACAGTATCTGCCAGGCTGCATCAAGTTGTACTTAGTTGCAATTATACAACACATAATTTTTGTTTTCTACTTTTCTCTTTTACTATTAGATCATTTGCAGTTTCCTTATCACTATGTCGTTTCTATAATTCTCATTAATGGCTTAGTACTTCTTCAAGTGGATGGTTCTGATGTATTTGTTGGACATTTATGTTGTTTCCGATTTTTAAAATATTATACATAATGTTATGATGAATATCTTCATGCAGCATGTATTTTCCATGGAGCACAATTATTTGCGTCAAGAATTTTTTTTTTTTTTTTTGAGATGGAGTTTCACTCTTGTTGCCCAGGCTGGAGTATAATGGCACGATCTTGGCTCACTGCAACCTCCGCCTCCCAGGTTCAAGCGATTCTCCTGCCTCAGCCTCCTGAGTAGCTGGGATTACAGGCATGCACCACCACACCCGGCTAATTTTGTATTATTATTTTTTTTTTAAATAAAAACGGGGTTCCTCCATGTTGGTCAGGCTGGTCTTGAACTCCTGACCTCAGGTGACCTGCCCACCTTGCTCTCCCAAAGTGCTGGGATTACAGGCGTGAGCTACTGAGCCCAGCTGGGTCAAGGATTTTAACATTTGTTGGTGCTCTTAATACATTACTCTCTTGATTTCCAAGAGTGTTGTGCTATTTTCCATGTAACTCTACTTCAGTGTATTGAGTTCACCACAACTGTGCCAGCACAGAGTTTTATGATTTTAAAAAGGTTTTCACCAAATTCGTATCATAAAATGTTACCATCTTATGATGGTTTACTTTAAGAAGAAGGAGGGGAATCAGGGGAAGATATATTGGTGTTCTGTGTGCTATTCTTGCAGCTTTTCTCTGGGTTTGATAATTTTCAAATTAAAAATTGGGAGACAAGAGGTCTGTCTCTGCCTAGGGCAGAGTCTGGATCATTTCCCAGGTTCCTGGGCCAGCAAAACATGAGCAGGGCCTGTTTCAATAAAATGCTATTGTTTTTATTCCTATGATGAAAACTAAGGAAGAAGGTTTTTCCCCATGTATTTTTCACTTTATATTTGTGTTTCACTTCGTACTTTTTTACTTTATTTTTGTATTGGTGAAGTATTTGTTCACTTCTTTATTTGGTGAAATATTTGTTTGTTACCTGGAGTAAGAGATTCACTTTTTCAGGCATGGCCATGCTGAGACTGGTATCAACTCTGGGCATGTTACAACTCAACTCTTTCATTTGATTGCTTCCTGGGAGGAAGGTGGGGTAGGGAATAGGATCCCAAGTCACAGATGACAGAACCGGAGCTCAAGAAGTTCATGTAGCTACTAAGAGGCAGGGCCTCCAACTCCAAGTTTTGTGGGGTTTTTTTTTCTTTTTCTTTTTCTTTTTTTTTTTTTTTTTTCTGAGACAGAGTCTTGCTCTGTCATCCAGGCTGGAGTACAGTGGCACGATCTCGGCTCACTGCAACCTTCACCTCCCGGGTTCAAGAGATTCTTCTGCCTCAGCCTCCCGAGTAGCTGGGATTACAGGTGCCCACCACCACACCTGGCTAATTTTTGTATTTTTAGTGGAGATGGGGTTTCACCATGTTGGCCAGGCTGGTCTTGAACTCATGACCTTAGGTGATCTGCCCACCTCAGCCTCCCAAACAAGTTCAGTGTTTCTCTTCCACAGTATTGCTTGCATTAGTTTGTTCTCACACTGCGATAAAGAAATACCTGAGACTGGGTGATTATAAAGAAAAAAGGTTTAGGCTGGGTGCATTGGTTCATACCTGTAATCCTAGCACTTTGGGAGGCCAAGGCAGAAGGATCATTTGAGCTCAGGAGTTTAAGACCAGCCTGGGCAACATGGCAAAACCCCATCTCTACAAATATATATATATATATATATATATATATATATTAGTATATATTTATATATATATTATATATATGATATTTATATATAATAATATAATATATATATTTATATATATTAGACAGGTGTGGTGGCATGCACCTGTAGTCCCAGCTACTTGGGAGGCTGAGGTGGGAGGATTGCTTGAGCCTGGGAGGTCGAGGCTGCAGTGAGCCATGTTTGTACCACTGCACTCCAGCCTGGGTGACAGAGTGGGGAAAAAATAAAAAAGAAAAGGAAAAAAGGAAAGAGGTTTAATTGGCTCACAGTTCCACAGGCCGTACAGAAAACATGGCAGCTTCTCCTTCTGGGGAGGCCTCAGGAAGCTTTTACTCATGGCAGAGGGCAAATCGGAAGCAAGTGTTTTACATGGCAGAGGCAGGACCAAGAAAGAGAGAGGGGGGAAGTGCTAGATACTTTTTTTTGTTTTGTTTTGTTTTTGAGATGAAGTTTCGCTCTTGTCGCCCAGGTTGCAGTGCAGTGGCGCAAGCTCAGCTCACTGCAACCTCAGCCTCCCAGGTTCGAGCAATTCTCCTGCCTCAGCCTCCTGAGTAGCTGGGATTACAGGTGCCTGCCACCACACCTGTATTTTTAGTAGAGACGGAGTTTCACCATGTTGGACAGGCTGGTCTTGAACTCCTAACCTCAGGTAATCCACCCACTTTGGCCTCCCAAAGTGCTGGGATTACAGGCGTGAGCCACCACACCCAGCCAGTGCTGGATACTTTTAAACAACCAGATCTCATGAGAAGTCCGTCACAAGAACAGCACCAAAGGGATTGTGCTAAATCATTTATGAAGGATCCGCCCCCATGATCTAGTCACCTTCCACCCGGCCCCACTTCCAACGCTATGAATCACAGTTTGACAGGAGATTTGGGTGGGGCACAGAGCTTTATTGAGATATAATTCACACATAACTTGTCCATTTAAAGTGTACGGCTCAATGTTTTTACTGCATTCACAGCTGGGCAACCAACCATCAGCATAATCAACTTTAGAACATTTCCATCACCTGAAAGAGGTGATGTACCCCAGCAGTTACTCAGTCACATCAGGTAGAGGTGAAAAAATATACAGAGAAAAAGATGGAGTCTGGCTGTGTCACCCCGGCTGGACTACAGTGGCTCACTGCAGCCTCAAACTCCCGGGCTCAAGCAATCCTCCCATCTCATCCTCCCAAATTGCTGGGATTATAGGCATGAGCCACCACACCCCCCTGAAAATATTTTTAAGTTTTAAGAAAAGAGATGAAAGAGATGGGTTGGACGGGGCTGCATGAGGAAAGCAGAGGAGACTTCGGCTGTGCCATGGCCTTGCTATGTGGCCACAGGTCCCTTCCCTTCTCTTCTCTTCTCTGGTTCTTGGTTTTCTCCTCCTAATACAAATAGGTATGTATGTATGTATTCATTTTGAGACTGAGCCTTGTTCTGTCACCCAGGCTGGAGTGTGATGGCATGATCTTGGCTCACTGCAACCTCCGCCTCCCAGGTTCTCCTGCCTCAGCCTCCCCAGCAGCTGGGATTACAGGCACGCGCCACCACAACCAGCTAATTTTTGTATTTTTAGTAGAGACAGGGTTCCGCCATGTTGGCCAGGATGGTCTCAAACACGTGACCTCAGGTGATCCATCCACCTCGGCCTCCCAAAGTGATGGGGTTACAGACGTGAGTCATCGCGCCCGGCCAAATATGTATTTACTGAGCACCTGCTGTGTGCCAGGCTCCAGGCCAGGCATGTCACAGATCATCTGAAACCAAGAGCAGAGATGTGACTTATTCAGGTCCCTATGCTGGTTGTTGGCAGAGAAGGGCCTGGAATGGGGGATGGGGGTAGGCAGAGGTTCTGACTGCCAGCTCAAGGCCACTGCACCAGCTGCGTCCACGTTTTACTTCCGGAGCTGCCCCAGTGACAAGTGGGGACAGGTGGGGACAGGTGGGGGTGGGCGGGAGGGGCATCTCTTTTCTCCCAGGCTGAGGAGGGGCCTGCCGCAGGTAGGCACTAAATAGTTGTTTCGCCCTCCAGTGGCCACAAGCAGCAGTGCAGGTGTCTGGCCTTGGGGGTCCATGAGGCAGAGTCCCTTCCCACTGTCCCCAGCACCACCACCCTCAAACACACACGCAAGGCATCTGTCCGGGTATGGTATGACTAGGTCTGTTGGAGCATTCCAAAGCGCTTACTTTGTCAGGTGTAACCTGGGTGCTGGGGGCAGGCGGGTGGACAAGTTCCTGACATTTGTGGAGATCAGGGAACTCCTGAGCCAATTTAAGTGGAGGTCAGGGAAAGCATCCTAGAAACCTGAAGGATAAGTGGAAATGAACCAGAAAAGACCTGGGGGCAGGTCTGCCTATTCCTAAGCAGAGGGAATGGTGCACGCAGAGGCCTGGGGATTTCACTCTGGCTAGAAGGTAAGGGGAAGAGGCACAGTGAGGGAGGAGCCACGGCTGGGGTAGATTGGGTGAGCCGTGAGAGGAAGGGTGGACTTTCTCCTGGAGGCACTAGGGATCCACAGAGGGATTTTGAGCAGAGGAGAGACAAAATCAGACAGAAATGTTGTTATTATTATTATTATTATTATTATTATTATTATTATTATTATTTTAATGTAAGCTCAATAGACGGAAATTTTAGGAAGATCAGCCTGACTGCTGTGTGGGAGAGGGCTTGGATCAGGCCAGAGAGGAGGCTGTGCCAGTGCTGGTTCTGGGCCCATCCTGGATACTCGAGGCCCAAAGTTTGTAGGGGTATGAGAGAGGGGAAGGGATCCCACTTTGTCTACAGAGCTCAAGACAGGCACCCTCAGAGAGTAATTACAGTGACCCCAACACTCACAAATCTCTCTCACAGCCATGCTTTATGTCCCTGAGAGAAAGAGGTGATTCTCAACATTCTGTAGAAGAAGAAACAGAGTGGAGAGAGCTGCCTGGGTCACATAAAAGCTGGCTGATGGCCAAGCCTCGATTCTGGGGGGATCAGGGTGACCCAAAAGTGAAAACATCCCAGTGGCTGGTTCTTCCTTCCAAAATTCCTGGCCCTGGGCTATGAGGGGGTTGGCTGAGGGGCCAGGAGTGAGGACCCAATGTCCTCAGGCCACCCTCGAGGCTCCCTTGGGTCCTGGCAGACCTCAGGCTCCCCACCCCCTGTACCCAGGCAATGAGCCCGAGGTCCGCAGTGGCTATCGCCTACCCACAGCCTGCAGGCTTTGTCCTTGGAAACAAGCAGCCTGTCAAAGCTGCCCGCTGTAAAGTGGATAGATGGCTCTTGGCTGCCAACTGGACAATGCCCAGGCTCTGTGGAGGGGAGATTAGGCCAGCCGTGGCCCAAACCAGTCCCAACTGCTCCGGGGCCTCAAATCAGGGTCCATGGATGCCCTGCCCCTCCATGGTACTTGACCATCTTCAGGAGTGACTCCTGGAAACTGTGATCCCCTGGAAGGGAGAGAGTTGGGCTGTGGGCGCCAGGGCAGGGGCATCGCCAAAGATAGGAAGGTCGTTGCTTAAGATACAGAGAGAGATTTGGGGTAGGACAGGAAGGGCACGGTGAGGAGGGCCAGAAGGTACACAAGAAGACTGGTAGTGTTGGCATTCGGAGGCTGACCTGCAGCCCACCCCTTCCTTGCTTCGTGACCTTGGGCCAGTCCTTTCTCCTCACTGGGCGCAGTTTACACATGCGTAAAATGGGCTCCTAAGAATCCCTGCCTTGAGTGAGATGGTGCAAGTGTGGGAAGGCCCAGCCAGGGCCAAGCAGAGCGAGGCTTCATCTTGGGCCTCTCCTTCCTGCACTTCTCACTGGCTCTGGAAACTGGGACTGGTTGGGAAGTGGGCAGGTCGCAAACAGGAGAGAACCAAGTCCTGCCCACGTTTTGCTGGACCAAGAACCCGGGAAATGCTCCGAGCTCTGACCCAGGCAGAGGCCTCTTGTCTCCCAATTTTTAATTTGAAAATTATCAAACCCAGAGAAAAGCTGAAAGAATAGCACATGGAACACCAATATATCTTCCTTTGATATATATTGATTCCCCCCCTTCTTAAAATAAACCATCATAAGACCAAGACCCTGTCTCTCTCTATATATATATAATAAAAGTAAAATAAAAATTGTTGCCAGCAGGCTTTTTTTAGGGGGGAGGACAGAGTCTCGCTGTGTCACCCAGGCTGGAATGCAGTGGGATGGTCATGGCTCACTGCATTCTCAACTTTCCAGGCTCAAGCGATCCTCACACTGCAGCCTCCCAAGTAGCTGGGACTCCAGGTGTGCACCACCACACCCAGCTAATTTTTAAATTTTTGTACAGACAGAGCAGGGTCTCCCAGTGTTGCCCAGGTTGGTCTCAAACTCCTGGCCTCAAACTATCCTCCCATCTCAGCCTCCCAAAGTGCTATGACTACAGGCATGAGCCATTGCACCCGGCCTGGCAGGCTACCTTTTAAGTGAGTTTTGACAAGAATGCTAAGTGGACTGTGTGCCAGGCACCATGTATTAGCTACGGGCTTGGTACATGTTAAGTCAAAGTCACTTAAATCTCACAGCAACTCCATGAGTTATGCACTATTCATCATCCACACATTACAGATGAGGAAACTGGCTTGGAGAAATTAGGTGTCATGCCTTAGGTCAGAGTCAACATGAACTTGGATGAACTTGGATGGATCTATCTGCCCCCAAAGCCTGAGCCCTGGGGTCATTCAGTCTAACCTCCCTCCTAACCAGGCATCCCTGCTACTGAGACCAGGAAGGTATGCCCACAGTCCCTACTCCACACTTGCATGGAGGATCTTTGCCTCTGCATCCCCCCAACCCCTCAGCCTCCCTCTGCAGCCCTGGCCCTGGCTCTGCCCCTATTCCCTTCCCCCAGACAGGCCCTCTCTGCCATCCCTGCAGTACCTTTAGAATGGCCTGGATGAAGATCCAGAAAGCCAGGTTCAAGGCCCGGCTCTGCCTCCGGCCACTGGCCTAACCCGGGGTGAGAGCCTTCAGTTCTCCTCTGGAAAATGGGTACGCCTGCCCCCAGCCCTTCCTCGCAGCAGGTGGAAGGTACAGGAGAAGCGTCCTGTAGGGAGCCGGCTCAGGGCAGGCAGTAGGCCAGGCACTGAGCGCTCCCTCCTCCACGACCATCCCGGCCTCCGAGAGGCCTGGGAAGCCCCAAGACCCTTCAGCTTCCGCTAGTTTGCTTTGGATCCAAGTCTCACAGGTGGCCCCTTCTAATCGGGTGACTTTAACCAATGTGTTTGGGGGAGGTAGTGACAACAGGCCCGGGGCGAGGGACTGAAGGTCTCCTCCCACCCACCTGGAGGCAGGTCTCTGTCTGGCTGGGCCGGGTGGGGGGCCCAAGAGGGCGGGGTGGGGAGCGGAAAGGGGCGTGGCCGAGGGGCGGGGTCTCCCGGGCCGAGGGGCGGGATCTCCTGGTATCTGCCAGAGCCCGCCGCTGCCTCCCCGACTTCAGTCCCCGCAGATGCCTCGCAGACGGTGAACGGCCACAGGCGCCAGGCCAGCCATAGCGGGTGAGGAACTGGAGCTGGGAACAGGGGAGGGACCAGCGGATGAAGGGGAGGCCCCTGACTCAGGCCCATTGGCGCCTCGCGGAGGAGGGACGCGCAGTGGTGGGCAAACTTCGCATCTCCCTCTCGGGCCTCAACGAGTGTTTGGAGAGCAAGAAAAGTGGGCGCCAGGGGGCTTGAGGGCGCGAATCCAGGCAGACGTGAACGAGGGAGTGCTTTTCAGAATCCAAAACGCGGGAGCCTCCCAGTCCTCCGGTGAGGGGCGTGTTGGATTTTCGTGCTGTCTGGAAAAGGGAAAAGGGGTGAATGATCACTGGTGATGGCTCAGATGCCGTCACCAGGTGGCATGAGGCCAGGTGTCAGGACACCGTGTTTTCTCAGGCACATTTGTGTAAAGCCAGGGCTGGAGCAGAGACCCAGGAGGCTCTTCCCTGCCTGCAGAGCCCCCCAGGTTGACGGGAGTGACCCCAGATCACCCAGGGTTAGGGTATCCCCGCTGAGCACAGCGTCTGGCTGTGGCACACCCACCAGCCGGAACCACAAGCTGAACCTGGAGGTGGTACTACTGAGAGACTGGGAGGCAGTCCAGGCAGGAGGGATGGCATGGTCACAGGTCCAGAGGAGGGAAACTCAGAAATGGACGCACCTTGGGGAGCAGGGGAAAGGTGGCTGCACGGAGCAGCGGTGGACAGGTGAGGCCAGAGAACTCGGCAGAGGCCTGATGAAGCAGAACCTTGGCGGAGAACCTCAAGGAACACAAAGCCCACCTGGACCTGAGCTTCCCCCACCCGCTGCAGGGACCCTGAGCTCTGTTTCGCCCCTCTCTGGCCAGCGACTGCTGCTGCCTCCCCCTCTCCCAGCTCTCCAGGGCGACAGTGTTTCCCTGCTTCGGTCCTGAAGGGGCTCCTGGAGACCATCTTTTGTGCAAGTAAATGTCGTCCCTACTAGGTGGGCCACCCCATCCTGGGCTTCCAGCCCACTGGTTGGTTCCCAGCTCAGTGGGGTCTGGGAGTCAAACAAAGGGCAAACGGACCCTGCAGAAGTCCAAGGGCGAAGCAAGGCAGGATGCCCAGCTGCTTTCCTGCGACTTTTTTTTCCTCAGTCCAAGTTGGCCTGCCTGTGACCCCTGCTGTCTGTCACCTGCTCCGTTGGATCCAGGATGGCACCGTGGTGCTACTGTTTCCTCTGCCTCCTGGTACCTTCACTTCTGGGAGGGCAGTGCCTGGGAGGAAGTCAAGGGGACTCACAGCTTCAAGGGTTCCAAGTGGCCATCCTTACCTCATAAGGTCACTGCAAATGTTATCCAAGATAAGTCCTGGCACAGACGGAATAAAAGCACTCACTAAGGGTGACCCCTCTTACTCATCAGCCTGTTTACTCCTCACACAGGGAAAAGGCTCAGGGCAGCAAAGGGCCCTCCCGAGATCACACTCTGAGTGGTGGGATTTGAATCCAGGTCTGACTGCAGAGTCTGCAGCTTCCACTGAATGCCCCCCTCCCACCCACCCCCAGAGTAGGCATTCAACAACTGCAAGTGTGAGGGGAGGGTTGTCCCAGCCCCCACCTGTCTTCTTCTCTCCCAGATCAGGAGTCTCTCTGGGACCCCCTCCAACTCCCCAGGTGAATCAAGGAACCCTTGGGCCCCAGGTTGGTATGAGGGATCCCCCCAGGGAGGGTCCCAGTCCCCCAGCTAAGCAAGTCTGTGATCCAAGGGGTGCACTGGCCTAGAATGCAAAGGAGGGGAAGAGTAACATTTAGTTCCACCCCCACCATACCAGGCCCTGCGAGGAACGCTTCACTGGTTTCCGTCTCATTCCTGCCATTGCGCAGATGACGAAAAGAGCTCTGCAAGAGGACAGGACTCAGCAGGCCATAGACATGGGCGGGTTCAGCCCCATCCAGCCCGAATGACTCCAAGCCCAGTGTCCTTGGCTCCGCCCAGCCCTGGAAGAGTCAGATGCCCACAAAATGCACCCCCCACCGTCTCTCTTATCGTTTTTAGCCCCCGTGGCCGCCGGCGAGGTGGTGAAGACTGCAGGTGGGGTGTGCAAGTTCTCTGGACAGCGACTGAGCTGGTGGCAGGCCCAAGAGTCCTGCGAGCAGCAGTTTGGCCACTTGGCACTGCAGCCCCCTGATGGGGTTCTTGCTTCACGGCTGCGCGATCCGGTCTGGGTGGGCCAAAGAGAGGCCCCTCTGCGGAGACCCCCACAGAGGCGTGAGTGTGGGCCCCTGGGAAATGGGAGCAAGGGGCAGAGGCTCTGGTGACCTTCAGATATAGGAGCCCACAGTGACAATATTTGCAGAATGAGCCGGGAGTAAGACCCCATTGCATCTCCAGGTTCCTTTGCCCTGGACTGGGCGTCGGGGCTTGACTCTTGGGCAGGGGAACTCTAGCCCCCATTTCCTCCTTCCCGAGGTGGGGAGGCATCCCAAAGCCTGGAAGGACCCCACCGCTGAGCCAAAGGGCAGGGGCAGGACCATGTGCACAGGTGAGGAAACTGAGGTCGCAGCCCACGTGTCCCTGCAGGTGCGCGCACCACCGCCGTGCTGGTGTTCGACGAGAGGACGGCTGACCGGGCGGCGCGGCTGCGGAGCCCTCTGCCTGAGCTGGCAGCGCTGACCGCGTGTACTCACGTGCAGTGGGACTGTGCCTCGCCCGACCCCGCAGCGCTCTTCTCCGTTGCCGCGCCCGCGCTGCCCAACGCGCTGCAGCTGCGCGCCTTCGCCGAGCCGGGGGGCGTCGTGCGCGCTGCGCTGGTGGTGCGTGGGCAGCACGCGCCCTTCCTCGCAGCCTTCCGCGCCGACGGCCGCTGGCACCATGTGTGCGCCACGTGGGAGCAGCGGGGCGGGCGCTGGGCGCTGTTCTCCGATGGGAGGCGGCGCGCTGGGGCGCGGGGGCTGGGCGCCGGCCACCCGGTGCCGTCCGGCGGCATCCTGGTGCTGGGCCAGGATCAGGACTCTCTGGGCGGTGGCTTCTCGGTGCGTCACGCCCTCAGCGGCAACCTCACCGACTTCCACCTGTGGGCGCGGGCGCTGAGCCCCGCTCAGCTGCACCGGGCACGGGCCTGCGCGCCGCCCTCAGAGGGCCTGCTCTTCCGCTGGGACCCGGGCGCCCTGGACGTCACGCCCTCGCTGCTGCCCACTGTGTGGGTGCGCCTTCTCTGTCCCGGTACGACCCGCCCCGCCCCGGCCCCACCCCATGGCCCCGAATCCTTCCCTTCCGACCCTGGAACTCGACCCACCCCTTGCCAACCAAGCCACGCCTAGCTCTGGCCACGCCCTCTCCAGGCCGCAGTGCCTGCAAGCTCCAGCATAAACCTGGTCCCAGCAGCCTGGGGGTCTGCGCTCGTCCCCCGGCCCCCTTACCCCCACCCCGAGCTGGCAACAGTGTCCCTCTCTCAGGTTTCACATTGCCACCTAACCCCGGGGCCGTGCGTCCTGGCTCGCCAGGGTCCCCTAGGGAGCCCTGACAGCTCCCCTGCCCCTGCCAGTGCCCTCCGAGGAGTGCCCTACGTGGAACCCGGGACCTCGCAGTGAGGGCTCTGAGCTCTGCCTGGAGCCGCAGCCCTTCCTCTGCTGCTACCGGACAGGTGCGCCCTGGCTGTACCCCTGGGCTCTGCTGAAGGGAAAGCCGGTGTGGACCGGAGTAGACTGAGAGGGGGTGAGCTGCTGGCAAAGTCTGGGAATTCAGAATAAACTCAGAGCTTCAAGGTCTCCATGGAGTCTAGGCCACAGAGCAGTGGGTCCAGACGGACCTAAGGGTGAATCGAAATTGTGTGACCTTGGGCAAGCTCTTTTGCCATTCTGTGCCTCAGTTTCCCCATCTAGAACACCGTGTGTAAGACTCTGGACACACAGCCATCAAGGTGCTCTTCCTTCCCTGGGCAGCACGTGGTGGGTGGAGGTCACTGAACAGGCTGGCATCTCTGGGCAGGGGTATTGCCCGGGGCCTAGCCTGGCATCCACTCCTTTGCAGAGCCCTATCGTCGGCTGCAGGATGCCCAGTCGTGGCCTGGCCAGGATGTTATCAGCCGAGTCAATGCCTTGGCCAACGACATTGTGGTGAGCTCCCTCTCAGGGGCTGGAAAGCCTGGGGGCTCCATGGGTCACCTCGCTGCACCTCAGTTTCCTCCCTTGTAAAGGGGACACCCACCTGGTGTGTCTGCAGGAATAAAGGCCATTCAGGCTCCCTATTCTGTAGCCCCTGAGAGTTGGCGGCTTGTGACAAGTTTAATGGGTGCCCACCAAGAAGACCCTGGCAAAGCCCAAGTGTGGCCCTTGGGGGGATCCCCTCATAACAACCAGACCCAGAGTCAGTGGCTCCTCTGTCCACAGCTCCTCCCGGACCCCCTCTCCGAAGTCCATGGGGCCCTGTCCCCAGCGGAGGCCTCCAGCTTCCTGGGCCTTCTGGAGCATGTCCTGGCGATGGAGATGGCTCCCCTGGGGCCGGCCGCACTGCTGGCTGTTGTCCGCTTCCTGAAGAGGGTGGTGGCCCTCGGGGCTGGGGACCCAGAGCTGTTGTTGACAGGCCCCTGGGAGCAGCTGAGCCAAGGCGTTGTATCTGTGGCCAGCCTGGTCCTGGAGGAGCAGGTGGCTGACACATGGCTCTCCCTCCGTGAAGTGAGGCTGGCAGGGCTGGGTGGGGCAGGGGCCTGGGCTATGGTTCCAGCCTAGCCACCAGCTGGTTGTGTAGCTGTGGGGGAGTCAGCATCTAGCTATGGGCTCCATCTCTGCGTCTATCCTGAAAAGCTTCTCTTTTGTCTATTTGATAAGTTGAACTTCCACAAACAATTGCACTTGAGGCTGGGCATGGTGGCTCACGCCCATAATCCCAGCACTTTGGGAGGTTGAGGCGGGTGGATCACTTGAGGTCAGGAGTTCGAGACTAGCCTGGCCAACATAATGAAACCCTGTCTCTACTAAAAATACAAAATTAGCCAGGCCTGGTAGCGGGCACCTGTAATCCCAGCTACTCAAGAGGCTGATGCAGGAGAATCACTTAAACCCAGGGGGCGGAGGTTGCAGTGAGCTGAGATCACACCACTGCACTCCAGCCTGGGTGACAGAGTGAGACTCTGTCTCAAAAAAAAAAAAAAATTGCACTTTAACAATAGCTTCTGTAGTTAAATGAAGTGATTAAGAACCACCAGTCAGTAAGAGCCTCCACCATCTCCAAGAACCTGCTGACCACCTTAAGTGGGGGATCTATGCCAAGTGGACAGTCCACCTTGTCTGCCTAAACAGCCCAGACACTCTGGACAACATGAGAGGTGCTATCCAGATGGAGAGGCTGTTGGAAACCTTGTCCTGGTGGAAGTGGCTGTCGGCCTGGGAGTGATCAGCCCAGAGCAGGGAGGGAACGAGAATCATGAACAGTGCCTGCAAATTATCTGGGGTTGAAGGAGCAAACCTGGTCCCCCTGTGGGCCTCAGAGGACAGAACTGGGACTAGGACATGGGGGTAGGGGAAGACGGCATAACACAGGAGGCTGGTTCTATGGAATGATTCACCATGGGTAGTGAGCTCCCCGTCCTGGGAAGTGTGCAAGCCCATAGTTGATTAGGGATCCGAGGCACTGCAGTAGACTGAGGAAAGCCAGACTGAAGCTCAGTTTTCTTCCCTGGGGAATAGGGATGATCACGCCAGCCTTGCTAAGGCAATGGAGAGGCGTTAGGGATGAACAGTGTGACTTGCCCAGCACAGAGTAGGTGCCCCATGAATGCAGGTTCCTCTCCTCCCTCCCCTGCTCTCACCACCCCCATCCATGGCTTTCCTTTTGGAATCTCAGTGTTGAGCACCCATTACAGGTCTAGCACTGAGCCACAGCAAAGGGGTAGGCATGGCCCAGCCTTCGGAGTGTGCCCTGGTTGGCAAACAGGAGGATGGGGTGGCTTGGGAGATAGAATTGGATAGGTCGAAGGAGGCTGGGGCAGGCAGGGCTTCAAATGTCAACCTGAGGACCCAGGACTTGATCCTAGAGTCCTTAAAGAGCCACGGAGGGTCTGGAGAGGGCAGGACCACCTCCCAGATCATGGAGCATTTATCCCAGCGCTCAGGGCAGGCGGCAGTGGGGTGCAGAGTGTGACAGAGAGCTGAGATGCAGCGTCCTCCCAGGTGATTGGTGGGCCTATGGCCCTGGTGGCGAGTGTGCAGCGCCTGGCACCCCTGCTGAGCACCTCAATGACCTCAGAGCGGCCCCGAATGCGCATCCAGCACCGCCATGCTGGTGAGCCTGCACCCACCTGCCCACACGGCTGGACTCAGACCTCCCTCCTCAGCCCTGGTGACTGGGAGCTGTCTGAACTTCCACAGACACTCCATTCTATTTCCTGCCTTTGCCCATGCTGTGCCCTGCATCCAGAATGCCCTCTCTCCCTCGATCTCCTAGCAAACACCTATACATCCTTCAGAACCCTGTGTGGGCCTCACTCCCTCTAGGAAGCCTTCCTGTTTTAGCTCTCTCCTCCTCTGAGAGACAGTTCCTCCCGCCTCTGTTACCCCAGAACCTTGAACATGTCTTTCATTGCATTTCTGGTAATTACATAATGGAATTATCTCCCTCTATGGGACACTCCTTGAGTGGTAAGGCTGTTTCTGAGCCATCTCAGCATCTTGGGGCCAAGCCCAAGTACACACTCCGTGAATGTTTGTAGCCTGAATGGGGGTGCACCTGTGGTGAAGCTTCAGGTACAAACACGTGTCCTTCGGGTACCCACCAGTTTCTGGTGACTCATCAATATTCAGGTCCTGCCTCGCGGTGACCGCCCCTCCTTCTCAGTGACCCCCTTCCCCTGGAATTGGAAAAGTCAGATTTGCCTTGGGCAAGTTGCTGAACCTCTCTGAGCAGGAATGGTGGCCTCCTAGGCCTATGGCAGGAAGGAGGGATCCAGACCCTGCTAGCTGGGCCTGCTCAGCAGAAAGACCTCACTCCGAGGTCCAGCCACCCAGCCCCATTTACCCCCAGGCCTGGAGGTGCGGAGCTTACGCTTGAGGGAGGCCAGCACGAGGGGCTGCTTATTCACAATGCCTGGTGGGCGTCCAGAGGGGCCCGGCCATATCCACATTCCTGCGAGTGAAGTGAGGCGACTCCTCAGGAAAGGTGGGTGAGGATGAGGGGGTGTCCAGAGCCCTGTTGGGTTCTGGGTCAAACCTCAGCTCTAACTGTCGCTAGCTGTGCTACTCATCTTTCAGATCCTCAGTTTGCTCGTCTGTAAAATGGGCACATTACTACTTGCCTTGTGGCTTATGAGGTTAAAAGCACCCACCACAGAGTGGTGTTCACTTACTCTCCTCCACCGAACCACACACATCTTCCCTCGGGAGTGGGTGGTGGAGGAAGATCCCCTATGCTTGATGCCATGCAGGGGTGGGGGATTAGGGCAAGGGGCAAAGGGCCTTGGAGTTGTGAGGTTCAGCACATGGACTGTGGCTGCTTGGAATTTTGGCTCTTCCACTTCTTAGCTGTGTGATCTTAGGGAAGTCAGTTTACCTCTCTGAGCCTCAGTTTCCCTATCTCTAGAGTGGGGAGAGCATCACCCTCGGGGCCAACTGGTGGTGCTTGCCCAGCCACCGGGTGGTGCCTTGGTGCCCCTTCCTCTCAGCCAGGCCTCTCTGGAGTCACCGTGATCCACAGCTGGTTCACCTCCAGAGTCTTCCAGCACACCCTAGAGGGACCGGACCTAGAGCCCCAGGCCCCTGCCAGCTCAGAGGAGGCAAACAGGGTGCAGAGGTGAGTAGGCGCCACCTGGAGGGCTGTGAGGGCCTGTGTCCCCTCCCCAAGGAAGGCCAAAGCCCCCGTTCTGGTGGGCGCATGTGTCCTTAGCAGCCCAGGGCCCACCCTTTCCCACCCCTGCCCAACACACACACACTTCTGCACCTGCCAGAGGTGAACACGGCTCAACTCCTGTCTGGGGTTCTGGCTTCTGTGTTGGGACTTACCCAAGTTACCAGCAAGTCCCTAAGGCAAGACTGAACCAGGTGCCACAATTCCTGATATCCCTTCGGACACAGAGGCTGCCACCTCCACCGTAGGGGCCTGGGTGACATGCCGCAGCCAGGCACCATCCCTCCTCCACAGCCACCCTTGAAAGCTCCCATTCTTCCCACAGGTTCCTAAGCACCCAGGTGGGGTCAGCCATCATCTCCTCTGAAGTGTGGGACGTCACTGGAGAGGTCAACGTGGCCATGACCTTTCATCTCCAGCACCGGGCCCAGGTACTGGGTGGCGCTTCTGGGAAGCAGCCATCCTGGCGCACGTGTCCTGGTTCAGTTCCCCCAACCCCCAGTATTTATCCAATGGACAACCAAGGCCTAATAATGCACACAAAAGGTACCTGCAAGCCACCTCCATTGTCCTCAAGGGAATGGGAAGGGAAGCGATTGACTGCAGGGTCACCTTATGGCAGGTGCCACAGATACGCAGCCTTCGTTTAATCCTCCAACCGCGCACTTCATCCAAAGCTTGGGAGGGCTGACGTGATTGGCCCCAGCTTGTAAGTGGCAGAGCTGGGATTTCATTCTACGTCTGCATAACTTGAAAACCTGTTAGTTCCCATGGAGTCATTCACTGCAGCATGTGCAGTGAATTCATTCATTCACTCACTGCAGTGTGTGTACAGGGGCCTTCACATATGAATGCGCTTCATACAAATAAAAATAACCTAAATGTCCATCAGTAGGGGACTACTTTAAATGTTTTGTAGGTCCGGGCACGGTGGCTTACGCCTGTAATCCCAGCACTTTGGGAGGCCGAGGCGGGCGGATCACTTGAGGTCAGGAGTTCGAAACCAGCCTGGTCAACATGGTGAAACCCCATCTCTACTAAAAATACACAAAAGTTAGCCAGGCATGGTGGTACACACTTGTAGTCCCAGCTACTAGGGAGGCTGAGGCAAGAGAACCGCCTGAACCCAGGAGGCGGAGGTTGTAGTGAGCCGAAATCACACCACTGCCCTCCAGCCTGGGTGACAGAACAAGACTCTGTCTCAAAAAAAAAAAAAAGTTTTGTAGATATATATGGTCAGCCCTCCATATGGGAGGGTTTCGCCACCAAGGATTCAAGCAACCATGGGTGGAAAATATTCAGAAAAAATAGCATCTGTACTGAACATCTATAGACTTTTATTTTGGGGGTCATAAACAAGACAGTATAACAGCTATTTATATATTTATATTTTATTTCCTAAGCAAGACAGTATAACAGCTATTTATATAGCATTTAAGTTGTATTAGGTATTACAAGTAATCTAGAGATGACTTAAAGTATACAGGAGCATGTGTTTAGGTTATATGCAAATACCATGCCATTTTATATAAAAAACTTGAGCCTCAGCAGGTTTTGGCATCCTTGGGGGTCCTGGAACCAATCTCCCGCAGGTAATAGGGACCAAGTGTGCAATGGAATAGTCAACTGAAAGTTATATAGGGATTGAGGTATTTCTCTATAAACTGACGTGGAAAGATCTCCAAGATATGTTAAATTTCATTTCACGCTTAATACACAAATTTCTTCTCCCTTCTGAAACACTAGAATGTTTCAGAGAAAGCAAGTCTTCTTTGCTCACAACCAGTAATCTTGGACACACACACACACACACACACACACCAACCACAGCTTATCACTCTCTTGTATATATCGTCAGAATGGGGCTGCGGGTGGATTGTTCATGATGTGGAAAAGCGTCCACGCTCTGATTTTTTTTTTTTTTTTTTTGAGACTGAGTCTCACTCTGTCACCCAGGCTGGAGTGCAAGTGGCACAATCTCAGCTCACTGCAACCTCCGCCCCCCGGGTCCAAGCCATTCTCCTGCCTCAGCCTCCTGAGTAGCTGGGACTACAGGCATGCGCTACCATGTCCAGCTAATTTTGTATATATATATATATTTTTTTTTAGTAGAGATGGGGTTTCTCCATGTTGATCAGGCTGGTCTTGAACTCCCTACCTCAGGTGATCTGCCTGCCTCGGCCTCCCAAAGTGCTGGGATTACAGGTGTGAGCCACCACACCTGGCCCTGTGTCTGTCTTTTCTAGCATTTCATGTAAATGGAATCATCTAGTATGTGTTGAGGCCTGGCTTTTGCTCAGGTCTCATTGGTGAGAATCATTCATGTTGTTGCACATTTCAATAGCTCATTCCTTTTTCACTGCTGAGTAGTACTGAGGTATATGGATGTACCATGATTTGTTTTTCCATTTACCTGCTGACAGAGATTTGACTTGTTTTCAGTTTGGGCTATTATGAATAAGTCTGCTATGAACACTCATATACAAGTCTTTTTGTGGATAAATGATTTCTCTTTACTAGGTAGATTCCTGAAAGTAGACTTGCTGAGTTGTAGGATAAGCATATTTTAACTTCCTAAGAGACTGTCAAACTGTTCCCCAAAGTGGTTGAACCATTTTTACATTCCCACTAGCAGCATTGGAGAGTTCCAGTTGCTCCACACCTCTGCCAACATCCTTGTCAGTGTTTTTAATGTCATTCATTATAATAGTCATGTATTGCTATCTCATTGTGGATTTAAGCTGCAATTCCTTGAAAACCAATGACTCTGGGCATCTCTTTATACACTTATTAAGCAGTCATATATCTTCCTTTCTTAAATGCATCTTCAAATCTTTTCCCCAATTTTTAAATTATTTATTTTATTATTGAGTTGTAAGAATTCTTTATATATTTTGGATACAAGTCCTTTGTTAGAGATATGTCTTGTGAATAATTTCCGCTAGTCTGTGGCTTGCTTTTTGTTTTCTTAACAGTATCTTTGGAAGATAAGTTTTTAATTGTGATGAAGTCCAATTTATCAATTTTTGTCTTGCATAGCTCATGCTTTTTGTATACTATCTAAGAAAGCTTTGCCAATCCCAAGGTCACAAAGATATTCTCAAAGAAGTTTATCACTTTAACTTTTACATGTAGGTGTATGATGTATTTCAACTTAAGTTCTATATATTATGAAGGTAAAAAGGTTGAAGTTCATTTTTTTCCATATAGACAACCAGTTCCAATACTATTTGTTGAAAAGATTATTCTTTGCTCCCATTGAATTTTCTTGTCACCTTTGTTGAAATCAATTGTCTGCATATGTGTAGATCTATTTCTGGGCTGTGTGTTCTGTTCTAGTGATTTATATGCCTATCCCTATGTTAATTTCTTACTGTCCTGATTAATGTGCCTGTATAGTAAGCCTTGAAATCAGGTAGTGTATCTTCCAACTTTGTTTTTTTTTTTTAATTTGTTTTTTGTTTTTTGTTTTTTTGAGATGGAGTCTCACTCTGTCACCCAGGCTAGAGTACAGTGGTACGATCTCGGCTCACTGCAACTTCCACCTCCCGCGTTCAAGTGATTTTCCTGCCCCAGCCTACAGTAGCTGAGATTATAGGCACATGCCATCACGCCTCATCAATTTTTTGTATTTTTAGTAGAGACGGGGTTTCACCATGTTGGCCAGGCTGGTCTCGAACTCCTGACCTCAAGTGAGCCATCTGCCTCAGCCTTCCAAAGTGCTGGGATTACAGGTGTGAGCCACGGTGCCTGGCCTAACTTTGTTCTTTTTCTTTTCTTTTTTTGAGACAGGGTCTCATTTTGTTGCCCAGGCTGGAGTACAGTGGTACGAACACGGCTCACTGTAGGTTCGACCTCCCTGGCTCAAGCGATCCTCCTCCCACCTCAGCCCCAGCCCCTCAAGTAGCTGGGATTACAGGCGATCTACCATGCCTGGCTAATTTTTTTTTTCTCTTTTTGTAGAGACAGGATTTTTCCATGTTGCCCAGGCTGGTCTCAAACTCCTGGACTCAAGCAATCCACCTGCCTTAGCCTCCCAAAGTGCTGGGATTACAGGCACGAGCTACCACACCCAGCCTTGTTCTTTTTCAAAATTACTTTGGCTATTCTAGATTCTTTGCATTTCCATATAGATTTTAGAATCAGCTCATAAATGTCTATAGAAAACCTACTAGTATTTTCATTAACATCGCATTGACTGTGTATATCAATTTGGGAGAACTGGCATCTTTCAATTCATTATCAAGATATAGCTTTCCATTTATTTAGGGTTTTTACATTTTTTTCTCAGTGATGTATACCTTTCAGTGCACAGATCTTAGAGACATTTTGTTAAATATATGCCTAAGTATTACATAAGTTTTGGATATTACCGGAAATGATATTGTTTTCTTAATTTTAAACTGTTCATTGCTAGTATATAGTAATATAATTGATTTATACAATGATATTATATTCTGCAACCTTGCCAAACTCACTTAGTACTTGCAGTAGCTCTTTTCTGGAACCTCTAGGATTTTCTACACACTTGCTCATGTTGTCTGCCAATAAAGGCAGTTTTTGTTTCTCCTTTCCAATCCATGTCTTCCTTTCTTCCTTCCTTCCTTTCTTCCTTCCTTCCTTCCTGACTTTCTCTCTCTCTCTTTCTCTCTCTCTCCTTCCTTCCTTCATTCCTTCCTTTCTTTCCTCCCTTTTGTTTCTTTCTTTTTCTTCCCTTGTTGCACCAGCTAGGATCTCTGGATCAATGTTGAATTGGAGTGGTGAGGTCAGGCATCCTTGTCTCATTCTTTGTCTTAGAAGGAAGGCATCCAGACTTTCACCACTAAATGCGATGTTTGGGCTTTTTGTAGATGTCCATCAAATCAAGTTCCCTTCTCTTCCTGGTTTGCTGAGAATTTTTATCATGAATGGCTTTTGAATTTTGTCAGATGTTTCTTGCATGTTGATATGATCATATGGGTTTCTCATTTATTTCCTTAATCTAGTAAATTGCACTGACTGATTTTCAAGTGTTAAACCAACCTTGGATTCCTGAGATCAGTGTAATTTGTTTATGGTGTATTATCTTTTATATATATTGCTGGATTCAATTAGCTAGTATTTTGTTGAGGATTTTTATGTTTATGTTCATGAATAATGTGTTCTGTAGTTTCTTGTACTCTCTTCCTCTGGTTTGGGTGTCAGATTAATGCTGGCCTCATAAAATGAGTTGGGAAGAGAAGAGTTCTGTCCTCCTCTGTGAATGTTTGATCAGCTTCTCCAGTGAATTCCTCTGGACCTCGTGTGTTCTTTGTGGAAAGATTTTTAATTGTGTGTTCTGTTTCTTTGATTGATATAGGTTATTTGGGTGTTTTATTTCTTCTTGAGATGGTTTGGTAATTTGCGCCTTTCAAAGAATGTGTCCATTTCATCCAGGTTGTCAAATTTCTAGCACAGATTTGCTTATAATATTTCCTTTTCACATCTGTAGACTCTACAGTGATGTTTTCTTTTTCATTCTTGGCCAGTCTAGCTAGAACTTTACAATTTTGCTTATATTTTTATTTTTATTATTTATTTATTTTTGAGACAGTCTCTCCCTCTGTTGCCCAGGCTGGAGTGCGGTGGCACCATCACAGCTCACTGCGGCCTCGACCTCCTGGGATCAAGCGATCCTTCCAGCTCACCCTCCCAAGTAGGTGGTACTGCAGGTCCATACCACCACGCCTGGCTAATTTTATTTTGTATTTTTCAGAGATAGGATCTCACTTTGTTGTCTAGGCTGGTCTCAAACTCCTGGGCCCAAGTGATCCTCCTGCCTCAGCCTCCCAAAGTGAGCCACCACGCCCAGCCTTGTTTAATATTCTAAAGGATGAATTTTTGAGATTATATTTATATACTAATAATTTAAAATACATTAAAATAAAAATAAATAAAAGTGATGTGTTACTCATTGTGACACATTCAGAAAATATAGAAAAGGATAAAGACAAAATTGTATTACTCAGAGATAACCGCTATGAACATTTTGGTGCATTTTACTTAAGCTGTTTTCTGGGCACATAACACTATATATATTTCTTTCCTTTTGCAAAATGAAAGCCCTTGCTCTTTCAGCAGAGCCATGCAAAGCATGGCGCTGCGTAATCTCGAGCAGGTTAACCCTCCTTTCTGAGCCTCAGTTTCCTCATCTGAAATTGCATGAATTTATAGCTGTCTCTTAGGTTGCTATGAAGATCAGCTACAATAAAGGACATGAAAGTGCTTGGCAAGACACAAAGGGAGGTGTCATTACCATCACCCTCCCCAGTCAGGACAGATGGCCCAAGTCCCAAGCTCAGGCTACCTTCCCTACCTAGACTGGGGCTCGTACCACTGGCCACCTGATATGTCTTCACTGCTTAATGACATGTTATAAAATCTATATTTTTGTCATTGTTTAATTACAAAAGAACTAACACATTCATCATAACACATTCAACCCAGACCTAACTACTGTTAAGTTCACTGCATGTTTGCTCCCACACATGCTGTGTGTGTACGTGTGTGTGTATGTGTTTTCACAAGTATGCAGACCTTAATTTTTCACATAAATGGGCTTATATCATGCCCAATGTTGTGAATTCTTCCTTTACTGAACAAAGTATCACGGAGATCTTTCACATCAGTAGCCAGAGGCCTGTGTGTTCATCTTACCAGAGGCAGTGTCCCAAGGAGAGGAGAGGCGCAGTTGCTTAACTGCTCCCCGGTGATGGCTGCTTAGCTTGTTCCCAGTTTTTCCACCTTCCACACCATGCTGGAATGACAGCCTGCACTCTCCTCCCTCTGCCTCCCCTCTGCCCCTTCACCTGTGACGCATGGTGGGCAATCCCCTGGTCCCTAAAATGCAGAGTCCTTGGCGTCCCTCCATCCTCCTGGTCTCTCTCCTTTCCCATCCACACTCACAACTGCCCCATGCCCCTCAATCCACGCTCATGCACCTGCCCTGTCTCTGTCTCCTGCCTCCAGACCTTCCGTCATAAGCTGGTGGAGCCTGTCTGTGCTTTCTGGAACTACAGTATCAGATGAGTTTCCATTTCCAGGTTCTTTTTTTTTTTTTTGAGATGGAGTCTTGCTCTGTTGCCTAGGCTGGAGTTCAATAGCACAATCTTGGCTCAATACAACCTCCATCTCCCGGGTTCAAGCAATTCTCCTGTCTCAGCCTCCCGAGTAGCTGAGATTACAGGCGCCCGCCATCACGCCCAACTAATTTTTGTATTTTTAGTAGAGACAGGGTTTTGCCATGATGGCCAGGCTGGTCTCGAACTCCTGACCTCAGGTGATCCACCCACCTCAGCCTCCCAAAGTGCTAGGATTACAGGTGTGAACCACCAAACCCAGCCGTTAAGATGATTTTTTTAAAAATATGTCCACTCTGCTTGGGGATGAGGCAAGACTTACACATGGTTTTGACCTCTGTTCACCATCTGCCTTTCAGGGTGACTCCAGGCTCCTCCCAGCTCTAAGACAAGCTGCAGCGGGAGGATGTGTTACCCAGGGGGTAGTGAGCTCCTTGTCATAGGAGTATGTGAAGGAGGAAGCACTCACTCTGTGAGGTGCCTAGGAAGAGAATCATCTGTCAAATTGGCGTTGAACTTGATCTATCTGAGGCCGGGGCCCTTGGACTCTTGAAGGAGCAGAGCAGGCTCCAGGGATTATCCTGGCTCCCTGCCCTGGATCTTTAGCTGAGGTAGGGAACCTTGGTCCCAGTGGCTCAGTAATTAATTAAGTTGATAAATGACAGTCACTGGGATCAGCCCTGCCCTCCTACCATCCTAAGAATGTCAAGCACATTTTACAGGTGAAAAACTGAGACCCAGGAAGGGGCGGTGACTCGCCAAGGTCACCTAGCTGGTTAGAGGCAGGGCAGTGACAGGCCCCAGGCTCTGGGGAAAGCCTTTCCCCTGCTTGCTTCTGGCCCCTCACCCCCTTGTCCACCTTATCTCAAGAGCCCCCTGTTCCCTCCCCATCCCCCAAGCCCATATACAGGGGGTGCCTGGGCCACCACAGGCTGCTCCGTGGCTGCCCTGTACCTGGACTCCACCGCCTGCTTCTGCAACCACAGCACCAGCTTTGCCATCCTGCTGCAAATCTATGAAGTACAGGTGAGTGCACGGTGGGAGGGGGGTGTCAGGAGGGGGCTTCTTAGCTGGAGGTGAAGAGAAGAGCCAATAGGTAGCCAGAAGAAGCATCTGAGGGATGCCAGCTTTCATAGATTGTCGGGGACAGGGCTGCATGCAGTAGTTCATGCCTGTTGTCCCAGCACTTTGGGCGGCTGATCACTTGAGCCCAGGAGTTCAAGACCAGCCTGGGCAACATGGCAAAACCCCGTCTCTACCAAAAATGCAAAAATTAGCCAGGTGTGGTGGCTCGTGCCTATAGTCCCAACTATTCAGGAGGCTGAGGCAGGAGGATTGCTTGAGCCCAGGAAGTCGAGGCTGCAGTGAGCCAAGGTCACACCACTGCACTCCAGCCTGGGTGACAGAGCAAAAACCTGTCTAAAAATAAATGAGTAAATAATAAATTGTAAAAAAAATTGTTGGGGGAAAACTCTAAGAGGATGTCAGGAGGGGTCGGATTCACTGGAGCTGGAAAGGGCCCCGGAGTGGTTACTTGCTGAGAAGTCAGGTGAGATGGGACGTGAGCCTCAGGAACGCTGGGGTCACTACAAGGAACACCTTGTAGTGTTGAGGGGCACACTACAAAAACATGTTACCAAATGCATTTTTCCTGTAGAGTCAGGGCCAGGCACGGTGGCTCCCACCTGTAATCCGACCACTTTGGGAGGCCAAGGCAGGCGGATCATTTGAGGTCAGGACTTGGAGACCATCCTGGCCAACATGGTGAAACCCCATCTCTACTAAAAATACAAACATTAGCCGGGCATGGTGGCCCGTGCCTGTGGTCCCAGCTACTCGGGAGGCTGAGGCACAAGAATCACTTGAACCCAGGAGGCGGAGGTTGCAGTGAGCTGTGAGCTGAGATTGCGCCACTTGCTCTCCAGCCTGGGTGACAGACTGTCTTGAAGCAACAAAAAAAAAAAAAAAAAAAAAAAAGTCAGAGCGTGGACACTTTTCCACATCATGAGTATCATCCGCAGCCCCATTCTGATGATACTCCATGGTCCCCGGGATCCCTCCCCGTGGGCACGTTTGTCAGCACTCTTAGTAATTGTCCAGTTGGTAGAATCCGGGCCAGTTGGGGTCAGTCTAGGGAGAGCCAGCAGGAGAGAAGGACATGCTCACACCTGCTTATTAAATGCCTACTGTGTGCAGGCCTGGGTCCTGCTGGCTGCTGCTGCACTGTGGAGGCGAATGCGGCGTGGGGGGCCTTAGAGTCACCAGGTGGGGCGAGTTCTGGCCTGGGTTGGGTCTGGGTGGTGCCAGGGGGGTTTCTCTGTCCCTCCACACAGAGAGGCCCTGAGGAGGAGTCGCTGCTGAGGACTCTGTCATTTGTGGGCTGTGGCGTGTCCTTCTGCGCCCTCACCACCACCTTCTTGCTCTTCCTGGTGGCCGGGTGAGGAGAGTTCACCACTGTAGCCTGGTGGCCTGGGCCCTCCCGCCTCGCTCAGGCCTCCATGTCCCCATTGGTCGGGTGTCCATCCTTGGTCCCAGCAGAACCTTGGTCTGAGCCTCTCCTTAGGATGTGCTGGGTCCCCTGTGGAGCTGCTCTCTTTCCCTCCATCTGCCCAGGCACAGGGGATCGGGCAGGACAGGGCCCTACGGGGTGTGGGGACCAGCAGTGGTGTTCTTGTTAACTGACTCCTCTGTCCTCTCCAGGGTCCCCAAGTCAGAGCGAACCACAGTCCACAAGAACCTCACCTTCTCCCTGGCCTCTGCCGAGGGCTTCCTCATGACCAGCGAGTGGGCCAAGGCCAATGAGGTGGGCAGCCAGTGGGTGGGCTGGAAGCCCGGGGAAGCCTGGGAAAGTGCCTGTGGGCTTTTCTAGGGTGACCCCCTGCCCCCAACTATTTTCACATGGCTCCACTTCCCTGGGGAGGAGCAGGGCCCGGGGAGGAGCAGGGCCCCGGGAGGAAAGGGCCCTGGGAGGAAAGGCCCCGAATGGTGGAGCGGGGCCCAGGCTGCTACCCAGAGGCCTCACCCACTGAGACTTCTTTGGGTTGGCAAGGCCGGGCTGGGCATGGGCCGCGGGGCTGGCCTGCACCTGCGTCTGACCTCGGACCTGGGTGGGGATCCTGACCCTCCCACAGGTGGCATGTGTGGCTGTCACAGTCGCAATGCACTTCCTCTTTCTGGTGGCATTCTCCTGGATGCTGGTGGAGGGGCTGCTGCTGTGGAGGAAGGTGGTAGCTGTGAGCATGCACCCGGGCCCAGGCATGCGGCTCTACCACGCCACAGGCTGGGGTGAGGCCTGCTCTGCACCCACACTCTCTTCTCCTCAGCTGTACCTTGCACGGCCGACCCTGCCATCTAACATGGCCCCACACCCAGCACTCAGCACCCAGCACCACTCAGCATCCGGCATTTAGCGTCACCCAGAACCCAGCACCACCCAGCCAGTCCCATCTCTGACATGACCTCAATTTCCTCAGTTCTATTAACCTCCAATTTACCCATCCCCATTCCTCATAATCCTTCTCCACTTTACAGCCTCCCCTCTCCATCCGCAGTGCTATCTCCCCAAATCTGTAGCCAGCCAGTTGCCCAGCCTCCGTCTCCAGAGACGCCCAGCTGTAGCCTCCAAAGCAGCCTCAGCTCTCCCGACTCCCAAACTACTGTGGCTCCAATGCCACCCCAACAGCATCAGAGCCCCCAGCCCTGCTCCTTGGACCTCCCCAGTGCCCCCAGTACAACCTCCAGTAGGGGACAGCTGCGGCTTGGGGGGCGGATCCTGGGTCCTGGAGAGGAAAAAGCAGGTGACCCAGCCTTGAGGCCCCCTTCTCCCTCTCCCAGGCGTGCCTGTGGGCATCGTGGCGGTCACCCTGGCCATGCTCCCCCATGACTACGTGGCCCCCGGACATTGCTGGCTCAATGTGCACACAAATGCCATCTGGGCCTTCGTGGGGCCTGTGCTCTTCGTGCTGACTGTGAGCTGGGGACCTGCAGGGGAGGGGCGTGTTGGGGATGGGGAAGTCCTCTTGCCCACTGACCCCAGGTCTCCAGGCCAACACCTGCATCCTGGCCCGTGTGGTAATGATCACCGTGTCCAGTGCCCGCCGCCGTGCCCGCATGTTGAGCCCACAGCCCTGCCTGCAGCAGCAGATCTGGACCCAGATATGGTGAGGCCCCAGAATGGGGGGCCAGCAGGAAGCAGGAAGTGCACAGTCAGCCGGCGCCAGGCGTGAGGCTCACTGGGCGAGAGCACGTGCGAGTCTGTGTCCAGAGCGTGACCGTGTGGCTATGCCCAAGTCTGTATTGAGTATGTGGGTACACACGTGTCCCTGCATCTGTGTCACACATGCTTGGGCATGTCAACATGTGTCAACATGCACCCATGCGTGTCACATGTGGGGATGGTCACTGATCCGTTTGAGGGAGCTGTGGACACTGGCCACTGTTCAAGGAGTGCACTGTCTGCGGCAGGTACTGATAGCCTGCAGGAGACAAAGTAGGGGAGACCCTCAAATCAGGGTTAGCCCCAGAAGTTCAGGGTTAGCTCCAGAAGTTCAGGTTCAGGGTAAGGACCTGGGTCCCTGTTCCTGCCAAAGACCCGCATCGCCCTCTGGGGTCACACTCTGGGAGAGAGAGGGACCCCACCGGCCTTTCCCAGCCCTGCCTCCTTGCTGGCTTTCCCCTTCCCCACCCATCCTCCACCAAGCACAGGCCAGCCTAAGCTGGGAGGGGGTCCCTGAAAAGCCAGGGAACCCCAGGGCCCTTGGAGAGGGAGAAGGGAGTCCTTCTAACCCCATCCCTGCTGGTCCCACTGCTCAGGCCTCAGCCCCCACTCTGGACAACTACCACCCCATTCCTTCCAGCCAGGTTGGGGGCTGGGACCCCATCTCCCAAGTGCCGCTACCCTACTTCATGCCACCTCTGTCTCTGAGAACAGGGGGGGCAACAAAGTCCAGTCAAAGGTTCTGGCTCCCTCTAAGTCCTGCTGAGCCATGGTCCCGGCCCTCAGCTCCCACCCCGCTCCAGGCACGTACAGGTGCTGCTCTCCCTGGAGCCCTGCGGGGAGCTCCCCAGGCCTCCCAACCCCCGTCAGCCCTGCCTGCCCTCCTACAGGGCCACGGTGAAGCCCGTGCTGGTCCTGCTGCCCGTCCTAGGCCTGACCTGGCTGGCAG